>NC_000006.12:82023261-82648261 GCF_000001405.40 Homo sapiens
TCATCACTTAAACCATTCTCCCATCAAGGCTGGATTTCAGTTTCCTTGACTATGTGTCCTACTGCCCCTATACCAGAAGCCTTAAACACGGAGTGAATCCAATAATCTACTTTGTCCCTTCCTCCGCGGTATGCTAAACACAAATGGAAAAAATCATACAATCACAACAAAAATGTATGATTCTCATTTCCTGTGCCCTCAACAATGAACAGCATTCCTTTGACTTATTCTTGATCGGCACCCTCTCCAGCCCCCTTAGTGACTACTTCAAACTCCAGCCCCCTCTTCAGCTCCACATTAGGGTTAGGGTCTCAATAATGAGAATGAGACTCATTCTTATTAATGGCCACACCTGCTACTTCACAGTGGGAATAAGCACTTTCATCAGCCTTCCACCCAATCTACCAAGCTACATTCACCCCACTGAACTTTACTTACTTCTTCAGGACCTTGTTCTATCGACTCTCTCTTTCTGCTGTATAACCAACCTCCCTGTTTTTGCTTGCTTCTCTTCAGCACAAAAACGTGCCCAAATATATCTTCAGCAAACTATTTCTTAACTCTGCGTTATCCCTATAGCTTTCACTCTATCCTTCTCTTCACAACTGTTCTTGATGACTTTACCTCCTTCCTTTCCATTTCCCCCATCATAGCACGCAGTAAATTTGTGATTCTAGCCCTTACATTCTGAAACGGACTAGGAAAGGTCAACTATAACATCTTAAGGCACATAGCCATTTTTTGTATTTTTAATATTGTTACTGTAGTAAAATATATATACATAAAATTTACCAATTTGAACATTTTAAGTGTATAAGTCTGTGGCATTAAGTACTTTTTACAGTGTTGTACAACCATCACCACTCTCCATTTGCATGAACTTTTTCATCATCACAAACAGAAACTCTGTACCCATGATACAGTAACTTCCCAGTCCCCTTTCCCCTCAGCTTCTGGTAACTTCTATCTCCTTTCTGTCTCTGTAAATTCAACTACCCTATGTACCTCACATAAGTGGACTCACAATATTTGTCCTTCTTTTGTCTGGCTTATTTCACTTAGGATAATGTCTCCAAGATTCATCCATGTTAAGGAATGTGTCAAAATTTCCCTCATTTAACGCTGAGTAATATGCCATTGTATGTGTATACCACCTTTTGATTATACATTTATCTGTTGATAGACATTTGTGTTGTTTCTATCTTTCTGCTATTGTTATTGATGCTGCTATGAATATTGGTGCACAAGTATCAGACCGAGTTCTTGCTTTCAATTCTTTAGGGTATATGCCTAGATGTAAAATTGCTGGATCTTATGTTAATTTTATGTTTAACTTTTTAGGCACCACCTAATTGTTTTCCACAGTGGCTGTACTATTTCACATTCTGACCAGCAGTACAAACAAGTTCTAATTTCTGAACATCCTCATCAACATTATTTTCTATTTTTTGGATAATTACTATGCTAGTAGGTGGAAAGTATGGGGTTTTGATCTGCATCTCCCTAATGACTAGAGATGTTAAGTATCTTTTCATGTGCTTATTGGCCATTTAGATATTGTCTTTGAAAAAAATATCTATTCAAATCCTTTGCCTGTTTTTGAATTGGGTTGCTTGTGGCTTTTTCCTTGCTGAAAATTGTTGTTTTTAGTTCTTACCTTATTTGATTACCTGTAGCATTTGCCCCATTCTGACCAGATAATCTCATCTTCTGAATCCATGACTCCACTCTCTCCCACTTCTTCTCTTCCTACTCTGATCTTTCCTGAGTAATATTCTTACTAACTCCTGAAACATTTAATCCCTTTCCACTCTAACATTTATTGAGTACTTTGTAAATGCCAGACACTATGCTAAGTGTTTTATGTGCATTCTCTTCCTTTACGTTTAAAACCACACATTAGACAGATAGGGTTATTTAAAAACCATTCAATATCTATGATATTGAATAGATTTCATATCTATTTCATTCAATAGATATGAAAACTGATGCTCAAAGAAATAAAGTATTTTGCTTAAGTTTATTAGAGTAATTAGTGATAGAGTTAGCATTTAAATACAGGAAACTGATTCCAGAGTTTATGTTCTTAAGACTATCCTATCTACTTTAATGACATTAACAACTAAGTTAAGCTAATGCAGACTTGCATCAATAAGTTATTTAATTGAATTATATAGTTGCAAGCAATGAAAACCAGCTTTGACAACTTAAGCTGAAAAGGAATTTGTGGTAAGGATATGAGGTAACTCACATAATTGAAGGGGAAACTAAAGACTTGGGCTTAAAAACAGACCTAGATGGAGTTCAGCACCAAGCTTGTAGGAACCGAAAGAAGTCTCATCAGGACCCAGCAACTTCAATAAATTGGCTGAAAATTATTTCAGCTCCTTGGTCAAACTGAAATTCCAGAAACTGAATATCATATTGGTCTCACTGGGACATATCATAATCCCATGGGTAAGGGAGACAGAAGGAGCATATGTCAATTGCTAATCCAAATCTGGCTGTATTAAAGAGGGAAAGGCTTGTGTCTCAAAGGCAAAGGAAGAAACAGTGAATAAGTGGGTACAAAATGACAAGTCTACCATGCTCCCATCTTTAAATTTAGGCTAAATCTCTCCCAGCTCCAATGACTGAACATTTCTACTTAAAGTTCTTAGCACATTGATAACTACTTGCTCCTCTTTAATTGGGTAGAAGTCTATCTTACAGATATCTTTCCTGCTGCATTTCTTACTCTGAACTAAAAATACGTGTTAGTCTCTCTCCTTCATGAGATTGTGAGCTCCTCCACTGTATCCCTTAGCATTAAGCATGGTGCCATGTATGCAGCAGGGGCTCAGTAAATGTTTGCTGCCTGCTGAATGACCCAAAACTACAGAATTGAGGGGAACTCTCGAGTTACAAATTATATTACTGTAAAGTAACATACAGTCACATAACAAGAGACTTGAACAAAAAGGACATTGAGGTTTTAATTGAAGCAGGTACAATATAAGCCAAGATATGTTTTATAAGCTGGTCAAAATGTGAATGTTATCTTGGTTCTATTGATAAAATATGGTGTACACAAAAGAAAGGAGTAGGTCTATAGTACCTAACACTAAACAGACTACATCTTTAGTATTGTCACAATTTCTTATCACGACATTATAAAGAGATTGAAAAGTCTGAAATGTTTGAAAACTATATTAAATGAAACATGTTAACTGAACAGGGAAAGTTTGCAATAGGAAAGAAAAGAACTAAGAGGTTTGATCACCACAGTTATACAGGAGAACCATGCAAAACAGAAAGCAAGAGTTATTCTGTATGACTACAGATAAAAATCAAGATGAATGGATAGAAGATAGATTCATCTTCTACTCTGGAAATGACAAATCATTTGTCACACAACATGTCCAGATTCAGGGCTCAGAAGCTGTAGTCAATGTGATGTTTGAAGGTGTGAGTGAGTGAAGTTTAACAGGACTAGAGATGTCAGAAGGGTTTGTATATGTGTACGTGTGTGAAAGAGAATAGAACCTTAGTGCAAGTGTTACAAATTAATATTCTAGAATAGGAAATATACCTCTTTGACTAAAACTATTAGGAAACAACTACAAATTGGCACAAATACAAATGCAAAGGAAACCTCTGGTACAATTTAGCAAGTCAAGAAATAAGAACTATGATGACTATAGTTAATAACAATGTATTACATTCTCTAAAATTGGTAAGAGAGTAAATTTTAAATGATTATCTTTTAAGTGTAAATTTAGCTAATTAACATATGCATTACCTCACCACAAAAAATGAGGTGACGCATATGTTAATTAGCTAAGTTATTCACTCCACAATATATACATATTTTAAAATGTGATGTTGTACATGATGAATCTACACAATTTTTATTTGACAATTTAAATAAATACATATTCTAAAATAAATAATAACTAAACAAATAACATTTGTGAATGTGCAGTAAACTGTCACTTTTCTCTATGAAAATAGTAAGTTCCCTAGGCTGTGAGTCTACAGAAATGAAATTTTGAAACTGTTGGTTTGGGTTTTTGAATAGAACAGTAAGTTTGAACAAAACAGAAGCACAATGATATGAATTCATAATGGGAGAAGTCAGCTGATATTCTACATTGTATGTTTACCAAAGTGGGATGGAGCTTCTCTGGTTGAAGTTTCCAGTCAACAGACAAAAAGGGAACAATGGAGCCCGGTTTTCGGGAGGGCCACAGGGATAGAGCTAGGGCTGATCCAGATAGAGCAGAGTACACATTAAAAAGAATATAAGACCCAAACTTTGGGGGGGTGAATGATATTTGGGAATTCTGTGATCTCTAAAAACTAATTTTAGAGAAGAGGGTTCAGTTAGGTGGAGGCTGTTGAGATGGACAGTGCAGCAGAAGGCATTTTCATTTACTTTAAGCTCCCCTGATGCTGGAGAAGTGCTTGCAATGACTTCAGCAATTCTCCTCTTTTTCGTTCAGTGAGTGTGTCTGTTTAGTGCTGATTAAAGATGGGAGCCTGACAAACACTCATTTTTAGTGAATTATTGGTAAAGAACTGTTTACCTTGGGTTTACACTGCATCTCCAGCTCTTATATTTGACCAGTCTAGTAATGATAATTAAGCATTGATAGTTAGCTGAACATTCTTGAATCAAGACGACTGGGGTTTTTTGTTGTTGTTGTTGTTGTTGTTTGTTTGTTTTGGTTGCTGTCAATCTCCTTCTCCTCCCTCAGCAGTTACAATTTGTATTCACCTGGGTCCCCATTAGTGAGTTATATTCCGCTAAGACTATAGAGACAACCTCTGCTCCACTGTCCATCTGAGTGCTGATCTGGCTAAGTCCTCATCTCTAACATTCATTTCTAGAGATCACAGAGCTGAGGCAGGAAAACTTAAAATGAATGAAAGTGCTCCAATTGACAATAAATGAAGAAGATGTGGGCTCAGAGTTAGAGAATTTCCTTGAATTGTTCTAAATTTATGCAGTTGGAAGGCTTTTAAAAGTGCCATCCTACTCAACCTTCTAAAAGTATAATTTTTCTTTTTAATAGAAAATTCACATTTGATTGAAGAGATGGAACATAGCAATTTCAGTTTAATGTTTCCCAGAGAAGCTTGTCATTCACTGGATTATATGCTTAATATTAAGTTCAAAACACAGATTTTAGATAATTTATTTTCAGTACAGAAGATGGATTTATATAACTCAAAGAACAAACTAATAATGACAACTTTTCCTTTGAAGCACACTTTAAGGTATTATTCAATAAACATTTATTGAACACTTTTGGTGTGCAACAGACTACCTTGAGAACTTAAAGAATATACAAATATATTTATGATGTGGCTTCTTTCTTCAACATGCTTACAGCCCGATAAGAGAGATAAACACATAAATATCGTGGTTTTTACTGTAGCAAATGTCAAAGGAAATATGAGAAAATACTATTAGAAATTTGGAGAAGGATGGCGATTTTTCTGAATGATAAGATGAGTGCTTGTGTGACTGCAGCTCGGCTGCCAATCAGGCTGTCATCCAGTGAGGATGACCTAGTGTCAGGTCTTCATCTATCCACTGCCATGTCCTACTTTAGGTAGTAGGCAGGTGTGGTCAACAAGGACATCTACTCTGGGTTCAATGCCTTTTACAGTTGTGTTACTATTGACAAGGAACCTATTTTGAACTTGATTTCCTTAAACAACTCAAATTTTATGTGATGCACCTTAAACAGATAAGTACTGAGTGTTTTGGCATATTACATATGGAACTTATTTTCTCTAGTGTGATACAGTCTCATAAAAATATATACTACAATGCACATGACTTATATATTGGTATTGGCTTATATTCTGCCATCTTCTAGAATTATCTAGTCAAACTGTGATAGGCTATACCAGGACATTCTGAAATTTTATCAAGTGGACAAGGGATAATTATAGCCAACACTGAGAAAAAGGATGCTTAAAGAAATATTCAGTGACTGACCCTTGTGTCAAGTAAAACTTTAAGCAAGAAAACCTATGTGATAATGGTAGCTACCCATCTAGAGAATTGAGTATGTGTCAGAAATGCTTTTATTATTTTACAATGTAAAAACTTTTAAGACATAATTATTATCACGTTTCTATATGCGTAACACTTAGTTTAAACTCATGCTTTCATCTTCTTTGTCAAGAAGAACAATCTTGAGCTTGGAAAGATCAGAATAAGGATAAGATAAACCCAAAACCCAAGAACAATATAGAGATTCTAAGAGTGGCTCTAAAATAACTTAAGTCTCATGATCTGAACAAAATCACATGAATAATTTGGGGTGGGGGAAGAGTTCTCAGAAACAAATTTTTGAGGAGCCAGAAAAAACAGAGAATGGGCCATTGTGGTGTACATTTCCAAAGAGGAGAGACAAATTCCTCAAATCATAAACCAGAAGATTTGATGTTCATTTTGGGCAAGATTCTTGACTGGATTATTAAAACCTTGCCTTTTAATACTTGAAAAGAAAGTAGGGATAATAAGAAATAAATCAACTGAGATTAAACTAATTGTTGGTAGAGTTACTAAGTTGGCAGGAAATAATGATCTAAATATGGCATATCATGATTGCAGCAAGATGTTGGACAGAGTCTCTTAAAATATTTCACTTTGTATTCAGGGCAGAGAATTATAAATTGGATAAGGGGAGTTAGTTGAGTTTAAAATGGGTTGAATAACTTTGATGAAGAAGTCAGTGTCAACCTAAAGGGATTTCCAAGAGCATCTTTCCTATCCTATGCAATGTTTCTACCTGTGGTTTGAGCAAGGTTTCTCAACTCTGAAAGTGCCAAAGCTGAGACAGATAGCAAATACCCATGTGACAGAAACAGGACATAAAAGATCTCAAATGGCTTAAATAATGAGCCAAGTCAAACAAAAATTAAACATAAAAAAATAGGGCCTTTCACATGGGTTGAAAGAACTGGAGCATTATTACAAAAGAGAGGGAGAGAAATATTAGAGAATGGGGAACAAAAAACAGGGGATTTTAGTGAAAGGATAGTGTATTAATTTTCTAGGGATGCCATAACAAAGTACCAAAAATTAGGTAGCTTAAAACAATGGAAATTTTATTATCTCACAGTTCTAAGGACCAGAGGTCCAAAATCAAGGTACTAGCAATGCTATGCTCTCTCTGGCAGCTGTCCCTTCCTTGCCTGTTCTAGCTTGTTTGCCAGCAATATTTATCGTCTCCCTGTGGGTTTACACCACCTTCCCTCTGTGCATGTCTGTCACTATGTTCTAATTTCCCCGTTTCATAAGAACTCCAGTCATATTGGATTAGGGCCCACCCTAATGACCTCATTTTACTTGATCACCTCTGTAAAGACCCTGTTTCCAAATAAGGTCACATTCTGAGGTACTAGGGGTTAGAACTTCAACATATCTCTTTGGAAGGACACAATTCAGCCCATAACAAACAGCTCGGTGTGAATTAACAGTAATCTGCCAATCATGAAAGCCATGACTGCATAGATCAGGAAGAAAGGGACAGTTCAGCCTCACTGGACAGAAAACACCCGGGGAATGGCAGTCAGTTCTGGGCCTTTGACAGACACATACAAGGGAAAGCAATCAGCACGAGGAGGGAACTTAAAACCAAATGATTGAAGCCTGGTTTGGAGGAAACAGGAATGTTTAGCCTGAGGAAGAACAGTCATGGGGGAAATGAAAGCTGCCTTCAAATACACAATCAGCTGGCTGAAAGTAGAACAAGAGTTGTTTTTTATGGCTCTGAGGTCAGAATTATATTACTAAAAGAGATTGATTCAACTGGATGAAAAGAAGATTCTAAAAGGTAGTGTGTCCACAGGCAGTTGGGATTTCATGAGAAATACTGAATTCTCTATCTTTGGATGTCTTCAAGCAAAGGCTTAACACAGAGAGAGGAATCAAAGCATTGGAAATTAGCTTGGATCATGAAGCTTCTGACCTTGATACTCAAGAATTCTATAAAGAAGATTTTCATTTAAGTAAAGAATGTTAATGTCCAGACAAAATAACACATGATATCTTATAAGGAAATGGAATGTGCTAACCAAAATTTGGAATTCTTTTTTATTAAAGACAATGTGGAGGAAAGAAAAATGAGAGGAATTGCATATTTTAACTCCACAAATAAAAAATAGATGGTTTAAGTAAACATAAAATATACTCAGTAAGAATATAGAAAAACCACAGAATCAAATAAAGGAAAGTGAAAGCCTTATCCAAGTCACAGGAATTTTAAAACAAAAGTAGAGTTTCAACTTTTATAGAAGAAATATGAGAGATGAAATCTAGAACAAGAAATAGAAAATTCAATAAGTACCAACATTTTTCCCCCAATACCCAGGAGCATAGAGGAAACGGAAAACACAGATACTAATCTGGTAAAGTGAACTGACTGCTCTGAAAGAGGTTTGGAGAGAAGAAGAGATCCAACGAAGATGTCCAATAGAAGGAGGCCATATGGGCAGGGGAAAGGGCACCAGCTTTGAAATAGGTCAGGAGACCAGATGGGCTTGGCTGGGCCACCAAACAACTGTACAAGGTTTTACAAAACACTTTTCTGCTTCTATTTGATCTGTTATTTAAAAAAAAAAAAAAACAGAGGTTATTTTAACAGTTTTATCCAGATGCAAAATTGTGACACTGATGAATATCCATACATAGGGAATGAGGAAATACTTTGACAGTATAAAGGCATAGGGATGTTCAACTTTAAAAGACAACAAGCAAGAAAAAGCCAATGTAGCTGCTTAACAGGCTGAAACCAAAAGCAACTGATTAAAATACAATAATAGTTACTGTAAATGGGGATGTGCAAATATCTCTGCCAAATGTCATAAGCCAAATGTACATATACAAAGATTTTTTTACTTTCATGCAAAATAAAAAGGAAGTAACCAGCATATTAATTATTACATGTAAAATGTTAGCTTTATATTATGAATGAAATTATGAGTACCATGTAAGCAGTTATTCAAGACTATTTCCATAAGCCCACTCACACTCATGACATTGCTTCGTATGATCCAAGATGTAATATATCCCTAAGCTTGAGGCTACTTGCTTGGCTCCCAAGTCCAAATAATTTCACCTTCTAGGGAATGTGATTTAGGATTAAGTTCTCAAGTACTTTTTTTTGCAATAGCAATTTCATTAAAATTCTCTACCATATTCATTTCAATACACATTTAATGACTACTGTAAGTGGCAACAAATGATTTTAAAATCTAAAGGAAGATAAACTAGAATGTATTAATATTACAGAATAATATATACAATATGCCATGAAGATTTAACATACAGAAAAACAATTCAAAGAGGCAGTAGTGACTGAGTGGGGTTTTAAAGGATAAGTAGGAGTTCATTCAACACACACACAAAAAAATGGAGAAACATTCCAAGGAGAATCTTCACTGGCAGGAAAGCAAGAAATAAAATTGAAGATTTGATAAACTACAATGCATTAAATAGTTCTGAAATAAAGTACCAGGAGTAGAGAATAGCAAGAGGTGAAGCAAGAAAAAAACAATTAGCTCTCAAAGGGCCTTCTGGGCCATCTTGGGAGCAAAGGCTTTTTCTTATTGGTAATAAAAATGCACTGAGAGATTTTGAGCATTTAAGTAATAGGCTCAGCTTGGCATTTCAGGAAGATGATTCCAGCTGCCATGTGGAGGGAGGATGTGAGCTAGAGAAGAAGTGAGGAGTAGTGAGGGGAAAGAGGTGGGAAGGACCTGAATTAAAGCCATGACCAAGCAGAGCCATCACCTTCAAAGTGGAACTGGTGGGATTTTTGTAACCAATGAGATGTTTCAGACCTGCGGTAGATCCAGTCTCAGAGAGGGACCACAGAAGGGAAAACAGGTTTAGGGGCCTACATTGGACCATTATTGTATTTTAGATGCCCAGAAAACATATAAACCCACCTCTATATCATCTTCTTCCTTTCTAACTTCTGCACATTTGAAAAGCCTATTTTTAGACAATAAAAAGCCTAATATTGGGGTTTTTTTAATTAAAGGTCTCTTTAAGAAAATAAAATGGATTTGTGTTTTCCCCCAGAGTAAAAATCAGGCACCAAAAAATGCTCCTTAAAAAACTACAGTTTCCTCAAATAATACCTACTCTAAATGCTGTAAAAGATATTATCCAATCAGAGACCAGTTAATCAAATTTTTATCAATAGAAAGTAACTGTATATGTCATACTCGGATATCAGAGTTCAAAGAATGGGAATGCAAAAGATATACTTAATAGCAAAACCAATTACAACTCTATCTTCCAGGATTCAAAGACTCTTACCATGGATGTGCTTTTATGCACCTCGCTCAAAACTGCATTTATGTGTGGAACTGCACTTGCCTTTGCTGGATGCTAAGTGGACCATCCTGCTTTGTGTAATGGCCTGCACTTAGTTTGAACAGAGGAATCTCAGGGGATGACAGCATCTTTAAAAGGACAGGGAACAGTGAGCCAAGTTTGCATTCCCCCTTGGCAACATAGGGCCAGACTCATAGGAATTTGGTCAAGACAGAAAGTGAAGTTTAACTGATATTTGACATGGTGTAGTTGAGAAGGCCAGGGTTGCTGCAGTGTATGTCAACAAGCCCAATGAGAAAAACAGACGGTGCAAGGAGTATTTCCAAGACTCACACATTGGCAGGCTGACAGACGCTAACACATGTGGGTAGCAATAGCCAATCCAAAGTTTTCTTGCATAATTAATATATTTGGTAGTCTTGAGAAAAAACTTTTTCCATGAGGAACTTGCTTTGAAGGCAGACCTTCACTGCCAGGTCTCCTGAGAGACTCGTTTTTTCTAGCTCTCACTATCACTATCTCTGACTCATCTCTCAAGTTTAAGGGAAAACATTCTTAGATGAGGAGGGGGAAGTGGGGGTTGCAACAAAATATTTGAGTGTCTCCAAATGTCTCCTATAATTAGAGCATCACATGACTTTGCTAAAGCTCAGATTTGAAAACCCTAGCTCTGGGCTTCATCCTGGAGAGGAAGAGAATAGGTAAGTTGTAGGGGCAGCCTGCCGCTGAGAGAAAGTACTTCAAATGACCCATCAGTGGTCCCTGAGGTCAGGAAACATTGTTATCCTTGAGACAAAGTAGTAATTTACCCTTGAGAGGAGCAGAGAAAAAGTTGTGGGCAATGTAGAGTGAGGAGTGAGTTTCCTCACTCAATGTAGAGTGAGTGAGATGAGAAGGGAAAGATTATCTCAACACTTTAGAAAATGACTAGAAAATACCAAACAAGCTTAGGTGGCCTTCCTAAGCCCCTTCAAAAATAACTCCCACTAAATTGGCTAACAATGGAAACAAATAATGTCCAAAAGAACAAGCTTTTATTGATTTGGACTCTTGGGTGAAAAGCATTTGGGGGAAACAAATCGACTCTAATCCTGCAGTGATAAAATATCATAATCTTTGACTTTTTGCAATTCATCATTTTTTCTTTTCATTTTTAAATTATTTATTTAATTATTTAGAGACAGAGTCTTGCTCTGTCACCCAGGCTAGAACTCAGTGGCACAATCATACCTCACCACTTACCACCATGCCTGGCTACTTTGTTATTGTTGCTGTTGTTGTTGTTGAGATAGGGTCTTGTTATGTTGCCCATGCTGGTCTCAAACTCCTGGCCTCAAGCAATCTTCCTACCTTAGCCTCCCAAAATGCTAAGATTACAGACATGAGCCACCGCACCTGGCCAATTATTTTAATCTTTCAAATTCTAACGCCTCAACACCTCAATATTAAGTTGATCAAAGCTTAAGATGGGTGGGATGCTAATTATTTTCTCTAGTTTGTTAAATATAACCCACACTTCTAACCCACAATCCTAACAGAGAATTCTACTTCATACCACTGAGCAGTAGGATGTTCCTGGGATGCTGGTTCAATTTGCCAGTATCCTCAGCTGAGAATGAGTCTCTTCACCAAAGGTCAGAGAGAATTCAAGCAGTCTCTGCCAGGTGAAATGACAGAAGACTGGCTAAGAACAATGCAATATGCCTTGGTGCTGGCAATGCAGCCTGCCTCTGCCTCTGGAGACCCCATCACCAGGGTTGATGCAACTTCAACATTGGATAAATTATATAGAAGAAAAATAAATAGCTTCTCCTTTGGGTCTGAGATTTTCAGATTTTTCCTGTAAAAACATTTTACTGTTCTATAAACAGTCTCCTATGGCCCTGGTTTTATTTTAATTACATATATCCATCTTTATTTTTTTCTTCTACCAAACCTGGGCAGTACACTATTGCACATTTAAAAGAAACCACATTCTTGGAATGAAATACCCTGAAATAGCATCTCCATGTTTCTTTGGACTGATATTCACAGCTTCCACATACATGAGTTTAGAATTTCTCTTGGCCATTGGGCAGCTTTGAGGAGGTTGGGAGGAGAGCCCATCTTTCTTCTGCAGGTCTCATAGGTTTTTGACCTACTTATTGCCCTTGAGTGAGACCAGGTGCCAGGAAAATTTTCTTGGAGTTCTGATCTACTTCCCGTCAAAACACAAAAGATTCTTATATTACATTTGTAAGTCATAAGAAGATTCATATTGGAGGCCAAGATTCCAATTATGAAATGAAAAGCTCTGTCCTCTCGAATTTGATTTTATATATGAAAACTTTACATATACACATATATAAGCACACACATACATATATGTAAGGATGTAATGATTTTAACATAACTCCTCAGAGGCAACTATAAGAAATGTTTGATGAATGTATTATTCTTATGTAATCAGAAGATTCTCTTAGTGTAACAGCTACTGAATGGAGTAGTAATTGTACAGAAAAGCCTTTCAGTGACAGACCCTTAGTGGGGCAAAATCCTGGAGAACACATCACAGAGGGTTGCAGCAGTCAACTATGAGGACCCCTATGAAACACAGCACCAGTGGCATAGGTTAGAGTAAACTTTTACATTCTCAAATGACTTTGGAAGAATGTACAACTTTGAGCTGTGATATTGTTGTACTTCTGGAAAGATGCCACTTCTAAGTGATAGCCATGGCCCTCCCACAGGAGACAGCCTGTGTCTCCCAGACCACCACAATTATGCCTCGCCTCTCCTGGACTCTGCCCATAGCATAGGTCAAGATGCCACTACCCACTTACAGCACTCTCTCCTTTAGTGTCCCAAGGGAATGTTCAATACTGCATATGTGAATTTTGGTGAAATGCACTAGAAAAAAAAAAGCAGCATGATTCAGAAATAGTGAAGCAATAAAGCCCAATGTATAGTCAGTATTTTTCAGGGGTTCCATATATATGAATATTTCAGAGAATAATTAATTTATTTAAGTATCAAAATGCTTTTAAACATGATGAATTTGGTGAAATGGAATCTAAAGTGCTATTACACTCTTTATTGCTTTCTCAATTCCTAAGCTTAACTTTACCATTATTAATAAATTGGCATTATTATTTTCTATGGTTAAGAACACAATCTAGAGCCGTGTTCATTTCCTACTAATCTCTTTGCCCTATCCTTACTCCAGTTCAGCCAAAATGAACCATTCCACAGTCCCCTTTACATTCCTCACTCTTGGCATTTGCAGCCCTTATTCAGGCATATTTGTTGATTGAATCTCTCTGGTTCTCATTTCCACAAACCAAGCTCTTCCCGTCTTTCCTGGACCAGCTGCTTTAGGAGGACTCCTATGAATCCCTTCTCTATTCAGCCTCTGAAAATAATATTTCCCTAAATAGATGCTATCTTTTAAATTTTTCATATTGACATTTATCACTTATTGTTACTTACTAATGTGAGTATAAGTTGTTTAGTGCTGTAGCTATATTTTATATACTCTAACTTACCCAATTGTGCCTTAAAACAGTGTCTGGAAAAAATAGATAATTTTATAAAAATACGTTTAACACATTTGTAGAATGAATTTATACTTAGGGTTCTGGCTAGCCAAAACTGAAATTTGACACAGCTGGCAGGTGAACCTAAGTGAACCTCACCCTACTCCTAGCCCAAACTCCTTCATATCTATTCTACAATCGTTAACCTAACTAAGGGTTAAAAGTCTCCTTGAAAAAAATACTCAAACCATGTCCACAATTGGAATTTATGCCTTACTTCTGGTGCATGAAATGAATAGTAGATGAATAAACTAAGTTGGGTGAGAAATCAGGCCTAATCTGCCTTAATTCTGGTGCATTTTCATAGAGCACATCACTTTATCTTAGAGTATCCTTTACTCCTCAGCCTCAGGAGTAAGGACATAGGTGATTGCAAAGATCAGCAGGGAGCTGAATTCTGGAGCCTAGGAGAGATGATGGCCACTGTGCCCGCTCAGCTCTCAGCTGCAACAGCATCCTTACTCCTCAGGCTTCAGCTCAGGGGGAGATTAAAAAAAAATTGTGGAAAAGGATTCTCAGCATGGTAAAGACAAGGACAGAAATGCTGGAGCATCTCAGGCTCATTGCATTCCTAGACTGGCACAGGGAACTAGAAATGATCCACACAGATCATGAACTCACAGAGGACACCTCGCAGTGTGTCCTGGAAACAGGAATGGGATTCTCACGGGAATAGAGTTCCTACATGAAAAAAAAAAATGGCTGCCATTAGCTAGTAAATTTGGTTTTATTGTTTAATCTGTCATCATTTTGTCTGAGACTAGATGTGGAACCATTTGGAAAATGAATGAATGAATAATCACACTTAGTAAAACTGAATTCTTAGAAAATAGGTTTTTTCCCATAGTAGATGTTAAATATTTTAGTAAAGTTTAACAGAAAGATATTTAAAATTAGAGAACATCAGAACCAGGGAGCTTAGTAAGTAACCAATCTAAACCCCTTGCTTTGCTGGTGAGAGAACTTTCCAGTCCTATGGCTAGTTGTCAACCAATGGCATCAAGATCGGTAACAAGACCTGCTGACTCCCAGTAGTGTAGCTTTCTCTGTATGTACCAGAACAGACATTCTCTAAAGCATGATGTGAAAATCAGTTTCCCTTGGAGTCAAACTGGAGCCATGAGATACATGCATACTGAAGGGAATCAGGTTTGAGCCCCAGTGGCCAATTCAAGCCAATCAGCCTTAACGGCTCCTACAAACGGACAAGTCAAGTATTTTCCATTCCCAGTAAAAGAAAGTTAGAACTACATAGTATCTCAAAACATTTGATCTTTTCTTTAATAGAAGCCACAGCAAAAAGCATGCTGCCCTTAAATCATCACAACTCAGAGAAAAATGAATTTGAATTGCATGGACTTTGAGAGGCTTTTATTTCTAGGATTTTTTTTTTTAATTAAGGGGAAAAAGAAAAAACAGAAAAGGAAATCTGTGGATAGCAATAGCAAAAGGATAAATTTATCTGGAAATTTTCACTTGGCAACTGAAATTCTGCTTGGAAATCAGAATTTTTTTTAATTACAAAGGAAATTTAGTTGTAGTGACAGTCTTTCATACATCCAATAAATATGTATTAAGGGCCAACATCCTTCCAGGAACTGTGCTAGAGATGGAAAAAATCGCAAGAACCTAATGGAGCTAAGCCCAGGCATATGGAGGCGGACAGCATGGAGGGCTTCTCGTTGCTGAGTCTTTAGGGACAACAGTTGTTAACTACATGAAGCCTGAGTTGAAGGGTATTGCAGACAGAGGCAAAAGAGAGCACATTGTTCCAGGAACGGAAAGAAGCCCAGTGAGCCTGGAATGCTGAGCGTGGGAAAGAGGTGGGGTGACAAAGGAGGCTGGAGGGTAGAGGAAAGACCACCTTGGGAATTTGAGCTGGGTCCAAGGGTAAAGACCTATCAGAACTATCAAGAAATTCTTATATGATCTGATTCGTATTTTCAAAATAATCAACATTAAATGGCTTTTAGTCTAAGCACATAAGATGCTCGGTTAAACTTAGAGATACTGTTTTTCACCTATCAGATTGGCAAAAAGAAAAAAGTTTGAGAGGGGTGAAGAAACAGGCATTTTCACACATTTCTGGCAGGAGTAATATCAATTTGGTAATATATATTAAAATTAAAAACACACATACCTTTCACCTAGCAGTCCCAGTTCTCGAGCTCTGTCTTGCAGTTATGTTCACACTCACGTAGACTGACATATGTACAACTTTATTCATTTCAGCATTGTTTCTAGTAGCAAACTACCGGAAACATTAAATACCCACTAAAAGCAGGTTGGCTACATTGTCAGCACAATATGATACACTTGCACTTAAAAAACAAAAAAGAACTTCCATAAATGGAAAGGTCACCAAGATACAACACATATTTTTAAAGTACAAAACAATGTGTACAGCATGGTATCTTTATGTAAAAGGGGAAGACATATTAATATATTTTATTGGATATGTATATAACATTTATGGGATAACACACACACACGAAATCCTCACCATCATTGTCTGTGTGGAGAGAAACTGAGTGGCTAGGAGATAGGGGTGCAGGGATCCTTTCTGGTGGATGCCATCTTTTACGATCTTTGCCCAAAGTGTTTCTAGGAGTGATGTAAGCAAAGCCAAGGCAGAGTGGGTTGAGGACTGGACTGATTAGGAAGTGATGGCCATGAGACCACTTTCAGGAAGTCTGGTTGTGGAAAGGGACAGCAATAGGGCAGGGCTTAGGGTGAGCTGAAGGAACAATGTCAGACTGAGAAAAGTCTCTTTTTGACTGAGAAACAGACACAAAATTATTTATAAATACAGACATAGAGAGAAACAAACGTGAACGATATAGGATAAAGAAGGCAATATTGAAATAAAGAAAGGGAGGAAATGGAAATACTACGAACTTCCAAACAAGCGCAAGTCCAAGGATTATAGCTTTCCTTTTTTCTTTCCTTTTTATCTGCCCTCAATTGGCTTTAGAATCATGGTTTGTACCAAGCAGGACTCACGAAATGTTTTTTTACCCTTTCATATCATGCTGCCTGAGCTCATGCTTTGGGGTAACTTCCTTCATTTGTTACCATATGGCACATCCAAAAAGATATGCTATAGCAGACACTGCATGCCTGAATCAAAGCAAGATCCAAGTGGCATACACTTACCTGGATAGTGTATGCAATAATTCTACAAGCCCTACAGCCCTCACTGTCCCTAGAGGGGCAGAGAATGTCAGTCCTCCCTGTTCCTCCTTGGCCTCTTCGGACTGCCCAGTCTTGAGTCTCTGGCTGCTGGTGAATCCTCCACCAAGGGCAGTGCTTCCAGCACGACCAGACCCCCACTCAGTATGCAGGACTATACAGTATACAAGACTATACAGTATACAGGACTGAGTGTGGGTCTGGACCTGCTGGAAGCATAGCCCTTGGCAGGACACAGCCCCACTGTCTAAGTTTCCAGTGCTTTCTATGCCCCAGCATAGAAATTCCTAAGTTTTCAGTGTTTTCTATGCCCCACCATTCCAACCCTCTTTCTGGCATTTTCTAAGTGAAAAATTTGTCTCACACTCCCCCTAGTGACAGCCTCAGGAAACCTTTTCATGGCCTAAAGCACAGCTCATTGACAGCAAAAAGAGCCAGCCCTGAATGCTGCTGATTGTAGGAATGGGCACCTCATTTCCCCACTCCCCACCTGACACATATGCTGCTGCTGTTTTCCGTGATTAGAAAGAAATATTCGGCAAACCCAATATCTAGAAATTAACAGACTGAAGGGAATGAGTGTCTGTCACAGAGTAAACAAGCTCTTCCTTGTTTTGTGAGAAGAAAAGTGTTAGAAGCAGGAAGACTGTATACATAAAAAAGGAGAAAGGGGGAATGTGGAATATGATAGATCTGTCCCAGTCTGCACTAGTGATCCCAAAGTCAAGGCAGTGAAATCACAGCCACACTTAGAGGCTCAACTTGAGAAGACAGACATCTCAAGGTTTAGTGAACTAAGACAGGGAGGAAATGGAAAAATTTCCTGTGGAAATTTCCTCCCTTTCTTAATCTGCAATACCCTTCATCCCAGTACCTGTGGAACAGGCGGCTGAAGGATGCCATGATGGCAGCCAGTAAATGTTTGAAGGGCTGAAATGTGGAAGATTAAACTTCCTTTGTTTAGAGCAACTCCAAATCAGTGGTTCTGAACCATCTGAGGGTCAGTTTGCGAATTGATGAATCTATGGCCTTTCTCTGTAGAAAAATGTAATTTCTTATTACATGGAGAGTCACAGAAAAAAAAAAAACATTAATGGCCAATAAACACAAAAAGAGATGCTCAATTTCCCTTAGAAATTCAGGCCAAAGTAACAGGGATCTACCATTTTCTAATCTGTCAATTTGGAAAAGATTCAAAAATTTAACAATACAAAGTACACTTGACCCTTGAACAACATGGGTTTAAACTGTGCAGTTGCACTTATATGTGAATTTTCTTCTGCCTCTGCCACCCCTAAAATGGCAGGACCAACCCCTCCTCTTCCTCAGCCTACTCACCATGAAGATGATGAGGATGAAGGCCTTTATGATGATCTACTTCTTAATGAATTGTTACTAAATTTCTACTTATGATTTTCTTAATAACATTTTCTTTACTCTGGCTTACCTTACTGTAAGAATATAGTATATAGTACATATAATATACAAAATTTGTGTTAATTGATTATGTTATCAGTAAGGCTTCCGGTCAACAGTAGTCTATTAGTAAAATTTTGGGGGAGTCAAAAGTTACAGGTGGATTTTCAACCGCATGTGGGTCAGCACCCCTAATCTCTGCATTGTTCAAGGACCAACTCTATTGTTACGAGTGTGGAAAAACAGGTACACTTATGCTATTGATGCATTATAAACCAGTGCCATCTTTTCAGAGAATGCTCCATACGTTAAGATCTCCCCCATGCCATAGCTTTAGTTCACCTCTAGGCCTATGGTTTTCCAATGTAAATCAGCCATTTAGCTCAGATCCATTTTTAATATTTAAACATAAATAATCAACTGTCAGCTTGACATCTTTACCTGACTGTCTCAAAAATTCTTGAAATCCATCCATGTTCAAGACAGAACTCAAAACTCTCACAAAGTTGGTCTCCTGATAGCATTCCATGGTGGTATGTAGCAACTCCATCCATCTAGTTGCTGTAGTTGGAAATCTCAGCAACTTGTGGGCATTTCCCTCTAACTACTTCTCCCCACTTCCCATGTCACTACACCATTTAAGCAATCACTTCTCATCTGGGTGACTGTAATAATTTCCTAGCTTGTGTCCTAACACTCACTCTGCTCCTCTGATGGCTATCGTCATTGCAGTCAGAGTGACCTTTTCAAAACTCAAATCTAAGTTTACCAATCCGTATGCTTAAAGTCCTGCCATTGCTTTTAAGATAAAGACAAAAATCCTAAACACAATCTGCCAACCCTACACAGACTCATTTCTAACTACCTTTCCAGCCTCCTCTACCTGCTTCTTTCCTTCATTCTCACACTGTAGCACTCTAGCTTCTTTCTCTTCCTTTGAAGTTTTTTTTTTCTTTTTCCTGCTACAGGGCCTTTTTATATGTTTCTTTTGTCTAAAGTGATCTCCCTCTCTTCATCTAGTTAAGACTTATTCAGGACATAATCTCAGTTCCCTGGAGAAGGCTCCTGTCTCCCCAGTTCAGCTCTATGTTCTTTTCTTACTTGTATATGAAATCATGGGACGATGTCTTTTTCTTCATGGCACTTACAGCAATTTGTAATGATGCCTAATCTATGTGACTATTTTAGTTCTATCTTTTCTATTACCAAACCATAATCTTCATGTCAGCAGAGACTTTCTATTTTCCAGTATATGCTACTTATCTTGAAATAGTGAGAGATGGGCCCTGTGTATGTATGTGTTTGCTTGCATGTGTGTGTGTGCCAGAAAATACCCAAAAGTGTTAACAGTGGTTATCTCTAGGTGATGCACGTTAAACTTTTTATTTTTTCTGCATTTTGTATATGTTATGCAATAGGTCTGCATTTATTTATAACCAGACAAAATCAATAATAATTGTACTGTTAAAAGCCTTCATTAACTGAATTTCAGAGGAAATGCCTACCAGCTACCTACACCAAAAATAAGTGGACCACAAAGGATTACCAGAAAAAGTAAGAAAAATTAGCATCATGAAAGAGAGTGTCTAAGATAAAATAACTAGCTATGGAGTAAACAACAGGACAGAAGAGGTATTTTTTTTTTTAAATCTCAATTGGTATCTTCAGAGACATTTGAGGAATATCATTTTTATAACTGGTATGAAAAAGAGGGCAATCAGAAAACAAGGTATTTATCTAATTAAAAATATATTTGAGGCCAGGCATGGTGGCTCACGCCTGTAATCCCAGCACTTTGGTTGGCCAAGGCATGTGGGTCACCTGAGGTCAGGAGTTCAAGACCAGCCTGGCCAACATGGTAAAATCCCATCTCTACTGAAAAATAAATAAATAAATACAAAAATTAGCCAGGCATGGTGGTGCTCACCTGTAATCCTAGCTACTTGGGAGCCTGAGGCAGGAGAATTGCTTGAATCTGAGAGGTGGAGGTTGCAGTGAGCTGAGTTTGCACTGCTGCACTCCAGCCTGGGCAACAAAGCAAGACTCTGTCTCAAAAATAAAAATAAAAATATATTTGCATAAGGGCAGTGAAAAAGCTGCATAATAAAATCTATAAATCTGAAGTCAGTGAGCAGAAAGAGAAATAAAGGCAGTCTCCCAAAACAGAAAAAATTTAAAGAAATGGGAAATATGAAGATAAGTTTAAAAACATAGAAAACAGTCCAGGTGATCTAACCTATGTCCAAAAAGTGCTTAAGAAAGATGCTGTAGGAACTATATAGAAGAGTGGTTGAGGGGGGGAAAAGAAGGGAAGAAACAGAGAGGAAAGAAGGAAGGAAGGAAAGAATATAACAGTAATATAAATATTGGCAATGTGAAAACACTACAATAAATAAAATCAGGTCAAGGGAAGTGAGAAGTGTAAGTACACTAAAACTTTCATTTCTGTGGGAGTTAATAGATGCTGTGAATCTATAAATCAAAACACAGTCCTTCAACTACCAGAAAAAAACTGAAAATAATAATATAACCAACACATTTAGGAAATCAAGAAAGAAAAATAGAATTGTTTAAATTTATTTTAATCCCTCATCTTATAAATCACTGGGTTAATGCATGTGGTCTAAAGTTGATAAATTGGGAACTTAAAATTATAATGTCAATTCCAGAAAAAGTAAAAGACAATGGGACTACTTCTGGGGAGTAGGACTAACTTAACAGGAAGTAGTAAGGAAGAGATCTTTACTTCTAATTTTATACATTTCAATATCTTGTAATTTATCTGTGCATATGTATACATGCATTATTTCCAAAATGTTTTTTAAAAGTTAAAGTAATTTGAGAGTCTATGAATGCTGTCTTTGAGTCCAGCAATGCCTCTAAAAGATTGTATAATGAAGCACTTGGTGAAGTCTAGCTCCTTTCAGAATTGACTTCACCAAGTGCTAACATTAATGTGCTAGCTTTTACCAAATATTGCTTTGAAAAACCATAAAAAATATTTTCTTGTTTACTGTAAAACTTGTTGAGGACATCATTAATGACATGAATCATCATTCACTGTATAGGGGTCCTTGAGTGAATCTCTTCATGTCAGTGCTAAAATGAAGCTTGCTTCTGCTCAAGAATTGTTTTGCTCTCTCCTTGGTTATGTTCACCTTTTTCACCAAGAGTGAAACTTGAAGCCCTACCCCAGTGTATTAGTCTGTTCTCACACTGCTGGTAAAGACAACCTGGGACTGGGTGATTTATAAAGAAAAAGAGTTTAATGGACTTACAGTGCCACGTGGCTGGGGAGGCCTCACAATCATGGTGGAAGGCAAAAGGCATATCTTACATGGCGGCAGGCGAGAGAGAATCAGAGAGCCAATCGAAAAAGGAAACCCCTTATAAAAACCATCACATCTCATGAGACTTATTCACTACCATAACAGTATGGGGGAAACTGCCCCCATGATTCAATTATCTCACACTGGGTCCCACCCATAACATGTGGGAATTACGGGATGAGATTTGGGTGGGGACACAGCCAAACCATATCACCCAGCAATTATGTCATTTTATATGAGGAGCATAGTTGTATTTTCTTCCCCTTGGTCCTGGCTTTCTATTAATACTTTATCATTTACTTTTGTCCCCTGTGATACAAATGTGTAAAAAAAATCTGTAAATTGAAGTGGGAAATAAACAAGTGAATTATGTTACATAGTTAAATATATTATTTATGATCATTAATAAAACACGTAATCCCTCTATGTTCTCAAGTTGTCAAATCTTACCGAACAATTCATTTTGCCATTACTTTTGGGATTATACTGGCTAAATTTAGATATAGTTACATAAAATACAGAGCAAAATATCCTCAACATTTCTTGAACTGGGCAAAAGTTCCAAGCAGACATGCAAAAGAAAAGCTTGAATACGATAAATATAAATGCCAAATATAAAGAAAAAATTGCCAATAGCTACAGCAGTCCAAAGTTGGGAATGGGCTGCCCTGTCCCCAGGAATTTGCCGTCTTATGAGACTTCAGACTGCTTTCTGATGGAGGTAGAGAGACAGAACACGTTAGGTACTCTTCACTAGCAAACACTACCACAGTATCCCTGTCTCACGCCATTTCAGTGTTTGAAAATATCACAGGATTCTATTGCAAATGTTCAGGATGGTAGATCCAACGTCTAAATCTCTCTGCTACCCTTTCCATCTCCCCTATTTGAAGGTAAGCATTAGTCTCATTGGCTGTTTGCTCTGTCAGTCTCAGTTGTCATGGCAGAATATCTACTCTGTCATGAGTTTATTTTTTGACTTTCATCAATTATATGGATTATTAAGAAGATTTCTGCAAAGGACAAATAATGCTAAATCAGCAGCCCTGTATGTAACTACCAAGAAGTTATGTACAACATTAATATTGGTGCATGGTTCTGCTTGAGATCACCTCAATGTCTGATTCGGCTGCAGATCAGAGACATTATACTGATTCCAGCTGTTTTGCAAGCAAGTTGTGGTAGTCATCTAATACTTATGACCCCTGGTACAATTTGCAACCCGCAGTCTTCATGACTTGCTGAATTATATGCAGTACCCATTCTTCTTTATCTCCTATTTCAAAGGTTATACTTAGACATGGTTACTCAGCATTACAGACCAGAATTACTTCAAATGAATTGGGAAAGACTCAGGAAAGAAATTCCAGAGAAAGACTTGAATCTTTTAAAGAGTCATGCAGAACAATGTCATATAAGGTCATGGAACAGAGAGTCACTAGACCACATAGGACTTTAATTCTCTGAGAATGGAAACCGTAATGACTCATTCAGACCAAAGGAGGCCATAGTGCCTAATATCCACACAATTCACTCAGAGTGTAAATCACAACTTATCCTGGGGTGGAGAAGGAGGAAGCCGAGGAGGGCAGAGAGATGAGTCCTGAGTTGGGGTTGAAGTGTGGGAACGAAACTGAGAACTGAACAACACATAAACTGTACCGCCAAACCCAGACACATCTAGACCTGTGTTCAGAAAAAATAACACCATCTGTAAAATGTTATCCTTCTCCATGGTTTTGCTATTTTTTGTTTCCTTAGTTCTATGGAGAAATTTCATATTAAATAAAAAACCTCAAAAATTATAGATGCTCCATAAATGATAAATTAGGAAGTGATTCTCCACTTTAACAAAAAGATATTTAGCTCCACAAAAGAAAAGGTCGTAGCACTTTAAAAATGACTACATCCCTTTATACACCTACCTATATTATGATATATCATTTTGTACTAACCAGGATCCCAACAGGAAGCACCATGCTAAATTTATTATGCAAAAATCTCTGTAGCCCAACATTAATTGGCCGTTAACTAAAGTCTTTACCTAGAATATGCTCAATGCTGTGCTAGATGCTGAGAAACATTCAGAAGTATATATTTCTATCCTAAAGTGGGTTAAAGTTCAAAAAAGCTTAAAGTTGTGTTAGAAAGATGAGACATGCATATAAAGTTGCAAGAAGCACTAAAACCAGAATTTGTTCTAAATGTTAGAGTACATTCTTCAAGAGCTTCAGGAGACTACAGAAGCCATGAAGCCCAAATCGGTATGGGGAAACCTGAAAAACAGAAAAACTAGGAAAAATAGAAAATGAAGAAACAGAACCAGACTATTTCCCCAGAGGGAGAAAAGAAATTGAATGTATGCAAATTGGAAATAGGTATAGAAGCTAACAAGATAGTCTGCACACTGAAAAAGTCACTTCCAAAATACAAGGAAGATCCTCCACACTGTGGCTCTTTTTAAATAATGGGCCATATTTTAGATTCTAAATAGACCTAAGCAATTTGAGATGGCAATCCCTTCCACCTCTGCTCACTCACACAGACCTTTCTCCAACAGTTGTGAAGACTGAAGATATATAATGAAGATCAGAATTTAGAAAGAAGTTAACTGATAGCTATTGGTAGTAAACAAGACTTCAGCTATTGACCAGACAGATGATAAAACAGCCTCACTTTTTGCCAATCACATTATCTCCCTTTTTTCCACTAGCAACCTAATCAACCTTGATGGCAGTTTGTAGCAAGTGTCGTGGTGACAGTTCACAAAGATTAACATTAGAGCTTTATTTGATTGTGAGTGGGTTGAAGAGACACTAGGTTTCAAAATCCATAAAATTGTTTTTTCATTACTTACAACATAATTTAGTGCTTGTCTGTGTTTGTCCCAGCCAAATATCATTCCCTAATAGCTGAAGTGAGTTCTCATTGACCAATGAATTTTAAAAATTACATCATCAAAGTTGTTCCATTAAAAAACCCTCTGATGTTTTTTGCCTTCAGTGCTCCAGGTAAAAAAGTAAAGAGAACATTTTGACCTGGAAATAAGAATATAAAAGCCAAGCTGACATGCAGACAAATGGCAGGGTGACAATGTCACCTAATCACTTCTGTCTCTTGTGCTCCTTCCCCCTTCTAACCCTCACTCACACACCTGTTATTTCAAAGTGGTCCTGCCATTGCCAACAAAAGCAAGGATGACCAATGACCTAGGGGGTTGCTTTGTGGAAATCCCAGTTACTGACCTCACTGAAAGGACTGGGAGGGAATATCATCTTAAAGGAGCACTCATCCTAAAAGGATTAAGTTCGCCCTAAAACAAAATCATGTGTGACTCACCAGTGTGAAGTTCAACCTCCATCTTCCTTTCTGAAGCAGGTGTGGTCAAATAGGAAGCTGGTTGGGACTAAGCACCCAAATAGGATAAGGATTTTGATAATTTTATGTAGCAAGGCAAGATCTAGAATATTAATAAATCCTTCAGCTTTTCTTTAAATTCAGAATCTCTACTCTTTTTTATGTCTGTAGTTTTCTACCTGGCTGTACAAGAGAATCATCTGGAAAGGTTTTTTAAAATGCTGGCACCTGCACCCACTCCCAACCAATTAAATCAGGATCTCTGAGGGTGAAGCCCAGGCACTGTTAGGCCCGCAACTCTCCAGATGATTCCAAGGTGTAATCAACTTTGACTACCAAAGTAGTCCAAGGTGCTCATTTGGCCTAAATAAGAACCACCTGGGCTGGGCTGGAGAGTGTAAAATCCCTGTCCATGTTTGGTGCTTGGCGCAGAAGACGTGCTGAGAGGGGGCCTGAGGGTGTGCCTGGTCCCCAGGAGAAAGTGCAGACTCATATCAACCCAATTATAATCCTTGAACACCAGTGCAATTTGGGGATGAATGTACGACTATTCTTTTACTTTACTAGATGGCATTCTACTTTCACAGAGTTTTATCTTCTTCCCTATTTTCCTTATCTATTTGTTAGCAGTGTAGACTCATGGATTCTTACTTTATTTAATGAGTTACAATTTTCTGATGCTCACATTGTCCCAGATTTTGCTCAAGCTAGCTCCTCTGTCCTTTGGACATGACCCCATCCTTTTATTCTGAGCACTTTCTTACTTTCAAGTACCACAAGATGTTCTGGATTCAGCTTGTATACTCCCTGCACCAGCCATGGACTCAGTCATTTCTCCAAATAGCCTAAGTTCCTTTTAGTAAGGAATGGTATTTAGAAACCAATACCTGGGCTCTAGGTTAGTTCATCTGCAAAGCAGAAGCGTTACTGTTTCTAAGCAAGTAGAGCACTCAGAAGTTTCTCTCCCTCCAGTAACCCTTCTGCTCCATTCCCTTATACCGAACCTCTTGCTGTTCAGCAATTTCATTAGTTTCTGGTTTATATTTCCTGGGCCCCTTTTTGGAAAAGTAAATACGTGTTTCAATTCTTTTTTTTAATCACAAGTAGCATACTATATATATTTTGCACTTTTTAAAAAATGGAACATTTTGGAAGGATCACGCTATGCCATTTGATAGAGAACTTTGCTTTTTGTTTTTAAAGCTGCATAGTATTCAATTATGTATGTGTACTGCAGGGAAGGAAAGATTCTTTCCTCATCCATTAATAGGTTCATGGTTGAGGCCCCATAACAAAAGGCAGATTAACAAGAGAAAAGCATGCCCATGTATTTAATATATTTTAGATAATACAGGAAACTTCATAAGGAAATAAAGACTCAAAGAAATAGGTGAACTTTCATATTTTTACACTTAGGTTTGATGGAAAAGTAGATAGCCATGGAGAAGTATGTCTGGGCCAAGGGGGTATGATCTAATGATAATAAACTGGGGGGAACTTAGAAAGGCCTGTTTGTTAAGATTCCTCTCTGTGTCCCTTTTCTCCAGGTATAAGAAGGGCACCTCTCAAGTGAGAGTCTTATGACCAGCTTCAGAAGAGAAGGGTGGGAAGTCAGAAAGTAACCATCTTAGGATTTATACCCTGCTTCAGGGAGAAGGGGGAAAAAGGAAAAATGACCTTCCTACTTCTGCTCTTTCTCAAATGCCCAATGTTTTGGGGTAGCTCATCAGTACCATATTTATTTAACTACCTACCTATTTTTGGGCATTTGTTTCCAATATTTTGTGAACATATGTTTTCATTTCTCCTGGTTAAATACCTAAGAGTGGTATTGCTGGGTCATAGCATAGGCATATGTTTAATTTATTTTAAAAATAGCAGTTTTCTGAAGTGGTCATACCATTTTATACTCTTATCAGGAATGTATGATAGTCCATAATGTTTCATACCATGGCCAACATTTAGTGCAGTCAGTCTTTTCAATTTCGATTATTCTAGTTGGTGTGGAATATTTTCTATGGTATCCTTTTGTGGGTAAAATTCACTTCCCCCAAGACAATGTTGAGCACCTATCCTTCTGCATAATGGTTATTTGCATTGAAATGTTGGTTCAAGCTTTGTTCATTTTTGAATGGGTTGACTTTTTGTTATTGATTTGTAGGAGTTTTTATATTTACAAATTTCAAATATATGTATTGAAAATATACTTTCCAAATCTATGGATTTTCTTTTTATTTTTATTTATTTCTATTTTTTGAGATGGAGTCTCTGTCACCCAGGCTGGTGTGCAGTGGCACAATCTCGGCTCACTGCAACCTCCACCTCCTGGGCTCAGGTAATCCCTCCACCTCAGCCTCCCAAGTAGTTGGGATTACAGGCATGTGCCACCATGCCCAGCTAATTTTTGTATTTTTAGTAGAGCCAGGGTTTCACTGTGTTGGCCAGGCTCGTCTCAAACTCCTGGCCTCAAGTGATCCACCAGCCTCAGCCTCCCAAAGTGCTGGGATTACAGGCGTGAGCCACTGTGCGCAGCCTGCCTTTTTATTTCTTAATGGCGTCTTTAGATATTAAAAAGTTAATATTTATGAAGTTGATTTTTTAATTTCTTTTATAATTAGTGCTTTTTCTATACTATTTAAGAAATCTTTACTCCAAATTTGCAAAGATATTCTCTTATGTGTTTTAGAAACTTTTTAATTTTAACTTTTTTGTTTAGATCTATAATTTATCTCAAATTAATTTTTGAGTATGCATGAGGTAGTGTTAATACCCTTTTTTTCATAAAATTAAACAGTCTAGTACCATTTGTTGAAAAGACTTTTCTTTTCCCTTTAAATGGCCTTGATCCCTTTGGAAAAAATCAGTTTACCATGTATATATAGGTCTACTTTTGCACTCTCTATTCTGTTCTAGCTCTCTGTCTATGTTGATACCAATTTCAAGATGTCTTAAGCAATACAGCCTAATAGTGTAGTCATTCCTTGATCTGCAGGGGAGGAATTCCAGGACACCCTGTAGATACCAAAATCTGCAGATGCTCAAGTCTTTTACATAAAATAACATAGTATTTGCATATAACCTACACACATCCTCTCATATACTTCTCATATACTTTAAATCATCTCTAGATTACTTATAATAATACAATGTAAATGCTATGTAAATAGTTGATATACTGTATTGTTTTTAAATTTGCATTATCTTTATTGTGGTATTGTTATTTTTATTGTTTTTTTCAAATGTTTCCTGTGTTGGTTGAACCTACAGATGCAAAACCCACAGATATGAGCTGACTGTCTTTTGAAATTAGGTACAATGAAGCCTCTAACATTGTTCTTTTACAAGATTGTTTTGGCTATTCTAGAGCCTCTTATTTCCCATATAAATTTGGAATCAGTTTTTTTTAATGTCTACATTTTAAACATGTAGAACCAACATTTTGGTTGAAATTGGATTCAATCTATATTTAAATTTGTGGAGAATTAATATCTCAATAATAGTGAATTTTCAATCCATAAATGTTCTATATCTCTTATTAAGTCTTCTTTAATTTCTTTCAACAATGTAGTTTTCCATGTTGAGGTCTTGTATACATTTTGTTTAAATTATTCTTGAGAATGTTATGTTTTGAGTGCTTTAAGGATAAAAATGTTTTCTTGTTTTGTTTTTTAATTGTTTGTGACTAACATATAGAAATAATCTTTTAATATTGATCTTGTATACTGAGTCCTTCCTAAATTCACTTCTCAGTTCCAGTGGTTCTTCTGTAGATTCTTTAGGATTTTCTAAGTAAACAATGATTTCTCCTGTGAATATAAATAGAAGAAAAATAACTTCTCCCTATCTGATCTTTGTGACTTTTTCTTGTCTTTTTGCACTGACTAGTGCCTCAAGTACAAATGGAATGGTAAAAACAAACACTCTTGTTTCCAATCTTAAAAGGAAAGCATTCAATTTCACAACTAAATATAAGCTGTTGATTTTTAGTGAGTCCTCTTTATGAGATTGAGAAAATTTCTATCTTTAACTTGCTGAAAGCTTTTAATCATAAATGGATGTTGAATATTGTGAAGTGTTTTGTCTGCACCTATTGAAATGAATATATGATTTTTCTCCTTTTCTTAATGGTGAACTATGTTGACTGACTTTAAAATTTTAAACAAACCCTTTTATTCCTTGAAAACAAACACCTGATCATGATATAGTCATACACACAGACACACACACAAACATACACACACACACACACACACACAACAACAAACATACTGCTGAATCGTATTTCCTATTATTTTGTGAAGGATTTCTATGTCTGTGTGCAGGGAAGATATTTGACTATAATTTTCTTTGTGTGCAATGTTTTTGTCTGGCTACATTATCAGGGTAATATTGGCCTCATAGAATAATATAGAAAGTATTCCTTTCAGCTCTATTTTCCAAAAGAATTTGTGAAAAGTTGGCAATATTTATTTCTTAAGTTGTTAATAGATTTTGCCAGTGAAACTATCTGGATGTATAGATTCTTTGTGAGGTTTTTGGTAACAAATTCAATTTATTTTATAGAACTATTTATATTTTCCATTTCTTCTCATGTTAGTTTGATAAATTGCATTTTGAAGAAATGTTTCTGTTTTATCTAAGTTGTCAAATGTTACTGGTTTAATGCTGTTCATAATATTTCTTCTCAGATTATAACAGTCCTTTTAGAATTTCTGCAGCTCCTATAAATTTACAACGTATCATATTGTAATTAGTGCACAATATGGTAATATTTAAGTGTGTCAGTTTTTATTTCCACAATTAGATTGCAGGCTTCCTATGAAAAGGGACTATTACTGAATCTGCCTTCAACCTTTACTCTAGTTTAGACTAAAAAAAGGCAAATCTGTTAACCTGAGAGGAGACCAGTCATTATCAATATGTTAGAACCTTAACCTATTGATGTGGAACACAGAAGTTAAAAGAAGGTCAGGAAAGACTAAGCAGATAAAATTTGGAGCTGAGCCTTGAAAGGTAAATAAGAGCTTTCTAGAAAGACAAAATAGGGGGTGAAAGAACATCTAGACAGAGGGAATAACATGGGCGAAGATGTACAGGCACAAGAGAGCATGGTGTTATGAGAAGACCTGTATCAACTATAGGAGGATATGGTGTCAGGGATGATGAAACAAGTATCTAGGAAAGGCTTTCTGGCATAGATGGGCACTGGCCTGAGTGGGGCATGAGGTCTGTGGGTGTATTAATCTGTTTTCACACTGCTGATAATGACATACCCAAAACTGTGCAATTTACAAAGGAAAGAAGTGTAATGGACTCACAGTTCCACATGGCTGGGGAAGCCTCACAATCATGTTGGAAGGTGAAAGGCATGTCTCACGTGGCAGCAGACAAGAGAAGAGAATGAGAACCTAGCAAAAGGTGTTTCACCTTATAAAACCATCAGGTCTTGTGAGACTTATTTACTACCATGAGAACAGTATGGCGGAACTGCCCCCATGATTCAATTATCTCCTATCTGGTCCCTCCCACAACATAAGGGAATTATGGGAACTACAATTCAAGATGAGATTTGGGTGGGGACACAGCCAAACCATATCAGTGGGCCTGAGGCAAGTAAGCCAGGAATCTCTTATTCTCCCCTCCCCCACAAGTTTACCTAAAAATGATTTTGAATCATGCTTTCATTTGACAGAATCATACCAGCACTATCATCAATGTTATAATCACCTGGTCCCCTGCAGGCAGGACTTGGTTTGATCTAGAGCTCCTCTTCATCTACAAACCACTAATCTGTGTCTCTGTTACTCTTTGCAGTCATGATCATCTGACCTCTTTCCATGGAGATCATTAAAGTAGCATCCAAAAATCTATGGTACAGCATTCTTCAAACAAACAAACAAAAAAACCACCTCAAAGGTAGAATTTTAAGGAGGATTACAAACCCTCCAGCCCTTAGCCAAATATTTGACTCTCCCCAGAGGATAACAACTGACCAAAGGGTATCAAGGGATAAAACTGGGGCCCAGAATAGTTCATAAGGTCATGATAACCTGTTATGGGAACTCACCTCCCATTTTTTTTCTTCTTTCTTATTTTTTTCCTGACATTCTCTAACTTTTTAATAAGACAAATGGTCACACTCCACCCTAAATTTATTAAGTCTGTATTATCTATCAGAATTTCAGTGTCAGGAGCCAATCCCAGACTTTTACTGACACCTGAAGTCCAGTCAATTACTGATTTTGTCACTTCCTTCTCACTCAGCTATGATTGGGGGAGCAATTTTATCACATATGAGGGATGGTCAATAAACTAGATGATTCAAGATTCTGCCTTTTTGGGGGCAGCCCTTTAGTTCTACAATAATTAAACAGGTCCAGAAAGAGAAACTGACCAGAGATTATGGGTGTGGATGCCAGCACAACAGCAAGCATGAGCCTCTAACTCTCCCTTCTGGGTGACCCTTGAAGTCAGCTGCCTCATCCCCAGGAACTGTGTGGTGGTGGCAGAATAAGAGGTGTTCAGAAGACATGAGCTTCACCCAACAGGTGTAACATCTGAGTTCTAACAAGTATCCTTCCAGTTAAAAGTAAGAGTTTCCCTCCTGTTTTCCTGAGAGGTGGCCAGAATCGTTATTATACTTTTGTCAAATCTATGATATGGATAAGCCAGTCCCCAAGGTCTGGAAAAGAGGAGAAAGGACAAATACTAGGACTAGAAACTAATCAACTGTAGGTCTGAAGTTAGAAGGGATGTCCATGCTTTGGATGGAATCCCATCGCTGAGACAACCCCTCCCTGCTTCTGCTTTTCTTATCAGCATTTCCCTTTTGGAGAAAGCAAAGAAAGAGATCTGGCAGCAGCACATCTGTAGTGACAGCAGTAAGAGAATTATCTTCAGCTGAAATCTAATGTCTCTCTACTAGTCAAACCTTTTTTTGGTTCTGATATTTCCTCTCATCACCACGTACAAGTTGAACTACCCCACTCATGAAGACATCCCATTTCCAACCCCAGATTATTTCAAAGCTGGTAAGTTAAAGCCAATTTTTTTATTGTAGAAGGCAGGTTATAGAGATCACTAAATCCAACCCCATTTTACAGATTAGAATGTCAATGTCAAGAGACTGAACAATTCACCTAGAGTTACACTTAGTGAAGAGTACAAGACAGATTTCTCACCCTTTGAAAAAACTGTGATCCATCCATCACCCAATCTCTAGCCTAGATAAATAAACTGAATAACACAAATAAATTGTAATAGGCAACCTTGAAAATGAACCTATCCCAAGGTACTGGGCTGTGCTGATATCATTCAAAAACATTAATTGCATATTAAGGCACAATTATGAGCAGTTATTGCCATTTCTATAATTGAACAGTACAATTCAAACAAGAAGAGTAAGAATAGAAGGAGATAGGCTGGAGACCCCAGCGAATATAGCTTTGTACCTCTCTACTTCCTTCAGATTAAAAATCAGTGAATAAGCATAGGCTGGTATTTGCTGAGAGCTAGATATCATATTGCTAAGATGTTACCAAGAGATTCAATTCTATAAATTAAATAATAAGAACATATGAATAAAGAGAATAGCAGTATATATTTCCTTGGAAGCAAAGACTAAAACATTGACTGATAAGATCTTGCTACTAATTCAAATACAAACGCTAATTCTTATTTTGGCAGCTTTCAGTTTATTCCCTACAAGGCCACTCCAGAGAAATCCTCAAAAAATATTTTGTATGATCTCTCTTCTTTTACCTTTACTATTCCTACTCCACCTGCAAGGACAGAAAGAGGGTTGGAGGGTAATTGTATAATCATGATTAGATTGTAATAAGACCTATGTGTGGGGAAAAGAACTTTCACCATTCTTTTTTTTTTCCACGTTAACAACCTTTAAACCTGCTCCAAGTATAAATTCAATTAGAGTGAATCATATATTTTGCATAATTTAATAACCTTTTTTCTTATTATGGAAGTTCTTATAGTCATTTTATTTTCATGGTAAAAAATAATCAAGCAGACACGGACATGGAAATAAAATTTTAGAAAAGCAGCAAAGAACCCATTCATAATTCTACCACCAAATCATTAACCACTGTTAATATTTTGGAGTATATACTTCCAGAGGGTGGTGTGTGTGTGTGTGTGCATGTATGTGTGTTTTCAGGTGTCTTTGCCAGTGTTGATGCCTGTAAGGTCCTGGCTTCTTGGTCTTGCCTCAGCCTTATCCTGACCCCTCTGTGGTCAAGACCCATAATATAACAATAGACAGAGCTCCCACTAGCTGGTAGAGTCTGGAACTGATCTTGCTACTGTGGTTCTCTGAGGGCCAGGATGAGCCTTGGGCTCCTGTGAGTATCTGGAGCTACAGCCTTCCCACCCGTTTTGAGTTTGTGCAACCCATGGGACTAGGCAGCTGCCTCACTTTCCTGATTTGTACTTTTGCTCTCCATTCAAGGCCTGGAACCCTGTTTCTCTCAAGCTCCTTGGCTGACACCCAACACACAGCCTAGCTCTTGCCTGTGGCTCCCTTCTTTCTGGGCCACTAAACTCTATGCCCTGACCCCTTGGCTGCTGTGTGCACCTGTCCATGAGCATTTCCTGGAGACTTCAACTGCAACAACCCACCCACCAAGTCAGACTCCCCCTGGGTGCTGAAATCACCAGGCATCTTTGACCCCAATTGGGTCACTTTCATCAGGAACAAACCCTAGGATGGCTTACCCAAATTTCTTTATTTGCTGTCTAATGTTTTGAGCCATTTGTTTTTCTCTTTCACTTAAAACTCCTACCCTTTACTGAGCACTGGGTTAAACTGTGGTAGGGCAATCAGTGACAACATTTTAGTTAATTGCTTAGCAATGTTGTTTAAAAGGAATGAAAACTTCAGATTACACTCAAACTTTCCTGTAAATGGCTCAGTACCACCTGACACAAATTTGCCCTCACATTATAGCCTTCTAATCCTTGTCAGCAGGAAGGAAAAGAAAAGAATAAACAACCAAAGGAGATTTATTAATATCATGTTTTCTTCTCTCAGAGAAGAAAGCGCAAAAAAAAGTGGTATCCTCTCATCCACTAATGGTTAGATGTTGGCTTCGATATGTTTTCATCTGGATCGGAACAAGTGTTCGGGGTACATCTTGCTGCCTTCAAATATCAGATAATAACCCCTCTTTGTGATAACAGAATGGGAAAGCCTATGGTGATATTTTGCCCAAAGTGACATGTACGGGGGGGATTATTTGAAAAGCAAAAAGGCACATTTGCCTAACAGACAAGCTTGGACAAGTTCAAGTGGCAGAAGAAAAATCCTCAGAAAGGTGTTTTGCGACATGCCTAGCCATTAGTCTCTAATGTCACTTTTTTCTCAGAAAAAAAAAAAAGAACACTGTTTTTGAGATTGTTTCATAATGAGCACATTGTATTGAAGGGCAGTGAAAGAATCACAAACCTTGTTTCAATCCCAGCTGTCAGCTCTCCACTGGAAGGATGCCATTTACTTATTCTTGGACTGGATCCTAGATGTAAAAAAAAGGAAAGAAAGAAAAAGCGTGTGTAGCTACCAATCAGTGTGAATTGAACATTATTATCTACTAGCCTCTTCCTAGCAGTTTACAGCAGTATCAAATTCCTACCAGAGATGCAGATGAGTAAGGAGCAGGGGCTGCATGCTCAGCCTGTTCAGGTGCTGGGCAGGGAAGTGAATGGGCGAGGTTACCAGTGGCAATGCCTGTAAGGAAGAGAGCAGATGCCTCATCTGCTGGTCTGATGGGCCAGATGCTGCTCAGCCCCAGCCTGCTCAGGCCACATAGAAAGGCCAGCCCAATGTTGACAAACACTCTGAGGCTTTGCAAGAGAAGGTGGAAGGAAATTTGAATATTTATGATAATTCTCCAGATTTTTAAATGTTGGCAATTGACTTAAAGAATTTCCAAACCCCCGGCAAGCCCAACAAGACACATATGGGTGCCAGATGCAACCCTTAGACATCTAGTTTGTGAGCTGCGTTCTAGAGCATGAGGAAGAGGGAGGAGAGAGGGCCATATGGCCGGCTGGGTGAGTTCCTGCAGAGTTGACCTGCACACCCCAGAGAATGTCATCTACAGGGTGATAGGGGTTACTCAGGAAAGCAAAGACACTCTTCAATCAGGTCAAAACTGATCATGTTGGGCACAGTCCTTTACTTAAGTTTATCTGTAGTACATATGTATACTAAGCTATATGTAGCACATATTTAATACTTTATTTAATATACATATATTTACATATAAAAATATACCAGCCCTTTGTATCAGTGAATATATATGCATTTATACATATTCAATGAAATGGTCTTTCACTCATTGTTTATCCCTATATGCAACACCACTCACATTGCCTTGCACATAAAAGGGAGCCATTAAATGTTTGTTAAATTTATTTTTAAAAAATACTTATTGAGCTAATATATGCCAGGAACTGTTCTAGGAATCTGAGATAAATTACTGAGCAAGGCAGGCAAAGCTCTCAGTCCTTGAGGGAGTAGAGTTCCAGTGGTGGACAATCAGACAATCAATAATGAACATAATAAATAAGTAAATTATATTTTGTGATAGAAAGTAGTAAGTGCTACAGAAAGAAAAGTAAAGTAGGATAAAGGGAACTGGGATTACTGGAAGAGGTACTTCTTGTGGTATTAAATTGGGTGAAATTTTGTATTTTAAAAAGCTAAGTATGCTGATAGCTAATATTAGTCCAATTTTAGTCGAATATTTAATATAACTAAAGTGACTTCTAATTTCAAATCTTTTTATTTTGGTGTTCATATACCTACTAGTTGGCAATCAAATAATCAAAAGAAAAGAGTATTTGTTCATTTATTCAGCTTTTCTTTACTGAACATCTTTTAGATGCAAACTGCCAAGTCAAGCATCAGGCACAGAAGGGAGGACATGGCAGAGACAGTGAGAGAAGACCTTGGTAACACACAAGCCTCAGGAACATAAACTTCTGTATAGAGATATTGGCCTTTTCTCTGCCCCATTCCCCAGGTCCTTATTAAGGACCAGCTTGGCTTTCATCATTCTTCAGAGTAGTTGAATTCAGGGAGGAAAGCAACCTTACAGCCTGTCTTCCCACCAATCCACGTCCATCGGGAGCCATGTCTATCCATCCCCATGGACTTGGGCTGCCTCCTGTGCAATTCACTCCATCTGGCCAGAAACATAAGACCATGGAAGGATTACATCAATGTGGTCTCCCAGTGTGATCCCAGAAGCCAAGGCTCTCATAACTTTGTGATTCTCCCTCATAACAATATAATTTAATGTGCATATATTATTTAATTCCCTCCAGAATGATACATGGTGTGTGATGGTAGAGACAGGGCAATGACAAGACTAAAGATATATGTCCTTCACATTTTACAGGATTCTTGTGAGAATCAAATGAGCTATGGTAAGGAAGAGCTCTCTAAACTTGAAAGTGCTCTTATAATAATTTCAACAAGAGCTAACACTTACCAAGTTGTTACCACATGTCAACAGCGGTTCTACTTTATGTATACTAACTCAGTTAAGGCTCACAGCAGTCTATGAGGTGGGTGGTATTATTTTTCCCATTTTCTGAATAAGGAAGTCCAGACACAGGAGGTTCAATGACTTGCCCAAAGTCACACAGTTATCTAGTGGCATAGCCAGGAATCTACCCAAGCTATCTGACTCCAGAAACAAAGCATTTAACTCCACTTGTAAATGCTACTACATGATTTATACAAGCATGGTCCATTCCATAATATTCATTATCTTCAATATGCAAAGCACCAAGCTAAGTAGCATGAGAAATATAGAGAGTAAACTAAACCTTCAAGAAGCTAATGAATTTATAGATGAACATTAAAGTCATTAAAAGCACGTTTGTGTACATGGACACCATACATCCACTCCCGTGCTATTTCTTGACTCATACTCCTTACCATCAGTAAAACACACATGAGAGTCCTTAAATTAGAGGAAGATAGTTCACATATGAGAGGGCAGAACCAAGCTCAGTGGTCTAGGGGTTCTTGTGAACAGGAGGAGTTATAGATAGCAATAGATGTTAGACAGCTAGAACCTAAATCTTCCACCACCAATGGCCACTCCAGAGATGGCTTTTGAATTGGAGGCAGAAGTAGACAGACATTTCTGTGGCATGTCTTCAATGTCACATTTGAAATTAGATCAATGTGACAACCTCCCAAGTGATGCCAAGGAATAGTACACATTCCAAGAGAGCTAGCTTCCTTCAAAGAGGGGTAAGGGGAGGATGTAGGAGGATCCTCACAAATACGTGTTTGCCTCACTCCCACTCCCCAAACACTCTGGTCCAAGCTGCTTTGGGGCCTTTACTGGTCTTTGTGAGGTGGAAGAAAGTGCTGGTTGAAGCCCTTCAGGGGTTCATTTAAAATTCATCCCCCAGGTAACAATAAAACACTGATTTCTAAAAAATATTCATTAAAGCATCAATGCACTTGATTTCATTATTTTACTTCTTAAAACCCCCAGTGAACATTCTATTATGGTTGGTCTCCTTCAGTGATCCACTGCTGAAGTCTTTCTGCAATCCAAAAATTTTTAAATGTAAATTCTAATGTGTATCACTATCTGCATATCACAATAAGGAAAAACAAACAATGATCTGCTTTAATTCTGTAGGTATTTGAAGACATGCCAAGTTAGGAAGTGGTTAGAAAGGTGGCTGTAAGATAAGAGTTGTGCAGCTCAGATTTGGATCTCTAAAATGCACTGTGAAGAAGCCCCCAAGGGTCTAATTCATTCAGGACTGTTCCAGAAAGGTCAAGTCTGAAAACGAAGAAAACTTAGAGCCCTCAGTGTCCACCCTGATTCCTTGTTTCTTTCTCAAACTGTACGGGGGCCAAACAATGTTAGCCTTCTCGAAACAAATGATTACCGAAAATAAGAAGTCTCTTACAAAAACAAATTCAGATGAACCCCTCCATGGCAAACATAAACTGAACCTCCCAAATCTCTGGGCCACTATCACAGCAAATGGGACAACCCAACAGCAGTGATCCAGAGAAACAGTGGACTATCCCAAGTGGGCGGTACTAAGTCCTGGAGAAGCTGAATTGATTCCTCAAGATGCTTGGTTCCACCTGGCCTAAACTCATGGGAATCAGGGGAGCCATCTAAGTAAATGAGGATTTTTGTGCTGGTCTACCAGCGTAGTTTCAATTGTTTCATTTAAAAATCTTAAGGTCTTCCTGTAAAGAATCCTCAGATATTTATACCCAACTATTCTCGAAAATCCCTGAACTCAAAAAGCAAATTTTAGCTTCTGAGAGTTCTCATGTAAATCACAAATAAATGTTTTCTCAAAGAAACTGTACACCACCACCACCACCTCTCCCCACACCCTTGGTGGGAGATAATACACATTAAGTATCTTTTTTATTTGCCAAAAATATTCTGAATCACCTTTAGGTGGCTCAACACATGCTTGCATTGACTGGTTTACATCTAGCAAACCTGAATTCTATCTAACGCTAAATGCTATTTTAAGCTAGCAAACCACTAGCTTTATTGGGCCAGGGGAGATTGATGGGGAATCTTTCAGTCTGGTGTTCAAAAATATTTTACATTCATAAAGAAAGACGGAAACCCTACACACCAAATGGCAATTGCCCTAATTTCAATATTTACCAAAAATGACAACAGATGAAAACAAAGGAGTAAGGCTTTGTTTTCAAACCTTACTCAATTTTCTCAATATGTATGTATGCCTGCAGTTTAGGTCACGAACCACAATCTACATTTTCTATTTGTCTCTTAATTCCAATCTCGAAATTCCTCACTATCCAATATGCAAGTTGTGTCCTCCAGAATTAGGTAAGAAGCTATCTTTTTTGGTGGCGTGTAGGAAAGTGTAAAGCCTGTCATGACAGGTAATCTGATACTGCTAAAATCAGACGGATAAGAAAGGGAAAAAAGGCTGGGCGCAGTGGCTCACATCTGTAATCCCAGAACTTTGAGAGGCCAAGGTGAGCAGATCACTTGAGGTCAGAAGTTCAAGACTAACCTGGCCAGCATGGTGAAACCCCATCTCTATCAAAAAATACAAAAATTAGCCCAGCGTGGTGGCACGCACCTATAGTCCCAGCTACTCAGGAGGCTGAGACATGAGAATGCCTTGATCTCGGGAGGCAGAGGTTGCAGTGAGCCAAAATCTCACCACTGCATTCCAGCCCGGGCAACAGAGTGAAATCCTGTCTCAAAAAAATAACAAAAAAAACAAGACTGTTACTTCACCCTAAAAAACTGACATGACTGCTTGAAATGATTGATTATGGAGCTAAAGATTCGTCTGTTCATGTTCACTGCTTAGTAAGTCACTTGCTTAATTGCATTTGAATAACTAAATTGAATGTTTTTTCCTTTATATAGCTTTATTGTTGATACTGACTTCTAATTATTAAACAATACTGTAGGTAGAATATCTTCATGACTACAAAGTAAGGAAAGAGTTATTAATCAGGAAAAAAACTAACTATAAAAAATTAATAAATGTTAATATATTAAAATAAGAATTTGTATTCATCAAAAAGCATAATACTAGAGGGAACAGAAAAACTGCAAGTAGAAGAAAATATTAGAATTTATTTTTTTTGAGACGGAGTCTTGCTCTGTCACCCAGGCTGGAGTGCAGTGGCTTGATCTCCACTCACTGCAACCTCCGCCTCCTAGGTTCAAGTCATTCTCCTGCTGCAGCCCCCCAAGTAGCTTGGATTACAGGTGCATCCCACCACACCCGGCTAATTTTTGTATTTTCAGTAGAGTCGGATTTCACCATGTTGGCCAGGCTGGTCTCAAACTCCTGGCCTCAAATGACCCACTCACCTCAGCCTCCCAGAGTGCTAGGATTATAGGCATGAGCCACCGTGCCCAGTCTAGAATTTCAATGAAGTATTTCTACAAATCTTTAAGGAAAAGGACATTCCAATAGAATGGGTAAAAACCTGAACAGATCTTGCACAAAACATAATATCCAAATGGGCAATTAATGAATGTGAAAGTGCTTAATCTCATTGATCATCAGGGAAATACAAAATAAAACTACAATGAGATATGACTAGACAAACAAGATGACTAAAATAGCATAGAAGGAAAACAGTGTTGGTGAAAAGGTAGAGTCATAGGAACTCACATACACTGTTGGTAGAAATGTTAATTGGGTGGAAAACTGGCAGTATCTGCTAAGCTGAACATACGTGTACCGTATGATCAACACGTGTGCATGTGCTAACCAGAGACAGTACTAGAATATTCATAGAACATGGATAATAGCTGCAAGTTGGAAACTACCCAAATGCCTACAACAATAGAAAGAATAAGCAAAATGATATATTCACACAACAAAATACCATACAGCAATGAGAATAATCACCCTATAACTATATATAAAAATATGGATGAGTCTCACAAACAATGTCAAGTGAAACAAGCCAGATGCAAAATATATACTATGATTCCAGTAATTTAAAGTATAAAATTCGCACAACTAGTATAATCTGTTAGAAGTGGTTACCCTTGGGAATGAGGAGGCAGGCAAAGAAGAGGGTTTCTGAGTGCTGGTAATATTCTGGTTTTTGATGTGGGTGTTGCTTACCGGGGGTGATCATTTTATAGGTGACACCATCAAGTAGCACACTTGTAATTAGAGTGCTTTCTATATTTATACTATTCTTCCATAGAGTTACTAATGAATAAACAAATTGGACATAACTAACTTGCATTTTCATAAAAACACTTTCAGTCCTCAGAGAACACTGTACATTTTAATAGATAAAATTTGTATTTCTTTACTAGACCTCTTTGTAATTGAGAAAATATATTCTTTCAAACGCTTCTTTCTTTCTTTTTTCAGGTGGGATCTCACTCTGTCACCCAGGCTTGAGTGCAGTGGTGCAATCTCGGCTCACTGCAACCTCCACCTCCTAGGCTCAAGTGATCCTCCTACCTCAGCTTCCCAAGCAGCTGGGACTGAGGTGTGCACCCCCACACTTGGCTAATTGAAACACTTCCTTCTATCACACAAAAAGCAACAAGTACCAAACATTTACAAAAAATATACTTTTTTTTTTGAAGAGGTGCAATAATTTCTCTCAGTAAATTAAACAAGTAATAAAAAGTCTTTTGTGTTAATGATAATGTTTTGGAATACCCAATATTTTATGTTTGCTAAAATACTATTTTCCACATAGTATCTCTCCCTTGAGCCATAGTTGATAAATAGGGCAAATATTGTTATTATTCCCATTTTATGGATAAGGAAAATGAAGTTCAAGGCTCAGTGTGTCCAGGGTAACAAAGGTAATAACTTGCATTGCCCAGATTCAAAATTTCTGATGGAAAATTAATTCACTATATTAATATTATAAGTTGAAATATTGTAAGCCTAAATATTGTAAGTTGAAAACGAATTTATTACATCTAAACTATCAAACATCATAGTTTAGCATAGCCTACTAAGTCACATGACTGCTTAGTAGATCATTTAATTTTCTCTGTATTTCTAATAATTTGCCTGACATGAAATAATCTCTCTCGTGATTCTAGTTTTATTCCTCATCCATTTACCAAAAGCCAAAGTGCTTCTTAGTGAAGTAGCCTAAAATATTATTTGGCAAATTTTTTTCTTGTTTGAATATTTTTATGTTTGATGCCAATTTTTCTTTGTTTTTAATCTGGCAAAACCTACCGATAGCTCCTCAGTGTGTTAAAACAAGTCCACTCAAGGTGGCTTACCTTTGCTCCCAGGTAATTAAAACAACACTATAATACCTGGGTCACCTTTGACTTTGTATTCAATGTCTTCATCTTGAAAGTTAGAAAGTTAAGAAAAAAGAGGAGGGGGCTACATGATGAATGTGAATCCAACTATACCGTGGATTTAGAGTCGTGCTCTGAAATCAAGCACAGTTTTCTTTAATAAGGAATATTTTAGTAGAAGAACTAAGGACTTCAGACTCTATACAACTTCTGAATTTTCCAGAATGCCTCCACTAACTTCTATTCCTTGGTGTTGAGCATGACCTATCTACTCTCCCAATCCAGCTGTTAATCTGACATAGTGTTTCCCAGCTCACCTAGAAATACGTCAAAAGCCATAGTTCAAAATGATACACGGATGCTCCTCGATTTATGATGGGATTACATCTTAATAAACCCATCATAAATTGAAAATATTGTGAGCTGAAATGCATTTGCTACACATAACCTATCGAACACCTTACTTTAGCCTAGCCTACTTAAATGTGCTCAGAACATTTACATACATTTGCCCAGCCTACAGTTGGGCAAAATAATCTAACACAAAGCCTATTTCATAATAAAGTATTGAATATTTCACATAACTTATTGAATACTATAGTAAAAGTGAAAAACAGAATGGTTGGATATGTGCTCAAAGGACAGTTTCTACTGAATACATATCACTTTTGCACCATCATAAAGTTGAAAAATCATAGGTTGAACCATCATAAGTGAGGGATCATATGTAATTGCTTTCAAAGAACATAGTACTACAGTGATTCAAAAAATGTCTGTGATGGTCCTAGAATAGTTGCTAAAATAAGTGTCAACTATTCTCGTTGATTAGAAAAATCTGCCATGTTTGGGTGACTTTTTAGAATTTGGAAACTGAGGTCTTTAATTCATAACAAATGGTGTTAGGTTTTTTTGTGTGTGTTTTTGTGTTTTGTTTTGGGTTTTGCTGCCATAAAAAATTATAGCAAATTTAGTGGCTTAAAACAATACAATTGCATTGTCTTAGAGTTCTGTGGACCAGAAGTCCAGTATGGGTTTTACTGAACTAAAATCATGGTGTTGGCAGACCATATGCCTTTCTGGAGGCTCTAGGGGAGAATCTATTTCCTACTCATTAGGGTTGTTGGCAGAATTCAGTTCCTTTTGGTTACAGGTTATAGGCTGAGGTAGTTGTTTCTTTGCTGGCTGTCAGCTGAGGGCTATTCCCAGCCTTTAGAGGTCCCATTCCTGCATCTTCAAAGCCAACACTGGTGGGTTGAGCCCCTCTAATATTGAATCTCTCTGACCTTCTCAATCTCCTCCACTTTTAAGGTCTCATGTGATTAGATTGAGCCTACCTGTATAATTTCCCCACTCAAATTCTGTAGCCTTAATCACATCTGCCAAGTGCCTTGTGCTCTGTAAGAAAACATGCTCACAAATTCCAGAGGTTAGGATGTGGACACCTTTGAAAAGCCATTAGTCTTTCTACTATGCCAATTTTACATATCCCTGGCTGAACGATAATTTCCCATATTGAAGAGAATAAGCTTATGAAAAGATTTGTGATAAATAAAATTTTATGACTGGTGAATGAATTTTACAGAACTTATGTTGAAATGTATTCTTTGCTTCATTTATGTTTCATTCTCATCTGCTACCAGTAGTCTATATGAAGAGATGAAAAAAATAAGTCAATGCTATGAGCTCACATTCACATGTTGAAGCCCTAAGCCCCAGTGTGATTATATTTGGAGATGGGGCCTTTGGGAGGTAATCAGGTTTAGATGAGGTCATGAGAGTGAGGTCTTCATGATGAGATTAGTGTCCCTTAAAAAAGAGATACCAGAAAGCAAGAGCTTGCTCTCTCGTGCGCACTCTCTCAGTTTCTCTTTCTGTGTCTCTCTCTCCTCCTCCCTTTCTCTGTCATGTGAGGACACAGAGAGAAGGCAGCTGTCTGCAAGTGAGGAAGTAGGCCCTCATCAGAATTCAACCACGCTGGCACTCTGATCTTAGACATCTAGCTTCCAGAACTATGGGAAATAAATTGTTTTTTGTTTAAACCACACAGTCTGTAATATTTTGTTTGGCAGTAAGAGCAGACTGAAACAGAAAAGTCGATATAAACAAAAGACATACATCCCCTATTTTCAATTTAAGGAAATGTAGTTTCACAATGGAGGTGGCATAACCCCTTTCAAAAAGCAATAAACTTTAGCTTCCATTAGATATCCTCTTATTTAATCACTGATTTTTACTAGGTAAGAGCAGAAAAATCTTACCTAACTATATTGAGATTTTCTAAAATCCACTATCACTAGAATGGCTTGAGACCTTCAAAATATTATTTATAATAATGATTGCCTCTTCTATATGATTATAGATCAGGACCCTGTCAAGTAGCAGTAATAATGTCAAGGAGTAATTTCTTTGAATGTGAAACTAAGGCAAACTATATAAAACTTGCACTAATTTTTAAGGCTTAACAATTAATTTCTCAGGTCAGGCATGGTGGCTCACACCTATCATCCCAGCACTTTGGGAGGCCGAGGCGGGCAGATCACTTGAGGTCAGGAGTTTGAGACCAGCCTGGCCAACATGGTTTGGTCTCTACTGAAAATACAAAAATTAGCTGAGCATGGTGACGGGTGCCTGTAATCCCAGCTACTTGGGAGGCTGAGGTAGGAGAATTGCTTGAACATGGCAGTAGGAGTTTTCAGTGAGCCGAGATTGAGCCACTGCACTCCAGCCTGGGTGAGAGAGCTAAGCTGCATCTCAAAAATAAATAAATAAATAATAAAATAAAATAAATTGATTTATCTTCTTCCACTGCACACAGAATAATTTTCATGAGTTTCATGCATGGAACAGTGAGGATGGCTAATAAACTGATTTATCTATGTGTTTCAAATTTTAAAATCTAAAAAATATTGCTTATTTATTTGCTTTTTTAAAGATCAGGGCGATCTGTCAATAACATGATGGCAGGATAAAAAGAATAAACACGCCTGTAATCCCAGCACTTTGGGAGGCCGAGGCGGGTGGATCACGAGGTCAGGAGGTCGAGACCATCTGGCTAACATGGTGAAACCCCGTCTCTACTAAAAATACAAAAAATTAGCCGGGCGTGGTGGTGGGCGCCTGCAGTCCCAGCTACTCGGGAGGCTGAGGCAGGAGAATGGCGTGAACCCGGGAGGCGGAGCTTGCGGTGAGCCGAGATCCCGCCACTGCACTCCAACCTGAGTGACAGAGCGAGACTCCGTCTCAAAAAAGAAAAGAAAAAGAATAAACACAAAGATAAAGATGTCCATTTTGTGGGCAGCCACAATGGCCTAATATCAGGGACCCAGGAAGGTCCTTTTGGTAGATAGTTCTAAAAATTATACATCAGTTTCTGTCTTTGGTGTACAACATGCCATTCCCTCAGCTGAGAGGCAGAGTTTATTTTTTCTCCCCTTGAATCTGGACTGGCCTTGCAACTACCTTGACCAAAAGAATACAGCGAAAATAATATTCTGTGTACTTCTAAGTCCAGACCTTAAGAAGATTGGCAGCTTCTATTTCCTTCCTCTTAGAATATTCTTCCCTGGAACTCAGCCACCAATCAGTGAAGAAGCCCAAACAGCTACATGGAGAGGCTCACATGGAAAAGAACCCAGGCCCTCGGCCAACAGCTTCAACTTAGCTCCCATATGGCAGCCAGAATCAACTGCCAGCCACATGTCTGAGGCCATCTGGACCCTCAAGCCATCCTAGCACCCCAGGCAACACCACATGAAGCAGAAGGATTGTCCTATCCAACTAAAATGGGAGAAAAAAAAAATAAAAGCAAGGTAAGAAGGAAGGTGAGCATTACAGTTTTAAATAGAGTATCCAGGGGAGACCTCATGAGAAAGATGAACGAGGGAGTGAGCCCTATCAATATCTGGAGGAAGAGTGTAACAGGCAGAGGGAACAGCCAGTGCAAAAGGCCCTAATCTATGAGCACCTGGCATGTTTGAGATAATCAGTGAAGCCAGTGTAGTTTCAAAAAGGTGATCAAGAAGAGGAGTGGTCCAAGAGGTAACACAGGTTCATAGAAGGTGGGGATCTAGAGTGGGATAAATGCGGGACCCCCAAAAGATATGCCCAAATCCTAACTCCTGGAACCTGTAAATGTGACCTTATTTGGAAAAGGAGTTTTTACAAATGCAAATAATTTAATCATCTCAAAATGAGATGATCCTGGATTATCCAGGGGCTTAAATACAATAACAAGTGTCCTTATAAGAGAAAAGAGAGGGCTGTGTAAAGTGGGAAGTAGAGATCAGTTTCACTGCCACAGGCCAAGGAACACCAGGAGTCACAAGAAGCTGAAAGAGGCAAGGAAGGATTCTCCCCTAGAACTTTCAAAGGGAGCATGCTAACACCTTGGTATTGTACTTCTGGCCTCCAGAACTGTAAAAGAATATTTCCATTGTTACAAGCCATCCAGTTTGTGATACTTTGTTACAACAGCTCTAGGAAATTAAGGTAGGCTCCATAGGACATTATAAGGACTTTGTTTTTTAATTGGGAAAAATGGGAGCCATTATAGAGTCAGAAAAGAGAAGTTACATCATCTAACTTTCATTTTTTTAAAGATACTAGGTTGAAAACCAAATGTAGAAACCAGGAGACTAACTGGAAATGATAGCACAGGCCAGTATTGCAGTGTTAGGGACGAGGAATAGTTAGATTATGGATATATTTTCAAGGTAGAGAGAATAAAATTTCTTGATAGATTGGACATAGGTTATGAGGGGAAATAAATAGTCAAGGGTGACTCCAAGGTTTTGTATGTAAGCAAATGGAAAAATGGAGTTGCCATTGACCAAGATAGGAAAGGTTGAAGGTAAAACAGATTTGGGAGGAAAGATCAGGGACTCTGTATTTGGGGCATATTAAATTTGAGATTTCTATTAAATATCCAACTAGATACGTCAGGTATGCAGTTGCATACAAAAATCTGAAGGTCAGGAGAGGTTATGGGCTGAAGATGTTCATTACAGTACATCAGCACACAGATGATATTCAAAATCATGAAACTCGGTGAGGTCAACAAGAAAATAAATATAGATAAAGAAAAGAGATCTATAAACAGAACCCACAGTACCTGAGGAGTGGAGAGAAATGGAGAAATGGAGAGCAGAACAAGCAGCAAAGGAGACAAAAAAGGAGAAACTGATGAGATAGGAAGAAACCCAAGAAATTGGGGTATCCTGCAAGCAAAGCAAGGATGTCAAGGAGGGAGTGCTTCCACTTTATTAGATTCATGGGTAGGATAAGTAAGACGAGGACTGAGAATTATTGAGTACATTTACCAACAAGGAGGTCACTGGTGGCTTTGACAAGAGCCATCCTGGTGAAGTATTTGGAGCATAAGCCTGACTGAAGTGGACTTAAGAGGGAATGAGGAAAGAGGATTTGCAGACAGTGAGCACAGAAATATCTTTAGGGTTGTTTTAACACAAGGGGAGCAATGAAATGATATGGCAGCTGGCAGGGGAAGGAGGATTGAAAGAAAGCCTTCTGAAATTGAAAGAAAAAGTGCATACATATATGCTGATGGTGGCAATTGAGAAGAGTAGGAAAAAATGACAACTTAGAAGAAAGAAAGGGGACTTGCTGGAGCTATGTCCTTGAGGAAGCAAGATGAGATGAGATCTATGCAAGAGTACAGGGATTGACACAGAGCTCCTACGGTGCAGACCAAAGGCAGACGAGGTGGATGCTGCCAAGCAGATAGGTAGGGCAGTAGTCATCTGTGCAAGTTCTCTTCTATTTACTTCAATATACTCATGAAGCAGGAATTGGGGTCCTCACCTGAGAGTCAAGATGGAAGAGGTGGTGTTGGAGTTTGGAGCAAAGAGAGGAGAAGATGTAAAATACATGTCCAGGAGAGTGGGAGAGTGAATAGCTAGGAAAGTATAGAATGGCTGTCCAGTGGCTGCCAAGTTCTATTTAGTGTGTGTGGTGATGAATTTAAAGGGGTTGAGTTGAGTGTTTTCTCCAGCCAAGCCCAGCTGCACAGAGCAGGCACCGAGCAGGGTGACTCTTGGACTGAACCAGGGCTCTAGGCTTTCTAAGAGACTTCTACAAAACGAGAGAGGCGAAGGGTAGCCCAGTGTGTACATAAGGGAACGACATGACAATTGGCCTCAGAATCAAGGTTGTTAAGGAAAGGAGAGAAGCCAACAAGGGGATGCAGGGTAGTAAAGGGATGGGGGGGACCAGTCGGTAGAAGGTTAGGGATTGTGGGGAGCAAAGGACTGTTGTGGGAGCCAGAAGGAGTAAACATGTAGAAGAAACACAAAAGAAAGAATCTTAATGTTATGTTACTGAAAACCAGAACAGACCAGAGGGCAAAAGCCCTTCCACTCGATGTGCAAATCACGCTAGAAGAGAAGGGAATTTTTGAGATGGACCAAAAACAATTTCCTTATCCATTACTTCCTATATTGAAAATGCCATTTACTTCCAAAGCTATCTTATTTATTCAAGTTTGCAGTACAACAGGAGGCCTAGATTATTTCCCAGGTAAATTTCTAACTGTCCTGTTTCAGAGGTATTCCCCTGAGATTCATAGTACATTTTCACTTTAAGTTACATGTTATAAATGTACATGATTTTCTCCAAACCAATGACTGTGTTCTTTAACCCTCCTCCCTAAATCCTTTTTTTAAATCTTTATTTTCATCCTCTTATTCTTCCCTATCACTAATCTCTCTTGAAATTAAAATATAATGATAAACCAGAATTTGACATAAGACCCTCACCAATGCCAAGAATAGCAAGAGGATTATCTTGCCGTTCTTGTACATTATTTACTTTCCCAGTGTCATGTCAGTATTGGGTTTAGTGTTTTTCAGGAAGTAGACGCCCACCTTCTAATTGAGTCAGAGCCAAGAGTAGGACATGGTCTCACTGAGCCATCTTGCACCTGGAGATATCTCCTGGGGAGAGATGCAAAAATAAACAGCAGCACCAGGGAACTAGACCTCATTATATTTTTATTAGCACAGTAACTCTTTTAAACAAGCAATATCCTAAATTGGATAATTACCTCCCACATTGCTTTCCCCTTGACTTTGGAACTAAACACAGGCTCTTTCTCAATTAGCATTCTGAGCTTTGAGTCAAGTTCCTTATGTGCAGTTACCCAGCTGCTGCACAACTACTCAGATGTTGCATGAAGCCCTTCCTAAATATAGCTTTTTAAACACATTCAGGATCCTTCAGGAAAAAATAAATTAGTATAAGCTTTCACTGGCAAGAATCAAAATCCACCCCTTAGAACTTATTTTTAAAAACCAATTATAAATAAGTCAAATAAGCAAAATTTTATTAAGACTAGATTTCAAGCTGCCAACCTGGCCAAGGTAAAAAGATAATCAGGTAATAAAATCTGATCCAAGTTCATTATGTAGCATCCTTATCCAGGAATATCTTATTACCGAGTAAACGTAATTTGGTAATAAAATGTTAAGCATGAAATAAGGTACATTGGGGAAAAAATCTGCTCGTGTTTTGCATTTAAATATTTCAGTATTTAAATGGAAACCAAAAAAAGCAGAAATATTCTGAAGCAAAAACAGAACTGGAATTTCCATTTCCCATCCACATCATAAATGAGATCATTCCACAGCAATGACTCCTTGCACATCACTTGGAAATGAGCGCACTCAGACAGAACCTGTGGTCTGGGCCCAAGGCACTGAAAACCCATACTGGCTTCTGAAGGATTCATTACACACATGCACACATACACACAGAAGGTGGATTTTCAGCTCTACCAGAAGTCGTATAACCTATGGCTAAGTCTCTATAAAATTTATGAATAAACAACTAAAGTAGCTTCAGGCAAAAGTGGCAGAAACCATTGCTGTTTGTATACCACTTTGGAAATAAATTTCATTCACTGGGAAAGTTAACATGTGATGCTTTGACAACATCAGAAATAATACTTAATAACTTAGAAATCTTCTGGCATACAGTCCAATATCCCCAAAAGAATTAACATCCGAGTCCATTTCTTCAAATCTGAATTCAGAGGGCCCTCAAGCTGCCCATATGACTTCTGTCCAAGCATGGAACTCACATTTGTGCAGTCATATCTGAACAAGTCACCAACCTGGCATGGCTGTTCTTCATTGGCCTGTCACTTACAAGAGATGTGTTATCAAAGACTGTCAAACTACTTCCCACCTTCAGGACAGAGTGCCAGCTTGCAGAGGAATTAGCAGATGGGGAGATGGGTTAGGGTACAGAGGTAGATGGCACTGCTGCGCAAATAGAAATATCAGAGGGAACTCACAGCAGATAAACAAAGGAGAAAAAAAGCCAGACTAATCCTTTCAGCAGTCAATAAGAAGCATGGTTTGCCCTGACGACTGAGCCCTGTGGGAGGTGAGTGTTCACACAGTAGAAGCAGCCTACTCCTGTCTAGCACCACCTGCGCTGTCTGCCCCATGGTCAATGGTGCCTGTAAGAGAGGATGTAGTCCTGGGCCTCCTCGTAGTGACCAACTCCAGTCCACTGCCCTTGGCACAGCTAAAGCTACACACATCCTATGGCTTGTTCGCTGACTCCCAAACTCATCTGAAGTTTGAAAGAAAAGAAATATTGCCACAATATTTACACAACCCAGTGATTGTTTCCTCCAGAATAACATTTTTAAAAAGATATTCCAGATAACCTATGGAGATGAGTCTGAGGAAGATTAAAGAAATAGAGGCTGGACAGGGTGGGGAACATCACACCGGCGCCTGTTGTGGGGTGGGGGACTGGGGGAGGGATAGCATTAGGAGATATACCTAATGTAAATGACAAGTTGATGGATGCAGCACACCAACATGACGTATGTATACATATGTAACAAACCTGCACGTCGTGCACATGTACCCTAGAACTTAAAGTATAATTTAAAAAAAAAAAAAGAGAGAAATAGAGGTTGGGCGCGGTGGCTCACACCTGTAATCCCAGCAGTTTGGGAGGCCGAGGAGGGCAGATCACCTGAGGTTGGGAGTTTGGGACCAGCCTGACCAACATGGAGAAACCCCATCTATACTAAAAATACAAAATTAGCTGGGTGTGGTGGCGCATGCCTGTAATCCCAACTACTCAGGAGGCTGAGGCAGGAGAATCCCTTGAACTCGGGAGGCGGAGGTTGCAGTGAGCCAAGATTGCGCCATTGCACTCCAGCCTGGGCAACAAGAGCGAAACTCCATCTCAAAAAAAAAAGGAAGAAAAAACCATTATACCTCTTAAGCTGAGGGAAGGGAAGAAGAAATAGAAAGGGAGAGAAGTTGTTAAGAGGGAAAAAGTAAATTAAATGAAAGGAATGGTAGGTAACTTTGGAAATTATTTCTTCAAATTCTTAGGTTTCTTTCTAGCATTTCCTGTCAGCTGTCTGGCTCTCTATCAGGGAAAAGGAAAACCTCCTAATTCTATTCTCGTGGGAATTTGAATTGTAAGTAGGAGAAATAACAATGGCCCACAGGCCAAAGAAGGAAATGGTAAAATTCCTAAATGACTACAGTTGAAAGATCAAGAACAGTGTAAAATATTTGTGTTTTTCCAGTTTTCTGTGTGCTGATGCACAAGATGCATCTCTGCACCATGAAGTATTCCTGATGAATTGATATGAAGTAGCACCACGCCACTCTGGCAACATTACATATCTATTAAGTGCTATTGCTAAACCATAAACACTGCACATGCAGTAGCGTTTGGGAGTTTAGAGCTTGGTTCTCCTGCCAGCCAGACTGCACTTAAACACAAGCTCTTCTCTCTCCACATCACCCTGGAAAGTGATTTAAACACTGTGAGCCTCAGTTTCCTCATCTAGGAAATAGAAATAATAACAGTACTTTCTTCAAAAAGTTGTGTGGATTAGCTAAAGTAGTATATTTAAAGTATCTGGAATAGCACCTGGTATGAAGCACACAATATATGCTAGCTATTATTATCACTATCATTATACCAGTAATAGCTATGTTACTTTCAGGTGTAAATAGGAATTTTTTATACTTTAAAATAGATTTTCTTAAGTTCAATGGGAAATTAATCATCCAGATAAATATATGACATAGAAAATTATCACGAAAATAATCAGATATTTTACTTTCCTTTTTATTCCACAATTCAAATATATACATTCTATATTGGTCAATTATGTATGTATTTATTATAAAAATATAACAAAGTAGATAGTATATTTGTATGATTTAATTATATGTATAGTTTTGATTTTATATTGTGAGCCTATAGATCCTAGTGGAGTTGACTGAAAAGGAGACATGTAAATTGGCTGAGAAATGGCAATAAACAGACAGTTGCAGAGCTGAGGTTAAGAATAGCTCCATTTGGCCAGGCACGGTGGCTTATGCCTATAATCTCAGCACTTTGGGAGGTCGAGGCAGGTGGATCACCTAAGGTCAGGAGTTTGAGAACAACCTGGACAACATGGTGAAACCTCGTCTCTACTAAAAAAAAAAAAAAAAAAAAATTAGCTGGGCATGGTGGCACATGCCTGTAATCCCAGCTACTCGGGAGAGTGAGACTCCATCTCCAAAAAAAAAAAAAAAAAAAAAAAAAAAGAATAGCTCCAGCTTTTTGCCATTCTATTTAAAAAAAGGAACAAAACAAAGTTAGTGGGATCTGTTATTTTGCCTGGCAAGCATTAGACAATTACATGGGTGAATGAATGAGTGAATGAATGAATAAAATTAGTTGTCCCAGTTTGTTTTCAGGCTTTCCTACTGATATTATTTCCCTCCATTCCATTCTTTAATTTTCCTTCTCAAATATCGGCTTACATATTATCTTAAGGAAACTAACACAGGAACAGAAAATCAAATACTGCATGTTCTCACTTATAAGTGGGAGCTAAATATTGAGCACACATGGACACAAAGAAGGGAGCAACAGACACCAGGGCATACTTGAGGGTGGAGGTGGGGAGGAGGGAGAAGATCAAAAAACTACCTCTCAGGTACTACACACTTACTACCTGGATGACAAAATAATCTGTACACCAAACCCCCGTGACATGCAATTTACCTGTATAATGAACCTGCATATGTATGCCTGAACCTAAAATAAAAGTTTTTAAAAAGGTTCACATGTGAAAAGCAAAAGCTTTTGAATTGATCACAAAACAAATAATATAAGAAAAAATATATGTTCACTTGTTTCATAAAATAACCCTCGCTTTCCTCAAACTCTTATTTTTTCCATCCCATCCAATATGCTTGGCATAATTCTCTCCCATGCCTCTTTTTTCCCCAATGATTACCTCAATTCTCTCACAAAACTTAAGTTTAAAGTGTTTTCCTACCTACCATAATCATAATCAGTACACAATTCCCACCCTGGAATAAAGGATGAAATAAATGTGAGAAAACATCATGCAGTGATCACTCTGTTCATCTGTTTTCTTAGGATTTAGGCTCCAGCAGCTCTGAGACCAGGTCTTCTGAAATTGTGAATGCTCAATAAACATGATTTGGAACAGTCTTGCTTTGAGGACTACAGCGCTCTGTGTGACTATCCTTACTCCAGGTTACCACTGCCTGGATGAGGCTTACTCCTCTTTATATTTCCACTTGTTTCTGTTTTTCTGTTTTCTTACAGACTACAGTCAGGGCCAGAAATATCCTCAGTCTACCCTTTACTCAGCTAAGGGTGTCTCCTCCCTTCTTCATTTTGCTTGCTATTAAACAGAGCTTTTTATAGTGCCCAGAGGGTGTCAGCCTTCTCAGATGAATTACTTTTCCTGAAAAAGAAAAAAGAGGAAATAAAATAATAAAATGATTCATGATCTTGACCCTTGGGACTGGAAAGTAATGTCTCACTGAGTGAAAAGGCAGCACAAAACTCTAGAGAAACTGCAGTTTATATTTCAGTTCATACCTGTTAACTTTCCAGCAGTTGGTGGAAATTATTGCAAAGGAACAAGAAAGAATTTGGCCATGGTGTATGGAAATAACAATAAAAAACTATAAATAAAAACGTAAGGAAAGCAATCATTGCTAGTCCAGCTACTGTTAGCATTCAGTTATTGGTTCATTTATTCATTCAGGATATAATAATCTCTCAGAAAAGTTTATTCCAAAACATCACTCCTAATAACTCCCTTGTCATCTTATTTATGTGAAGTGGACTTATTAATCCTAGCACTAAAAGACAAAAATGTGAAAGTAAAAATAGAGTAAACCAGAGTGTAAGAACGAGGTCAAATTATTTTACCAATTTGAATATAAAAATTATTCAAGATTGGTCAGGGGCTGTGGCTCATGCCTGTAATCCCAGCACTTTGGGAGGCTGAGGTGGGTGGATCGTTTGCAGTTCCTAGGATGGGAGTTCGAGACCAGCCTGAGCAACATGGCAAACCCCATCTCCACTAAAAATACAAAAATTATCCGGGCGTGGTGGCACGTGCCTGTAGTCCCAGCTATGGGACGCTGAGGCATGAGAATCACTGGAACCCAGGAGGTGGGTGTTGCAGTGAGCAGAGATTGCACCACTGCACTCCAGCCTTGGCGACAGAATAAGACTCTGTCTCAAAAATAAATAATTTTTAAATATATATATATATATATATATGTTAAAGATTAATTGAATAAGAAATGGGAAAAATTGAAAAGACTAAGTCGAGTCACTCCTTTTTTTTAATTTTAAGTATGTCACACTATTTCAATTAAAAAATTGTACTTATTTTAAATATAGCTTACCTTTATATTGTATGTTTAGAATTTTACCCCTTTGTTCATTTACAAATAAACATTTATTAAATATCCACTCTGGACTAGGCAATGAAGTAAATAAAACAATTTCTCACCGCAATGAGCTCATATTTTAGAAGAGAAACAAGTAAACAAAAATATAATAAAATATGTAAAGCATAATAATAAAGACTTCACAAGATCAGAGATGGCTCAACAAAGGATAGGATAACTCTCAGGGGAGTTAATGGACAAAAATGAATAGAACGTATCAGTCAGCCTTGGTAGTGAAGAAAATTCTGGGAAGGAAATGAACCATATGCATAAAGCCATGGACACATGAGCTAACATGAAGTATCCTAAGAACTGCAAGCCATGTGAAATAGTTGGAGCATGTGGGAAGGAGGTAGATGATGAGGTTGCAGAGCATGCCAGGGCCATGGTCACAAACAGTTCAAATGCACTGTTAGGAAACAGCCAGCTCCATGGGCATGGGACTTATGCAACTGCACAGGGCCCCACATTTAGAAGCACTCTATACTTAGTTTACTGCTCTGCTATTACTATCTTGAAGGTTTTACTTTTTGAACAAGAGGCCCTGCACTTTTATTTTGTACTGGGTCCCACAATCTATGGCCCTCCTCATGTTAAAGATTTTTATTTTATTTTATTTTATTTTATTTTATTTTATTTTATTTATTTTATTTTATTTTATTTTATTTTAATTTTTTTTTGAGACAGAGTCTTACTCTGTCACCCAGGCTGAAGTGCAGTGGTGCGATCTCTGGTGGAGATCGCTGCAACCTCCACCTCCCAGGTTCAAGCGATTCCTATGCCTCACCCTCCCAAGTAGCTGGGACTACAGGTGTGTGCCAGCATACCTGGATAATTTTTGTATTTTTAGTAGAGATGGGGTTTTGCTGTGTTATTCAGGCTGGTCTTGAACTCCTGACCTCAAGTGATCCACTTGCCTTGGCCTCCCAAAGTGCTGGGATTACAGGCATGAGCCACCATGCCCAGCCAAAGATTTTAAATAGTAAGTATTTCCGGAAAAAAAAATGAACAACAAAACCTAATCCTCCTTAGACTATTTGTGACTGTTTGACTTTAACCAGTGTCAATCACTACAGATGAATGCCAATGATTCTCTAAAGAAGGAAGATAAATTTCTAAAAGACTGCTCCTGACCAAACTAATTGAGGAAACCAGCTAGTTGAGTGTGTTTCTTGGCCTTCATGCTGATTCTTGCTCACACTCAGGTTTGAAAATATCCTCCAGTTCAGTACTCTACAAACTTCTAAATATTTTCTGGGATTATCTTTATAAAAACACATCTGTTAAAGAGCACACATAAAATCATTCAGCATTCCATTTGAGAATAAAACATACATTTTGTTCTCAGCCTCCTAACTCAACCCACTTTCCACTTTCCACTTAGAATCTTAAGCAACAACACATAAAGTTATAGATGAACTTTTGTTTACAATGTTGTACAATGGTTTACATTATTGTTTATCTATGGAACAACAAGTTGTGAACTTGCTGAAACTATTCAAAATTCATTTACCTTCTCCTATTTTAACAATGAAAGTCCTCAGTCCAAGAAACAATGCTTAATTCACCCCAGATGTCATTTTAAAATGACTACAAAACACTGCTGAAAGAAATCAGAGGTGACACAAATGGAAAAACATTCCATGTTCATGGGTTGGAAGAATCAATACCATAAAAATGGCCCTACTACCCAAAGCAACTTACAGATTCAGTGCTATTCCTATCAAACTACCAACGTCATTCTTCACAGAATTAGAAAAATCTATTCTAAAATTCATATGGAACCAAAAAAGAGCCTAAATAACGAAAGCAATCCTAAACAAAACAAAAAAAAAAACAAAGCCAGAGGCATCACACTACTCAACTTCAAACTATACTATAAAGCCACAGCAACCAAACCAGCATGGTACTGGTACAAAAACAGACACAGAAACCAATGGAACTGAATAGAAAACTCAGAAATAAAGCTGCACACCTAAAACCATCTGATCTTTGATAAGGCAGACAAAAACAAGCAATGGGGAAAGGACTCCCTATTCAGTAAATGGTGCTAAAATAACTGACTAGTCATATGCAGAAAATGAAATTGGACTCCTACCTTCCACCACGTACAAAAATTAATTCAAAATGGATTGAAGATTTAAATGTAAGACCTCAAACTATAAAAATTCTGGAAGACAGCTGGGCACAGTGGCTCATGCCCGTAATCCCAGCACTTTGGGAGGCTGAGGTTGGTGGATTACCTGAGGTCAGGAGTTCAAGACCAGCCTGCCCAACAGGGCACAACCCCATCTCTACTAAAAATACAAAAAATTAGCCAGATGTGGTAGCAGGCTACCTAATCCTGGCTACTCGGAAGGCTGAGGCAGGAGAATCGCTTGAACCCGGGAGGTGGAGGTTGCAGTGAGCCAAGATCACACGCCACTGCACTCCAGCCTGGGTGACAAGAGTGAAATTCTACCTCAAAATAAAATAAAATTCTGGAAGACAACCTAGAAATAGTCTAGTTGACATAGCCTTGGCAAAGAATTTTTGGCTAAGTTCCCAAAAGCAATTGCAACAAAAACAAAAAATAGACAACTGCAGCCTAGTTAAACTAAAGAGGTTCTGCACAGCAAAAGAAACTATCAACAGAGTAAACAGACAATCTACAGAATGGAAGAAGATGTTCATAAACTCTGCATCTGACAAAAGCCTAATATCCAGAATCTACAGGGAACTTAAACAATTCAACAAACAAACAACAAATAACCCCATTTTAAAAATGGGCAAAGGACAACAGACACTTCTCAAAAGAAGACATACATACCAGTGGCCAACAAACATGAAAAAATGCTCAGCATCACTAATCAGAGAAATGCAAATCAAAACCACAGTGAGATACCATCTCACACTAGTCAGAATGGCTACTATTAAAAAATTAAAAAACAACAGATGCTGGCCAGGCTGCTGAGATAAGAGAACGCTTATACCTTGTAATGTATACACTTATACCTTGAAATGTAAATTAGTCCAGCCTGTGTGAAAAACACCTGGAGACTTTTCAAAGAACTTAAACAGAGCTACCCTGCAATCCCATTACTGGGTATATATCCAAAAGAAACAAATTGTTCTACAAAAATATACACACACTTGTATGTCCATCACTGCACTATTCACAATAGCAAAGACATGGACTCACCCAGGTGTCCATCAATGGTAGATGGGCTAAAGAAAATGTATATTTTCTTATATGCCATGGAATACTATACACTATGGAATATTAAGCAGCTGTTAAAAAGAATGAAATTATGTCCTTTGCAGAAACATGGATGGAGCAGAAGGCCAAAATCCTAAGCAAATTAATGCAAAAACAGAAAACCAAATACTGCATGTTCTCATTTATAAGTGGGAGCTAAGCAATGAGCACACATAGACATAAATATGGGAAAAATAGACACCAAACTACTAGACCCTACTAAAGGGTAGAGTGGGGAGAGTGGGTTAAGAAACTACCTATGGGGTACTATGCTCACCACCAGGGTGATGGGATTGGTATTCTAAACCTCAGCATCACACAATGTACCCAGGTAATAAACCTGCCCATATACCCCCTGTATCTAAAGTAAAAGTTAAAATTTTTTTTAAATGAATGAATCCATTCCCAATGTTTCCTTTTATTTGAAATATCACATTTATTCAACTCACCCTCTGATTCAGTAAAAATATATCATTTCTCTATATGTATTATTCTCAGCAATTTTTCCACCACAACCCTAGATCAACAAAGATGGTGTTTTAATTTTTCATTTTCTTTGGTTTTTAATTGAAATATAAAAGGTATAAAGTGCACAAATCTTAAGCATACATATTTATATCATGTATACACACATACACACACATATACACACGCTAATGTAATCACCAGGCAGATCAAGATAAAAATATTTCTAACACCCCAGAAAGATGTTTCTTATCCCTTCTGAGTCAATACTTCCCCAGAGTTAACCACTTCTTCTGACTTCTATTACCATAGAATAATCTTTCCTACTCTTGAACTTCATAAAAATGGAATTTGGATACATTTTATTCATTAATATGTCTGTGCAGTTTCTTCCTGTTGTTTATAGCAGTAGTTTATTCTTTTTGATTGCTGTATAATTTATTAATTTGTCCATTGTGCTGTTAATGGATATTTGTATTATTGAGCCCAGTTTTGAATACCCAGGCACTGTTCAAGACTATGCAGGTAAAAGGAGCATAAGGCAAGGTTCTTGATGCCAGGAACTTATAACCTAGATAAAGCATAATGAAAATACATATGAAAACCTGGCTACAACTTAACAGTCTACACACTATGCTATCTTCAGTATCTTGTGTCTTCAGCTCTGAGGCATGCATACATCTTGTCAAAAACATTCCAACATATCATTCCCTGTTGTCTTTCTTCCTTCAATCCACTCTCCACTTCACCTCTCCAATGCACATACACACATACACACATCTGAATATCAAATGTACTTTGAAATAATAACAGATTCTCTTCAGAAGAGAGTGCAATGTGTTCTTTAAAATTTACTCTGTGTCCCAGGTTTAGTGCGGTGCACTTTAAAAGCTATTGATTGTTAAATGCAGAATTATTGGTCAATCTTTCAAAAGACTACTTAATTTTCTGCTTTTAAAAGATAAAACATGCCATTTTGAATTAATATAGGAACTATACACAGAAATCAGCAGAAATCTAGTTGCTGTCAAGTTTATACACAAATGTCATAAAACAAATATTTTCTAAATACGTAATTTTCAATGTCTATAATTTAAACCACTCAGCATATGCAATGTGACCTAAAGTGGATTACTTAAGCTAAACTGTAACCTGAGTGTTATCCAGATTAAATGACATACTGGTGTTCTATTCAGGAAGCCCATACTCCAAAGTTTGTGCTAAGAGAGCTGTTCCTTTTTTCTTGATCAGTAACCAATGCTTTGCTAATTTGAATATGCAATATCAGAAATAGATGTCTCTAAGGGGTCTGTTAACTAATAAGTGGTCTATTAATAAGTTTATTATTAACATGAAGTAAGACTTTGACTCTCTTGATGGAACTTTTAAAATGTAAATTGACTAAAATTATTTTAGAGACATTCTCTACCTTTAAATTAACCAAATAAAGAACCCAAGTGTTGGCCGAGCATGGTGGCTTATGTCTATAATCCCAGCATTTTGGAAGGCCAAGATGGGAGGATCACTTGAGGCCAGCAGTTCAAGACCAGCCTGGTCAACATAGCAAGACCCCGTCTCTATTGTAATTTATTTTAATTTATAAAAAAAGAACCCAAGGAGGCCTGCACCCTGCACCTTTTATCCTTAGGGAAGAAACCCAAATACTCTTCTGTCAAGCTGTGAACTCTTGTTTCCTGATGAACCCATCAGAAACAAAAGACATGGAGACCACTAAGCAAACGTTTAATAAATAAGCAATCTATAAGGATAGCAATCCTGCCTCTGGAATCTGGGCACTAGTCTTGAGTGAACTCTCACTGAACCATAGTACCTTTTGAAGGATTGAGAACTGAGGTGGTCCTGAGCCTACAGAAAAGCCTGCATGAAGTGTTACTTGATACTTGGGCCCTTCTTCTTGACTTTAGCAATTCATTTAGAGAGCATGAGAGTATAATTTTATATGGTATAATGTAGTATAGTAAGGAATACTATTAATAATAGCTAGTACATACTTTAAAAGTATTCACCATGTGTCAGCACTGTCCTATGCCAGGATCAGCAAACTTTTTCTTTAAGATAATAAACATTTTAGGCTTTATGGACCAAAAGGCAAAATTGACGATATTATGTAAGTACTTATACAACCACTTCAAATGCAATCATTTAAAACATTTTATTTTAATTCTTAGTTCATGGATCACTAAAAAAAAAAAAAAAAAAAAAAAACAAAACAGGCTGCTGGATTGATTTGGCTCATGGGCCATAGTTTCTGTTCTCAGAACTTTACATATATTAACTCATTTAATCTTTTCATCCACCTATGAAGTAGGTACTATTGAATCCCTATTTTAGGAATAAGGAAATTGAAACAAAGAGAAATTTGGTTAATTCCTGATATCAGACAACTGTATCCTATTAGTATAAATAGTAGAGTCTAGTATACGGGAAATTGTTTTCTCTACGTGCATTTCCTTCTTTTGAAAGCCCATATATAATACTTTTTTTGTCCACAGTAAAAGACACATTGATTGGAATGTTCCTCTTGTTAGATAATCTCTCTTTCTGACCTCAAAATGCTAGGCCTCTTGGAATCATGCTGGGGGCTACAGTACATAAAGGTATGGGAAAGAAATCTAGCCTTTTCTTTATGCCCTTACCAACCTTTCATAAGCCTCCTTTAACTTCTTCATTTTATCAGCTAAGGTACAAAGAGCCAAGGTCAGACATTTGGTGACAATCAGGCAGAAGGAAAAGAGTAAAGAGGACCCTATTCTCTTTAGAGCTGGCATTTCCTCTGTAAAATAATAAAGCTTTTGTGAAGAGCCTCCCAATGCAAATAACAATACAACATTCATATTCCCAGATGGCACACTGCAGTCATTCATCTTTATGTAACCGGATGGATGATTAGTGTGGGTTAGCAATTGAAGCTAAATTATCTGTCAGTTTGTCTTTAGACCTTGCTGATAACATCAGCCCAATATTTGTAATAACTGATGACATGCACTTATGCATAGAAGAGAAGATTAAGCTTACTGTCTCTAAAAGGAAACGTCAAAGACAAAAAACACAAAGATGGCTTTGGGTCCCAAGCTTCTGGCATCAATGAAAGGCTCTTACTGGCCAACATTCTGAAAATGGTACATGCTTTTTCTGGCTAATGGCACAATGATTCTCAGATGGGTGTCATTTTCTCTGGCTCTTTAATCAGGAGCAAAATCAAGAGGAAATAGCTTTATTATGTGTAGCTTCAAATCAGACAGCCCTTCGCTAGGTAATCATCACTCTGGGAACATTTCAAAACATTACAGATTTGAACTTTCCAGTATTAGGAACATCCTTATTTGGCAAGTCCAGATAATAAGGGTCCTGGTCAAATTATGGACAGTATTCTGGGTATGATAGTGAGTTTCTCTATGAGGATTTCAAACTATAAAACATTCCAGTTCATTAATAACTAGTATGACTTGGAGGCGAGTGGATCACTTGAGCCCAGGAATTCAAGACCAGACTGGGCAACATGGCAAAATCCCGTCTCTACCAAGAAAAAAAAAGTTAATAAAAATAAAAACTAGTATGACTTGAATGTTTAGGACAAAAACAAAGCACAAGGTGCCATAGTACAGTACAAAACTCAATGACACTTTCTGTCTAAAGATATAATTAATACTAAAATTATACTAAAACAAGATATGCTTTAGGATTCAGCTGATCAGCAAGATTAGCAAAACAAATTGTTATATGGTAAATGTATGTGACTATTACTTAATAGAATCATATTAACCTGCTATGTTTTAGATCAGAAACAATCGAATCTTGGCAATTTCATACTTTCCAACCTACTATAAATTAACAGATTTCTAACGTCACGTATGGAATGGTTGTTGTGTTTTTCTTAAAATTAATTTGCTATGGGAAGCTTTCTTTATCTTGATACTTTGAAGTTAGAGCCTTAAGACCTGGAACTCCTAATATCTTACCTAGAAGAAGCCACGTTTGCTTTCCAAGTTACTTTTGTGATTTCCCTGGTGATCGGTGGCAGCTTGCTCTCTACGTTTGCAGCTTCTGCTTGCTGCTGAGTGATAGGAGATGAATGATGAGGAGGCACCGTGTGAGCTTTCTTGCTGAGCACCACTAGGAGCCACTGAGACTCCACAGCCATGTGGCCTCTGAAGAGCTAGGCTCTGTGACACACTTGGCAGACTGGAGCTCACTGGTGGGAAATACCAATCTCCATTGTTGCTGCCTGTGGAAATTGTACACTAAATGGCAAAATGGGAGTGTAGTACCCCTCCGTTATGCATGCAGATTCACTTAAACAAATTATACTTTAAATATAGCATCAATCGTATTATTAAATAACATATATGCTTCTTCCATTCTGGTAGATAATAAGAATTTAAGTGAGGTTTTTAAAGCACACAAAACAAAAGTTATTTTAACCAAGCACAGAAAGGTAAATACCATATTATCTCAGTTTTATGTGGAATCTAAAAAAGTTGAACTTATAGAAGCAGAGAGTAGAACGGTGATTTCTAGGGGCTGGGGGAAGGGAGGAGCAGGATTGGGAATATGTTGGTCAAAGGGTCAAGGGATAAAAAATTTAAATTAGTTAAGGAGGAATAAGTTCAAGAAATTTATATGGTACTACACATAGTCAATGACAATGTGTAGTAGACTTTAAAATTGCCGAGAGTAGATTTTAAGTGTTCTTACTACACGAAAAAGTGTGTGCAGTAATGCATATGTTAATGAGTTTTAGTCATTCTACAATGCATACATATTTCAAACCATGATACTGTTAACCATAAATACACATAATTTTTATTTGTCAATTACAAAATAAAAATTTTGAAGTTATTTTAAGACCCTTTAACAAATTTTATTAAATGCCTACTCTGTCCCAGACTCCGCCAGTCCCTTTCTCATATGTCATCTCTTTCTTTCTACAACTCATCGACAACAGGGTAAGGGTTAGAACCCAAGTTTTTGAACCAAACATGGGATACCAAAGTGCCACACTGGCTTTGTGACCTTAATTGGAAATCTTTCTCAGGGCTGTTTGGTAGGCATTATGCAATATGTTTTGAACCAATTTGCTAAAACCGAGAACCAGAACAGTTTGCTTTTAATTTCTTTCAGAGACATTGTGTGGAATTAAAAGTTCCTGCATTGAACACAATGAGACTTTTCACTTTGGCAGTGAGTATACACAACCTCAATAGGGGCTGTCCACAGTGACTATTTTCTTTAGAAGGAGAAACAAGCCAAAGTTAATGATAACTCCCTCCTAAACAGAACTAAACTGAACCACCCAGCTTAACTTCCCTAGGGAGAACCTGCGTCATATTGAACACAAATATTTACCTAGATGGACTTGAAAAGGAACCCAAGACTCCTTCCGGGTGTGGATTACCAACCTACATAAAAGAGCTGGGCACTCACAATGCAGCCATAATGACCAGGCTGAAGACTAGTCACTGAAATGGCAATTCAATGTTCTGATGTGGCACTAAGTTATAGTTTATATAAATATTATGTAACTAAATAATAGAAAATAGGAAAAAAAATATATGTAGAAACAAGCCAGCAAGAATTTCACTAAACTTTTCAGTCCTTTATTATAGTACTGGGAATTATCTAGGAACTCAACTTTACTGGGTAAATTCCGCAAAGACATGTTTGCATCATCCCTGCCTTTATAATGAGAAGCAGTAATAGACATGATGTGTATACCACATAATGTAATTCCGTAATAAGTGTGCTACAGGGAAGACGAGGCTGGGTCACAGGCCTTGAAGAGCCTAACAATGGATGACCTGCCACTTCACAGAGCTGTGGGAGATCTGGCCCTGCCACAGCCTCCGGAGGCCATGGAACCCCTGACTAGTGCTCAAGTCTTGCTTATTAGGAAAGGTATACCTGCAGTGTCATCACAGACCCTGTAAGATGCTAAAAAATAAATTAAAACCACCTGCACCTCCTTAGAGTACAACTCCCGCAGGATTGGCTACCTAACTTGCAGGGCACAGTGAAAAATGAAAATGTGGGGATTCTTATTCAAAAAGAAAAAAAAAAGCCATTTTTTCTTTTTTTCTGAAGTCTTTTTCTCAACCTGTCATGGTGGGTTTTTTTTTGTTTTTTTTTTTTTTGCCATTTAATGTCCTGCTTCTTTGAGCACAGAGACACTCACTAGGCAAGTACAGATCTTCATAGGCGTGAAGTCCCCAACTCTCTCCAACCTCTCCAACTCAGCACATGGGGTTTGCACACCTGCCTCTGACTCTCCTCAAATCTGTACCCAGCCCACCGTGGTGGGGACATATGGGGACAGTGATCTCCAGGCAGAGGCAGGGGAATGAGCAGCTGAGAACCTGTCCCTGGGAGAAGCCTCATGACAAGAAGCAGGACCTTGTGTGAAGCAGGCTCCAAGACCTTCTACACCCTCTATGGTCCCATCAGACATCACTTATAAAACACAAATTTAAAGATAAAATTAAGAAAATCAAGATGGTGACTGCATTTCATAAAACCCAAGTGTAGAACGAGCACATAGCCCAGTACAACCACACAGGCCATGCCCAAGAAGACAGAATATCTGGCTAAACCCTGAAGGTTTCTCAGAGCACTTACTTGCTGAAGATTAGCTATTCTGTTTAGAAATTAATTGGTCACTGATGTTAGTCTAACTAAAAGGAGCAAAGGGACACTGTCCAAAAAAACTCCTAAAGCAAAAATGCCAGCCAATGTGCCCCAGAGCTACAAAGGTAGCTCTCCTAATTTTGAATTTACCAGTAAATAAAATGAGTTCAGGGATCTAAAATCTTAACCTTGGGTGCCGGAATTTGTAATGATCATTAGGATGAACTTTTAAGTAGAAAAACTCCGAGTTTCTTAGTTGAGAAGCTAAAGTCAAAGTAGTTAATGAAAGAAAACTAATGAGATAAACAGTACAGAAGCTACGAAATAATGGAAATTCAAACAGACAAATAGGGGTTATCTTATCAGCTGGGCCAAGAAACCAGAGGGTCAGAGAAGCAGCTCTGGATGCCTGGAAAATAAAATGTTAAGAATAAGAAAGAAAAATGCAAGCACCATAACAGCCTTGAATTCTGAGCTAGGAATGGGACAAAAATTCAGATAAGCTTAAAAAGAACAATCATGGGTCTTGCATTTTTAGAAATAGTTCACATGTCATCCTCAATGGATTATAAAGCTCAAAAATAACCCAGAACTCTTGACACTGAAACTACAGAACTGAGATATTAGTTTAAGTGTTTTAAGTTGGATATCATGCCTAATTGTCAAGACCACCTGCTGAGGTTTGGGTGCGGTTTGCCTACATCAGAACTCATGTTGAAATTTTATTCCCAGTGTGGTAGTGATGGGAGGTGGGGCCTAGCTAGGAGGTGTTTGGCTCCCAGCGGTGGATCCTTCATGGATAGATTAATGATCTTTTGAGAATGAGTTCTTCCTCTTGTGGGACTGAATTAATTACCAAGACAGCAAGTTGCTCCTCCCTGTGTTTGGTCCCTTTGCGCTCACCCTGCTCCACCTTCTGCTTTCTGCCATGAGTAGAAACAGCTGAGGCCCTCAACAGATGTGCTGCCCAATCTTGGATTTCCCAGCCTCTCCAGAATCTTGAGCCAAATAAACTTTTCTTAATAAATTACCCAGTCTCGGGTATTCTGTCATAGCAACACTGAATGGAATAAGACACCACCCTTCATTAACTTCATTTTGCATGTGGGAAGCCAGAGCTTAAAATGGGTACCTGGCCCAGAGTCTCATAAGTGGTACACAGAAACAGAGCCTAGTGTGACTCAATCAGCCTGCCTCTGTGTCTGCACTACTAGTCTCTACATTTCCTCATACTCACAGCACAGACTGCTTTGTATGGCCTTAAGAGGCACAAGAAGCATTTGTTAAGCCTTGTGTCCTGATTTTTGAATTGGCAATTGTAATCACTAAAACACAAGAACTTAAACAATGAAGCTAATGAAAAGCAGAGGATTCAAAGAAATTTTACTTCTCTTTTCTCTCTTCTTTCTACACTAACTATTCCTCTTAGCTTTTCTAAGCCCCCATGTCCTATTTGTAAAATAAAAATAATAAAGTTTTCCTCTTAATATTATTTTGGGGATTAAAGCAGATAATATATATAGATTGTTTAGCACAGCACTCAATAAAACTTACCATTATTAATACACAATTAGTTTTAATACCACTGTTAGTAGCGATTTGGGCATGGAAAAAATTTGTTGAATGTTCTTACTTTTAGCAAGACTAAAAGTAAGAAAAAGCAGAGCAGTATACTGAGGTGGGTCAAAGAAAATTACAAATTGTGGACTTAATGATAATTAAAACCTGCATTGTGCTATAAATATACAAAGAAGCAAGCCAGACACAGTGGCTCACGCCTATAATCCCAGTACTTTGGGAGGCGGAGGCAAATGGATTGCCTTGGCCCAGGAGTTCGAGACCAGCCTAGGTGACTTGGCAAAACCCTGTCTCCACAAAAAATACAAAAAAATTAGCCATGCATGGTGGGACATGCCTATAGTTCCAGCTACTTGAGCCCGGGAGGCAGAGGTTGCCGTGAGCCATGATCACACCACTGAACTCCAGCCTGGGTAAAGAGACCCTGTTTCAAATATATATGTAAAATAAAACATATGTATAAAGAAGCACACTGAATGTGTTTTATTATCTAGGCTATATTCTCCTGATTCTTTCTGGGGCTCCACTTATCCCATATAGGACGAATTTATTAGTCATACAGAAAGGAATCCAATGGAAGACCTATGTCTCAGTGTACTAGGATCCAAATGTTGCCAATTTATTACCTCTAAAATTTATTCATGAAAAATTTCACATCAATTGGTTTATTTTATATTTTACTGCTCACAATCTATAAATGGTTTAGGATTCATATTTTACTACTTCACAATCTATAAATGGTTTAGGATTCAGTTTCATCCTTTTTTTTTTTTTTTTTTGAGACAGTCTCATTCTGTCACCCAGGCTGGAGTGCAATGGCATGATCTCAGCTCACTGACACCTCTGCCTCTTGGGTTCAAGCGATTCTTGTGCCTCAGCCTCCTGAGTAGCTGGGATTACAGGTGCAAGTCACCACACCTAGATACTTTTTTGTATTTCTAGTAGAGACAGGGTTTTGCTATGTTGGCCAGGCTGGTCTGGAACCCCTGACTTCAAGTGATCCACCTGCCTCGGCCTCCCAAAGTGCTGGAATTACAGGCGTGAGCCACTGCACCCAGCCCAGTTCCATCATTCTTATATTTTACTTATCATCTCACATGAGTAAAAGTTTGATCTTTTCCAATTTCTGGCACAGTAAAACACAAAAGAGGATGTTTGAAACAGGTTTAATTTGTTAATTTAAGGCTATGAAACACTTCCTAACATTCCCTTAGTGAACTTTTTTTCTGATCCCTACTAGTTCGACTTCTTTTAGTTTAGAGGTTTTAGTCCTCAAGAGAAAACACATCAACGAAGAAACCTAGCAAGAATCCTACTGAATACTAAGCTATACCTGCTGTCCAAGCACTACAGGCAACACATGCCAAAGGACTAGCAGGTAAAAAAAGAAATCATCTTGGCAGGGGTAATGGACCCTGATCATCAATCAGGAAGGATGCAAAATTGCTGTTACACAAAGAGAGCAGAAAGGAGTAAGGTTGGCACCCAGATGATCCTCTTGAGCTTGTCTTAATGTTCCCTTGCCTAATTATGATGCTGATGATGATGCAGCAAGAACTCCTGAAAAGGGAGATTGAACTCCTTAGGGTTGAGAGTCTGGACCTCTCACCAAGTAATTCCCATAGATCAGCCAAAGGTGAAGGGAATTTTGAATGGTTAGCAGAGGAGGGAGGTAATGAGTATCATTTGTGGCCTTGAAGCTAACTGCAGTGGTGGGGCAATAGTTTCTCTCACTAACCAGTCTCTTTAAGCCTGCCTCAGGAAAACAGGCCCACCAGAATCCTATAGGAACTGGCCCCAGAATTCATTTGAAGTACAACCAAGCAGTATAAGGAATGGGCCAACATGAATGCAGTGCTACAGTCAGATTCTCCCTGCAAGATTGAAACATGTATCTCCCCAGCTCAAGAGAAGGTTGTAGAGTGTCAGTCCTCCTTGGGAATTGCCTCAGCTGAAGAGGACCTCATCCCAAAATCATGCCTCCTTCCAGGCACACCACATATAAAGACCACTTAGGCAGTATGGCCATTTTCACGATATTGATTCTTCCTACCCATGAGCATGGAATGTTCTTCCATTTGTTTGTATCCTCTTTTATTTCATTGAGCAGTGGTTTGTAGTTCTCCTTGAAGAGGTCCTTCACGTCCCTTGTAAGGTGGATTCCTAGGTATTTTATTCTCTTTGAAGCAATTGTGAATGGGAGTTCACTCATGATTTGACTCTCTGTTTGTCTGTTACTGGTGTATAAGAATGCTTGTGATTTTTGTACACTGATTTTGTATCCTGAGACTTTGCTGAAGTTGCTTATCAGCTTAAGGAGATTTTGGGCTGAGACAATGGGGTTTTCTAGATATACAATCATGTCATCTGCAAATGGTAATTTATAGATTCATTGCCATCCCCATCAAGCTACCAATGACTTTCTTCACAGAATTGGAAAAAACTACTTTAAAGTTCATATGGAACCAAAAAAGAGCCTGCATCACCAAGTCAATCCTAAGCCAAAAGAACAAAGCTGGAGGCATCACACTACCTGACTTCAAACTATACTACAAGGCTACAGTAACCAAAACAGCATGGTACTGGTACCAAAACAGAGATATAGATCAATGGAACAGAACAGAGCCCTCAGAAATAACGCCGCATATCTACAACTATCTGATCTTTGACAAACCTGAGAAAAACAAGCAATGGGGAAAGGATTCCCTATTTAATAAATGGTGCTGGGAAAACTGGCTAGCCATAGGTAGAAAGCTGAAACTGGATCCCTTCCTTACACCTTATACAAAAATCAGTTCAAGATGAAGTAAAGACTTAAATGTTAGACCTAAAACCATAAAAGCCCTAGAAGAAAACCTAGGCATTACCATTCAGGACATAGGCATGGGCAAGGACTTCATGTCTAAAACACCAAAAGCAATGGCAACAAAAGACAAAATTGACAAATGGGATCTCATTAAACTAAAGAGCTTCTGCACAGCAAAAGAAACTACCATCAGAGTGAACAGGCAACCCACAAAATGGGAGAAAATTTTCACAACCTACTCATCTGACAAAGGGCTAATATCCAAACTCTACAATGAACCCAAACAAATTTACAAGAAAAAAACAAACAAGCCCATCAAAAAGTGGGTGAAGGATATGAATAGACACTTCTCAAAAGAAGACATTTATGCAGCCAAAAAACACATGAAAAAATGTTCACCATCACTGGCCATCAGAGAAATGCAAATCAAAACCACAATGAGATACCATCTCACACCAGTTAGAATGGCAATCATTAAAAAGTCAGGAAACAACAGGTGCTGGAGAAGATGTGGAGAAATAGGAACACTTTTACACTGTTGGTGGGACTGTAAACTAGTTCAACCATTGTGGAAGTCAGTGTGGCGATTCCTCAGGGATCTAGAACTAGAAATACCATTTGACCCAGCCATCCCATTACTGGGTATATACCCAAAGGAATATAAATCATGGTGCTATAAAGATACATGCACACATATGTTTACTGTGGCACTATTCACAATAGCAAAGACTTGGAACCAACCCAAATGTCCAACAATGATAGACTGGATTAAGAAAATGTGGCACATATACACCATGGAATACTATGCAGCCATAAAAAATGATGAGTTCATGTCCTTTGTAGGGACATGGATGAAATTGGAAACCATCATTCTCAGTAAACTATCGCAAGAACACAAAATCAAACACCGCATATTCTCACTCATAGGTGGGAATTGAACAATGAGAACACATGGACACAGGAAGGGGAACATCACACTCTGGGGACTGTTGTGGGGTGGGGGGAGGGGGGAGGGATAGCATTGGAAGATATACCTAATGCTAGATGACGAGTTAGTGGGTGCAGCACACCAGCATGTCACATGTATACATATGTAACTAACCTGCACATTGTGCACACGTACCCTAAAACTTAAAGTATAATAATAAAAAAAAGACCACTTAATGCACTGTAAAAGCCTGGATTTCTCACCCCAAATCAGGACAACTCTAAAAGGCCATTCTAGTTTTAGAGCTGCCACAGTGTAGGTAGAGGCTTTGTTGTGACTGCCCCTCAGCCCAACTTCTCCTTCTGCCCAATTTTCTTCCTCTGTAACCCCCACTTTAATATACTTTCTGTACACTAGCTCCAACTCAGAATTTTCTTGCTGGGGAACCCAATTGGGACAGTATTACTTTGACTAACAGTAAACTCGTTATCCAAATAATCATATCCTTTCATTTTCAGGCCTAACTTTATTTGATGAGTCAAGTGGACTTAAAGAGAGATGGGGCTTGGTCTGTTTTGCCAATGCTACACAAATGAGGGCTAGCCACTGGCAAAGGGACCTAGTAGCAAGAGGCTGAGAGGTTTTCTTCTCCAGGTAAAGATGAGGAGGTAGAGCAGGAGCTTCTCCTATTAGGAGCTGTGATGTTGAGGGTGTCTCAAAGGATACCCTCAAAAATCTCATGGATGATCCCCTTAAGACAGCTAACATTTTCATGTTTACCACACAGACTGCATTCACCAGCCAGGATGGGTCAAAGATGATACAAATATATACAACAGAGAACTGTAGGCAGTGGTTTGCTAGTAAACGTTTGACAACCAGAAATCAATGCAGAGGGGAAAAAGCACTGATACGTAATGTTTGCTTATTTCCATTGTATAAACACACCGACCATGTGTGATTTTAAGCTATCAGTGGGATATGACTGATTGGAGTTGGAAGACATAAGCAACAGCATATAGTTACAAAAGTATTTCCACCATATAAAAGTGTGATACACCTAAATAACCATAAAAGAATAGATAATAGTAAGACAGTAAAATAATTAGGAAGTGACACGTTGTTAGCATTTATTGCCTGTTTTCAATATAATTTGATATAATTTGGTTTTAATAATAACATTTAACAATTGGCACATAAAATTTCTGTAACTTTAATAATCAGCTGATACAAGTCAACTCTAGGACATCATCTGAGGCAGGACCAGTTCAGAAAAAAATACTTTGCTTCTATTCCCTCATTCCTCTTACCAGTCTCCAATACAAAAAGCTAAAAGCAGAAGAGGAAGAGAGAGAAAAAAAAATTTTGTCCCCAGGCCAGATAAAAAAGGAAAGGGGATGTATTAATCCATTTTAATACTGTCCGTTTTCATACCCCTGAGACTGGGTAATTTATAAAGGAAAAAGGTTTAATTGACTCACAGTTCAGCATAGCTGTGGAGGCCTCAGAAAACTTACAATCACGGTGGAAGGTGAAAAGAAAGCAAGGCAGTTTCTTCACAAGGGGGCAGGAAAGAGAAGTGCCAAGTGAAAGAGGAAGAGCCTCTTAGAAAACCATCAGATCTCGTGAGAATTCACTCACTATCACAAGAACAACATGGGGAAAACCGACCCCATGATTCAATTACCTTCACCTGGTCTCTGCCTTGACACGTGGGGTTTATGGGGATTAAAATTCTAGATAAGATTTGGGTGGGGACACAAAGCCTAACCATATTAGGGGAAATGTTCCAGTTATCTACTGCTACATAATAAACTACCCCAAAAAGTAGTGGCTTTTCTTTCACGGGTATGAAGGTTGACTGGAATCAGCTGGGTAATTCTTCTGCTCCATGTGAAATTCGCTGCAGCTGCAATCATCTGGCTTGACTAAGCTCTCATACCCAAGATACATAGCTGGTCCCTTGGTAGAGAGAGCTGGAAGATGGGGCTGAGCTGGTACTTTGGAATAACGGGGTCTCTCTCTGTCTCTCCTTGAAAGCTCAGGGTTTCTCCCTCTCCATGTGGTCTCTCTATATGATATGTGGACATGCCAGATTTCTTAAATGGTGGCTCAATGTTTCCAAAATCACAAAAGAAGAAGCTTCTAGGCCTTCTAATGACTTAGGCACAGAACCAGCTCAGGATCCTTTCCACTGCATTCTATTGTTTAATGAGTCACAGGCCAAGTGCAGATTCGATGCAGAAGGGGACATAGAAGGGAATGATCCATTGAGGGCCAGCTTTGGAGATGAGCTACCACAGGATGGGAATGCATAGGTGGGAATAAGGAGACAAAATTTGAATTGAATTTGAAATTAGAAGTTTACATTTCATATTGGACCAGATTGAGTTTTTAAATAACTGAAAATGACAGGAAATAAAGTATTCTAGACAAATGTTATTAAGGGATGGGAAAGGAATATTATACATAACAGGTTAGAGGGCATTTGGAATAATATAAAATATGGTATACCCCTATTTGGTTTAAATGATTCAAAAAACCAACTACATAAAACTGCATAAATATTAATGATGATTACAAGTCATTAAACTAGCATACCAAAATTGAGGTAAGTAGAGGTGTTTTATTAATCTATGTTAACTCTTACTTTTAAGAATGAACATCTTAATTTCTATCTGAATAGTGTGTGATCTGACAAATGTTTTATATTTATTACTTTTTTTTTTTTTGAGACGGAGTTTCACTCTTGTTGCCCAGGCTGGAGTGCAATGATGTGATCTCGGCTCACTGCAACCTCCGCCTCCCAGGTTCAAGCAATTCTCCTGCCTCAGCCTCCCGAGTAGCTGAGATTAGAGGTGCCTGCCACCACGCCTGGCTAATTTTTGTATTTTTAGTAGAGATGGGGTTTCACCACGTTGGCCCGGCTGGTCTCAAACTCCTGACCTCAGGTGATCTGCCCACCTCAGCATCCCAAAGTGCTAGGATTACAGGTGTGAGCCACTACGCCTGGCCCATTTATTGTTTTTATCATACATTTTAGCATAAAACTCAGCATGTAGCCCAGTCTTCCATAAATTTTTGCAGCTTTTTCAAATATGGAAATTATGGAAAAGTAAAGTATTCTTTGGTATATACTCACATTTTGCTTAATTTTGAACAGGTTAAGAAACAATGCTTGGAATTCACAGTATCAGATACTTTCCTTGAACAATACATTGCAGTATATTTTTAAAGTATGACTGGGAATAATAGACTAATAAAATTTTTCTCTGTAGTGGTAACATATTTCCTTAGTTTTTCACAGTTTGAGAAACACCTTCAGGTATAATATTTCATTCTAGCCTTGAACAACATTGAATGGTAGAGCTTACTGCCTCCACATTGCAGAGAAAGAAAACAGGGCCTCCATATCAGCCCTCTTTTTAACCTTCTTATTCGTGCTGATGCAATAATTCCTCCCACAAACATGCATTTGATTAGAAACTACTCTAAGAATTTTAGATTTTAAATGCTAAAGAATAAAGAGAGGCCAAGCGCAGTGGCTCATGCCTGTAATCCCAGCACTTTGGGAGGTCGAGGCAGGTGGATCACCTGAGGTTAGGAATTTGAGATCAGCCCAGCCAATGGCCAACATGGTGAAACCCCATCTCTACTAAAATACAAAATTAGCCGGGCGTGGTAGCAGGCGCCTGTAATCCCAGCTACTTGGGAGGCTGAGGCAGGAGAACCACTTAAGCCCAAGAGATGGAGGTTGCAGTGAGCCAAGATTGTGCCATTGCACTCCAGCCTGGGGGAAAAGAGTGAAACTCCCTCTAAAAAAAAAAAAAAAAAAAAAAGCAAAAGAAAGAATAAAGAGATAAATAAGCACCATAGTGCAAATTTTCTAGATAAAATTGGTGTTGACATTTATGTCTCAGTAAGGAGATACTTTAGACTTTAAAAAGATAAAAGAATGAAAGAAAGCAATAATAATAATAAAACACATAACTAGGTACTGTTGAAGATTGTTTGGAACTAAGATCTCTGGTCTATTTTTATGAATAATTCTCTTCGTGTTATGTCAGGTGAGTCACTTTTCTTTCTATGAATCATATTTGTTGTGATGGTTCAATATTTACTGACTACTTATAACACACAAAGCACAATCCCTGAAGGTGTGATAACACAGCCACCTGGGGGTTCATTCTCTCTCTACTTTTGTTAACTTACGCAAGTTCCAAGAGACTAGGAGATAATGACAATCAGTACAATAGTAGAGTGAGAATAACATTGACTACTTACTGATGAGGTGAACTTTGAAATGAGTTGTGCAGGAAAGAAACAGTTGCCAACATATGAGAATAGATCTCTGTCCTACCGGAAGAGATTTAGGTTAGCAGTCATAGGGTTAATCAAGGAGATATGGTGTAAAAAGGGAGAAAATGGCAGTTGGCTTTAAAAGAGAGCCCATAACTTCCCCTTTTTGCCACTGTCACTTTACTCAGAGGGTTATAGGTTCAGGCATTAATGGAGCCCTGTTGCAGAGGATGGACACTTGGCATGATCAGGGATGCATGTGTGTCCCTACAGAGTACCCTCTGACTCTCCCTTTTTTACTCTTAACATTTTATTGCTTCTTTTTTTCTCTCTCTTGGAATGGCCCTACTCTGAGCAGGCTTGGGGCGAATAGCTTAGATTCATCACTAGCTCTCAGAGAGAAATGTCCTTCCCTTCTCCTTGTAGGTGTGTTATTCATTAGGTGCTTCTTTGTGCTGCCCCATGCCCCAGTTCCAGGAAACTGCAACGCAAAGCTACACCCTCCCAAGACTGAATCAGGAAGAAATTGAACCCCTGAACAGACCAATAATGAGCTCCAAAAATGAGTCAGTAATAAATATCCTACCAACCAAAAAAAGCCAAGGACCAGGTGGATCCACAGCTGAATTTTCTACCAGATGTGCAAAGAAGAGCTGATACCATTTCTGCTGAAACTATTCCCAAAAAAACTGAGGAAGAGGGACTCCTCCCTAACTAAATCTCTGAGGCCAACTTACCCTGATAGCAAAACCTGGCAGAGACACAATGAATAAGGAACACTTCAAGCCAATATACTTGATGAACATCAATGTAAAAATCCTCAATGAAATACTGACAAACCAAATCCCACAGCACATCAAAAAGTATATCTGCCACAATCAAATAGGCTTTATTCCTGGGATATCAGGTTGGTTCAACATACACAAATCAATAAATGTGATTCATCACATCAACAGAACCAAAGACCAATACCACATGATTATCTTAATAGATACAGAAAAGGCTTTTGATAAAATTCAACACTCCTTCATTATGAAAAACTTTCAGCACACTAGGTATTGAAGGAACATACTTCAAAATAATAATAGCCATCTATGACAAAACCAGAGCCAACATCATACTGAAAGGGCAAAAGCTGGAAGCATTCCCCTTGAAAACCTGCACAAGAAAAGGATGCCCTCTCTCACCACTCCTATTCTAAATGGCCTTGGAAATCCTGTCCAGGGCAATCAGACAAGAGAAAGAAATAAAGGGAATCCAAATAAAAAGAGAGGAAGTCAAACTATCCCTGTTGGCAGACAACATGATCCTATATCTAGAAAACCCCATAATCTCAGTCCAAAAGCTCCTTAAGTTGATAAATAAGTTGAGCAAAGTCTCAGGATAAAAAATAATGTGCAAAAATCACAAAAATATTCCTATACACCAACAGTCAAGCTGAGAGCCAACTTAGGAATGCAACCTCATTCACGATTGCAACAAAAAATAAAGTAAAATACCTAATAATACAGCTAACCAGGGAAATGAAATATCTCTACAAAGAGAAGTACAAAACACTGTACAAAGAAATAAGGGATGACACAAACACATGGAAATACATTCCATGCTAATGGATTGGAGGACTTGATATTGTTAAAGTGGCTATAGTCTCCAAAGCAATTTATAGATTCAATGCTATTCCTATTAAACTACCATTGAAATTCTTCACAGAACTAGAGAAAACTTTTAAAATTCATATGGAACCAAAAAAGAGCACAAATAGCCAAGGCAATTCTAAGCAAAAGGAAAAAAGCTAGAGGTATCATGCTACCCAATGTCAAACTGTACTACAAGGCTACAGTAATCAAAACAGCATGGTACTGATACAAAAACAGACACACAGACCAATGGAACAGAATAGAGAAGCCAGAAATAAGGCCACATACCTACAACTATCTGATCTTTGACAGATCTGACAAAAAGAAGCAATGGTAAAAGAATTCTCTATTCAATAAATGGTGCTGGGATAATTGGCTAGCCATATGCAGAAGATTGAAACTGGACCCCTTCCTTACACCATGTACAAAAATTAACTCAAGATGAATTAAAGGCTTAAGTGTAAAACCCAAAACTATAAAAACCCTGGAAGACAACCTAGGCAATATCATTCTGGGCATAAGAATGGGCAAAGATTTCATGACAAAGGCACCAAAAGCAATTGCAACAAAAGCAAAAATGAATAAATGGGGTCTAATTAAATTTTAGAGATTCTGCTCAGCCAAATAAATAAATAAATAAAACATCAATGAAATAAACAGACAACCTACAGAATGGGAGAAATTTTCCACAAACTATGCATCTGACAAAGGAACTAAAGGAACATCTATAAGGAACTTAAACAAATTTACAAGCAAAAAAAAAAAAAAAAGAACTTCATTAAAAAGTGGACAAAAGACAGGAACAGTCACTTTTCAAAAGAAGATGTGCATGCAGCCAATAATGATATTTTTTAAAAAAGCTCAACATCACTAATCACTAGAGAAATTCAAATCAAAAGCACATTGAGATACCATCTCATACCAGTCAGAATGGCTATTAGTAAAAAGTCAAAAAAGTAACAGATGCTGGTAAGATTGTGGAGAAGAAGGAACACTTATATACTGTTAGTGGGAGTGTAAATTAGTTTAACCATTGTGGAAGACAGTGTGGCAATTTCTCAAAGACCTAAAGACAGAAATGCCATTTGACCCAGCAATTCCATTACTGGGTACATACCCAAGGTAATACAAATCATTCTATTATAAAGACACATGCATGCCTATGTTCACTGCAGCACCATTCACAATAGCAAAGACATGGAATCAACCTAAATGCCCATCACTGATAGACTGGATAAAGAAAATGTTGTACATATACACCATGGAATACTATGCAGCCATAAAAAGAATGAGATCATGTTCTTTGCAGCAACATGGATGGAGTTGGAGGCCATTATCCTTAGCAAACTAACTCAGGCACAGAAAACCAAATACTGCATGTTCTCACTTATAAGTGCGAGCTAAATGATGAGAACACATGGATACACAAAGGGAAACAATAGATACTAGGGTTTCCTTGAGAGTGCAGGGTGAGAGGTAGGAGAAGATCAGGAAAAATAAGTAATGAGTACTACGTTTAATACCTGGGTGACAAAATAATCTTACAACAAACCCCCATGACACAAGTTTACCTATATAACAAATCTACACATGTACCCTTGAACATAAAATAAAGGTTAAATAAAAAGAAAATCTTTCGGGGGGAGGAGCCAAGATGGCCGAATAGAAACAGCTCCGGTCTACAGCTCCCAGCATGAGCGACGCAGAAGACTGGTGATTTCTGCATTTCCATCTGAGGTACCGGGTTCATCTCACTAGGGAGTGCCAGAAAGTGGGCGCAGGTCAGTGGGTGCGTGCACCATGTGCGAGCCGAAGCAGGGCGAGGCATTGCCTCACTTGGGAAGCGCAAGGGGTCAGGGAGTTCCCTTTCCAAGTCACAGAAAGGGGTGACGCACCTGGAAAATCGGGTCACTCCTACCCGAATACTGTGCTTTTCCGACTGGCTTAAAAAACGGCACACCATGAGATAATATCCCGCACCTGGCTCAGAGGGTCCTACGTCCACGGAGTCTCGCTGATTGCTAGCACAGCAGTCTGAGATCAAACTGCAAGGCGGCAGCGAGGCTGGGGGAGGGGCGCCCGCCATTGCCCAGGCTTGCTTAGGTAAACAAAGCAGCTGGGAAGCTCCAAATGGGTGGAGCCCACCACAGCTCAAGGAGGCCTGCCTGCCTCTGTAGGCTCCACCTCTGGGGGCAGGGCACAGACAACAAAAAGACAGCAGTAACCTCTGCAGACTTAAATGTCCCTGTCTGACAGCTTTGAAGAGAGCAGTGGTTCTCCCAGCACGCAGCTCGAGATCTGAGAACGGGCAGACTGCCTCCTCAAGTGAGTCCCTGACCCCTGACCCCCCAGCAGCCTAACTGGGAGGCACCCCCCAGCAGGGGCACACTGACACCTCACAGGGCAGTGTATTCCAACAGACCTGCAGCTGAGGGTCCTGTCTGTTAGAAGGAAAACTAACAAACAGAAAGGACATCCACACCAAAAACCCATCTGTACATCACCATCGTCAAAAACCAAAAGTAGATAAAACTACAAAGATGGGGAAAAAACAGAACAGAAAAACTGGAAACTCTAAAAAGCAGAGCGCCTCTCCTCCTCCAAAGGAACGCAGTTCCTCACCAGCAACAGAACAAAGCTGGATGGAGAATGACTTTGACGAGCTAAGAGGAGAAGGCTTCAGACGATCAAATTACTCTGAGCTACAGGAGGACATTCAAACCAAAGGCAAACAAGTTGAAAACTTTGAAAAAAATTTAGAAGAATGTATAACTAGAATAACCAATACAAAGAAGTGCTTAAAGGAGCTGATGGAGCTGAAAACCAAGGCTCAAGAACTACATGAAGAATGCAGAAGCCTCAGGAGCCGATGCAATCAACTGGAAGAAAGGGTATCAGCAATGGAAGATGAAATGAATGAAATGAAGCGAGAAGGGAAGTTTAGGGAAAAAAGAATCAAAAGAAATGAGCAAAGCCTCCAAGAAATATGGGACTATGTGAAAAGACCAAATCTACGTCTGATTGGTGTACCTGAAAGTGATGCGGAGAATGGAACCAAGTTGGAAAACACTCTGCAGGATATTATCCAGGAGAACTTCCCCAATCTAGCAAGGCAGGCCAACATTCAGATTCAGGAAATACAGAGAACGCCACAAAGATACTCCTCGAGAAGAGCAACTCCAAGCCACATAATTGTCAGATTCACCAAAGTTGAAATGAAGGAAAACATGTTAAGGGCAGCCAGAAAGAAAGGTCGGGTTACCCTCAAAGGGAAGCCCATCAGACTAACAGCGGATCTCTCGGCAGAAACCCTACAAGCCTGAAGAGAGTGGGGGCCGATATTCAACATTCTTGAAGAGAAGAATTTTCAACCCACAATTTCATATCCAGCCAAACTAAGCTTCATAAGCGAAGGAGAAATAAAATACTTTACAGACAAGCAAATGCTGAGAGATTTTGTCACCACCAGGCCTGCCCTAAAAGACCTCCTGAAGGAAGCGCTAAACATGGAAAGGAACAACCGGTACCACCCACTGCAAAATCATGCCAAAATATAAAGACCATCGAGACTAGGAAGAAACTGCATCAACTAACGAGCAAAATAACCAGCTAACATCAAAATGACAGGATCAAATTCACACATAACAATATTACCTTTAAATGTAAATGGACTAAATGCTCCAATTAAAAGACACAGACTGGCAAATTGGATAAAGAGTCAAGACCCATCAGTGTGCTGTATTCAGGAAACCCATCTCACTTGCAGAGACACACATAGGCTCAAAATAAAAGGATGGAGGAAGATCTACCAAGCAAATGGAAAACAAAAAAAGGCAGGGGTTGCAATCTTAGTCTCTGATAAAACAGAATTTAAACCAACAAAGATCAAAAGAGACAAAGAAGGCCATTACATAATGGTAAAGGGATCAATTCAACAAGAAGAGCTAACTATCCTAAATATATATGCACCCAGATTCATAAAGCAAGTCCTGAGTGACCTACAAAGAGACTTAGGCTCCCACACCTTAATAATGGGAGACTTTAACACCCCACTGTCAACATTAGACAGATCAACGAGACAGAAAGTCAACAAGGATACCCAGAAATTGAACTCAGCTCTGCACCAAGCGGACCTAATAGACATCTACAGAACTCTCCACCCCAAATCAACAGAATATACATTTTTTTCAGCACCACACCACGCCTATTCCAAAATTGACCACATACTTGGAAGTAAAGCTCTCCTCAGCAAATGTAAAAGAACAGAGATTATAACAAACTATCTCTCAGACCACAGTGCAATCAAACTAGAACTCAGGATTAAGAATCTCACTCAAAACGACTCAACTACATGGAAACTGAACAACCTGCTCCTGAATGACTACTGGGTACATAATAAAATGCAGGCAGAAATAAAGATGTTCTTTGAAACCAACGAGAACAAAGACACAACATACCAGAATCTCTGGGACGCATTCAAAGCAGTGTGTAGAGGGAATTTATAGCACTAAATGCCCACAAGAGAAAGCAGGAAAGATCCAAAATTGACACCCTAACATCACAATTAAAAGAACTAGAAAAGCAAGAGCAAACACATTCAAAAGCTAGCAGAAGGCAAGAAATAACTAAAATCAGAGCAGAACTGAAGGAAATAGAGACACAAAAAAACCCTTCAAAAAATTAATGAATCCAGGAGCTGGTTTTTTGAAAGGATCAACAAAATTGATAGACCGCTAGCAAGACTAATAAAGAAAAAAAGAGAGAAGAATCAAATAGACACAATAAAAAATGATAAAGGGGATATCACCACCAATCCCACAGAAATACAAACTACCATCAGAGAATACTACAAACACCTCTATGCAAATAAACTAGAAAATCTAGAAGAAATGGTTAAATACCTCGACACATACACTCTCCCAAGACTAAACCAGGAAGAAGTTGAATCTCTGAATAGACCAATAACAGGATCTGAAATTGTGGCAATAATCAATAGCTTACCAACCAAAAAGAGTCCAGGACCAGACGGATTCACAGACGAATTCTACCAGAGGTACAAGGAGGAACTGGTACCATTCCTTCTGAAACTATTCCAATCAATAGAAAAAGAGGGAATCCTCCCTAACTCATTTTATGAGGCCACCATCATTCTGATACCAAAGCCGGGCAGAGACACAACCAAAAAAGAGAATTTTAGACCAGTATCCTTGATGAACATTGATGCAAAAATCCTCAATAAAATACTGGCAAAACGAATCCAGCAGCACATCAAAAAGCTTATCCATCATGATCAAGTGGGCTTCATCCCTGGGATGCAAGGCTGGTTCAATATACGCAAATCAATAAATGTAATCCAGCATATAAACAGAGCCAAAGACAAAAACCACATGATTATCTCAATAGATGCAGAAAAAGCCTTTGACAAAATTCAACAGCCCTTCGTGCTAAAAACTCTCAATAAATTAGGTATTGATGGGACGTATCTCAAAATAATAAGAGCTATCTATGACAAAGCCACAGCCAATATCATACTGAATGGGCAAAAACTGGAAGCATTCCCTTTGAAAACTGGCACAAGACAGGGATGCCCTCTCTCACCACTCCTATTCAACACAGTGTTGGAAGTTCTGGCCAGGGCAATTAGGCAGGAGAAGGAAATAAAGGGTATTCAATTAGGAAAAGAGGAAGTCAAATTGTCCCTGTTTGCAGACGACATGATTGTATATCTAGAAAACCCCATTGTCCCAGCCCAAAATCTCCTTAAGCTGATAAGCAACTTCAGCAAAGTCTCAGGATACAAAATCAATGTAAAAAAATCACAAGCATTCTTATACACCAATAACAGACAAACAGAGAGCCAAATCATGAGTGAAATCCAATTCACAATTGCTTCAAAGAGAATAAAATACCTAGGAATCCAACTTACAAGGGACGTGAAGGACCTCTTCAAGGAGAACTACAAACCACTGCTCAAGGAAATAAAAGAGGATATAAACAAATGGAAGAACATCCCACGCTCATGGGTAGGAAGAATCAATATCATGAAAATGGCCATACTGCCCAAGCTAATTTATAGATTCAATGCCATCCCCATCAAGCTACCAATGACTTTCTTCACAGAATTGGAAAAAACTACCTTAAGGTTCATATTGAACCAAAAAAGAGCCCGCATCACCAAGTCAATCCTAAGCCAAAAGAACAAAGCTGGAGGCATCACACTACCTGACTTCAAACTATACTACAAGGCTACAGTAACCAAAACAGCATGGTACTGGTACCAAAACAGAGATATAGATCAATGGAACAGAACAGAGCCCTCAGAAATAACGCCGCATATCTACAGCTATCTGATATTTGACAAACTGGAGAAAAACAAGCAATGGGGAAAGGATTCCCTATTTAATAAATGGTGCCGGGAAAACTGGCTAGCCATATGTAGAAAGCTGAAACTGGATCCCTTCCTTACACCTTATACAAAAATCAATTCAAGATGGATTAAAGACTTAAATTTTAGACCTAAAAACATAAAAACCCTAGAAGAAAACCTAGGCATTACCATTCAGGACATAGGCATGGGCAAGGACTTCATGTCTAAAACACCAAAAGCAATGGCAACAAAAGCCAAAATTGACAAATGGGATCTCATTAAACTAAAGAGCTTCTGCACAGCAAAAGAAACTACCATCAGACTGAACAGGCAACCTACAAAATGGGAGAAAATTTTTGCAACCTACTCATCTGACAAAGGGCTAGTATCCAGAATCTACAATGAACCCAAACAAATTTACAAGAAAAAAACAAACAACCCCATCAAAAAGTGGGCGAAGGACATGAACAGACACTTCTCAAAAGAAGACATTTATGCAGCCAAAAAACACATGAGAAAATGCTCACCATCACTGGCCATCAGAGAAATCCAAATCAAAACCACAATGAGATACCATCTCACACCAGTTAGAATGGCAATCATTAAAAAGTCAGGAAACAACAGGCGCTGGAGAGGATGTGGAGAAATAGGAACACTTTTACACTGTTGGTGGGACTGTAAACTAGTTCAACCATTGTGGAAGTCACTGTGGCGATTCCTCAGGGATCTAGAACTGGAAATACCATTTGACCCAGCCATCCCATTACTGGGTATATACCCAAAGGACTATAAATCGTGCTGCTATAAAGACACATGCACACATATGTTTACTGCAGCAGTATTCACAATAGCAAAGACTTGGAACCAACCCAAATGTCCAACAATGATAGACTGGATTAAGAAAATGTGGCACATATACACCATGGAATACTATGCAGCCATAAAAAATGATGAGTTCATGTCCTTTGTAGGGACATGGATGAAATTGGAAACCATCATTCTCAGTAAACTATCACAAGAACAAAAAAGCAAACACCTCATATTCTCACTCATAGGTGGGAATTGAACAATGAAATCACATGGACACAGGAAGGGGAATATCACACTCTGGGGACTGCTGTGGGGTGGGGGGAGGGGGGAGGGATAGCACTGGGAGATATACCTAATGCTAGATGACGAGTTAGTGGGTGCAGCACACCAGCATGGCACATGTATACATATGTAACTAACCTGCACAATGTGCACATGTACCCTAAAACTTAAAGTATAATAAAAAAAAAATCTTTCAACAAATTAATAGTTAAAAACTTCCCAAGTCTAACAAGAGATTTATATATCCAAATATAGGAAGCTCAGAGATTCCTAAACAGATACAACCTAAAAATGTCTTCTCCAAGGGGCGTTATAGTCAAACTGTCAAAAGTCAAAGAAATAATTCTAAAAACAGCAAGAGAAAAGCATCTAGTCACATACAAGGTAACTCCCATCAGAGTAATAATGGATTTCTCAGAAAAAACTTTACAAGCCAGGAGAGAATTAAATGATATATTCAAAGTGCTGGGTGGGGGAAATCCTGCCAGACAAGAAAACTACATTCAGCAAAGTTATTCTACATAAATAAATAAAAAATATAGTATTTCCCAGAAAAGCAAAACTGAGGATACTGATCACCACTAGACCAGTCCTACAAGAAATGCTTAAGGGAGTCCTACACCTGGAAGCAGAAGAAAAATATCTGCCATCATGAAAATGCACAAAAGTATAAAACTCACTGATAGAGCAAATATGCAAATGAGGAACAACAAGACACAAATGTCACCACTACAAGAAACGGAAAACCACCAAACAGTAATAATAAACAATAAGAAAGAAAAGAAGAAAGGATATATGAAACAACCAGAAAACAATTAACAAAATGACATGAATAAGTCCTCATGTACCAATAATAACCTTGAATATAAACCAATTAAATTTTTCAATTAAAAGATATAGACAGGCTGAATAAATTTCTTTTTAATGATCCAGCTATATGCTGCCTACAGGAAATTTATTTTGCCCAAAGTCACATATAGACTGAAGTAAAGGCATGGAAAGATTCCACACAAGTAAAGATCAAAAAAGAGCAAGAGTAGTGATATTTATATCAGATAAAACAGACTTTAAGTAAAAAACAGTAGGTCATTATATAGGAATAAAGGGATCACTTCAGCAGGAGGATATAACTATTCTAAATATATATGCACCCAATACTGGAACACCTAGATATTTAAAGTAAATATTACTAGATCTAAAGAGAGTGATGGGCTCCAATACATAATAATAGCTGGGGGCTTCAGCATCCCCTTCTCATGATTAGACAGATCATCTAGACAAAAAAAAAAAAAAATCAACAAATAACCTTATATTTAAACTGCACTTTAAACCAAATGGACCTAATAGACATTTACAGAACATTTCATCCAAGAGCTACAAAACACACATTCCTATTGTCACCACATGGAACATTCTCCAAAATAGACCATATGTTAGGAAACAAAAGTCTCAGCAAATTTATAAAAATTGAAATCATATCAAGTATCTTCTCAGTCTGCAATGGAATAAAACCAGAGTAACAAGAGGAACTTTGAAAGCTATACAAATACATGAAAATTAAACAACAAGCTCCAACCATTGGGTCAATGGAGGAATAACCAAAGAAAAAAATTTCTTGAAACAAATAAAAATGGAAACACAACACACCGAAACATATGGGATACAGCAAAAGCAGTGCTAAGAAGGAAGTGTATAGCAATAAATGCCTACATCAAAGAAGTAGAAAGATTTCAAATAAACAATGTAATAATGCACCTCTAGGAAATAGAAAAGCAAGAACAAACCAAGCCATAAATTAGAAGAAAGCAATAATACAAATCAGAGCCCAGCTAAATAAAATAGAGACTATAAAAACAAGACAAAGGATCAACAAAATAAAAAGTTAGTTTTTTGAATAGGTAAAAATGGATAGGGGTTGCAAAAAAGAAAAAAAATTGATAAACCACTAGCTAAACTAACCAAGCAAAAAAAGAGAAATGAGACAGATAAAAATTAGAAACAAAAAGTGTACATTACAACAGATACCACAGAAATACAAAAGATTATCGGAGGCTACCATGAACAACTGAACAACTACGCTCTAACAAACTGGAAAACCTAGAGGAAACGGATACATTTTTGGACAAATACAACCTACCAAGATTAAATCAGGAAGAAACAGAATACCTGCACAGACCAATAATGAGTAAGAGATTGAATCAGAAATAAAAAGTCTCCCAAGAAAGGAAAGCCCAGGATCAGATGGCCTTACCGCCAAATTCTACCAAACTTATAAAGGAGAACTAATACCAATTCTCCTACACTATTCCAAAAAAAAAAAAAAAAATTGAGAAGGAAGGATTCTCCCTAACTCATTCTATAAGGCCAACATTACCCTGATACCAAAACCAGACAAGGACCCAACAAAAAAATGAAAACTACAGGCCAATGTCCTTGATGAATTGAGGCACAAAAATTATCAACAAAATACTATCCAACTGAATCCAACAGTACATACACATACACAATGAAGTAGGATTTATCTTAAGGATATGAGGACGGTTCAACATACACAAATCTATAAATGTGATACATCACATCAACACAATGAAGGACAAAAATTATATCATAATATCAACAGATGCTGAAAAAGCATTTGATAAAGTTTAACATTCCTTCATGATGAAGGCTCTCAACAAACTACGCATAGAGGGACCATACCTCAACATAATAAAGGTCATATATGACAAACACAGAGCTAACATATTGAATGAGAAAAAGCTGAAAACATTTCCCTTAAGAAGTGGAACAAGACAAGGATATCCACTCTCACCACTCCTATTCAACATAATATAGAGGTCCTAGCCAGAGCAATAAGGCAAGAGAACAAAATAAAAGGCATTTTCTTTTATTTCCAAATTGGAAAAGAGGAAGTCAAATTGTCATTCTTTCCTGATGATATGAACTTAGATTTAGAAAAACCTAAAGACCCCAGCAAAAACCCTGAGATCTGACCAACAAACTCAATGAAGTTTTAGGATACTAAATCAACATTAAAAAATCAATAGCATCTCTATACACCAATATTGAACTATATGAAAAAAATTAAAGAGGCAATCCTATTTACAATAGCTACAAAAAATAAAATACCTAGGAATAGATTTAACCAAGGAGGTAAAACACCTCTACAAGGAAAACTATAAAATACTGATGTCAACAATTAAAGAGGACACAAACATATGGAAAATCATCTTATGCTTATGGATCAGAATAATAATATTGTTAAAATGACCATACTACCTATGCAATCTACAGATTCAAAGCAATCCCTATTTAAATACCAATGACATTCTTCACAATCCTAAAATTAGCCTACATAACCAAAGCAATCCTGAGCAAAAAAATAGAAAGCTGGAGGTATCACATTAACAGACTTCAAAATATATTACAAGGCTATAGTAACCAAAACAGCATGAAAATCATATAAAAACAGACATGTAGACCAATGGAACTGACTAGAGAATCCAGAAACACATCCATCTATTTACAATGTCTAGTTTTCAAAAAAGAGGCCAAGGGCATACACTGGGGAAAGGACAACTCTTCAATAAATGATGCTGGAAAAATTGAATTTCCATATGCAGAAGAACAAAACTGGACTCCTATCTCTCACTATATAAAAAAATCAACTTCACATGAATTTTAAATCAATCTATTGAGATCATCATATTTTTGTCCTTTATTGTGTTCATGTGATGTATCATGTTTGTTGATTTGTGTATATTGAACCATCCTTACATCCCTAGGATAAATCCCACTTGATCATGTATGTATATGTGCTGCTGGATTCAATTTGCTAGTATTTTGTTCAGGATTTTTTGTGCCTATCTTCATCAGGGATATTGGCCTGTTGTTTTCTTTCTTTCCTTTTTTTTTTTTTTTTTTTTGATGGGACCTTGTAAATTCTTACTTCAATGTAAGATTTGAAACTATAAAACTATTAGAAGATAACAGGGGAAACACTTCAAGACATTAGTCTAGGTGATGACTTTATGGCTAAAACCTCCCTCAAAACCACAGGGAACAAAAACAAAAACAGACAATTGAGACTATATTAAACTAAAAAGCTTCTGTGCAGCAAAGGAAACAGCAGAGTAAAGAGACAACTTGTTGAATGAGAGAAAATATTTGCAAACTATATGTAGACAATTGAGACTATATTAAACTAAAGAGCTTCTGCATAGCAAAGGAAACAGCAGAGTGAAGAGACAACCTGTTGAATGAGAGAAAATACTTGCAAACTAGTTATATGACAAAGGGCTAATATCTAGAATATACAAGGAACTCAAATAACACAACAGTAGAAAAACAACCCCATTAAAAAGCTGGCAAAGGACATGAAGAGACATTTCTCAAAAAAAGACCTACAAATGGTCAACAAATACGTGAAAAAATGCTCAATATCATTAATCATCAGAGAAATGCAAATCAAAACCACAATGAGATATCATCTTAATACGGTTAGAATGGCTAATATCAAAAAGACAAAAAAAAACTGTACTGGGGAGGATGAGGAGAAAAAGAAATCTTATACACTGTTGGTGAGAATGTAAATTAGTCCAGCCATTATGGAAAACAGTATGGAGAATGGAGATTTATCAGAAAACTAAAAATAGAATTACCATATGATCCAGCAATCCCACTAATGAGTATTTATCCAAAGGACAGAAAAATTAGAATATCAAAGGGATAATGCTCCCACATGTTTATTTCAGCACTACTCATATAGCAATGATATGAAATCAACCTAAGTGCCCATCAACAGATGAATGAATAAAGAAATGTGACATATATACACAATGAAATACTTTTCAGTCATAAAAAAGGAATGAAATCCTGTCATTTGCAGTAATGTGGATGGGACTGGAAGTCATTATGTTGAGTGAAATAAGCCAGGCACAGAAAGACAGATATCACATGTTCTCACACATATATATGAAGAAGCTAAAAAAAACTGATCTCATGGAAGTAGAGAGTAGAATGATAGTTACCAAAACCTGGGAAGGGTTGCTAGAGTGGGTGGGAGGGATGAAGAGAGGTTGGTTAATGTGTGCCAAATACAGTTAGATAAAAGGAATACATTCTAGTGTTTACAGATAACTATAGTCACAGACTATAGTTGACAACAATGTAGTGTATATTTCAAAACAGGTAGAAGAGAGCTCTTGAAATGTTTCCAACACATAGTAATGATAAATGCTTGAGGTGATAGATACCCTGAATACCCTGACTTAATCGTTACACATTCTGTGCATGTAACAAAATATCACATGTACCCCACTAATACTAGGTATTCATAAAAAAAAGAAATAAAGGAACACTATTGTGTTGAGAGCCAGACATTCTTGAAGTGACATGTAAAAGTCACTTGGCAAAGGAAAGCATTATTAACAATTAGATGCAAAAGTTTGGAGCTGTGATAAAGAGTGGTTTTCTACAATTTCTCACTTTGAGTTTCATAGATTCTGGCAGCAGTCTTTAGAAAGAAGGCATAATATCACATTCACTTGTAATTTACTGTTGAAAACAGGCTGTGTGAAAATGATTCTCATCAGTGGCTACTGAAACCCCAGGACAGCCACTCTAGTGATAAGATGGACATCACACCCCTGAGGCCCATCACCTTCCATTTCAGAGTTACAGAAGAGCTAGCAACAAGGATTGTCACCTTGAGGTCTGAGTACTCAGGAATGTTTGTGGAGTGAATTATTCTGAGTGAATGAATAAATGAGGCGCTCAGAAAAGAAACTCAAGTGGAACTATCCTCCACTTTGATTTTGTTGTTTACTTCCTGCTCAGGCCTCAGTGTAACTATGAAAAAAACATTTTCTTAATGGCTTATTAGACATTAGTACCTAGTCAAAGTCAAGCTTGTTTGAAAATAGACTTTATTTTCCATTTTCAAATTCTAATTAGCTTCATATTAAATAACTGATTTTTATTCATAGACTACAGAAGTCAGACTATCACATTCTAAATTAGAATTAAGATTTCCCCAAGGAGACGATTCAGAATAGAATGTGATGTGGTGCATGCTTTCCTTCCTTCCCCTTCTCCCTTGTAAGTGTAATCTTTTTAGAGGAATTTACTGTTAATCCTATAATGATGCCTGAAGGAAAATCAGTGAGGATAGAGTAGGTCTGATTGTTCTAACCATAAATACTATCAGTTAGAGCTAGAAATAACTTTGGGAAACCATCACCACCAAAACTATGGTTAAACTAAAACTAACACAATACAATTTGAAGTGGGTGAATGACTGTGGTTCAGACAACAGTTTTCTCTTTATTGCAGGTTTATAGGCAGAGGTCACTACAGAGTCAACCATCGTGGTTTCTGACAAGCCTTTTCCAGCTCTGCAGTCCAGAGATCCTGAACACGATCATCTTCTCTATGTAATTTCCCATTCCCTTAAAATTCCCTTGGATTCACTTTGCGGAGGGCAGAGAGGTGTGCTTGATATGGTGTTTTCTTCATCTGAGGCCAAAAGATGGAGCATCAGGGTAGAAGGAGAAATTCTTAGAGGAAGCAGGAAAGAGGAGTCCGAGTTGACCACTGGATGTTTTTTTCTCCTAATAATGGTGCCCAAACTTCTTTTTCACCAAGGCTGAATGGCCATCCGCAAAATCTCCAACCTAAGAGACGGTTTCATCTACTTCCAGGCAAAACTGACAATGTGAAAATACCGGAGTCACTGAGCAAATTCACTCCAGCCTGTGCTGACTGAGACTTACATCTTACAATTAAGCAGTGTTTTGTCCTGCCTTACAAATCAGTAGTTTCCTTATTGCTTAACATAAATACATCTTATCAAAAGGAAAAACAAAATCTTCATAAAATAATAAAACTATATAATGCTACTTGATACTGCTCTATCACAATTTGAGAATATCAAACATGAATTGAGTAATCATCATTTATGGGAAAGGAGAAGTGATTTGAAATAGTGATATTGCCTGGCCCTTCAATTTATAAAGTCACAATGTAAGAAGAAATGGCGAAATACAGAAGGAAATTGAGTTACAGACTAACCCAGGAGGCTGACAAGTAAAATCCAGAGCGTTCTGGGTTCTGTGCTGCTTCCATGTCCTCAAGGGAGCACATCACTCTCACTGTAGTAGACACTACTATACAGTACCCATTCTCCCCTTCTTTCTTACTTTAGGGGAAGCAGTTGTGTTCAGGTTAAACACACACCACCACCACCATTTTCTGGCTTTACTTGTAACTCCAGATGTCCATGTGACACAGTTGCGATTTAAGATGTAAGCGGTGTGTGATAGGGTGGGTTCCTGGAAAACGTTGTTTAAAGGGAGTAAATGTGGCCAGCCCGTGCCTCTTTCCCTTCATCCTTTTCCTCCTTTCCTGAAGACACCGTGTTGGGAAATAGAGGAGCCATCTTACAATCATGAGGAAGAGTAGCTGAACTAAGGGTGTCAGGGCAAAAGAAAAAAGCCCTGTGTGTTTCAGCAGGTGTCATTCTGATCATTTGAGCCCAACACAGTCTCTAATTGACACACTCATCTCTGTAAATGAGGAACCTCCTGGAAACTGACCAGAGTCACACACGATACGTAAAAGAGCCATGATTCAAGTCCACGTCTATTTTCCAGGCGCCCATTCTTTTTCTTCTTTGTCCCTACTGTTTGCCTCTGCTTCCTCAGTTGAGACCTAGAACTTATGGTGTTTTCTAGTAGCTCACAACTCCTGGTAAAAGTTCCTGAAAATGATTCATTTCACAATACTAAATGACAGACTTAACCTCCTGTTTGATCTTGTCATGCCAAAGTGAGTTCAAAGGTATTCTTTGAACTAGTCCTCATTGAAACATTGAAGGAAATTCAGAGCAAGCTTCCTAAAGAACAGGGCATTAGTACTGGGCTGTGAAGGTTTCAGGGATTTCGACCACTGAGGTCATAGAAGGAAAGGCATTTCAAGCAAAGAGGACACTTTGAGTGAAAGCATAAAGAAGGTCAACCCCAGTTTGGCAGGAGCAAAGGATACGTAAAGAGCTATACTCACTTTTTTAAAGTTTTTATGCACTAAATATTTCCAAAAATGATTCTGGAGGTGACATACAGTAAACAATGGAAATTCAATAAAACCGCAAAACCAAAATAAAAATGGGAATTATTTATAGTGCTGAATAATAAACCTGGTAGAAGATACTAGTACCAGACAACCTAAACTAAGGAAATCTTCAGCAGCTGAGTGCAAAACTGAATTTAACTTTCCGGCAGCAAAAGCAAAAAAACAAGAATGTAATGTGTTGTATTGTAGCATCAATAAATGGCAGAAACAGTTTTCCAAGAATTGAAAGCACTTACTGAGTATCAATTACACTGTAGGTTATTTTTAATCTATGTGCAGAACTGCAAGCCTGGGAATTTTGTTCAATGCAGTGAGGCTAAATAGACAGGAAAGGTTGAAAACTACTGTACTAGGAGATGGAGGTACAAAGAGGAATAAGACACAGAACCTGCCTTCTAGAAATTTCTAATCCTAGATGAGGGAGATGAAGAAATGAAGGCTTATTGGGTACAAACTATGTAATGGGCATCTTTAATCTCATTAAGTCTTAGTAAATCCTCAACACATCGCCTCAAGAGTAGCTGTTATTTATTAATTGTCCCACTGGCAGATAGGAAAACTAAGTTGTTGAGAGGTAGAGTGCATGGCCAATGGCACAAAGCTAGTAAGAGATGGAATCAAAAATTAATCTCAGAACCATTTGATGCCTTAAATCACATGCTCTTGACCCAGAAGTTTCTAAGTGTAAGAATAGCAAATGAATCTTTTTCTTTTCAGGTGGGGGTACACACTCTTGTCCTAGTGTCTTCTCCCAAGTCCCTTTCCATGCGGGGCGATCCCCAGAGACCCCAGCTTGTGCAATTTAGATCCACAGGGCCAAATGATGTCTCTCTCCAAATTTAGATTTTCCTGGCTCTGATTGCTGAGGTTATCCCATGCAGAACATCACAGTCAGAGGATTATAGATAACACTATAATGGGTTCCTCTTCAGCATCACTGTAATCATCAGTGTAGATTCCTTCTTTACATGGTCATTCTTCCACTGACACGCCTAAAAGCCAAGGACGCACTGCTAAATTGTAAAGCTTTCAAAGCACTTATTTGGAGATCTCAGGTTATGTAAGGTTTAGATAGTCTGGTGCAAACTGGAGGAAAGTTAGGCATATAATTAGCATGTTCAAGAATCTGTATTAATTTTTCATTGAATACGTATGTTTTCAGGATATGGAAAGTGAAAGTGTTGATATTAGAATCACTAAGAATAAGCTGAAGGTATCCTAGAGCTGATTTAAAGTAGTTCCAAGCTAAAGATTCTAGGCTTGTAGGAAGGAAGGCTGACATTTAGGAGTAAAAATCAGAGAATCTGATTTGTTTTCTAGCTATATCACAGGTTTGCATGATTGAGCATGACTCAAGTGGTTTTCCAAATGTCTGAGTTATAATACATGAATAAGATGAACTGGGCCTGGAGATTTTGAGGCTAGGAGTTACACATTATGTCCCTCCATCATCAAAGACTCCTGGAATACAGTGTGGTTTTAGATTAATTCGTGTATTCCCAGGCTCTACTCTGATCCTGGGTCTTCATATAAGAAGGAATCATAACACAGGTCCCTTATTTTTAAAATCCTTTTGGAGATTCACATAGCCCTAGACAGGAATTGGGAGGATTTTTTGTTTGTTTGTTTTTTGGGGTTTTTTTTCCAGTTTTTTTTAATTGGGAGTTTTAAAAACCTGCACAAAGGGAACAAGGCATTCTTCTTAGTCTCATTCTGATAGAAGAAGAGTCAAGTATTAATCAAGTATGATCAGAAGTTCAGCTGCACAAACCAAAATAAAGAATCACAAATCCTTGACTAGTATCGGATTCAAGCTTGTGGCACAGAGTCCAGGAGAGTAGGCTCTGGAAACCCCCACCTATTTGCTGCTCATGAAGGGCAGCCAAATACCCAGGGATTGTGTTTGTCAGAAACCATGGTCTTGAGTTCTGAGATCTCCTGGTGGTTTAGCTTATAGATCTCCTGAATTACTAAGACTGTTCATTTTCTATCTGGGGACTCTCAGTCTTTTTATACATTAAGTATCTCTATTAGGAGAAATGACCTGGTACGATGGTATATTAGGAGGAAGGTTTCACCTGAGACAGAGAGACTATGTAGGCAGCTATTGCAAGGGTTCAAAGGAAAATAATAAGGAACCGAATTAGGGTTGGGAAATAAAAACAAGGATGAGAAAGAGATAAAATAGAGTTATCAGTGGGTTTGGCATAAGAAAGGAGCTTGGTGGAGAGAAATTCTTAAGAAATCACAGGACTCATAATACCTATACCAATTGTGGAAAATTGTTAAAATTCAACAGAATAAAAGACTTTATGGACAAATATAGTTGTACTATTATTTTAAGCAGAAATTTATAAATAACTGAAATTTCCAATGACAGGGAAATAGGTAAGTCAACTATAGTGAGAATGAAGTAGAACATTTAATGATCCTATTATATGCCTGAAGTCAGGAAAAAGTAGAACCTGAAGTCCAAAGTCCTCCTGAGTTCACTTGACTGTCTTAACCTGTCTATTGTTGAAGCCAAGGTTGTGGGTCAGGTAGGGTGTTCAGGAATCTGGGAGGGATGTGAGTGTGCAGCATGAACTGAAAGGCTGGTCCAGACACTCCAACCCAACACATTGCTCCAGGAAGGCCCGCCATAGAGAGAGAGGCGGGACCTAAGGACGTCAGAGCAATCGAGCTCAGGGAGAAAGAAAAAGGCAGAAGTTAAGGGGTTTTCAGGGAGAGATTGCGGCCTCACCTATGAGTGGAGAGGGGGAAATTAGAAGTTCATAACTAATATGAACAGTCATTTCTTGACCTAAGAAATGGAATAGGGAACTCACTATGCAACCATATGCTTTTCTCATACGTCTCCCACAAAATGCATTTCCAGTGGCCACATGATACCAGCAGAGCTGTGGGAGAGGCACAGTGCTGAAAGGAGCGTAATTCCATCTCAAAGTTGTGCCAACCCCAGGGGCTCTGTTTTCCATGGCACTGAAAGTCAAGTATTAACCAGGACCCAGATAAGCTGAAGCCCTTTATGTAACCATACTTTTTTATAGTGTAGTCCAGATAACAAGCACGTATGAAGAATGTATTTGGCAACAAAGTAAGAACTTCTAGTGTGGTGCTATGTATGCCAAAAGTGTTGTGGTATAATCTTTGTGTGAGTATTGTACCTTCAGGCTTTAAAACTCTTAAGGGATCCACATTTGCCTGCTACAGGAAGGAGGATGTGGAGAGTTATGCAATCATTCACTGTAATATAAGAGGCCCCACGGTGCACAGGAAAGAGTCCTGAGTTTGAAGTCAGACCAGGGTAACTTTACTAGCTGTATGACCTCAGAAACATCATTCAAAATGACACTTTCCTTCTATATAAAATGAGGCTAATAGTGCTTCTAGCATCTTTCAGAATTATTTTAACAACTGTGAAATATTAAAAATAAAAATATTAAAATCTCTATAAAAGTATCTATAAAGAACTACATAAAATAATATTAAAATAATGTACTAAAGCCTGTTTCGGCCTATTACAGAGACTCCTAAACATTACAGATAGGTTCTAGGGTTACATACCACTTATTCCCAAACCTAAAAATCTAGCCAACTTCTTTTCTAAGTTCAAAGCCTTATCTAAATATTTCACAAGAGTCACACTGAAAATGCCATAAACTCACCTCAAAGTCAATCCCTCCTCCTGTTTTCTCTTTCTTAATGAATCATATAACCATCCGCCCAAGGTCACAAATCAGAAACTTGAAAGTTGTTCTGCTTCCCTCTCCTGTTTACTCCTAAATTCTATTGATGCAAATACCATTTGTACCTGTCTCTATCATCAGGCCTTAGTTGATTTCTTGCTTCTTACCTCTGTTTATCCTTCCGCTAGTCTCTTACCCTTGCTGTTGCAATTGATAGCTTTCTAAAGTTTAAGTCCAAATATGACGCTCTCCTAAAATTCTTTCATGGCTTGCCGTGGTTCTCAGTACAACCCCAATCCCTTTCACAAAGCTCACTAAGCCCTTTGTGATGGTCCCTGTACTCCTCCCAAGGGTCTCATTTACTTATCTCTCCTCTGCTCCAAAATCCAGATGCACTGATCTGCAGTTCCCTGAATGTGCCGTCTCTCCATGTGAATGTACTGTTAATTCTGTTCCTGGAATACTGTTCTTATTTAGCTTACTCTTACAAGTCTTTAAGGTTCAGTTTAAATACCATCTCTTCCAGCAAACCACCGCACACCACTCCAGTACACACACACATACACATACACATGTAGTCCTGGCACCTCCATAGCCATAGTCTCCATAACATTTCTCGTATTGCAATTTTTGTTTCTTCTCTGTCTGTTTTCTTTACCAGATGAACTCCTTAAGGGCAAGTACTGAGACTTTCATAGTTTTCTCTCCAACAACTTATTCTGTGCCTGGCATAAAAATGGGTAACCCTGACCAGATGTTAAGCATTGAAGGGATCCATCTAAAGAGAATCTTCTTTTGGACCCCTGCTCAGACAGGCGAAGGGTCTCTTTAACTAGGCATGAACTTAAGAATGGCCAGCAGATGGATACAAAGAGTTCAACGATTTAATCATAGGGCCTCTCTTATACCTATGACATTTTAAAGGAAAGCATCTGGCTATCCTTCAGATTCACAACTGAAAAGCAGCCACAGCAAGCAGGGGAAGGTCTTTGATATTAGACTAATAACCAAAAGAGAAGTTAATGGGAGAGTTTGTTCTCATGGCCTTGAGCACAGCTAGCCCTTCAAGTAGAAGTAGGTGAAAAGTCCAAAGGAGTCAGAAGGGCCAAAGAGAGACCCAACTCTTGTAGGATCAGGCTTTTAATCCCTTAACTTAGCACAGGGGAAAAACCTCCCAGCTCTGCAAGCTAACAAAATACTCTTGCTCTTGAGGGTAACACAATACTCTTTCCCTTATGCTGGGGGAGAGAAAGAGGAAGAGAAGCATTGAACATTTCCTTAGAAATCTACTCCTTGCTTAAGAAATTATGGAAACCTACTTCCTGAAAAACAATTCCAGTCTTCATTAAAATCATGATGAAAATAGTACTGATATCTTGATACACGCAGGCACTACATAGAAATCCCAGGAGATGTGCTCTGTCCACATTAGATCTTGCTGTCTAAGGAGCCATCCCTACCCCACAAGTTGTTCTCTGCCCACCCTTTGATGGAGACACATACATGCAATCTACCACTCCTGTGAGTATCATGGTATCCAACACAGCACAAACATTATTCAGAAAGCCAATGCCCATTCTCCCATCTATGTTAGCAGAATGAATAGATAGCTTGTTTAGATGGAGCAAGAAATAGGCAGTGAGGGACATTTGCTCAATTTTTTTTTCTGCACTGTATTTTTTTTTCTCCATCAATTATATTTCAGGCAGGTGGCAGAATCAAGATGCATACCAATGCACAAGTTGTGCGACCCCTGCCATTCTCTTGGTTGCCAAAGATGGAAATCATAACCTGGGTCTGCTGTCAACATTTTAGTAAATTCTTAACAGACTGAAAATGTATAGTTGTGTCAGTGTTTCTTGCTCTGGGCTTCATCCACATTCGTCTTAATGAGATGGCTCCAGGGAAAGAACGAAAAACCAAAGAAGATAAAGATGCTGTTATTATTTGTTGAGAATAATCATTTAGAAAACATTTTCATTTACAGAAATGTAGCTGGGAAATACGCAAAAGAGTTCCAATTATATTAAGGGATTAAGAAAGGAATCTAGAGTGAAGAGAATATGAGAATCCTTGTGATTTAAGTCTTTCTTTTTGTATATTATACATAAAAATTTGTATAATGAGCATATATTTATAATTGCTAAATTTTGCAAATAAAAATAGAAGATGTCCAGTTAAATTTAAATATCTGATAAACAATGAATATTTTTTAGTGTATGTCCCAAAGATTGCTTGGGACATACATATACCAAAAAATTATTCGTTGTTTATCTGAAACTCAAATTTAGCTAGTCATCCTCTTTTTAACCTGGCAATCCTACATGTAATTAGTGGTAGTAGTTAAAAAGAAAAAATAACATACAGAGAACATAGAAAATGCTAGCAGCGGTTCTTTCCACATGATGGAATTTCTGCTTTTATTTTCATTAAACTTTTCAGAAATTTCCAGATTTCTTGCCATAATTTTTATAATCAGAAATAAAATGCAAATGATAGTTTTTTTGAAAAGAATCTGTGTCCAGTCAGGCCAATATTTACATAAGTTGTATTCAAAGACAACCCAGTTATTTAGAAAACAGAATCTAGGTTCCTCTTTTAGATAGTGAGCAGAAGGACTAACCAGGTATAAGAATCTATAATTGTCCACACACGAGATGGAGAGCAAGCATTTGATTTAACCCAGGAATTCAAAATATGAAGAAGCTTTTCTTCCACTAAGAAAAAATATACCAGCCTGGCCAACTTGGTGAAACCCATCTCTACCAAAAAATACAAAAATCAGCTGGGAGTGGTGGCATGCATCTGTAGTCCCAGCTAATTGGGAGGCTAAGGTGGGACAATCACTTGAACCTGGGAGGCAGAGGTTGTAGTGAGCCAAGATCATGCCACTGTACTCCAGCCTGGGTGACAGGAGACCCTGTCTCAAAAAAAGAAAAGAAAAAACAAAGGCTCACACCTGTAATCCCAACACGTTGGGAGGCCAAGGCAGGAGGATTGCTTAAGCCAGGATTGCTTGAGGCCAGCCTAGGCAACATAGCAAACCCCCATCTCTATAAAAAAATACAGAAATTAGCCAGGCATAGTGGTGCATCCCTGCAGACCTGGCTACTCGGGAGGCTGAGGTGGGAGGCTCGCTTGAGCCCAGGAGGTCGAAGCTGCAGTGAGCTATTATCAAGCCACAGCACTCCAGCCCCGGTGACAGAGGAAGACGTTGTCTCTCAAAAGAATACAAAAAGAAAGAAAGAAAAAATATGTCTATCTATCATGGAGCATTCCTGTCAATGAAAGTCCTGGAGCATGATGCATAGGGAAGCAGGAACTATCATTCAAAAGTGAAAAGGAGAATAGTAAGATTTTGAGATTTTAATCATCAAAGCATACAAATTAGAAAAGTATGCATTCAAATTTCCTAATATATGATCCATCAATGCTTGTGTTTGAACTTGCACTGAACTTGTACCTTTTCTTTAAATTCAGTCACTGTCCTATGTAAGCGGCCAGTTAAAAAAACAAAACAAAGCAAACCTCATGTTTACGGGCAATGATCTTCCAACTTCAACGTTACAGACCAGGAAACCATTGAGTCTTTGCAGGCAAGCTTTTCAGAATCATGAATATTTGAGTAAAATTGCTTTATTGTTAGTAATAAAAACCTCAAGTTATTTTTTCCATGACTTAAGAAATAGCATCAAAGAACTTTCATTAATATTCCACTTAAGTCAAAATCAGACACAAAATTTGTTTTGATTTATATTCATTTTTAAATTATTTTCACTTCATGGAATGATCTGTTGAAATTTGATGGCCTCTGTGATTTTATAAATCACCCCAGGAAATGGTTCCTCACAAATTTGTTGGGATTCTTAATAAGTTTACATGATTAATGATGATTAAAGGTTATTAAGAACTTAACATGATAAATATTAAATATCCATTCTGGTAATTACTGGCTCTTATTCAGAGTCATTTTTGCAATGAGAGATGCTGTGAATGGTGTCTGGAGGGAAACAAAAATGTCAAACACAGCCCTGCTTTTTAATAATAGCCTTAAGCTTCAACTTCTAATTTTCACTGAACAGTTTTCTAAAGCCACCTGAATCCCCCAGTAGGAGGATACATATGAAGAAGATCTTAGTAATGATAGGCAAGCTGTATCACCACTAGATAGTAGTGATTGGGCGGAGCCCTGACAACCTCACCTCCTGAGCCTTCTTTTCTGATTAACCCTGTTTCCACCACTTAGAGGTGTGTGAATCAGGAAGACTATTTTAACCTCTTTGTGGCTCAACTTCCTTGTCTTTAAAATAGGGATTTTCCAAACTTGCAGATTTATTATGAAGGTTAAACTAAACATTGCACAGAAAATGCATAGTGCACTTTAAAAAAAGAAAAGGGCACTGAATAACTAGAAACTGTTCATTTTATTTGCCCCCCTCCCAAGAGGATGTCTCGGAAAAGAAAATATGAGTCCTGCTTTGCCTGTGATTCTCAGAGGCTCTATACTTCACAGTCCATTTTCCAGGGCCTGTAGTCACCTCTTCTTTGGACCCCAAGAGAGACATATACTTTATGAAATTACCAAGCAGAACTAGGTCGACCAGTGTGAAGATCATGATAACAAGAGATTTTACCAGATGATTTCTCCCTTTGGGAATCTCTAGAATTTTTAACCTGTCCGTAGTTCCCTTCATTGCTACATGGCACCACTTCAGGCCAATGTCCCTTGAAGGTGTCAGGCCACGTGGCCAGAGCGTGGGGAATGGCTCTCTGTTCTGGTAAACAGAGCCTGCAAGTATCTCTGGATTTTGGAGGATGGAGGAAGGGAAGAGCTTTTTACCAGAAGCAGCTGGTAGAACTGGTGTTTCATCGTGCGCCATTTAACACACGGAGCCAGGGATGGGCCTGCACAGTCATGCACAAGGCTAGGCTGTCACCCGTTTAGACGCTGTCTCTCATGTCACTGCTGGAAAAGTCTGCTCTTCCTTATCTAAGTCAACACATAACTGGGATGAAGCTGTTGGAATGGAACAATATGTGATGATACTAGTTTGTGGAGTATTTTCCTCTCCCTGTATTTTCCCCTTTCCTTTCCCCACTTTCAAACCAGTAGTAGGCTCTGGTCTTATTGTCTTAGGATAGCAGGTCGGGCTCTGAGTATGTTTTGGAGGATGGAGGAAGGGTAGAGCTTGTATCAGAAACAACCTGCAAGTATCTCTGGATTTTGCATTCTAAAAGTCTAAACATTTTTTTTTAATTATACTTTATAGGGTACATGTGCACAACGTGCAGCTTTGTTACATATGTATACATGTGCCATGTTGGTGTGCTGCACCCATTAACTGGTCATTTACATTAGGCATATCTCCTAATGCTATCCCTCCCCCCTCCCCCCACCCCACAACAGGCCTTGGTGTGTGATGTTCCCCTCCCTGTATCCAAGTGTTCTCATTGTTCAATTCCCACCTATGAGTGAGAACATGTGGTGTTTGGTTTTTTGTCCTTGTGATTGTTTGCTGAGAATGATGGTTTCCAGCTTCATCCATGTCCCTACAAAGGACATGAACTCATCATTTTTTATGGCTGCATAGTATTCCATGGTGTATATATGCCACATTTTCTTAATCCAGTCTATCCTTGATGGACATTTGGGTTGGTTCCAAGTCTTTCCTATTGTGAATAGTGCCGCAATAAACATACGGGTGCATGTGTCTTTATAGCAGCATGATTTATAATCCTTTGGGTATACACCCAGTAATGGGATGGCTGGGTCAAATGGTATTTCTAGTTCTAGATCCTTGAGGAATCGCCACACTGTCTTCCACAATGGTTGAACTAGTTTACAGTCCCACCAACAGTGTAAAAGTGTTCCTATTTCTCCACATCCTCTCCAGCACCTGTTGTTTCCTGACCTTTTAATGATCGCCATTCTAACTGGTGTGAGATGGTATCTCATTGTGGTTTTGATTTGCATTTTTCTGATGGCCAGTGATGATGAAAATTTTTTCATGTGTCTGTTGGCTGCATAAATGTCTTCTTTTGAGAAGTGTCTGTTCATATCCTTTGTCCATTTTTTGATGGGGTTGTTTGTTGTTTTCTTGTAAATTTGTTTGAGTTCTTTGTAGATTCTGGATATTAGCCCTTTGTCAGATGAGTAGTTGCAAAATTTTTTCTCCCATTCTGTAGATTGCCTGTTCACTCTGATGGTAGTTTCTTTTGCTGTGCAGAAGCTCTTTAGTTTAATTAGATCCCATTTGTCAATTTTGGCTTTTGTTGCCATTGCTTTTGGTGTTTTAGACATGAAGTCCTTGCCCATGCCTATGTCCTGAATGGTATTGCCTATGGTTTCTTCTAGGATTTTTATGGTTTTAGGTCTAATGTTTAAGTCTTTAATCCATCTTGAATTAATTTTTGTATAAGGTGTAAGGAAGGGATCCAGTTTCAGCTTTCTACATATGGCTAGCCAGTTTTCCCAGCACCATTTATTAAATAAGGAATCCTTTCCCCATTTCTTGTTTTTGTCAGGTTTGTCAAACATCAGATCATTGTAGATGTGTGGTATTATTTCTGAGGACTCTGTTCTGTTTCATTGGTCTATATCTCTGTTTTGGTACCAGTACCATGCTGTTTTGGTTACTGTAGCCTTGTAGTATAGTTTGAAGTCAGGTAGCCTGATGTCTCCAGCTTTGTTCTTTTGGCTTAGAATTGTCTTGACAATGCGGGCTCTTTTTTGGTTCCATATGAACTTTAAAGTAGTTTTTTTCCAATTCTGTGAAGAAAGTCATTGGTAGCTTGATGGGGATGGCACTGAATCTATAAATTAGCTTGGGCAGTGTGGCCATTTTCATGATATTGATTCTTCCTATCCATGAGCATGGAATGTTCTTACATTTGTTTGTGTCCTCTTTTATTTCATTGAGCAGTGGTTTGTAGTTCTCCTTGAAGAGGTCCTTCACATCCCTTGTAAGTTGGATTCCTAGGTATTTTATTCTCTTTGAAGCAATTGTGAATGGGAGTTCACTCATGATTTGGCTCTCTGTTTCTCTGTTATTGGTGTATAAGAATGCTTGTGATTTTTGCACATTGACTTTGTATCCTGAGACTTTGCTGAAGTTGCTTATCAGCTTAAGGAGATTTTGGGCTGAGATGATGGGGTTTTCTAAATATACAATCATGTCATCTGCAAAGAGGGACAATTTGACTTCCTCTTTTCCTAATTGAATACCCTTTATTTCCTTCTCCTGCCTGATTGCCCTGGCCAGAACTTCCAACACTATGTTGAATAGGAGTGGTGAGAGAGGGCATCCCTGTCTTGTGCCAGTTTTCAAAGGGAGTACTTCCAGTTTTGGCCCATTCAGTATGATATTGGCTGTGGGTTTGTCATAAATAGCTCTTATTATTTTGAGATACGTCCCTACAATACCTAATTTATTGAGAGTTTTTAGCACGAAGGGCTGTTGAATTTTGTCAAAGGCCTTTTCTGCATCTATTGAGATAATCATGTGGTTTTTGTCTTTGGTTCTGTTTATATGCTGGATTACATTTATTGATTTGTGTATGTTGAACCAGCTTTGCATCCCAGGGATGAAGCGCACTTGATCATGGTGGATAAACTTTTTGATGTGCTGCTGGATTCAGTTTGCCAGTATTTTATTGAGGATTTTTGCATCAATGTTCATCAGGGATATTGATCTAAAATTCTCTTTTTTTGTTGTATGTCTGCCAGGCTTTGGTATCAGGATGATGGTGGCCTCATCAAATGAGTTAGGGAGTATTCCCTCTTTTTTTATTGATTGGAATAGTTTCAGAAGGAATGGTACCAGCTCCTCCTTGTACCTCTGGTAGAATTCAGCTGTGAATCCATCTGGTCCTGGACTTTTTTTGGTTGGTAGGCTATTAATTATTGCCTCAATTTCAGAGCCTGTTATTAGTCTATTCAGGGATTCAACTTCTTCCTGGTTTAGTCTTGGAAGGGTGTATGTGTCCAGGAATTTATCCATTTCTTCTAGATTTTCTAGTTTATTTGCATAGAGGTGTTTATAGTATTCTCTGATGGTAGTTTGTATTTCTGTGGGATCAGTGGTGCTATCCCCTTTATCATTTTTTATTGCATCTATTTGATTCTTCTCTCTTTTCTTCTTTATTAGTCTTGCTAGTGGTCTATCAATCTTGTTGATCTTTTCAAAAAACCAGCTCCTGGATTCATTGATTTTTTTGAAGGGTTTTTTGTGTCTCTATCTCCTTCAGTTCTGCTCTGATCTTAGTTATTTCTTGCCTTCTGCTAGCTTTTGAACGTGTTTGCTCTTGCTTCTCTAGTTCTTTTAATTGTGATGTTAGGGTGTCGATTTTAGATCTTTCCTGCTTTCTCTTATAGGTGTTTAGTGCTATAAATTTCCCTCTGCACACTGCTTTAAATGTGTCCCAGAGATTCTGGTATGTTATGTCTTTGTTCTCATTGGTTTCAAAGAACGTCTTTATTTCTACCTTCATTTTGTTATGTACCCAGTAGTTTTTCAGGAGCAGGTTGTTCAGTTTCCATGTAGTTGAGCAGTTATGAGTGAGTTTCTTAATCCTGAGTTCTAGTTTGATTGCACTATGGTCTGAGAGTTTGTTATAATTTCTGTTCTTTTACATTTGCTGAGGAGTGCTTTAATTCCAACTATGTGGTCAATTTTGCAATAAGTGAGATGTAGTGCTGAGAAGAATGTATATTCTGTTGATTTGGGGTGGAGAGTTCTGTAGATGTCTATTAGGTCCACTTGGTGCAGAGCTGAGTCAATTCCTGGATATCCTTGTTAACTTTCTGTCTCGTTGATCTGTGTAATGTTGACAGTGAGGTGTTAAAGTCTCCCATTATTATTGTGTGGGAGTCTAAGTCTCTTTTTAGGTCTCTAAGGATTTGCTTTAGGAATCTGGGTGCTCCTGTATTGGGTGCATATATATTAAAGATAGTTAGCTCTTCTTGTTGAATTGATCCCTTTACCATTATGTAATGGCCTTCTTTGTCTCTTTTGATCTTTGTTGGTTTAAAGTCTGTTTTATCAGAGACTAGGATTGCAACCCTTGCCTTTTTTTGTGTTCCATTTGCTTGGTAGATCTTCCTCCATCCCTTTATTTTGGGCCTATGTGTGTCTCTGCACGTGAGATGGGTTTCCTGAATACAGCACACTGATGGGTCTTGACTCTTCATCCAATTTGCCAGTCTGTGTCTTTTAATTGGAGCATTTAGCCCATTTACCTTTAAGGTTAATATTGTTATGTGTGAATTTGATCCTGTCATTATGATGTTAGCTGGTTATTTTGCTCGTTAGTTGATGCAGTTTCTTCCTAGCATCGATGGCCTTTACAACTTGGCATGTTTTTGCAGTGGCTGGTACCGGTTGTTCCTTTCAATGTTTAGTGCTTCCTTCAGGAGCTCTTTTAGGGCAGGCCTGGTGGTGACAAAATCTCTCAGCATTTGCTTGTCTGTAAAGGATTTTATTTCTCCTTCACTTATGAAGCTTAGTTTGTCTAGATATGATATTCTGGGTTGAAAATTCTTTTCTTTAAGAATGTTGAATATCAGCCCCCCACTCTCTTGTGGCTTGTAGAGTTTCTGCCGAGAGATCTGCTGTTAGTCTGATGTGCTTCCCTTTGTGGGTAACCCGACCTTTCTCTCTGGCTGCCCTTACCATTTTTTCCTTCATTTCAACTTTGGTGAATCTGACAATTATGTGGCTTGGAGTTGCTCTTCTCGAGGAGTATCTTTGTGGCATTCTCTGTATTTCCTGAATTTGAATGTTGGCCTGCCTTGCTAGGTTGAGGAAGTTCTCCTGGATAATATCCTGCAGAGTATTTTCCAACTTGGTTCCATTCTCCCTGTCACTTTCAGGTACACCAATCACATGTAGATTTGGTCTTTTCACATAGTCCCATATTTCTTGGAGGCTTTGTTCGTTTCTTTTTACTCTTTTTTTCTCTAAACTTCTCTTCTCACTTCATTTCATTCATTTGATCTTCAATCACTGATACCCTTTCTTCCAGTTGATCAAATCGGCTACTGAAGCTTGTGCATTCATCACGTAGTTCTCGTGCCATGGTTTTCGGCTCCATCAGGTCATTTAAGCACTCATCTACAGTGTTTATTCTAGTTAGCCATTCGTCTAATCTTTTTTCAAGGTTTTTAGCTTCTTTGCGATGGGTTCGAACTTCCTCCTTTAGCTCAGATAAGTTTGAGTTGGGTAATGCTGCGGTAACCAAATCACACACACACACAAATCTCAGTATTTTCTGACAACAATGCTTTATTTCTTGTTCACTTTACATGGCAGCTGTTAGTTGGCTGCAGCTCTAGTCAGCATTTTCTTCACTCTTGGATCAAGCGTAAAGCAGTTTCTCATCTGGCTATTGCCAGTCTCATGGAGGAGGAAACAGAAAATGCTAGAACCATGTGATGGTTTAAGGCTTTTGCTGGAAGTAGCACCTAGCACCCCGTGTGCCATTTCATTGGCTGAAGCAAGTCATGAAGGTCAAGCAAATCATGAAGATATATAATCCTCCAGCAGGGAGCATTCAGCACAACTGGTTCTAGAAACACACTTTGAGAAACCCCACATTAGGGACACAGAAGATGAAAATCTCTCTGGGCCTAGGGCACCCTGCATTTCCCATGGTAGAAGAAGGAACCAGAACAACAGGGCAGTGCAAAATTACACTCAAATCTTGGATTCTATCCCAAATTTGTTACACTTATAATTTAGACTTTTCTTTCAATTTGAGAAAAACAGTAAATAAAATGATTGTAGAATTGTCCAAAATTTCACTTCTCTAGCTTAATATGCCTAAATATTTTTAAAAGAAGAGAAACATTAAATCTTCCATTATATTCTGCCTAAAAATTCTGATTGTCAGACTTACTCAAGAGAAAACAGAAATCTGCCTGCATCTGGTAGAAGAGAACAGAGTTTGTTTGGTTTTCTTCTTTATGCTATTTTGGGGATTGAGCTCCATGCATTGTAAGTGAATGTAAATCACCAATGCCCTGCCCTCTTCACAGCACTTGGCTCATCTTTTCTGACAGGGCTATGTACACATCCCCACTCGGCCTTGCCAACATGCCACTGCAGATAGGTCTGCATGACTTGATAAAAAGCAAACCGTTTTGTCCAAATAACTACTTAACTATGGGCTATATTTGAACCAATAACAAAGCTGGTTAAAGGCTTCAAAATCCCAATGATAGAACGTGGCATTCACCTACTGAAAAAAAAAGAAGATTCAAGAAAAAAGGCACAAATCCAAGGTTAATGACAGAGACTTTATTTTCTTTTCCCTCTTATTGCCCTTCCCTCTTTCACTTCTGTGTACCAGGCAGGGGACAGAGGTAACTTGTCCCAATTAAGGAAAATAAAAATAATAGGTATGTTAATTACTACTTGGCTAATTACTGATCCTAAACCTCACTATCCTGACTGCAAGCTGAAAGCACATTGAATTGTTTACTAATAATCCCTAAAACACCTCTATCCCAACAAATCTATATCAAACATTTCAGGAATAAGGATCACTCACTGGGTTCCTCTTCTTTAAGGAATATCTTTATACTCATAACTTAAGGCTCCTGACCTATTCAGTGCAGTAAGAAAAAGACTTTCAAAATCAGCTTTAAAAACATCACAGTTATTTGGACCCTATCTTATCTCTCGCTGCCCCACCATTAAAAGTCCCTTCATTAGAGGTGGGTGTGGTGGCTCACGCCTGTAATCCCAGCACTTTGGGAGGCCAAGATGGGCGGATCACTTGAGGTCAGGAGTTTGAGATCAGCCTGACCATGTAGTAGAGTCATGGTGAAATCCTGACTCTACTAAAAATACAAAAAAATTTAGCCAGGTGTGGTGGCACATGCCTGTAATCCCAGCTACCAGGGAGGCTGTGGCATGAGAATCACTTGAACCTGGGACGCAAAGGTTGCATTGAGCTGAGATTGTGCCACTGCACTCCAGCCTGGGTGACAGAGTAAGGCTCTGTTTCAAAAAAAAAGAAAGTCCCTTCATTAAAAGTTACATTACACTGTATATACACACACACATACACACACACATACAGTGTTTGATTTTCTTCTTTATGCTACTTTGAGGATTGAGCTCCATGTGTTGTATATATATGTGTGTGTGTGTGTGTGTGTTTGTGTGTGTGTGTGTGTGTATATGGATATATGTGTGTGTGTATATATATGTATATATATGTGTGTGTATATATGTATGTATGTATATATGTGTATGTGTGTGTATATATATACATATACATATTTAATATATATAAAACACTTGCTGTTATATAACTTAAAACACATAAATTTGAACTTAAAATTATATGTCATAGAATTTTACATAACATTATATATAATTTTATATAATAGCTACATGTTGATAGCTAGAGACTATGATTGATATCTTCTATTTAAATAAAACATCTTCAAGGTAGCTTTAACTGGTGCCCTTTAAAAAACCAGGAACTGGCCCAGTGACTGTGTTTTATGAATGTGTTATTTTATTCTCTCCTGGGCCACATGTTTTAAACAACATAATTAATAAGTCTTGTATTTTCATCTCTGCCAAAAAGTTATTTGGTTCATGAACCATGGGTTTGACCTAGGTTTGACTGTACCTGAATGAAACTAGTCCTTGTTCTGAGCCATGTGTCATCAGGATTTAAAACCAATTCTTCACGTAGACATGATGGATATGCTGGCTCTTCAGAAATGCACAGCTAGAGAGAGGCTGGATACAAAAGAAGTATTTCAAGTCCCTTAAGTAGCTTTGTGCAACACAAGTTATTTCGTACTGCCTAAAATGAGCACAAACCCAGCAGTGTTCACAAAACCATAACCCACACTCTTTCCTCCTCCAGATGGTCTTCACAGTAATCTAATTAAATTATTTTGTTAGCTAAAACCTATCATTGCAATATAATGAAAACTTCCTAGTAACTTACAACCTAGAAGTCACAGCCAATCATCTTGAAACATCATGCTGTTTTGCCACTTGATGTTTATTATGAAATTGTCCAGAAAAATGGAATATGATATTTTAGTATTTATCTAGGCTATTAAGAATATACATTTTAGTTATAGCTTTGGATAAGTGTTATAAATTATTTTTCTGACTTTTAACAAAGTTCTTCCAACCAAAGAACTGGAGGAAATGTAAAAAAAGAAGAAAAGGCTAAGGCTGTGTTAACAAAGACCACAGTCGTGGCTGGGCGTGGTGACTCACGCCTGTAATCCCAGCATTTTGGGAGGCTGAGGCGGGCGGATCACGAGGTCAGGAGATCGAGACCATCCTGGCTAACACGGTGAAACCCCGTCTCTACTAAAAAAAATACAAAAAATTAGCCGGGCATGGTGGTGGGAGCCTGTAGTCCCAGCTACTCAGGAGGCTGGGGCAGGAGAATGGCCTGAACCTGGGAGGCGGAGCTTGCAGTGAGCCGAGATCGCACCACTGCACTCCAGCGTGGGTGACAGAGCAAGACTCCGTCTCAAAAAAAAAACAAAAACAAAACAAAGACCACAGTCATAAGCAAACTTGGCTGAGGCAAATAGGAACTTCACGTAAGAAAGAAAATAACTGGGTAGCAGTCTATCTATATTGTTAATCTTTTCAAAAACCAGCTCCTGGATTCATTGATTTTTTTGAAGGGTTTTTTGTGTCTCTTTCTCCTTCAGTTCTGCTCTGATCTTAGTTATTTCTTGTCTTCTGCTAGCTTTTGAATTTGTTTGTTCCTCCTTCTCTAGTTCTTTTGATTGTGATGTTAGGGGGTCAATTTCAGATCTTTCCCGCTTTCTGATGTGGGCATTTAGAGCTATAAGTTTCCCTCTTAACACTCCTTTAGCTGTGTCCCAGAGATTCTAGTATGTTGACTTGGAACCAACCTAAATGCCCATCAATGACAGACTGGATAAAGAAAATGTGGCACATATACACCATGGAATATACTATACAGCCATAAAAAAGAATGAGTTCATGTTCTTTGCAGGGAAATAGATGAAGCTGGAAACCATCATTCTCAGCAAACTAACACAAGAACAGAAAACCAAACACCACATGTTCTCATTCATAAGTGGAAGTTGAACAATGAGAACACATGGACACAGGGAGGGGAATAGCACACACTGGGGCCTGTTAGAGGGTGGGGGGCAAGGGGAGGGAGAGCATCAGGACAAATATCTAATGCATGCAGGGCTTAAAACCTAGATGATGGGTTGATAGGTGCAGTAAACCACCATGGCACATGTATACCTATGTAACAAACCTGCACATTCTGCACATGTATCAAAGAACTTAAAAATAAATAAATAAAAATTTAAAATTTAAAAATTTTTTTAAAGTTCCATTAAGATATGGAAATACTGGTCTTATGTAGCTCTATTCCCTCTTCCCCCTTTTTGTACTATTATTGCTATATATATTACAAACTCAACCCATTATTATAATTATTACTGCATACAGTATTGCATCAATTAAAGAAGCTGAGAAAAGAGAAAGAAAAAAAAAGAAAGAAAGAAAATAACAGGCTGGGTGCGGTAACTCATGCCTGTAATCCCAGCACTTTGGGAGGCCGGGGTGGGAGGATCACTTGAAGTCAGGAGTTCGAGACCAGCCTGGCCAACATGTCTCTACTAAAAATACAAAAAATTAGCTGGGCATGGTGGCACACACCTGTTATCCCAGCTACCTGAGAGGCTGAGGCACAAGAATTGCTTGGACCCAGGAGGCGGAGATTACAGTGAGATGAGATCACACCACTGCACTCCAGCCTGGGTGACAGGGCGAGACTCCATCTCAATTAAAAAAAAAAGAAAGAAAGAAGGAAAAGAACGTATATGTCATTGAATTGTAAATATTTCATGGAAATTTTTAAATTTCTTTTTTACTAGCTTCAGATTCCCTTTAGAATCTGAATCCGGTTGCCTAAACCTTAAGCTAATAGCAAACAAAAGAAACACCTTCCGTCATTCTTCCAATCCCATTTATGCATAGCAAAACTTGCAAAAAATTATAAAGCAACGCTTTAGAAATTGATAGACAATAAATTTGTTAGTTTTGCTACTTCAAGAACATAAAAGGTCATTTTCCAAGAGCCTGATAAAGAAAATTTCTGTCCCACAGAGGAGTAATAATTTAAGGGATTAGTGTTTTCATCATGCTCTTTTCCTCTATCTCAGTAGATTATGCTCATTCATTCTCAACTAAAACTAAAACAGCAACTTCTTCATCTACCTGTCACAAATCTACCTTTATCCACACTCATGTTCTTTGTTTTCTCCTTTGATGAGGGAAATGTCCCTCCCTATGAAATATCTCCTCTTATTCTCTGGAACCCATACCCTTTTACCTTTACAAGGACATCACTTTTGCAATTGTTTCTTTTTTCCACCATCCTCTACTTATTTTTTCCCTCTGGATCACTCCATTGGCACATGGACATGTTTCTGTTGTCCACTCTCAAAAAACACATAGCAATAGCAATGAAAGCAAACTCCCTTAGATCCCACGGAACCCTCAATACCTGACTCACTGCCCTGCTTCTCTTCACAGAAAAACTTCTTGAACTTGTATCCATCCATTCACAGTCTTCACTTCCTAACCCCTTTTAACCTTCAGTCTACTCCTATCAGTCTTTCATCTTACACACCACTGACTGCTTTGGCCAGGGTCACCACAAGCTGTACATTGTACTTCCAAGGGTCTATCTGCCACCATGTTATATAAACTCTCAGCAGCTCTCAAAGAGGTGACCATTCCCTTCTTCTTGAAGCACTTTCCTCTTAGGGAATCAATGAGTCCATAATTTCCTTACTCTCCATCTATGTCTCTGCCATTTATTTTCTTTCTTTATGTGCTACTCATCCTTGGCCCAATCTCTAAGATTAGAAGGGCTCAGGATTCAGTCTTCCTACTGTATGTTATCTCCTTGGGTTATCTCATCAAATCTCATGGCTTTTAATGCTATTTATGTTCCAATGACTAAGGAGTCATCAAGTAGGACTCTCATACTGCAAATAACAAAAAATCAAACTCTGTCCTAAATAATAAAGGGTTTTTTTGGCTCACATAACTGAAAATTCCTCAAGCAAGATAATCCTGAAGGCTCAATGATGTCATCAGAGGATCAATTTCTTTTCAGCTCTCTGTCCTGCCTTCTATTTTATTAGTTTCATCCTCAAAGCAATGTCCCTTATGTTGACAAAGTGGCTGCAGCAGTTCCAGGCTTCACATCCACAAATCATATCATCCAAAATGAGAGGGAAATTTGATTTATGGTAGATTTTTCAGTGTTCTCCAAGGGGAATAAAATATTATTTTTTAGAAGATCCCAGAAAATGAGATTCTACATGTCCTATTTGCCAAATGTTTTACAGACCTACTCCTAATCCAATTTCTTTGGAAAGGTTAATGTCATGTGCAGAATGGCTTAGATCTAGTTTACTTTAATCAATAAATATAATGTGGGCCAGGTACAGTGGCTCACACCTGTAGTTCCAACACTTTGGGGGGCCGAAGCAGGCAGATCACTTGAGGCCAAGAGTTTGAGACCAGCCTGGCCAACATAGTGAAACCCCATCTCTACTAAAAATACAAAAAAAAAAAAAAAATAGCCTGGGCATGGTGGCACATGCTTGTAATCCTAGCTACTCAGGAGGCTGAGAATTGCTTGAACCTGGGAGGCAAAAGTTGCAGTGAGCCGAGATTGCGCTACTGCACTCCAGCCTGGGTGACAGAGCAAGACTCTGTCTCAAAAATAAATAACCATAATGTGGAAGAAGAAGGAGTATCCACAATCAATATCTACACCAGACTCCAGGTGAGGAGTCGGTTCCCTCTGAATAATATGGGTGTCACATGATAGTGGTAGGAAAGAAGGGACAGTGGGGAGGTAACCACTATACCCATATATAATATTCAAAATGATGCTTTATTTTTTTCTCTCCTCTGAGCTCCAGACTTAAGTATCCAACTATTTACAGTCAACTGCCATATAATGACATTTCAGTCAACAACATACTGCATGTACAATGGTGGTACCGTAACATTATAATACTATATTTTTACTGTACCTTCTCTATGTTTAGACATGTTTAGATACACAAATACTTAGCACTGTGTCACAATTGCCTACAGTATTCAGCACAGTAACATGCTGTACAGGTGTGTAGACTAGACTATGCTATAAAGCCTAAATGTTTAGTAGGCTATACCAGCTAGGTTTGTGTAAGTACACTGTATGATGTTCACACCATTTAAAAAATTGCCTAATGATACGTTTCTCAGAATATATTCTCATGAAGTGACGCATGACTGAATTTAACATCTCCATGTGACATGACCAAGCTAACCCTCTCTTGCTACCATATGCCCTCACTAAATCTGGTTTCTCCTCCAATATTCCCTTATCAGTAATTGGCATCACTATATATTACTTTGCTAAGACCAGAATTCGGAGATTACCTTTGACTCTTTGCTTTTCCTTACCCAATAATCTAATCCATGAGTGAGTTCTATTGGTTCCATCTTCCAATTATATTCTAAAGCTATTCATTTCTCTGTCTGCCTCCATTATCACCCTTAGGTCCAAGCCATCATTATCTCTTGCCTAAACTACTGCAATCACCAACTGTCATCCTGATTCCTTTCTTGCCTTCCTATAATTCATTCTCTATACAACCTCTAGAATGGTCTTTTAAAAATATAAGATCATGTCATCGACCTGCCTAAGTCCCGTCATTGGCTTCCTAGCTCCTTTAGATAAAAAAACCCCTCAACTTTAGGTGTTAGATGGAGGCCCTCCAACATCTGGCTTATGTCCACCTCTCCATTATTATCTCATTTCACTTTCTTCTCTATATTCCAGACACACAGATTTTTTTTTACCGCATCCTATACATGGGCAGCTTGGACCTATTTTCATTGTTGAATGTTTATAGGCCCCAACAGCCCATTCTGTGGCCATAATTTCTTATCCCTCTAGTGCCCTCACTGGATCACTCATTCATTATGTTCTCCAGGCCCTTGACTACATGATTCACAAGTATATCAGGTCTTCCACCCACACTTCCTTCCCATCCACCCTAGACAACATGGAGAAAATTATACAATTATACAAATTAGTACCATTGTCTCATGTGATCTTTGGCCTTGTCTATCCCCAACATACTGTTTGACAATCTTGGCTGGGCATGGTGGCTCACACCTGTAATCCAAGCACTTTGGGAGACTGAGGCAGGTGGATCACTTGAGCTCAGGAATTCAAGGCCAGCCTGGGCAACATGGCAAAACCCCATCCCATACATGGTAGAGCATGCCTGTGGTCCCAGCTACTCAGGAGGCTGAGGTGGAAGGATCACTGGAGCCCAGGAAGTTATGGCTGCAGTGAGCCATGATCATGCCACTGCACTCCAGCCTGGGTGACAAAGTGACACCCCATCACAAACAAACAAACAGACGACAATCTTATTGCATGTCTCCAGACAGATCCCCTCCCATTGCCTTCACCACTGTCATCAATCCTCAATGTCATCTCCTCTGTCATCATTTAGCTTCTTAAACCACAGGAAAAAAAGAAGAATGCTCTCTCAGTCTACTGCCCATCTAGCACAAAATAAGGTGCTTGTCCATCCATTTTTAATTCTTTCCACAATATCTCACAAAGAGAAGCCTTTTAGTTTGGATAAGTTCTGCTATAAGTACCAGAATACTAAAATGAATGTGGCTTAAATAGCAAGAATATACAAACTCATAGAACAAGAAGCATGAAGTTTAAAGGTTGATGCAGTAGCTGATGGCATCAAGGCCCCAACTTCTTCCCATCATTCCACTCTGCAATACTCGCCATGTTAGCTTTCATCCCAAGGCATCACTTCCTCATTCAATGTAGTCCAAAGGCAGAAAGACTGGTAGTGGGATCTCTTCTTGTATCTCTTATCAAAGGGGACACCCGCCCCGCTCCAGGAGAAACCATGCAGACTGTGCCCAGGGTCCATGGCCAAGATTGGATCACATGCAGTGTGGACTGGTAAATGTTTCATGGTCTGCTCTCCATGAAAATGCAAATAATCCTCAATTATTTATCTCCAGCCAAGACTTATTTTTAGTTCCAGACCTATATATACACTTGTCTTTTATACGTTTACATATTAGTGACTTCCAAGCATCTCTAAACTATAATTCATTCTTTCCCCCAAAGCTACTGCACCTATACTGCTGTTGTCCATGACTGGCACACCCAGACTAGATTGTTGTGAGTCATATTACATTCTTCCATTGCCTCTACCCTCTCTCTAATGAAAGCTCAGTATTGTGAGTCTCCTTCCTAAATATCTCCCAAATCCTTACTCACTCGTTCAAGAACCATCATCCTTTTCTGTACATTCAGTAACCCTGAATGTTCTCTTTGTCTCTAGATCCTCCTACGCACCTTTAATCTATCTTCCCCGGGTTTTGTGGAGAGACCTTTCTATTATACGTGCTGGCTCAAAATTCTTTACTGGCTCTAATTGTCCAAAGGGTGAAACTGAATTCCTCTAATTTACACGTGGACTTTCTTTATCTGAACTCTAACAACATGTTCACTCTCATCTTCTGTCTTTCATCTCTCGTCACTCTAATTTTGCCTTCTAACTATATTAAACTATTTGTACAGAACACATCATCCTCTCTTATGCTTCCATTCCTTTGCACATTGTGTCTTTCAAGTGTACTTTCCTCCCTTATGTAACAAGAAGACTTTTCATCCTTAAAGTCTCGGTAAGCATCTTTGTCAGTGTAAAGTCTTCTCTGAATATCTCAGAGAAAATAGGGGCTTCTATATTGACTGTACTTTGCATATATCTTCATAAAATAAATTTATCACTGTATTATAGTTCTTGATTTTTAAACCCTTCGAGGACAAGAACAGTTTCATCACTATACCCTTTGTGTCCAGAATAGTGCCAGGCACACAGTAAGTGTTTAAATAAGTGCTTATTGAATAACAAAATGAATGAACATATTAATATTGAATCACTAGAATAATAATTGGTGCTGTTGTAAAGACAACAGAGACTGGTTTAGCAAAGCACTGCTATAAGTCTCAGATCAAGAATACCCATCTTATAAAGATCAAATAACTCTACTTGTCTCATAGCAAGTCAACCACCAACTTTTTGCCAACAATATAGTAAGATGGGTATAAGTGTGTCTACTGCACTGTTCAAAAAATAAACTATTGATAAGTAACATGGTCTATTGATAATGGGCATTACATGTACAATGGACAGCATATAAAAACATACATTTTGATAATAAAACAGATATAACAAAGGCTTCTAGAAGCTAATTGACTCATTTCCTCTCCTCTATCTAGGTCAAACTTAGGACAATTACATTAGAATGTGTGTCTCTTATTTTTAATCCTTTATGTTCCCCTGCAACTTTCCAATATGAAATTTTCATATTTTAGGTTTTTGGACTGTGATCCTGAAGGGACTACAGATCCTCTCTTATTGTGTGCTGAGTTTTGTAACAAGGCATCAATTGGAGAGTAGGTTTAGAAAAAAAATTATTGATTGAATTGGGTTATGTCTTGCTTAAGATGTGGGGGTAAGATTTGTACAGATGGCCATCACATATAGGTCTGGAGCTTAAATTTTCCGGTTTTCTATTGCTATTTAGTAGTAAATAATGTCACTGAAAAAGTTCACAAATGGGTTTGGGTGAGTTTACGTTTCTGTCCTGTAGACATTTCTCTTTCTCTTTGTGTCCTAAAAAGAATTTCAGGACAAGTTTTCTAACTATAATCCAAGTCTTTTGTGCATAAGCATTTATAATAACACAAAAAGATAATTGCATATAAGGTAATGAGTAGACTTTTTACATATTTTTTCTCAAAAAGTACACATCAAAAACCATATAGTTATTGAATTCAGCCCTAACTAAATAGGAAAAAAAAGTGTGTTCAAATTATTTTGAACTCAGAAAGAATGGAAGATGCGTGTATTGATGGAATGAATAAAGAACAAGTATTGAATCCTGGGCATTTTTGTGGAAGCTATGTTAATTTTATAAAGCTGCATCAATTTATTTTTCTTGTTTAGACTTCACATTTTTTACTTCTTTCTTTAAAATGTCTTTAGGAATCCTATGAAATATTTTGGATTTCTCAGAAATAGGATAATTTAACAGTCATGTTGTTTAAAAAATTCTCGATGGCAAATCTACTTGGTAAAAATTGAATAGCATGACTGGTTACTATTTTGACTTACTTTGTTGGAGGCAGGGTTGTCTTAGAAAATAGTTTCCATGTCTATTACAGCTGAAATTAAAATTAAATAGATCAAATGTGCTCTTATCAAGAGAGTTTTTAAAACTGCAGATATTTTGAAAGAAAATCTTAAAATTTTATTACAATCTACTACTCCAAAGAAATATAAGAAAAAAAATATTTGACCCATCTCGTCTCTACCCTGAATTTCCCTGAGATTGAGAAGGAATTATTCAATTTTCTCTTCTTTCTGACAGAACTATCCCAGATGAATAGCTACAAAGCTACAATGGCCAATGGACGTACCATAAGATTTGTGCTCTGAGATTCCCTTGTTAAGGGTATGAGAGGGACTCATGGGAAGAATTTGGGCTGAGGAGGGATGGGAAAGGAAAGAGGGAAGGAGAAAAGGAGGGCATTCCCCTAGAAGCTCACAAAAATACAGACATAACCTCATAAACCCTACCACAATACACGGGGAAAAAAAATGTGCCTTCCCCAAAGTTACACAAAGTCCTCTTGTGTCTTCTTTCTCCCCTGTCAAGGTGAGATCTCACATACATAATACTGTTCATTGGTGACTCTTCAAGGATGTGGAGTTGGAAAAGAAGAGGGTATAAGACATTGTGATATACCTGAGCCCCCAGGCTTCATAGCCCCACGTTCTGATGGTAGTTTTCTGTTTTTGTTCAAAGAAAAGAGAATTAAGATTATGCCATTAAAACACTATTGTTTTAACCTTCTATGATAGGTAGACACATGGTAGAAATGGAGATAGAGAGAAAGGCATGTCTTTGGGATATATTTTTGAAGTGGACCAATTTATGTTATTGTTGAGGGAAAAGCAAATAAAAACAGAACCAAGAATTACCCTGAGGTTTTGATAGGGTGGATGCTATTGTCTGAGATAGAGAAAAATGATCAAGAAGTAGGTTTAGGGATGAAGAATAGAAATTAAGAGCTTTGGTTTGGCCATGTTAAGTTTGCAACATCTTTAGTGGTCCCAGTAAATGCAGATTTGGTAGACTCCAGTGCTGTATTTAGGCTGACGTATTCTTCTTAGGTGAATGACACCAGAATCCACTCTGTCTCCCAGGAGGAAAACCTAAATGGCACCCCAGACCAGCCTTCCCCTTCCTGCCAGCCATTCACCTGCAACCAATTCAAGCTCTCTACATCTCATCACCCTGTTATTACATCTAAATTCTCATACCCAACCGACTTCTTCAATCCAATTCCCATAATATTGTGCCCCTTTCAATCATTAGGACAAAAAAGTGTAGTTGTGTAACTGCTACTGGATGGTATCCATCACAGCACAGGACACAATCCAACACACGATAAAGATTTGATGATACGCTGGGCATGGTGGCTCACGCCTGTAATCCCAGGACTTTGGGAAGCCGAGGTGGAAGAATCGCTCAAGCCCAGGAGTTCAAGATACGCCTGGGCAACATAATGAGAACTCATCTCTACAAAAAAAATTTAAATGAGATGGGCATTGTGGCATATGCCTGTAGTTCTAGCTACTTGGGAGGCTGAGGCAGGACGATGGCTTGAGCCCGAGAGGTCGAGACTGTAGCGAGCTGTGATCATGTCACTGCACTCCAGCATGGGTGAGAGTGAGACCTTGTCTAAAAAAAAGATGATCTGAAGTACTGTAGAATTTTATGTTTCTTTTGTTTCTTTTTTGTATCCTTCCCACACAACCCTAACGTGGTTACTTCCAACAATACCCACAGGTAATGCCGCCACAGCCCCAGCAGAAGTCTGGTTAACCAGAGCTCCAGTTAAGACATCAAAACTAGTTCCAAAGTCTAGAAAAATCTCAGCATCAATCAGTTAGCCCAATGTTTCCAGCGCAGGTGTGTCCAGTTCAAGAACTTCATCTTTGATGATTCCTTATCTCTTTCAGGCAGTGAGGCAATAGAAGGAGAGAAGAAAGAGAATAAATGCTACATATATGTCATTTCATTTCCACACTCTCTATCATCATCATTCTAATATCATATGGTATTGTTGCATTTTCCTGTTCCAATGGCCATCAGAATGGATCTTTAGTTAATGCCAATTGTCTACTGTATATATAATCATTACAGAATGAAAAGAGAGGAGTAAGCATAAATGATTAGAAGTTGTTCAAATTTCTTCAGAAAAGGTTCTTAGAATAAGAGCCTCTACTGGGGCCAGGTGCGGTGGCTCACGCCTGTAATCCTGGCACTTGGAGACGCCAAGGAGGGCAAATTACTTAAACACATGAGTTCAAGACCAGCCTGGGCAACATAGTGAAACCTCATCTCTATTAAAAATACAAAAATTAGCCAAGCGTGGTGGCGCACACCTGTAGTCCCAGCTACTCGGAAGGCTGAGACACGAGAATTGCTTGAACCAGGGTGATAGAGGTTGCAGTGAGCCAAGATCACCCCACTGCACTCCAGCCTTTGTGACAGAGTGAGACCCTGTCCCCCCAAAAAATAAATAAATAAATAAATAAATAAATAAATAAATAAATAGAGTCTCAGTTGGTGTTGACAAGTGAAATGAAGACCCAGGACATGGCAGAAAGGAAGACAGAAATTACCCTAGTTAGAGAAAGTACATTGAGATGAGGCAAAACCAATCAGATAGAAGCAGCTCATGAAAAGGTGTGCATCAAGAGATGCAGACACTTATATGAAGCTGGCATGGGCATTCCATGGAGGTCATTAGAGTTCATGGGCAGAAATGTGAATTTCATTCCTGAAGTAACTGAGAAATCATTAGAGCAAATTTGACCAATTATAATTAACCCTATTGGGCCAGCCAGGGGCAGAAACATACTTCCATCCTCTTTTCCAGACCTCAACTCCATAAGAAGTTAATTTGTATTGCACAACCCAGTCTTCTGGCTTAGACAGAAACATTTCGTTTTTTAGAAATTACCAAAAATATTTATAGCTTGACTAAGCTAATTTAAAACACACAGCAAAAGCATGGCATGCCTTACGTTCTCTGGGCTGCATATCTCTAAGCCCGCGTGATGGCTTTGTCGAGAGCACTCTATTAAAAGCAACACTCTCCATTCACCAGGACTGTTGCATAGATTACATAGGACCTCTTTTGTTCATTAGGTAACTGTCTAGCATGGAGACGCAATTGTTTCCTGTCATGTTTTCTTCAGAACCTAAACTTTCGAGGCATTCGGGCCTTGAGCAAGCGCCTGAGCTCATCTCAGGGTGAGGTATTTCGTGTACTGACCCAGCAAAATATTTTATAATCCATTTCCTAATCCAGGAAAAGCTGAGTCTTACCCTTGCATAAACCCAAAATTTGCCCTGAAAAACAAATGTGATTAAATAAAACAATTGGAAAAAGATTTGCTTTGTTCTGCTGCTAAGATTCAACATTTGCCCAATAGCCACAGCCAGCCTAGCCATCAGGAATCGTGGCCAAGGTATGCAGGCAGCCAAGCTCATTCCTTCACACCTGACACAGACACCAGACTTTTCTGCATCTCTTCCTGGCCCTTTAGGAGAAGCAGAGACTACTATTGGTTCCTTTACTATCAAAGACAGACACCAAAAGCTCCTCAAATCTCCAGAGAATGTGAAGTTTATCATTTCTAAGTATACTGGACAAACTCTTTTTTTTTCTGATTTAACTAGTAATATGTCATCTGGAAAAGCTATTTTGTCATAAATTAGAAAGAGCATCAAGAAGAAATAAAAATTATTTTGCTCCAACATGTACATGGAGAAAAGGTAAGTGGAAGAGCAGAGGGGAGGGGAAGGGAGGCCATTAGCAAAGGCCACCACTAGCTAAGGTTTGTGCTGGAAACTTCTTTAAGCAGATGTTGATTTCACATGCTGCATTTGATACACGTGTCTCCTGATAAAAGCAAAGGGAATGAAATTACAAAGTCCAACACTGTCATCACCACAAAGCAATATGCAAATTATGGTCTTAAAATAAGTGTCTGAGAGACCTGGGTAGTTTCATCCATACAAAGGCAATTTCTTTGTCATCCTCTTACTGATTAACTACACTAATCTCCGGTGAAGCGAGCTTGGGATTCCTACAAAGTACAATGTTGTGATCCATGACATTTAAGACATGGAAGGGGCCTCTCCAGAAATGAGCCACTGGGCTGAGCCTGGGCAGAAAATAGACTGCAATGAGTCACACAATGTAAGACGGCACAAAAGATGATTCACCATGTCTAAAGGAAAATAAATAGGAGTGAATGGCTAGTGTACTCAGGGAAACTCAGTCCCAATGGGCAGAGTTTATTGGTCTGCATCACTCTGAGTTCCGTCATGGAGCTGTTGGGATGAGGTGATGGTGCTGGAAATGCTGAAACGGTGAGGGGGTGAGGAAGCAGCTCCTTTTGGGGCAGTAGCAGTGCAGTAGCTGCTTGTTTCCAGTTAAGGATCTCTGTGGCAGGGGGATACATCCGCACTGGATGCTCTGAAGTGTATGATGTGAAATGATTTATCCAGAAGGCTGCACAGCTGGCATCAGATAAAACATTTGGAACCACTTTAGCTGTGCATTACCTAGAGGCAGCATTCTCTTCCTCGATGCTGAATTTAAACCATTCCTGTCATTTCAGACTCTCTAATGAAATCTGTTTCTCACAGGATGTCTCTGTCTTGGAAATGGCATGTGGTCTCCTTGCAAAATGAAAAGGAATTTAAAGCATATAAATCACCTGTTTTTCTTCCTCTCTCACCCTACACACACACACACACACACACACACATACACACAGACACACACACACACACACCCTTTCTGTTAAAAAAATTTCAGAACAGAAGAAGAAAAGCATGGAAGTGATAAAGGTATGCTTCTCAGAACAGGGAATGGTGAGGGAGGAGTGGCTACTGCCTGTCAATAGCTCACAAGCAGCAATGCTGACTGCCAAATGACTCATGCAAAAGTCCCAGAGGGATCGGTTCCCTCAGTCGCCCTTTAGGAGAGAGAGACAGAAAACGTGATATAAATGTTCCCACAGAATCACGGCTTTGTCAGATCCAAGGCTTATGCTGCTGCTCACTATGCTGGAGTGTAAATAAGTTGATGTGCCCTATCGTAGCTAAAAACCTAACAGAAAACATTCAAAACACTCACATACATACTTGTACACAATTCAAGCTCCAATGCGAAAGTATAAATAGTCTGAGTCTCTCCTGTTCTATGCTTGAATATTAAAGTAAGTTTTAAAGCCTTCCAATATTACTTGATGCAATTTAAAAGCTAAATCTATATTGTGATATTACTATCTTTATCTCAACTATAATTCCAAAACCACTTCAAGAAACTAAAAATCAAGTTTAAGCAGAACCCAGGAAGGGCTGCAGTTTGAAGTCTAAACACAAATGCTCTTTACTATTGGTAAATAGGGGCCTTACTTCCATTGATTATAAGCCACAGTTACAAGAACACCACATCTTTAACTTTTCCCATATACCTTGGTTTTCCATGGTGATGATGCTACTGCTTACCATAGTTCTTCACCTCGCCTGGAATTAGCCAAAGAATTGGATGCTATTTTCAAGGGTGCTAGAAAAGACACCTAGGGCTCGGCCCAATTTGTAACAGTACAACAAATGGTTAGTGAGCCTTGTTTGTCTGAGTACCCTCCTTCCTCCACACAATGTGGCTCAGAAACAGCAGCTAAGTAGAGGCTTCTGTGCCCCTCTCTTAAGGTGAACAGACAGGGAGGACACCAGGAGCCCTTATCAATGATGGTTCAGTGAGAAATGGGAAGAGTTTTGTTGTTTTTTGTTTAAAGAAGCAGACCCTCTGAATACTTTCCTAGAGAGCCCAAACCATTCAGGTTGCTTGATCTCTTGAGTTGCCAGGGTTTTCTATCCAGGCCTTTGGCCAAAACTGCTGTGGTCACCATGCATTGTGAGATTACAGTGCTCAAATAGTTAATGTGGCTGAAAGCTTCCACTGGACATTTTATGGGAGGTGACACAAAGCCACTGGGGAAGAAACTGGTTCTTCATAGGAAGTCCTAAAGCCCTACACCATAAATCACTTCAGGTGTCAAAACATCTTCTTAAGCCACATCATCAATGTTTCTGGCTTTCATTAACACAAGCAAAACCACCTGCAGTCCTCACTACCAAAACTAAGAGCTTTAGTCTTCCTGAGGTTCTACCATGTTTCTTATCCATATTAATTATTGCAGAAACACCTAAACCCTTCACTCATTGCTTAGTGTCAGGCTTGCCATCTAAAGTATGTTTTCAGAAATGTCAAGCAGTTTTTGGCCACCGAGTGTATGTCAGTGTATTCTGGCGGATACAAATTATTGTTTTGCGTTACTTACCATATTATCTTGCAATAAAAGACCTGCAAACTCATCACAAGATCAACTGCAAAGTCATCTACAGAATGTAACCATATCTATAATGACAAAGAAAACATTGTTATATTACCAAGTCAAAATATCCTACACTGGCGCTATCCTACACATTGTACGGCCAATTATAAATATCTTTCTGGTGGTTTTAGCCCAAGTAAAAGTTACCCCAGTGAAGGTGTGTTAATGAAGTCCACTCCACTCCCTGCCTGGTTACTAAAACCTTTACTCAATGCTCAGAACAAAGTCTGATTAATTCTTCACTGACTTTCAGAATACAAACAGTATCCGTATTTTCTCTTCCATTAAAACAAGCAGTGATTAGCAGACCCTGGCAATACATACTCAGTCATTCAAATCTCTTTAGAAGGTACTGAAAGATACTTTGTAGGCAAGAGTCATGAAACCAAGATTTCAGGGTCAAGTACAAAACAGGCACAACTCTTAAGTATATTCCTTTTCTAATAAAAAGTATTTTCAGATCTCTTATATTAAAATAGAAAATAGTTTTGGTTGTTCTGACAGCAGTTTATCATACTGGCTCCGTCCTGAGCTTTCTAGTGCTAGGGTCTGGCCATGTCTGTGCTTTCCGCAAGGAGTCACAGTAACTTAATATTCTTCTACAATGTTTGAAGGGGACCGTTAGCTATATATGGCCTGGGCCCAGATCTGTGTCTTCCTTTCCTAGGCTTATTTTCAAATAGAAAATAAAAATAAGTCCCACTTATGTCAAAGAGTTTCAAAGAGCTTTGTATTTAAAAAAAAAAACACAACTAATTTTGATGGCAACTCACTGAAATAAGGAAAAGGTGTTAACAAGATTCTTATTGGAAGATTGCAATACTAGGCAGGGAAGGCCATGGTATGCTGACAAGCATATTGCAGTACAGTTGAACAATAATTTGATAAATATCATAAGTCAAAAATGTATTTAATACACCTAACCTACTGAACACCCTAACTTAACCTAGCATACCTTAAAGGTGTTCAGAAATTACATTAGCCTACAGTTGGACAAAATCATCTGGTACAGAGTACACTGTAGAGTACTGGTTAGTTACCCTCGTGATATTATGGCTGCCTCGGAGCTGCAACTCACTGATACTGCCCAGCATCACAAGAAAGAAGATCATGAAGCATACTGCTAGCCCCAGAAAAGATCAAAATTCAAAATTTTGACTACAGTTTCGATTGAATGTGTATCACTTTTATATCATCACAAAGCCAATAAATTGTAAGTCGACTGACATACAGTCATAAGTCTGGGACAATCTGTATAGTACTTTGTAGTTTTGTTTTTATTTTTTTGAGACAGGATCTCTGTCATCCAGGTTGGAGTCCAGTGAAACAATCATGGCTCACTAAAGCCTTAACCTCCCCAGGCTCAGGTGATCCTCCCGCCTCAGCCTCCTGAGCAGCTGGGACATAGTCATCTCTAAATTGAAAACGTGCAAAAGATGCAATGGTAAAAAATAAAAATTAAAAAATTCTAAAAAAACACGTAAAACTTAGGATTCCTTGGGGAAAGGGAAGTGCCTATTTTCTCATCGTGCTTTGACCCTTGCTTGATTTCCACTGCAGGCATTCGCCAGCCCTTTACCATGACATCTTCTGTGGGCTCAGGTCTGTCCCAATTTCAGAGATCTTCAAGAGTCTGTATATTTCATCTGCCTCTGAAGCCCACAATGTAGAATTTGGTAAGAAGTCCCACTGACCAACACAGGATCCACTAGTTCAGATTATCCCTGCTCAGGTTAGTTGCTGCAAAAACTCCTTGGCTCTGCCTAATCCCCATGTTGCCCATTCCTTTCTGCAATTTGGTCTTGTTTACAGGATTGGGTCTCTGCCTAGGTTCCCCTTTAATTCTTGCCAGTTAGTTGCCCTATTTAGTACACTCTTTACCCTCAAAGACAGGTGCTAAATCCTGAGCCTGAGTTAATGGAGAAAGAGCCCCTAATGGTTTTTGCCAACAAATATCTAGAGCTATCTAGGACTTCTGTCCCTGTACTCTCAACCAAATAAAGGTGTATCATTTGGGATCATGATTTGAGTTTCCTGGCTCCAGAGGCCCAAGTTCTAAGTCTCCCTACTACTATTTATTCACTTAGCTGGAGGTGTGTGCAACTTGTCTCTGAGGTGGTAGCAATAATCTCTCCCATCTCACATGCACATTTTTAAAAAACTTTTTATTTTGAAATAACTATAGTCTCACAGAAGGTTGTAAGAGTCCCTTGTAGTCTTGAATCAACTTCCCTAACTGTTAATATAAAAAATATAGCTATAGGGCCGGGCGTGGTAGCTCACCCCTGTAATCCCAGCATTTTGGGAGGCCAAGGTGGGCGGGTCACCAGGTCAGGAGATCAAGATCATCCTGGCTAATACGGTGAAACCCCGTCTCTACTAAAAATACAAAAAAAAATTAGCCAGGCATGGTGGCGGGCGCCTGTAGTTCCAGCCACTCGGGAGGCTGAGGCAGGAGAATGGCGTGAACCCCGGAGGCAGAGCTTGCAGTGAACCGAAATCACACCACTGCACTCCAGCCTGGGTGACAAAGCGAGACTCCGTCTCAAAAAAAAAAAAATATATATATATATAGCTTTAGTACAATATCACAATTACAGTACAATATATAATGAGACTATTATGAACAATTAGATGCCAATAAACTGGAAAATCTAGGAGAAATGAATAACTTCCTGGACACATACAACTCTCCAAGATTGAATCTAGAAGAAATAAAAATCCTGAATAAACCAATAAGTAATGAGAGTAAAGCAACAATTAAAAAAAAAATCTTCCATCAAAGAAAAGCTCAGGAACTGATGACTTCACTGATGAATCCTACCAAATATTTAAAGAACTAATATCAATTCTACTCAAACTCTTCAAACCAATTGAAGAGGAGGGAATACTTCCAAACCCATTATATTAGGCCAGCATTACCCTGATACCAAAATCAGGCAAGGACACAACAAAAAAAACTACAGGCCAATATTCCTGATGAAGATAGTTGCAAAAGTCCTCAACAAAATATCAGCAAACCAAATTCACCAACATATTAAAAAGATCATTTATCATGATTAAGTGGGATTTATCCTAAGGATGCAAGGATGGCTCAACATATGCAAATAAATCAATGTTATACATTGGATTAATAGAACTAATAACGAAAAGCATATGACCATTTCAACAGATGCTGAAAAAACATTCAATAAAGTTCAATGTTCCTTTATGATAAACAACCTCCCACTCTCCCCACCAAAAAAAAAATGGATATAAAAGGAACACATGTCCAGAAAATAAAGACCTATATGACAAGCCCACAGCTAACATCATACTTAACAGGAAAAAATCCAAATACTTTCCTCTAACATATGAAATAAGACAAGGATGCCCACTTTCACCAGTTTTATTCAATATAATACTGGAAGCTGTAGTCACATCAATCACGCAAGAGAAAAAGGAAAAGGCATCCAAATTGAAAACAAAGAAGTCAAATTATCTTTGTTCACAGAAGCCATAACCTTGTATTTAGAAAACCCTAAAGACTCTACCAAAAAAACTGTTAGAACTAAAAAACAAACTCAGTAAAGTTACAGGATTTAAAAAATGTACAAAAAATCAGTAGCATTTACATACAGTAGGAGTGAGCAATCTAAAAAAAATATCAAGAAAGCAATGCCATTTAAAATCTCTAGAAAAAATATAAAATACCTAAAAATAAATGTAACGAAAAAAGGGAAAGATCTCTACAAGGAAAAGTAAAACCTCTGGTAAAAGAAATTGAAGAGGACAGAAAAAAAAATAAAAAGATATTCCATGAACATGAATTGGAAGAATTAATACTATTAAAATGTCAGTACTACCCAAATCAATGTACAGATTCAATGCAATCCCTATCAAAATGCCAATGACATTTTTCACAGAAATAAAAAAAAATCTTAAAACAAGTACCAAGCAATAAAAGACCCTGAATAGCCAAAGCAATTCTGAGCAAAGAGAACAAAGCTGGAGGCATCACAATACCTGACTTCAAAATATACTATAAAGCTATTAGCAGTAACCACAATAGCATGGTAGTTATATAAAAACTGACACATAAACCAAAGGAACTGAATAGAGAGCCTGTAAATAAATCCCTCCATTTATAGCTGACTCATTTTTGACAAAGTTTCCAAGAATATACAGTAGGGAAAGTACAATCTCTCCCATAAATGGTGTTGGGAAAATTGGATAACCATATGCAGAAGAATGATTGGATAACCATATGCAGAAGATAGATCCCTATCTCTCATAATATACAAATGTCAAATTAAAATGGATTAAAATCTAAGATCTGAAGATAGCTGTTCCAAGATGGCTGAATAGGAACAGCTCCAGTGTGCAGCTCCCAGTGTGACCGACGCAGAAGATGGGTGATTTCTGCATTTCCAACTAAGGTACCTGGTTCATCTCACTGAGACTGGTTGGACAGTGGGTGCAGCCCACAGAGGGCGAGCTGAAGCAGGGCGGGATGTTGCCTCACATGGGAAGTGCAAGGGGTTGGGGCATTTCCCTTTCCTAGCTAAGGGAAGCCATGACAGACTGTACCTGGAAAAACGGGACACTCCTGCTCAAATACTGTGCTTTTCTCAAGGTCTTAGCAACTGACAGACAAGGAGATTCTCTCCCATGCCTAGCTTGGCAGGTCCCATGCCCACGGAGCCTTGCTCACTGCTAGCGCAGCAGTCTGAGATCAAACTGCGAGACGGCAGCCTGGCTGGGGGAGGGACGTCCGCCATTGCTGAGGCTTGAGTCGGTAAACAAAGCAGTCAGGAAGCTTGAACTAGGCGGAGCCCACTGCAGCTCAACAAGGCCTACTGCCTCTATAGACTCCACCTCTGTGGGCAGGGCATAGCTGAATAAAAGGCAGCAGACAACTTCTGCAGACTTAAACGTCCCTGTCTGACAGCTCTGAAGAGAGCAGTAGTTCTCCCAGCATGGTGTTTGAGCTCTGAGAATGGACAGACTGCCTCCTCAAGTGGGTCCCTGACCCCCCTGTAGCCTAACTGGGAGACACCTCCCAGTAGGGGCTGAAATACACCTCATATAGGTGGGTGCCCCTCTGGTATGAAGCTTCCAGAGGAAGGATGAGGCAGCAATATTTGCTGTTCTACAATATTTGCTGTTCTGCAGCCTCTGCTGGTGATACCCAGGCAAACAGGGTCTGGAGTGGACCTCAAGCAAACTCCAACAGACCTGCAGCTGAGGGACCTGACTGTTAGAAGGAAAACTAACAAACAGAAAGCAATAGCATCAACATCAACAAAAACGTCATCTACACCAAAACCCCATCTGTAAGTCACCAACATCAAAGACCAAAGGTAGATAAAACCACAAAGATGGGGAGAAACCAGAGCAGAAAAGCTGAAAATTCTAAAAACCAGAGTGCTTCTTCTCCTCCAAAGGATTGCAGCTCCTTGCCAGCAACAGAACAAAGCTGGACAGAGAATGACTTTGATGAGTTGACAGAAGTAGGCTTCAGAAGGTTGGTAAAGGCCGGGCGCGGTGGCTCACGCCTGTAATCCCAGCACTTTGGGAGGCCGAGACGGGCGGATCATGAGGTCAGGAGATCGAGACCATCCTGGCTAACACGGTGAAACCCCGTCTCTACTAAAAATACAAAAATTAGCCGGGCATGGTGGCGCGCGCCTGTAGTCCCAGCTACACGGGAGGCTGAGGCAGGAGAATGGCGTGAACCCAGGAGGCGGAGCTTGCAGTGAGTCGAGATCGCGCCACTGCACTCCAGCCTGGGCTACAGAGCGAAACTCCGTTTCAAAAAAAAAAAAAAAAAAAAAAAGAAGGTTGGTAATAACAAACTTTTCCAAGCTAAAGGAGGATGTTCGAACCCATCATAAGGAAGCTAAAAATCTTGAAAAAAGGCTAGACGAATGGCCAACTAGAATAAACAGTGTAAAGAAGACCTTAAATGACCTGATGGAGCTGAAAACCATGGCACAAAAACTTCATGACACATGCACAAGCTTCAATAGCTGATTTGATCAAGTGGAAGAAAGGGTATCAGTGATTGAAGATCAAATGAATGCAATGAAGTGAGAAGACAAGGTTAGAGAAAAAAGAGTAAAAAGAAACAAACAAACCCTCCAAGAAATATGGGACTATGTGAAAAGACCAAATCTGCATTTGATTGGTGTACCTGAAAGTGACAGGGAGAAAGGAACCAAGTTGGAAAACACTCTTCAGGATATTACCCAGGAGAAAATCCCCAACCTAGCAAGACAAGCCAACATTCAAATTCAGGAAATACAGAGAACACCACAAAGATACTCCGCGAGAAGAAAAACCCCAAGACATATAATTGTCAGACTCAACAAGGTCAGAATGAAGGAAAAAATGTTAAGGGCAGCCAGAGAGAAAGGTCAAATTACTCACGAATGGGAAGGCCATCAGAATAACAGTGGGTCCCTTGGCAGAAACCCCACATGCCAGAAGAGAGTGGGGGCCAATATTCAACATTCTTGAAGAAAAGAATTTTCAACCCAGAATTTCATATCCAGCTAAACCAAGCTTCCTAAGTGAAGGAGAAATAAAATCCTTTACAGACAAGCAAATGCTGAGAGATTTTGTCGCCACCAGGCCTGCCCTACAAGAGCCCCTGAAGGAAGCACTAAACATGGAAAGGAACAACCAGTACCAGCCACTGCAAAAACATGCCAAATTGTAAAGATCATACATGCTATGAATAAACTGCATCAATTAATGGGCAACATAACCAGCTAACATCATAATAACATGATGAAATTCACACATAACAATATTAACCTTAAATGTAAATGGGCTAAATGCTCCAATTAAAAGACACAGACTGGCAAATTGGATAAAGAGTCAAGACCCATCAGTGTGCTGTATTCAGGAGACCCATCTCACGTGCAGAGACACACATAGGCTCAAAATAAGGGGATACGGAAAGATCTACCAAGCAAATGGAACGCAAAAAAAAAAAGCCGGGGTTGCAATCCTAGCCTCGGATAAAACAGACTTTAAACCAACAAAGATCAAAAGAGACAAAGAAGGCCATTACATAATGGTAAAGGGATCAATTCAACAAGAAGAGCTAACTATCCTAAATATATATGCACCCAATACAGGAGCACCGAGATTCATAAAGCAAGTCCTTGGAGACCTACAAAGAGACTTAGACTCCCACACAATAATAATGGGAGACTTTTAACCCCATTGTCAATATTAGATCAACAAGACAGAAGCTTAACAAGGATATCCAGGACTTGAACTCAGCTCTACACCAAGGGGACCTAATACATATCTACAGAACTCTCCACCCCAAATTAACAGAATATACATTCTTCTCAGCAACACATGACACTTATTCTAAAATTGACCACATAATTGGAGGTAAAGCACTCCTCAGCAAATGTAAAAGAACAGAAATCACAACAAACTGTCTCTCAGACCACAGTGCAGTCAAATTAGAACTCAGGATTAAGAATCTCACTCAAAACTGCACAACTACATGGAAACTGAACAACCTACTCCTGAATGACTACTGGGTAACTAAGGAAATTGAGGCAGCAAAAAAAGATGTTCTTTGAAACCAATGAGAACAAAGACACAACATACCAGAATCTCTGGGACACATTTAAAGCAGTGTGTAGAGGGAAATTTATATCACTAAATGCCCGCAAGAGAAAGAAGGAAAGATCCAAAACTGACACCCTAACATCACAATTAAAAGAACTAGAGAAGCAAGAGCAAACACATTCAAAAGCTAACAGAAGACAAGAAATAACTAAGATCAGAGCAGAACTGAAGGAGATAGGGACATAAAACACCCTTCAAAAAAATCAGTGAATCCAGGAACTGGTTTTTTGAAAAGATCAACAAAATTGATAGGCCGTTAGCAAGACTAATCAAGAAAAAAAGATAGAAGAATCAAATAGATGCAATAAAAAATGAAAAAGGGGATAGTACCACTGATCCCACAGAAATACAAACTACCATCAGAGAATACTGTAAACACATCTACACAAATAAACTAGAAAATCTAGAAGAAATGGATAAATTCCTCGGCGCAAACACCCTCACAAGACTAAACCAGGAAGAAGGTGAATCTCTGAATAGACCAATAACAGGCTCTGAAATTGAGGCAATAATTAATAGCCTACCAACCAAAAAAAGTCCAGGACCAGAGGGATTCACAGCCGAATTCTACCAGAGATACAAAGAGGAGCTGGTACCATTCCTTCTGAAACTATCCCAATCAACAGAAAAAGAGGGAATACTCCCTAAATCATTTTATGAGGCCAGCATCATCCTGATACCAAAGCCTGGAGGAGACACAACAAAAAAAGAGAATTTTAGACCAATATCCCTGATGAACATCGATGTGAAAATCCTCAATAAAATACTGGCAAACTGAATCCAGCAGCACATCAAAAAGCTTATCCACCATGATCAAGTCAGCTTCATCCCTGGGATGCAAGGCTGGTTCAACATACACAGATCAATAAATGTAATCCATCACATAAACAGAACCAACAACAAAAACCACATGAGTATCTCTTGATGCAGAAAAGGCCTTTGACAAAATTCAACAGCTCTTCATCCCAAAAACTCTCAATAAACTAGGTATTGATGGAACGTATCTCAAAATAATAAGAGTTATTTATGTCAAACCCACAGCCAATATCATACTGAATGGGCAAAAACTGCAAGCATTCCCTTTGAAAACCGGCACAAGACAAGGATGCCTTCTCTCACCACTCCTATTCAACATAGTGTTGGAAATTCTGGCCAGGGCAATCAGGCAAGAGAAAGAAATAAAGGATATTCAATTAGGAGAAGAGGAAGTCAAATTGTCCCTGTTTGCAGATGACATGATTATATATTTAGAAAACCCCATCATCTCAGCCCAAAATCTCCTTAAGCTGATAAGCAACTTCAGCAAAGTCTCAGGATACAAAATCGAAGTGCAAAAATCACAAGCATTCTTAAACACCAATAACAGATAAACAGAGAGCCAAATCATGAGTGAACTCCCATTCACAATTGCTTCAAAGAGAATAAAATACCTAGGAATCCAACTTACAAGGGATGTGAAGGACCTCTTCAAGGAGAACTGCAAACCACTGCCCAACGAAATAAAAGAGGACACAAACAAATGGAAGAACATTCCATGTTCATGGATAGGAAGAAGCAATATTGTGAAAATGGCCATACTGCCCAAGGTAATTTATAGGTTCAATGCCATCCCCATCAAGCTACCAATGACTTTCTCCAAAGAATTGGAAAAAACTACTTTAAAGTTCATATGGAACCAAAAAAGGGCCCGCATTGCCTAGACAATCCTAAGCAAAAAGAACAAAGCTGGAGGCATCATGCTACATGACTTCAAACTATACTACAATGCTACAGTAACCAAAACAGCATGGTTCTGGTACCAAAACAGAGAGACAGACCAATGGAACAGAACAGAGGCCTCAGAAATAACACTACATATCTACAACCATCTGATCTTTTACAAATCTGACAAAAACAAGAAATGGGGAAAGGATTCCCTATTTAATAAGTGGTGCTGTGAAAAATGGCTAGCCACATGTAGAAAGCTGAAACTGGATCCCTTCCCTACGCCTTATACAAAAATTAATTCAAGATGGATTAAAGACTTAAATGTTAGACATAAACCATAAAATCCCTTGAAGAAAACCTAGGCAATACCATTCAGGACATAGGCATGGGCAAGGACTTCATGACTAAAACACCAAAAGCAATGGCAACAAAAGCCAAAACAGACAAATGGGATCTAATTAAAGAGCTTCTGCATGGCAAAAGAAACTATCATCAAAGTGAACAGGCAACCTAAAGAATGGGAGAAAATTTTAGCTATCTACCCATCTGACAAAGGGCTAATCCAGAATCTACAAAGAACTCAAACAAACTTACAAGAAAAAAAAACAACCCCATCAAAAAGTGGGCAAAGGAAATGAACAGATACTTCTCAAAGGAAGATATCCCTGCAGCCAACAGACACATGAAAAAATGCTCATGATCACTGGTCATCAGAGAAATGGAAATTAAAACCACAATGAGATACCATCTCACGCCAGTTAGAATAGTGATCATTAAAAAGTCAGGAAACAACAGATGCTGGAGAGGATGTGGAGAAATAGGAATGCTTTTACACTGTTGGTGGGACTGTAAATTAGTTCATCCATTGTGGAAGACAGCATGGTGATTCCTCAAGGATCTAGAATGAGAAATACCATTTGACCTAGCAATCCCATTACTGGGTATATACCCAAAGGATTATAAGTCATGCTGCTATAAAGACACATGCACACGTATGTTTATTGCAGCACTATTCACAATAGCAAAGACTTGGAACCAACCCAAATGTCCATCAATGATAGACTGGATAAAGAAAATGTGGCACATATACACCATGGAACACTATGCAGCCATTAAAAAGGATGAGTTCATGTCCTTTGCAGGGACATGGATGAAGCTGGGAACCATCATTCTCAGGAAACTATCACAAGAAGAGAAAACCAAACACCACATGTTCTCACTCATAGGTGGGAATTGAACAATGAGAACACTTGGACACAGGGCAGGGAACATCACACACTGGGGCCTATCGGGAGGTGGGAGCCTGGGGGAGGGACAGCATTAGGAGAAATACCTAATGTAAATGACGAGGTGATGGGTGCAGCAAACTAACATGACACATGTATACCTATATATCAAACATGCATGTTGTGCACACGTACCCTAGAACTTAAAATATAATAACAAAAAGAAAATCTAAGACCTGAAGCCATAAAAATTTTAGAAGATAACCTCAGGAAAATTCTTCTAGACATTGGCTTAGGCAAAAAGTTTATGACCAAGAACCCATTCATAGGTGGGAACTAAAAAAGTTAATATGGAGGTAGAGAGTAGAATAATCACTACCACACACTGGCCAGGGTGTGTGTGTGGATGGGGAAAGATGAAAAGAGAGGTTGGTTAATGGTTACAAATGCAACAAAAACAAAAATAAATATATGGGATTTAATTAAACCTAAAAGCTTCTGCACAGCAAAAGAAATAATCAGCAAACAGACAATCCACAGAGTGGGAGAAAGTTTTCGCAACTGTTCATCCAGCAAAGGACTAATATCCAGAATCTGCAAGTAACTCAAACAAATCAGCAAGAAAAAAAAATAATCCCACCAAAAAGTGGGCTAAGGACATGAATAGACAATTATCAAAAGAAGATATAAAAATCACCAACATGAAAAAATGCTCAACATCGCTGATTATCAGGGAAATGCAAATCAAAACTACAATGTAATACAACTTTACTCCTACAAGAATGGCGATCATTTTTTTAAAAAATACTAGACATTGGTGCGGATGTCATGAAAAGGGAACACTTTTACCCTGCTGGTGGCAATGTAAACTAGTACAACCACTGTGGAAAACAATGTGGAGATTCCTTAAATAACTAAAAGTAGAACTACCATTTCATCCAGCAATCCCACTACTGGGTATCTACCCAGAGGAAAAGAAGTCATTTTATGAAAAAGACACTTGCACACACATTTATAGCAACACAATTCACAACTGCAAAAACATGAAACCAGCCCAAATGCCCATCAATCAAGTGGTTTAAAAATGTGATATATATATCACATTTTATATACAAAAAATATGTGATACATTTTATATATGATATATATGTGATTATATGTAGTTATATATATATATGTGTGTTATACACACACACCATGGAATAATACTCAGCCATATAAAAGAATGAAATAAGGGCATTCGCAGCAACCTGGATGGAGTTGGAGACCATTATTCTAAGTGAAGTAACTCAGGAATGTAAAACCAAACATCGTTCTTATAAGTGGGAGCTCATCTATGAGGACACAAAGGTGTAAGAATGATACAATGGACTTTGGGGACTCAGGGAGAAGGGTGGGAGGGGGCTGAGAGATAAAAGACTATACATTGGGTACAGTGTACACTGCTCCTATTCCCCAAAAACTATTGAAAAAAAAATCTGGAAATTAAAAAAAATTGAAATCCTATAATTTGCAGCAACATGGATGAAACTGGAGGTCATTATGATAAGTGACATAAGCTAAGCACAGAAAGACAAATATTGTACATTTTCATCCATAGGTGAGAACTAACAAAGTTAATATGGGTGTAGAGAGTAGAATAATAACTACCAGAGACTGGCCAGGGTGTGTGTGTGGATGGGGAAAGATGAAGAGAGAGGTCGGTTAATGGTTACAAATATACAGTTAAATAGATAAGCTAAGACCTAGTGTTCGATAAATCAGTAGAGTGACTATCGTAAACAATAATCTATTGTATATTTCCAAACAGCTGGTAGAGAATAATGCAAATGTTCCCAGCATAAAGAAAAATTTTTAAGGTGATGAATATTCCAATTATATTGGCTTGATTATAACACATTATACGAATATAGCAAAATATCACATATACCCCCCAAAAGTATTTCTATTATATATCACAAAAATACGAATCAGAAACCAAAGTAAAATTTATATTTTAATATAAAATGGATCAAGTTTTTCTGTTACATCACAGTTTTCTTTGGTGACATACTGCTCAGCTTGTCTAGGCTTGTTACATACATTGTGTCAAGGAATTAATTATATTGGCTGCACTTGTGATCTCTGCTTCAGCAATTAATGCTGTTTTGATAAGTAAGCATCTTTTAGTGTTTATTATAAGCTATGTTCTAGCAATCTCTAATGAATTAGCAATCTGTAATACTCTCATTAGGTAGAAATTATTATTCCTAATGTACAGATAAGAACCTGGGACTCGAAAAGGTAAAATGACTTTCTAGTTTGTCTAATTGCAGAGTTTTTATATCTAATGCTGATGCCTCTGTGATCCAGAATAATTGCCATAGAATTTCAGTCCCTAAATAAATTCCTTGACAAAAGCCTTCATTGGTTAAGTGAATTTAGTGTACATTTTAAAATAAAGTATGTTGTAGAAGTCCCTTCTTGACAGTTTTCAATGCATATTAGCATACTAAAGCCTCCAAGAAGTACTGCTAAAAGAAGTAATTGTTTAACCCAGCATTTCCCAAATTAATTTAGCCATAAGGCTTTTTAGAAAAACACAATCAGCACTCCTTATAGCCAGCATTCCATAATTCCATAGAATATGTTTTAGGGAACTCTGTTCTGAACTTACATTCTGCCCTGTTTTAAAATACCTGATATTTCTATAAACCATATAATCCTGTAAGAAAGGCACCAAAGTGCTACTATGTCACAAGAACTCAATGAACAGTTCATTTATATGGCATTATAGCATCTTACCGATAGAGGTAATAATCCCTATGGCAAAAGTAGTAAAGTGTGAGTGTGTGTGTGTGTGTGTGTGTGTGTGTGTGTGTGTTCCTTTGGTTTCTGAAGATAACCCTAGAGAAGTAGAAAGTTTACACCAAGTCTGAAGGCAAGTGCTGTTAAAAAAAACAAACATCCCTTAATGAGCTTGATTTTCACCTTGAATAGTGTACTACTGTGAAAAGTTTAAGAAAACAAGGTCATTGGTTGGGGGGTGTCTATTTAACTAGTACAAAATAGGATTTAACATATACCAAAGAATTTACTTTCTTTAAATCTCAGTCGCTGGTTTTAATTTTAGTACCTATTGCCTGTGTCTGTACATGGCTCATGTAACATACTACATTATTTCCTACCACTCTTAGCTCAAATGTCAGTTTCTAGACAGACCCTACACTTTCTATTCCCTGTCCTTGAACTCTACCCTCTGTCAACTAGATATTTAAACAAACGCTTGGTAATGAGTGTGATGATGATGATGATGATGATGACAATGATGGTTTTAGATGCAAAGTTATGGACATACACCTAACATAATATCATACTAAGTGCCTTTTTTTTCTAAATGTCTTTGTATTAGTCCCCTTTCATACTGCCATAAAAAACTTCCCAAGCCTGGGTAATTTATAAAGGAAAGAGGTTTCATTGACTCACAGTTCAGCATGGCTGGGGAGGCCTCAGGAGACTTACAATCATGGCGGAAGCCAAAGGGGAAACAACGCACCTTCTTCACAAGGTGGCAAAAAGGAGAAGTGCCGAGCGAAGCGGGAAGAGCCCCCTGTAAAACCATCATATCTCGTAAGAACGAACTCACTATCACGAGAACAGCATGGGGGAAACCGCCTCCATAATCCAATTACCTCCACCTGGTCTTTCCCTTGACACGTGGGGATTATGGGGTTTATAATTCAAGATGAGATCTGGGTGAAGACACAAAGCCTCATCATATCACTTTTTCATTTTTAATACAATTGCAAAATGAGTCAAATACACTGTTCTATTTTATAGTCACAGCATAGAGTAATGAGCAAACCTAGGCTGGTCACTGCTATGTTATTCTTATAAGGAAAAGGAAAATTCAGCTTTCCATTCCAGCTTGCTGGTATTTCCATTTCACTAGGCTATAAATAAAACGAACACTAGAGTTAAAAAACTTGAATGTTTTTCTCTTTCTAGTGATAAGTGTAATTAGTAATTTGTTTTAAAGATATTTTTAAACCCTTTAAATGATTTAATTGAGGTCAGTAACCTATGTAACAAACAGCACGTTAGAGACACAACAATGGCTAAAACTCCTCATTTTCTCTAAAAATTAATTAAAATTATTTTCTCTAAATATAAGAAATGCCAAACTGAGCTAAAATAAATAAGACAATACTTATTTTTAATAGAACCATCTATAATTTCTACCTATAGAATACTTTTAAAGGTTCTAAACTAAGGCTTTTAACAGTGTCAGGCACAAATTGTTACCAATCAAATGAACTAAATTAATATGCTTTTATTTGCTATTTTATTACTAATTTTTTACAGTGGGTGAATACTACTTTTTCTGTGTCCTAAACTACTTAAAGTACATAAAATATACTTTTATAATATACTAGAACTTACTGTTTCCCAGACTTAAGACTGAGTCATTAGAGTAAGCTACACACTAGAGTGGAACAAAATTTAGCTTAATCTGAATTTCATGATTTGGTTTAAAATAAACCAAATTTTACTTTGCCTTCTAACTTTGTAACATTTTAAAGCTTATTCAGGTCACGATGCAATGAAAATAAAAAACAATTGACAAATGTACTTTGTGTTAATTCTGTTTAAACACTTGTCCACCTAGAAACTTTAGAGGTTTTCATACAGAATACAAAAATGCTATTACCTTTCCAGTCTTAAGCTAATAATTGTAATACAATTCACAATTTAAATTCTAAACTAACATGCCATCTGTTGCTATGAATCTAAAAATGTTGCCATATTTGGAAACTTTTATTATATTAAAGCATGAAAATTTGGATTTCTGAACAACCAGTAACTTGTAAAAAAGCTCTAATTTCTACTTTCAGAATACGTTTAGGATTCATATGTTCTTGTGATTCCAAAGAATTTGAAGTCCAGTGGAGCACAAAATTAAAACCAATTTTAAAAGTATTTAACTTTAATAGAAATTGGCACAAGCATTCATAAATCTTAACTAATTTTGTTATCCTCCTTTAAATCAATTTCTTTACATGGTAGTCCAGTTAGTAAGTTGCTAAGTTACTAGTTGTTAACTTGCCAGTTAATAAGTCCAGCTGCTAAGACAACTCAGCAATTAATGTGTATTAGAATTGGATTTCTTCAAATGTGCTCTAACTATATGGCCTACATTGGTCATTTATCAGAATATACAACTTACATGCCTCTTCGCATTAACACATCATAATGGATTCAAAGGTTTACCTTTAATAAGTTTAATTTAAAACTTAAATAAGTTTTAAATATGAAACAAGTTTAAATGCTATAAAACAAGAGTTAATATATGTAAATAACCTAAAGGCTTACTTTATATTCCATCGCAGACTTTGTCTTAAAATATCTGGTAGTTATAAGATAGGGTGAAAATAGATGCATTTTCAAAAACTGGGGCTTATTTCATGAAGGAAATTTGGCTTAATAATTAGAGCTTTCAGCCGAGCGCGGTCGCTCACGGCTGTAATCCCAGCACTTTGGGAGGCCGAGGCGGGCGGATCACGAGGTCAGGAGATCGAGACCATCCTGGCTAACACGGTGAAACCCCGTCTCTACTAAAAATACAAAGAAAAATTAGCCAGGCCTGGTGGCGGGCGCCTGTAGTCCCAGCTACTCAGGAGGCTGAGGCAGGAGAATGGCGTGAACCCGGGAGGCGAAGCTTGCAGTGAGCCGAGATCGCGCCACTGCACTCCAGCCTGGGCGACAGAGCGAGACTCTGTCTAAAAAAAAAAAAAGAAAATAATAATAATAATAATAATAATAATAATAATAATAATAATTAGAGCTTGCATGTTAACTAAGTTCAAGGTAATTGCTTTATAGTCTCAAATTTTAAAATATTAAAAACATAAAGTTAACATTTATATGAGTAAGAATTATGTCTGGTTCTCTTTTCTATAAAGCCATCTATCTACTTACATTTTAGAGCTTATACTTTAAATTTTTTTAATTATAAAAGTGATATATATGCAGAGCTTGAAAAAGTCAAACCTTGTTTTAAAAGATTTAAACCAGCTGGGCGCGGTATTATTATAACTTCTGTGAAGAAAACAAAAGTTTTTCCAGCTACGTGGTCTGTTAGAAAATAAAAATTAAACGGCTCAGACTAAGAAGATGTGGAAGAAATTATAGGACCAGACTCATTTTCAGATACTCAAAACAAACGATCAGTTGCCAAGTAATCAAGTACCTTTTTTACATTCTCTTACCTCACCCATTCTTTATACATTTAATTATGTGTGTATGTGCTTTTTAGATCCCATACCTATATAATTATCTTTAATTTTTAGTTTAATTTGCATAGGAAATGAAGAACTGGATACATTAAATTTTTTTTTGTTTTGAATATGAATTTATACTGCTGTGTTAACAAAGACTGCAGTCGTGACTGGGTGTGGTGGCTCATGCCTGTAATCCCAGCACTTTGGGAGGCCGAGGCGGGCAAATCACGAGGTCAGAAGATCGAGACCATCCTGGCTAACACGGTGAAACCTCGTCTCTACTAAAAAATTCAAAAAATTAGCTTGGCATGGTGGCGGGCGCCTGTAGTCCCAGCTACTTGGGAGGCTGAGGCAGGAGAATGGCATGAACCCGGGAGACAGAGCTTGCAGTGAGCCGATATAGCACCACTGCACTCCAGCCTGGGCAAAAGAGAGAAACTCCATCTCAAAAAAAAAAAAAAAGAAAAGAAAAAAGATTTAAACCAAAACAGTTGTCCCCTGACTTCAGCCCAGAGCCAATCAACTTGCACTCTTTTAATGGTTTCTTCTTTCTGTTTTGTTTTCTGCTACCTCTAGATAATTTAATATGTTGCTTTTTGTTTTTAACTCTTTGGATAAAATATTTAGCCAACTTTTGACAGCTCTGTAAAGCTTCTCTCAACACTTTTCCATCGTTAAACCTGTCAGATAACCCAATTGTCACTTTTCGAGTCACCTTCCTGGGGCCTGCCATTCTCCCCAGTTCACCAGAATGGTTTGCTCTCTGGGTCTGATAAACTTTCCCTTCACCATTAATCTGAGATTTCTACTTGTCTCTCCTTCTCTTCATTGTTGATTACCTATTTCCTCGATATCAGGTCTTCCTCTCAATCTATTTCTTCGTTTAGTGGAGTACATTCTCCAGCAGCCTCTAAGAAAGGGTATATGGTAGGTTTATTAGAGACTTTGTTTATTTGAAAATACCTTTATGCTATCTTTATACTGAATAGAGAGCTCTGTGGCCGGGAGCAGTGTCTGACGCCTGTAATCCTCAAACTTCGGGAGGCTGAGGTGCGTGGAGTTCGAGACCAGCCTGGCCAACATGGCGAAACCCTGTCTTTACTAAAAATATACAAAAAATTAGCCGGGTGTGGTGGTGGGCACCTGTAATTCCAGCTACTCGGGAGGCTGAGGCAAGAGAATTGCTTGAACCCAGGAGGCAGAGGTTGCAGTAAGCCGAGGTCGCGCCACTACACTCCATCCAGCCTGAAGACAGAGTGAGGCTCTGTCTCAAAAAAAGAAAGAAAGAAATCCTACTGCACATTAAATTGTGCCTCAAAGTCTCTACTAAAAAGGAGAAAGGTATATTATCTCCAAATCTTTCTTTCACCTTTTCATATGAAGGTGAAGGGATTGGAAATTCCCTTAATTTTTTCAGTCTTTTAAAAGGGTATTATGGATATGTGCTATTTCAAATGCCTTTTGTTTTAAAAGGAGTATATTTATCAGATTTTATCTTTTAGGGGCTGCAAATACATCCTAAGTTGAGCACCACAGCTAAAGTACATTGTAAGTATTTTGAAAAATACTTGCAGTATAAATTCATAATCAAAACAAAATTTTTAATGTATCCAGTTATTCATTTCCTATGCAAATTAAACTAAAAATTAAAGATAATTATACAGGTATGGGATCTAAAAAGCACATACACACATAATTAAATGTATAAAGAATGGATGAGGTGAAAGAATGTAAAAAAGGTACTTGATTACTTGGCAACTGATCGTTTGTTTTGAGTATCTGAAAATGAGTCTGGCCCTATAATTTCTTCCACATCTTCTTAGTCTGAGCCATTTAATTTTTATTTTCTAACAGACCATGTAGCTGGAAAAACTTTTGTTTTCTTCACAGAAGTTATAAATAATTAAAATTAGTGAACTCTAGGGCACCCAAAGACATCTCAAAATCTTTTTAAGCTGTACTAAATATTTGAGATTTTAATAGTAAGCAACTTACAAACATCTCCCTCTCATTATCAATTAATGAAAAGCCTCCCATTCCTAATAAACAAAATTTAAGGCTTTTAAGTTTGTATAGCAAATGTTTTCCACTCTCTTCCAGTTACCAACCCTTGCTATGCAATAGAAAATATTTCTAGACTATCGAGCCTGTGCATATCTTCCCTTCTCTTTCGCCTCAAAATACCTACTTTAGCACGTATCCGAATCACCTGGAGGGCTTGTTAAAACAGATTGCCGGGCACCCCTTCCTGTTTCCAATTCAGTAGAGGCAAAGCCCATGAATTTGTATTATCACATGTTCCCAGTGATGTTGATGTTGCTACTCTAGGAATCAATAAAATTATCCTCAATTTCTTTCCCTCAGTTTAAGAAAATTAAGTAGCACTTCTTTCCTTTCCAACAAGTTTAAATTTGTACTCTTGGTTTTATCTTCCTTCTCATTCTACCGTTATTTCTGTATTTCCAGCATCTCAGTCTCTTTCTATATGCATTGACTCCTCTCTGCCTTCTAGATGCACAGACCTCCTTTTTCAAAAATATATATAAAACAAATACACCGTCTATTTAAAAGTTACCATCTATGTCTCTCATAAATCTGTTCACTGCCAAATTTCTAGGTAAAATATCCTTGAACCAAAACCTCTACATTCGGCCAGGCGCGGTGGCTCACCCTGTAATCCCAGCGCTTTGGGAGGCTGAGGCAGGCGGATCACTTGAGGCCAGGAGTTCGAGACCAGCCTGGTCAACATGGTGAAACCCCGTCTCTACTGAAAAAAAAAAAAAAATACAAAAAATTAACCACGCGTGCTGGCACATGCTTGTAATCCCAGCTACTTGGGAGGCTGAGGCAGGAGAATCCTTGAACCCAGGAGGCAAAGGTTGCAGTGAGCTGAGATCGCACCACTGCACTCCAGCCTGGGCGACAAGAGCGAAACTCCGTCTCAAAAAACAAACAAAATCTCTACATTCTATTACTTCTCTCCATTACTTAGATCATCTTTCAGAGTCCAAGCAGGAAACAGACAGCACTTTCAACTTGGGAGAATTATTATTAAATTATTTATAAAAGTCTGGGTAGGATGTAGGAAAACCACAATGGATACTGCAGTTAGTTGGGCTAGATACAATGCAAGATCCTTTGCCATTCTTAGGCCTGAGGGTGTGGGAAAGCAACATCCCCAGAAGCTGGAGAGATTGTCATACGGAGAGAGCTGCCCGACAGGAGCTGTGACCTTCCCGATTGTGGCTCATAACAACATCATGAGAGAGGGCAGAAAAAAAAGCTTCATTCTCTTTCTCCTGCCAACACGCCAATATTCTGCTGGTGCTCCAAATGGTTATCAAGCCTGTGCATATCTTTCTCTTACGGCTCAAAATACCTACTTTAGTACACATCAGAATCACTTGGAGGGTGATAACTGGATGTCAGAGGGAAAATAAGCTGGTTGGTAAAGTCCTAGAGATTAATTTCACAAGATATAGTAGAGAACAAAGGATGGATCTGCAAATAAGCAATATCCCTTACCATATGGTCCATCTCTTTTGTTCCTCAGATTCTTATCCTTTATTTAGGTAGACACATTTATGTCCTCAACACAGGAAACATACAATCATACAAAGTCCTACAAGCTACTATTTCATAAGATTGATGTCAATTTAGTCATATTCTTCTCCTGTACACATGGAACATTCTCCAAGACAGCACATATACTAGACTATAAAAGATATTTCAACAAACTTAAAAGGACTGAAACAATACAAAATAAGTTCTCCAAATTTAACAAAATTAAATTAGCAATCAATAACAAACACATATTTGGTAAGAATTCCCAAATACTTGAAAATTAAACAATATACTTTTAAGTAATCCATAGTTCAAAGAAGAAATCAAGATGAAATTTAAAAATATTTTGAACTGAATGAAAATAAAAACATGACATATACAAATTTATGAGATGCAGCTAAAGCAGTGCTTAGAGGGAAATCTATAGGTCTACATGCCTGTATTTGAGAAAAAGAGAACTCTCTAAGCCTGAATGTATAGAAAAGAACAGCAAATTAAAGCTAAAGGAAGCAGAAAATAATAATAAAGAGAACAGAACCAAAGAAAAAGAAAAGAGAGCAGAGAAAAATCAATGAACCCCAAGCTGGTTCTTTGACTTCAATAACTTCTTTGACAACTTCAATGTTGACTGATATGGTTAAAGAAAAAAAAGAGAGAGAGAGAAAATAAAGATTACCAAAATTACAAAAGTAGGGAGGAACTTGACCACCAAACCTTATGAAATTAAAAGGACTGTAAGGCACTACTATGAACAAACTAGACAACTAAGATGAACCAGATAAATTCCTAGAAAGAACAAATTATTGAAACTGAATAAAGAACATATAGAAAATCTCAACAGGCCTGTAATATGTAAAGAAATAGAAAAAATAATAATAATTTAAAATCTTCCCACAAAGAAAATCCCACACCTGGATGATTCCACTAGTTAATTCTATCAAATATTTAAATAAGAAATAATACCAATCATTTATGAACACTTCCATAAAAGTGAATCCTTCCCAATTCACTCTATAAGGCTGCTATTACAGTGATACCAGAGTAAAAGATAGGAAAAAAAAAGGAAAAGAAAAAGAAAACCACAGACCGATATCTCTCATGAATACAGATGCAAAAGTCTTCATTGAAATGTTAGCAAATCAAATCCAGGACCTCTTTCTGAAGTGCTGTCATGGTCCACTTCTTGACTTACTGGTAAATTACTTAGCTAAATATTTTTGTCTTGTGCACTTACCTCTTTATGTTATGGTTCAAGATTTTAAAAGATTTAAACATACACATATACAAGAAAGAAAAGAATGCCTAGTCTATGTTCTCAAAGTACAAGTAATTTAGTAAAAGACTAGATTAATAGAAAAACAAAAGTAATGGCAGAATATGACAAGTACCCTGAAAGGTATAGGGTTACAAGGAAATGAGAACATAGCTGATCCATGTATGCTACTGTTTTTATGTTACTTTATGTTTGAGGGTGTATGGAGGGAAACCAGAAAAACTATAAAGGAAAGAGAATTTTGATTGCCTTAATTATGGATAGGTAGAATTTTATCTGAAGAAAAAGAAAAATTTAGGTAGAGATCAGCATGAGCAAAGCTTGAACCATATTTGGGAGAAACATCAGGTCAAGTTTGGCTCCACCACTATATGTACAATTTTTTTTTGAGATGGGGTCTCACTCTGTCACCCAGGCTGGAGCACAGTGGCATGATGTTGGTTCACTGCAACCTCCGCCTCCCTGACTCAGGTGATCCTCCTACCTCAGCCTCCTAAGTAGCTGGGATTACAGGCGCCCACTACCACATTTGGCTAATTTTTGTATTTTTAGTAAAGACGGGGTTTCACCATGTTGGTCAGCCTGGTCTTGAACTCCTGGCCTCAAGTGATCCACCAGCATCGCCCTCCCAGAGTACTGGAATTATAGCATGAGCACCACGCCCGGCCAGCTTTCTTCAATTTATAAAATGAAGAGAATATACATTAAAATTAATCAATAAGGCTTCAGATCTAAAATTTTATGAAAGAGCTATTTACACCTTATCATGAACAAATATATACACCCTGGCCTCCAAAACAGTTAAAGGGAATCAACCCAGACATAACTAGCAATGCTTTCTCAAATGACTGGATATTGCTCCTATATAAAGCTAGGTTTTCTTAAATTTATTTTAAAAACCATCTCTTTAGGACTTGAAGAAGAGTCCTGAATCCCAATATTTTGTCAACAAATTTGACTTTACCTGATTAGCAGTCTTCTTGATTTTGCAAGTTTTAAGCATATTCTGCCTCTGACATACCCTTATCCCAATGTCCTACCCAACCATCGCTTTTTCAGGCTGAAGAGTTCTGCCAGGAGGCAAAGGTTGCAGTCAGCCAAGATCCTGCCACTGCACTCCAGTCTGAGTGATGGAGTGAGATTGTGCCTCAATTAAAAAAAAAAAAAAAGAGTTCTGTAATTGTTTTCATAAATCTTAAAGATCTCTCTATCCCACTGATATTTTAAATTTGTCATTTCCAGTATTTATTCAATTCTATCAGGTCTTTTTGAGGTTATGGAATTAGAGATGAATACTGTAGCAGAATAATGTTATTTTGTTAGGGGAGAAAGAAAACCCTTATCACTTTCCTGGGCTTTTTGACAGCAATGTGTCAGATAGCTATCTTCATGGAATTATTTATGAAGAAATACAGTTTATGACAGTGTTTCTCTTTAACTTTACTAGCAAAAGAACTCCTTTTTTCCCAATAAAATTATATATAATACCTCACTACATAAAACAGACCATAAAGTGCAACTGCTCTGGTTGTAGTTTGTAACTGCCTAAAGCCTCACAGATGCGGTTCAGCTCTTGCCCCTCTTTCACACCCCATCCAACAAAGACCCCCAAGAGTGCTTCCCAGGCAGCACGGAGGACAGCAAGAAAATCATCACTTTACAGCATCTGTAAATATTAAAGATGTCAACATATACAGAAGAATCAAAGCTTCAAATGAAATCAATTACTTCAAAAGGCTTCTTTACTGCAACATCAATAGAACATTTATAAAATTCATTTCTCAATTTACTCAAACACACATACAAAAATTCACAAGTTCATATTTAGAAAACTGCCTTTTTAAATCCGTCTTAGAATAAATACAGCATCAACTTAACCATATACTGGCCACTAGTGTAGCACATCAGAAAAAATAATTATTAACTCTTTCCATAATAAATGTCAATATAGTAAAAAATGTCAAGCACACATTAGTGAAATGGATCAAGATCATTTTTTATTGCACATCTGCTTACATGTCTGCTGCTTTTGGGCAGAGTTAAACCTGACATATTGAGTCAGTTTCCGTCATTTTACATCAACTAAATTATAGCAGTGAATTGCTTATGTGTCTCCCAGGCTTACCTTCCAGAAACTAGAACATTAACCTTTCCAATTTATCTAGGTACTGAAGCACAAATTTAACATTTGTTTTTGCAAAATTTAAACACTCAGAAACAAACCAAACAACATCCTATACAGAAAACAATTTTTATGTCTAGATATACAATTGAGGTTCAGAGAACTTCTGATTATACAGTATTGTAAAGGTAATGATAATCCAACCCTCTTCCAAACTATTTAATTCCTGTATATGTAATTAAGCATTTATTTTCAGAAATTTTAACACTTTCAGCAATTGATTCTCTCACAATTAGGCATTTTTAAGATCCTCCATCCCACCAAAAATAACCCACAATGACTCCAAATCTTGTTTTTCTTTTTTAAAACGCTATTCTCTTGGGACTAAACTGTTCAGAATAATCAGTATTCTTATTCCCTTTCCACTGTACTCTACTGCTCAATGCAAAATGGAGAATATGTGGTCCAAATAGAAATATGGCATTTGTGCAGGTCAAGCTTTGAAGAGACATGGACCACATGATTAGCCTGATTTTTAAAAAGCAACAAGAATGGTGACACAACTATTACACCAAACACAAAATTCTGGCCATTAATGAATCAGAAGTAATAACTGATGCTCCTACTTTAAATTCATCAATGCCATATTTAAGAAGTCAAGCAACAACACATACTTGGCAAAATCTTCTAAATTCTCAAGTTATCAAACAAAAAAGTTATTTTTAATACTTTACCCCCCTTATATCTTATGATTCAATCACTTATATTTTCCTTTGTTAGATTATTCAGAAGAAACAATTCTATTTAACCTTAATAAGTTTTTGTCTCACACATTTTATATAAAGTTACTAAAATCACAATTCTGAGAAATTTATTTTTAATCATACAAACATTATATGATTTAACTGCAGTAAAGAAATTATATCTTTTCTTAATCTATTTAGAATGATATTACAAAATCTCTAAGACTCTTTTCCACAGCTTTTCTTTATATGAACAAACTCATAATTATGTAAAATGCATCTCAACTCCACAGTGAACTAGCATCCATGCTTATTCCACATAGGTACTGCCAGTGGTCCCTGCGGTGTCCTTTCAACAATGACAAACTCTTCAGGGTTGCCAAATGCCTCATAGAAAACCAATAAATCTTGTATGGCATGCTCCTCAATCTGAAAGGAGGAAGGGAAAGAAGACTCTTTACTCTTTTAATTATAAACTAAGCAGGATGTATTTGCCTTCCAATTTCCTTTTGAGGAACTATCACTTTCCATGGATACAATACAGTGAAATTAAATCAGGTATCCTGCATTTTAAATCAGGTATCCTGCTATCTCTGTGGCAAGGAGAAAGCTTGAGGTGTGAGGTAGAATCATGAGATACCCATGCGCTCTTCAATTTGAATCTTGAGCAGAAGGAAAAAGAAACTGAAAATGGTTGCTAAAATTCATTCATTCCAATAGCTTTATTCTGTGAGATACTTTCTGTTGTTGTACAAGTCTTCTAAATCTTGCTTCTGAGCTTTCCAGTGCTACTATGCGTCTTTTCTGTTTCCAAGCCTGGCTGTCTGGTCTTTCAGCTAAGTCTATGGAATCTTAATATCCCTCAAATAAATTATCTTTTCCTTAAGTTAGCCAGAGTGGGCTTCTGTTGCTTACAATCTTAGAATTCTTACTGATACAGAAGCCAAGTGCAGCACTAGAGAATACTGCCAAATTCTCTACTGGTCATTTTAAAAAAACTAAAATAATCCAAAGTATCACCAAAGCAAAAATATAAGCTTTATCATAATTTATTAGTCATAAATTAATTGCCCTGAATATCTACAACTAATACATACACTGCTAGATGCCTCAGTTTAATTTTACCTGGCATTTACATTTTAATTTCATAGATACAAGCACCTGTCCAAAACAAACAAACACGATTTTCTTAAAACCTAAGTAGGAAATGTAGTTCTTCTCTAAATTAAACCCTACTAAGTATGTTATTTACCTGAATCAGAGCCAACGGTTTTTCTCGACTTCTAATAAGAGCTGCTTCTTGTTGTAGTTCTTCTTCTACAATAGATGCAAAAGTGACTGGGGCTACCATGGATGGAGCAGTCACTGAAGAAGATAGCCAGGGACTGAAAGAATAATAATAATGAGTTTCATTCATCTTCCTAAATTTTTGCATGCAAAATTTTCTCTGAAATACTTTTTAGCAATGCTACAATTCTTTCCAGTGACCTACAATGAACGAACCTGGAAGCTTTCACAGAGATTACAGAATGATGAGTTTCACTCATCTTCCTAAATTTTTGCATGCAAAATTTTCTCTGAAATACTCTTTAGCAATGCTACAATTTTTTCCAGTGACCTACGATGAGCGAACCTGGAAGCTTTCGCAGAGATTACAGAATGATGAGGTGAGAAACAGAAAAACAGAAGAACTAATGTTTTATTTGGACCAGTATTAGAGAGAAAATTTTGGAAAGTACCAGGAAATGGGGAGGGAGCAGAAACAACATAACTGAACAGAAAGGTAACTCAAACTACAGTACGGAGAGGATACAAGTAATACATTCTACTCAATACCATACTATTCCCAATTTCTTAACATTCTCTTATTCTCTTTTTTTTTTTTTTTTTTTGAGACAGAGTCTCACTGTGTCGCCCCGGCTGGAGTACAGTGGCATGATCGCGGCTCAATGCAATCTCTGCCTCCCAGGTTCAAACGATTCTCCTGTCCTAGCTTCATGAGTAGCTGGCATCACAGGCATGCGCCACCATGCCCAGCTAAGTTTTGTATTTTTAGTAAAGACAGGGTTTTGCCATGTTGGCTAGGCTGGTCTTGAACTCCTGACCTCAGATGATCCACCCGCCTCAGTCTCCCAGAGTGCTGGGATTATAGGCATGAGCCACTGCACTCAGCCTTAATGTTTTCAATGCTAAGCAGCAACTTAGCTTTGGAGGCCCATAACTTATCAATTAACCTTACTTGGGACTGTCTAGAAGTGGTAAATCTGAAATATGGTTGCCTTCTGGTCCTGGGGTACCATGGGTAGAGCATCTGCAAAACAAATGCCAAAATTAAAGATTAAAGCTTCTAGTAATATTAGTCAAACTGCTTATTAATAGATACAGAGGAAGAATTGTAAACTCCTGACTCCAGAGGCAAATTAAATGAGTGCAGTCAAGCTTACCTTTAAAATTATAAGTAAACAAAATAATCTATATTTATAAAACCTTCTGTATAAAATATCATAGAGAAAGATACTGCAAGAAATAGCCTATTTCTAATAATAAATATATATATACACACACCAGATAAACCAATAATCTCTAAATCAGATAATTAACAGCCGAATTTTGTAAGGAACTAATATACTTTATGAGCAAAGGATTACAGATAGGACAGAAATATAAAATATGATCTTTACCTTCTAAGAATTCACAAGCTAGTTGAGGAAACAACATACAAAATGACATATAAAATAACAGAACAGAATTTAAGACAGTATAACAAATTGAGTCACACTGGCTATAACAACTATAAAAATCACAATATTTAATCATTTGAGAGGGCCTCATGGATGGAATGAACTTGAGAAGATAATAAAAAAGAGGTATATGATGAAAGCAGTAAGAAGCATTCCAGTAAGGAGAAAAACTTAAAAAGGTACAATACAGATGGACCTAATTATGGAATTTTACAGCTAGAAAGGTCCCTAGAGATTATCTAGATTGCTCCAATGCTCTCTTTCAGCAATGAGAAAACTGAGGACTAGACAGGTTTAACAACACAAAGTCAAACAGAGAGTAAATTAACAGGACCTAAAATATTGACTTCGTGATTCATTTATACACATTTATTGAGCATGTCAGGATTACTGTAGGTGCTAAAAATCAGGCTGATTAAAACCCAATCTTCTCCCCTCAAAAAATTCTGATGGGGAAGATTTAAAAATATACTTAAGCAATGATAAAACAATGTATAAAGTACTATGGATGCACAGAAGAAAAAATACAATATGGAAGATTGTATATACTGATGGCTTCACTGAGGAAATGACATTAAAGCTGAGGAGACGTACAATTAGAAAGAATTTTGGTTGTACAAATACATGGACCTAAAAAAGATTTCAGTTATTTAAGTAAAGGCAGGCTGTTCTCTTCAATAAGCAAAGAATGCCTGAATTCAGGGTAAGGAAGAAACTTAAAGAGAAATAAAGTTTAAAAGAAACAATAGAGCCAGAGTACAAAATGCACTGAAAGCTAAAATGTTTAGCCCTAATGTGTGGGCAAACAAATTTACTAAAAGCCTAAGTACTTCATGTGTATTATCCCATTTAATCTTTGCAATACCCTGTGAAGAAAGCATATATTAACTATTATAGAGATTAAAAAACAAACTCAAAGAATATTATATAATTTGTCTGATTAACAAGTTAGATAAGTAGCAGAGAGATAACAAAAATCTGGTCTTTTTGATTTAGAGTACAGTGTTTTTTCCATGATCACACAGCTACCTTTATTTTTACTATTCCCCTTATTCTGGAATATATTCCACTTCAAATGTCTTCTCACTCTTTTACAGTTGGCTCAAATGTCACCTTCTCTCTCCTCCTACAAAACTTCAATCATTATGATAAAGCATCACACACTGTTATTATTGTTTACATGTCAATCTTAACTGCTAGACTAGTCTCTTGGGGAACAGGACTGTGTTTCATTCATCTTTGTATCTCAGTGTCCACCAGAATACTTGGAAATAGTCGTTTATGAAAAATTAATTAGAAAATTAACGACTGAAACAGAAACTCAAAGGGTATTTTTTTAGTATACGATAATGAAAAGCAGAGGTTTTTAGGTTCTTTATTGCTTTAAATTACTGATAACTTTTCTTAGAGATATAAGTACTGAATTACAAACTGATATAAGCCTTGTAGTAAGCCTGCATGATAGGTATTACTACTCTCATTTCCATATTATGAAACTGAGGTACAGAAAGACTCAGAAAGAGCTGTATAATGTTATACTGAATCTCAAATATGTTTCCTAAGACTACAATTCCATAACTTTTTCCACTCATGATGTTTCAACGGATAATTTCATTAATTACAAATTTATCCAATGTGGAGTCTGTCAAAATTTCTTCTTAAAATGAACCAAATTTGTCAAATAAAATAGAGCTATGATTAAACAAATATCAAAAACATTCTAAACTTTCAAATAATAAATATAGCATTATTGAGTTTTCAACATTAGCAACATAGAAGTAGATATCGCAAGAGACAATCTGTAGAAAATTTAGCCTTCTGAAAATAAACAGCAACATAAAAAGGTTAACTGAAATTTTCCTTAAAAGATTTTTGTTCTGGCCAGGTGCAGTGGCTCACGCCTGTAATCCCAGCACTTTGGGAGGCCGAGGCAGGCGGATCACCTGAGGTCAGGAGTTCGAGACCACCCTGACCAACATGGAGAAATCCCATCTCTACTAAAAATACAAAATTAGCCAGGCTTGGTGGCGCATACCTGTAATCCCAGCTACTAGGGTGGCGGAGGCAGGAGAATCGCTTGAACCCAGGAGGCAGAGGTTGCGGTGAGCTGAGATCAAGCCATTGCACTCCAGCCTGGGCAACAAGAACGAAACTCCATCTCAAAAAAAAAAAAAGATTTTTGTTCAAACCAAAAAACATTAATATTGTCACATTTACACTTTAAAGGAACTAAATTATTCTTTGCTCAGTTGGCCTTAAAAAAATTGTACTGGCTTAATTAGAAAGATTTTTATATCAGATTGGAGCTGATATAATCACAGAATAATTTTTTTCTCACAAGTAGTTTTTTTCACTAATTAGAAACACAAGCTCAGCTGGGCACAGTGGCTCACACCTGGAATCCCAGCACTTTGGGAGGCTGTGGGCAGATCACCTGAGGTCAGGAGTTCGAGACTAGCCTGGCCAACATGGCAAAACCCTGTCTGTATTAAAAATATAAAAATCAGCCAGGCATGGTGGCAGGCGCCTGTAGTCCCAGCTACTGGGGAGGCTGAGGCTAGAGAATCACTTGAACCTGGGAGGCAGAGGTTGCAGTGAGCGGAGATCACGCCATTGCACTCCATCCTGGGTGACAAGAGCGAGAGTCCGTCTCAAAAAAAAAAAAAAAAAAAGAAACACAAGCTTACATTTTCTTTCCAGAATTACATAAGGGGACATTTCAGTGAAAGGAAAATGAGAAATAAAAGCACATGAAATAAAAAAGAATACCTAAGTAACAATAAACAAATAAAAATTGTACAAATTGCTCACTTTTAGATGTTAACACCCTCAAACAACATTGTCATTCTTGCCCTAACCTTGGAAAAAAATCACATTTTCTAGAACTAAAACAAGAATGTATAATTTGTGGAATTTCCTGAGATGAGTCCCCCACCCCTGGCACCCTAACTCCCCAAAGGACCATAAGCATTCCTATCTTCTTAACTCCCACGATTTCCTCTGTTTATACTGCCCCATCTTCTCTTATTTCTTCTTTTAAAAATCCCATCCTGTATTCAAAAGCTTATGACAATGAAAGGAATCAAGAATTAAGTGATCTCTTTTTTTCTAATGTTTTTCACATGCTTATAAATATAATAATAAAATATTTGGAAATGAATATAAAAAGTGCTTATGAACTGACCCAGCTCAAGCCCTTCTTCTGCAATGAAGTCTTCCTGACAACACCAGCCCATGCTCAGTTTTTCTTCTCAGAACCACTCATTTGGTACTTCATCATATTGTAATCTCTTTAATACTTCCATATTGTATCGTAATTTCTTTTTGTTTTGTTGTTGTTGTTGTTGTTGTTGTTTTTGGAGACAGAGTCTCACTCTGTCGCTCAGGCTGGAGTGCGGTGACGTGATCCTGGCTCACTGCAACTTCCACCTCCTGGGTTCAAGCAATTCTCCTGCCTCAGCCTCCCTAGTAGCTAAATTACAGACATGCACCACTATGCCTGGCTAGCTTATTTATTTATTTACTTATTTATTTCTCTTTTTATTTATTTATTTATTTTTTGAGATGGAGTTTCACTCTTGTTGCCCAGGCTGGAGTGCAATGGCACAATCTCGGCTCACCACAACCTCCGCCTCCTGGGTTCAAGCAATTTTCCTTCCTTAGCCTCCCAAGTAGCTGGGATTACAGGCATGTGCCACCCCTGGCCCGGCTAATTTTATATTTTTAGTAGAGATAGGGTTTCTCCATGTTGGTCAGGCTGGTCTTGAAGTCCCGACCTCAGGTGATTTGCCTGCCTCGGCCTCCCAAAGTGCTGAGATTACAGGCATGAGCCACCACGCCCGGCCTAATTTTTGTATTTTTAGTAGAGACAAGGTTTCCCCATGTTGGCCAGGCTTGTCTCAAACTCCTGGCCTCATGTGATCCGCCCACATCAGCCCCACAAAGTGCTGGGATTACAGGCATGAGCCACAGCGCCTGGCCCTTGTATCGTAATTTCATTCTTATTCTGTCATTTAACTTCCATGTATGTATATTAATATTTATCAACTAGATTTCAGACACATTAAAGGCTGCACCTATACATTCTACTTTTATATATACCCAACACAGGCCAGTACCAGGTAGCCCATAATTTGCAAATTAATGAATATTTTAGTTTGTCTGTAATGTTTAATATTTCCTTTTTAAAAAAGCATACTTATTATGTTTTCTATGATGGAAAAAAACCCTGAAACTCAAAGCTATCTGTCTTCTTTCTCAGAATCACTAGCAGTGATAGCCAAAGCTATTTAAAACATTAACTCCCATACCAAAAATACTGAAGCTATGGATATATCATACTGTCATAAACTCCATTGAGTCAAACTTCCAAAGCAGTATAACAGGGCACACTTATAATTAAGAGCCCTGATGTTATAGCACACTCTAGTGATCAACTATGAAACCACAGATCCATATTTTAAGTTCCATGACAAATCGTTATATATCTAAAGACTTTTTTTTAAGTTTCAATGAATATTAATATTTAAAATATAAAAATACAAAACTTATCTTAATTTTCATACCTTTAAATTGATATATCTAAGACATGCAATATAACTCACTACATTAGAAACAAATGTTACTTGAAACAGGGTTACAATTTCAATTAATTTACTCATTCATTCACCAGACTCACTGAGCACCCAATACATGCCAGAAGCTAATATGAACACTGGTAGTAAAATGATGAGCAAAGACAAACATCCTCCTTGCTCTCATTGAACATATAATTAAACATACAAACATGAAAATACTTAGAGTAGACAAATATTAAAGAATCACACTAATAAATATGGAACGTACAATAAAAAAGAAGTACTATGAGAACAAACAACAGCAAACTGCCCCAGTAAGTCAGACTTCTCCAAAGAATATAACTGAATAGATATTGAAAGAAGAGTCAGAGTCGTCAGTCTGTCAAAGAGTAAGGAGGTGGAAAGAAGGAAAGTGCATTTGAGAACTAAGAGAAGGCCAAGATGACTAGAATACAGAGATCAGGTTACAAAATCAAGTTAAAGACAGTTGGCAGGAGCCAGACTATGTAGGCCTTGAAGGCCATGTTAAGAATGCTATAGCTTTTCTCTTAAAAGCAGTAAACTCCAAATTTTAAAAAAGAACATACTGGCTTAATATATTTGGAGTAAAGAAAGGCAAGACCAGTCAGGAGGGTAACTCTGGTGGCCCAGGTGAAGTATCACACCAGACTGACTCAGAGGTGATAGCACTGGAGATAAAATTTAGTATATGGATTTGAGAAATATTTAAGAGATAAAAGTGGAATGCTCTAACAGTAGACTGAATATTTGTGAAGAAAATGGAAGTGCCAAAGACACAAATTCTTCCTATTTACTGAGGAAGAAGATTCCGAAAAAACAGGCTGTTCTATGTTTTGTCTATATTTTTGTTTGATTTTGGTTTTATGAGATGGGTATGAGGAAAACATTAAGTTTAGTTTTGGACATGAAGTTTGTGGTCTTTCTGAACATCCAGATAGAATGGTAGGGTCAATAAGAGATAATTAAGTCTAAAGTTCAGATGATAGATATGGGCAAGAGATATAAATTTTGAGACTTTAGTACATGTCTGACGACTGAACATATGCTCATTAAATGGATAGTGTAGAAAGAATATAAAGTGAAATAAGACGACGACCAGTAATTGAACTTCAAGTATGATGAGTCACATAAAAAGTGGATGGTGTTGGCAATACAAAGGTCACTGTTGAACTTAGCCTGTACTGGTACTGTTTCAGTTTAGTAATGGGGCTGGGAGATAGAATCAATTACGGACTGATTGGGAGGTGACAACTCTTTTGAGAAATCTGGCTGTGAAGTGGATGGAGAATTGGTAATGATAGGACAACTGATAGAAGAAAGTGTGCCCAGACCACATGAGAGACCTGAGCACATTCAAAACCAGAGGGGAAGAATCTAGTTAAAAGGAAAATGTTGAATCTTACACAAGAAAGGAAAGGGGTAATTAATAGTTTTCAGGCTTCTGAAATGGGAAGCATTAAGATAAAAGCACAGGTATTGGCCTAAGATAGGAGAGATAACTCTTCTATGACAAAACAAGAAAGGAGGATAGTTCTATATAGGCAGGGGCTAATTTGTTCACCATAGGCAGGGGCTAATTTGTTCACCACTGCAACTCTAGTACTTAGCATAATGTTTGACACAAAGCTCATAATCAATAAATGTTTGATAGACAATTTTAAGACTATGTACCTAGTTTTATATTTATAAGCCTATCATAATTATAATTGTAATTTATAAATATGCAAAAAGGCTTAATCTGCTTCATATGTTAGTATTCCATTTAAGGTTTTTTTATTTTGTTTTGTTTTGTTTTTTGAGACGGGGTCTCCCTCTGTCACTCAGGCTGGAGTGCAGTGGCACAATCATGGCTAACTGCAGCCTTTACCTCCCAGGCTCAAGCAATCCTCCCACCCAGCCTCCTGAATAGCTGGGACTACGTGCACATGCCACCAAGCCGAGCTAATTTATTTTTCTTGCTATTTTTTGTAGAGACAGGGTTTCATCATGTTGCCAGGCTGGTCTTGAACCCCTGGACTCAAGTGATCTGCCCACCTCGGCCTCCCAAAGTGCTAGGATTACAGGCATTAAGCCACTGAACTCAGCCTAAGATTTTAATTTTAAAATAGTATTTTAATGCTAGAAGTATTAGACAAGTTAGGGAGATGACTTCAGATATTTTTTGCTCTTTGATTTTCTGTATTGCAAGAAAACGGCTCAAGAACTTTCCGCCTAAATCTAAGTATCTGTAAAAAAGAAGACAGTCACAATAGTAACAATAAAAATATGCCTAAACATTTAATCTAAATCAGGAGTTTCCAAACATTGTTGTCAGAAGACTTTGATAGTTCCTCAGGACAGGTAAAGTGACATTAAACTAGTATAGCTCCCAGTCTCTGTTCCTTGCTTCAGTCAGAAAAGTTTATATTATCTGTTTGATGCACTTGAATTGGACATAACATATCTTACTTATTTTGTTTTGTTTTGTCTGAGACCAGGTCTCACTCTGTCACCCATGCTGGAGTGCAGTGGTTTGATCACAGCTCACTGAAAATACTGCTTTTAAATTATAGATAGATTTTGATGTTTCATGTAGGCATTTAAAATATGAAACTTTTTTTTAAATACATTGGACTTTCTAAAGCAGTATCAAAAATAGCTAGGCCAGGTGTGGCGGCTCATGCCTGTAATCCTAGAACTTTGGGAGGCTGAGGTAGAAGAACTGCTTGAGGCCAGGGGTTTGAGACCAGCCTGGGCAACATAATGAGACCCCCATCTCTACTTTCATGAAAATTAAAATTAAAAAATAGCTAGAGAAAAAATTGCAAATACCTAAAGGTCCATCAACAGATGCACAGATAAACACATTGATGTGGTATACCCATACAATGAAATACTATTCAGTAGTGAAACAGAATCAATGGATACCCATAACAGCATGAATAAATCTCAAAATAATTATGCTGAGTAAAAGAAGACAGATTTTACAATGGGTACATACTGCACGACCCTGCTGATATAAAACTCTAAAATGTACAAGCTAATCTTTATTGGTAGATTAGTAGCTGCTTGGGAGGGGGAAACAGAAGGAAGAGAGGAAGGGATTACAAAGGGACATGACAAAACATCTGAAAATGATGCTTATGTTCACTATTTTGAATGTTGTGTTGGTGTCATAGGTGTATATATACGCTGAAACTACAGAATGTATACTTTAAATATACGCAATTGATTTTAAGTCAATTATATCTCCGTAACCGTTTCAATTTTTTTTAAGTGGGGAAGGAATTTAAACATGCTAATTTTAATTCTGAATGTAAAAGAGTGTACAAAAAATCTGCCTCATAAAGTTTTAAGGATTATTTCAGAACATAAAACCACCACAGAATATTTTAAGGTAGAAAATGTATTAGTTTTAAGTTTGTTTTATTACCTGACAATTTTTGGTGCCTGAGAATTTTCAATTCCTTTAAAAGAAACTTTTTTGACATGATCGCCTGAACTATGGCTAGTAACAGACTTTTTTTCTTCTAGTAAGAAATCCCGGAATGACTTGGATGAAACTGAATGCAGAGAAGATGCCCTGCAAAAGAAAGCAAAGATCATGTTAAAACATCCATTTTGTAAAAGGGCATTGCTGGAAGTTATAAGAGAACAATAAGAACGTATACCAAAAATTTTACAATATACAATTGCAGTTTTCAATGTGATGTTGGATTCTTGCTGCCAATTGTGAAATATCCAAAACTATTCCATAAGAAAAACCAATCAATGAAGACCAAGTCTAGAGATAACTCAGATGTTAAAATTAGCAATATTAAAATAGCTATTACAATTATGCATCAGATAACAACAACAAAAGCTCATTAAAAATAGGTAAGTTCGGCAAAAGAAAAGAAACTATTAAAAAAAGAGCAAAATGAAAATTCAAGAATTTTTAATATATTTTTAAAAATTCACTGTATAGATGGAAGAGTCGGTAAACTTGAAGATAAACCAAAAGAAATTTTTGAATCTGAAAAACAAAAAAGAGAAGTTGAAGAAAATTATTCCATAGTGAGTTATAAGATAAAATCAAAAGGTCTGCCATATGTGTTAACTGAAGTCCCAGAAATAAAGAAGAGAGATACGGCAGAGAAAAAGAAACAATGGCCAAAATTTTCCCAAATTTGGTGGAAGATATAAATTTAAAGACTCCAGAATTTTGGCAAACCCCAAAAAAGATAAAACAAAGAAAACCATATTTAGGCACATAATAAATAAACAGCTGAAAACCAAAGCTAAACAGAAAATCTTGACAGCAGCCATAGAAACACAACACAGAATGAAAATGAGTAGCTTGTTATTTGAAACAATGAAGCCCAAAAGACGATGGAAAGGAATCTTTAATATGATGAAAGAGGTAGAGAATGTCAATCCAGAATTCTATATCTGAGTAATCTTGAAAGTAGGTCCTCTTCAAGTCATGCCTTGAAATGACTATAGCCCTGGCCAAACCTTGACTGCAGCACTGTGGAAGATCCTGAGTCAGAGGCATTCAGCTGAGATTCCTGACCCAAAGGAATTATGATAATAAATGTTGGTTGTTTTAAGCTGTTGTTCAAGTATAATCTGTTATGAAGCAATAAATAACTAATACAAGATATTACAGAAATTAAAAGGGTAATAAAGAAATCTTATAGAGCCAGGTACAGTGGCTCATGCCTGTAATCCCAACACTTTGGAAGGCCAAGGCAGGTGGATCGCTTGAGCCCAGGAGTTTGAGACCAGCCTGGCCAACATGATGAAACTCCGTCTCTACTAAAAATACAAAAATTAGCTGGGCATGGTGGCACACACCTGTAATCCCAGCTACTCAGGAGGCTGAGGCATGAGAATTGCTTGAACCTGTGAGTCAGAGGTTGCAGTGAGCCGAGACAGGGCCGCTGCATTCCAGGCTGGGTGACAGAGCAGGACTCTGACTCAAAAAATGAAAAACAAAACAGAGAAAAAAAAAAGATAGAAATGTTATAAACAACTTAACACAAATAAATTTGACAATTTACATGGAATAGACAAATATCTTTTTTAAAAAACTAAATTACTGAAAATAACAGAAAGTCTATATAGACTATATCTATTTTAAAAATTGAATTAATCTCACTAGGTTTTTTAACTGCAAAAATTGACAAACTGATTCTAAAATTTACATGAGAATAAAATATCCCAGATTAGCCAAAGCATTCTTTTAAAAAAAATAGAAAGTTGGAAGAAGACAAAACCAATTATGGTAATCAGGATAGTATAAGCTAGGTCTGAATGTATTTCCTCCAAAACTCATGTTGAAATGTAAATGTCACTGTGATTGTATTGTGAGATGAGACCTTTAAGAGGTGTTTAAGTTATGAGGGTGCCTCACAAACTGACTAATGCCATTATCACTGAGAATGGTTAACCCTTTTTGCTGTCTCTCACCCTGCTGGCATATGCCTTCCACTATGCTATGAAGCAGGAACAAGGCTCCTGCCAGATGCCAGCACCTTGATATTGGACATCCCAGCCTCTAGAACTGTGAGCCAATAAATATCTGTTCATTATAAATTACCCAGTCTGTGGGACTCTGTTACAGCAGCACAAAATGAACTAAGATTGTGTGATACTGGCATAAGGATTGACAAACAGATTTCTTCAATTATGTTTTACTGTTCTTTCCACTGACTATGCCATAATTGGAAACAGTACCTGATTTCCCACAATTTTATTTTCCTAACTCACAAGCTCCAGCTATTTTCTACCTTAACAGCCACAGAAAATTTATGGAGAAGAATTTTAGACATTTGTACCTGCATAAAAATTAACCAGAATTTTGCTCCTCAGCAAAAGAAGCCCTGTAATTTTACTCTAAATAATATTTTAGCTTTAAAATATTAAATAATTGAAATTGTTTTATATTGTATGGGTTAGCTCTAAATGGAATTTGAAAGAATTTACATTCAAACATCAAGCCAGGCCACAAAGAAAAAGTATTCTTCCACTGAAGATGACTGATGAGAAAGGTTCTATTATTTCTCCAAGTGAAACATTTAATTTTGAGAAGTAGCCAAATCCCATACATACTTAGTGTTTTCACATTAAATTTAAAATTTGCCTGGTTGGAACTTCAATCTAATGCAAAAACCCAGTTATCCCTAATACTTTCCATTGCCACACCTAACTGTCAGCAGCAGGAGTACAACTATAAACACTGGGAATTCTACAGACTAGGTGAATGAATGTGTGAACAAACTAGTGAAAATCCTACCACAACCTCAAGTATATTTAGAGTGCTAATTTGTGTTTTGCTAATGAATTGCACATTAACCTTAATATTAATGTAAACATATTTTTAAAAATCTTTTGAAGAAGTAAAATCTTATTAGATGATACTTCAGGTAATGATGTACCTTTAAGAAGGATTTTAAAAACCAGTTACATCGGCTGGGCGTGGTGGCTCACACCTGTAATCCCAGCACTTTGGGAGGCCAAGGTGGATGGATCATGACGAGGTCAGGAGTTCGAAACCAGCCTGGCCAACATGATGAAACCCCATCTCTACTAAAAATACAAAAATTAGCCAGGCATAGTGGTGTGCATCTGTAATCCCAGATACTCGGGAGGCTGAGGCAGGAGAAGTGCTTGAACCCAGGAGGCAGAGGCTGCAATGAGCCAAGATTGCGCCACGGCACTGCAGCCTGGGCGACAGAGCAAAACTCTGTCTCAGAAAAAAAAAAAAAAAAAAAAAACAGATAAATCATCACAGTCATGAATACATTCTATAAATAACAATCTGTAAATCTGATTAAAATGTTAACTTCAGCCAGGAACAGTGGCTCATGCCTGTAATCCCAACACTTTCGGAGGTGGAGACAAGAGGACTGCTGAGCCTAGGAGTTCAAGACCAGCTGGGGATATACAGACCCATCTCTACAACAAATAAAAAATTAGCTGAGCATGCTGATGCACACCTGTGATCCCAGCTACTCAGGAGGCTGAGGTGGAAGGATTGCTTCAGTCCAGGAGGTCAAGGATGCAGTGAGCCAAGATTGCACCACTGCACTCTGTCTCAAAAACAAAAAAAAAGTTCCAATTTTTTCTTTAAAACCAATGCATACGAGATATGTTCTCAGGAAAACAATCTATTCCATTTTTACTTCAAGCATATATTACAAGTATTTACATTCTATGTGTATCTGATTAAAAATCAAGTGATATACTGAATTATGTGGCTATCTCATAATTTTATAATCACATGAAAAATTATATCATATTATATTCACTCAATAATTAATGTTTTATCCAGAGTTCAGGTTAAAATACTTTGCAGCCTTCTAAGAATTCAAGAAAGAAAATTATTCAACAATTTAATAACAGTAATTTCAATTTATACTGAAGTGCTTTGCTTTGCTGTGCTTCATAGTTACTGTGTTTTTAAACAGGTTGAAGGTTTGTGGCAACCTTGCATGGAGCAAGTATATCGTGCCATTTTTCTAACAATACATGCTCACTTTGTGTCTCTGTGTCATATTTTGGTATTTCTCCTGGTATTTCAAACTTTTTCATTATTATTATATCTGTTACGGTGATCTTGATCTTTGATGTTACTATTATAATTGTTTTGGAGCACCATGAACCACATCCATACAAGTTGGCAAGCTTAATTGATAAATGTTTGTTTTCTGACTGTTACACCAATTGGCAGTTCTCCCATCTCTCTCCCTCTCCTCCTTAGGCCTCCCTATTTCCTAAGAAACAACAATATTGAAATTAGACCAACTAATAACCCTACAGTGGCCTCTAAGTGTTCAAGTGAAAGAAAAAGTCACATGTCTCTCACTTTAAATCAAAAGCTAGAAATAATTAAGCTTAGTGACGAAAGCACCACCCTGATCAGTCAGCAGTCATCAACATCAAGGCAAGATACTCCACCATAAAAAGATGATTCACTGAAGGTTCAGATGACCATTAGCATTTTTTAGCAATAAAATAGTTTTACATTAAGGTTTTTTTTTGTAGATATTATGCTATTGCACACTTAGCAAACTACGTATAGTATAAACATTACTTTTACAGGCACCAGGAAACCAAAAATTTCTTGTGACTTGCTTTATTGCGATGTTTGCTTTACTAAGGTAGTCTGGAACCGAACCTGCAGTATCTCCAAAGTATGCCTGTATAGTCTTAAAAAGAGCATAAATTACTAATTGTAGACAATTCAGATACCTCTCACCTTGATGATAATAATTCAGAATATCTATAATTCTCAAAAATTCAGATTACCCATAACATCTATAATTATCTAAATTATCTATAATTGGTCAGTTAGATAAATTTTCTTAGTGTACTAAGATACATAAAACTCATTACTCATGTTTGTACTTAAGTTTTCCAATCATGTTTTCATAAAATAAATGTATAACAAATATCACTTGTATTTGATAATTATCAAATTCTTTTTTTTTTTTTTTTTTTTGAGAAGGATTTTTGCTCTGTTGCCCAGGCTGGAGTGTGGTGGCATGATCTCAACTCACTGCAACCTCTGCCTCCCAGGTTCAAGTGATTCTCCTGCCTCAGCCTCCCAAGTAGCTGGGATTACAGGCATGCAACACCATGCTCAGCTAATTTTTGTATTTTTAGTAGAGACGGGGTTTTTCCATGTTGGCCAGGCTGGTCTCAAACTCCTGACCTCAGGTGATCTGCCTGCCTTGGCCTCCCAAAGTGCTTGAATTACAGGCATGAGCCATCATGCCCAGCCAGATAATTATCAAATTCTTTTCAAAGAAAAATAACCTATGTTTTTGGTCAAAATTTATGGCATCTTTCTTCCCATCTTTCTAGAATTCTCCTTAATATGCCATAATAGACTCTTAAAATTTGGATAGATAGTCCCTTCAATGTGGCACTCTAAGCTCATGTTGCTATTACCAAGGAAAAATTTTTCCTATGTTTGAAAATTAGTCAGAAGTTTCAGATAAATGACCACTTGAATACCTTCCTCTGAAATCCTAAAGTGTACAGCAAAGTAATCAGAAAGGTATAAACCCACAAGGGCAAAAATAATAAGCTATTAAGACAATGGCAGTCTAAAAACAGCAACACATTTTTGAAGGATAGCAAAAGAGATGGAATGATAAAAACTGATGTCGCCGAGTGGACAAAAAGAAATACTAGCAGTCATCAGGTGGGTGACAGTAAAGAGGGAAGCTGAGAACTCTGGAAAGGGGCATATACTGGAGACAGAGTATGTATCAAATCCTGAAGTCGACATGAGCATGAAAATTGTTTCAGTTTATTTAAGGAGGGGCTGAAAGTGCCAGATGTACTCCCTATCTCCATATGGTCATATTACTACATCTCCTTTACTCTGGCAGAAGGAAAATTTGATTCAAAGTCACTAGTAATAGAGGATGGCGGGAGTGAACTGTTGTGTACAAAGTCTATACACTAAATGTGAAAACCTATTACAAATGGTGACAAGTTCAGTCCCAGCTCTAACCTCCCTACACTGAGATACGCTTCCAGAATGCTAGCAACAAAATGTACACCTTAACAGCAAAAAAAAATTAAAAGGCTGCTCTTTAGAAAAACTGACAGACTAAAGAGACCAAGGAGAAAAGATATGGAGATAACCAACATATGGGGAGATTCAGGGGTCCCTAAGGAATCTGATACGTTACCCTATAGTCACACCTATCAGTCTATTTGTACAACATAGGCACACAGAGCTTCCAGTCAGAACTTAAGAGAAAACAATCAATCAATAAATTGACAAAATGAAATAAAATAAAACACATATAGAGTAGAATGAATAAAACATGGATGTAAATCAATGGCTATTTTTAGCTTTCTTTTTTTTGGTTGATTGGTTTATTTTGTTCAATATCATATTGGTAAGATTCATCCACACTGTTGTATTTAGTCATGATTTATTCTTTTTCATTACTCTGTAGTATTCTACTATAAAAATAAATTAATTTATCCACTGACTGCTGATAGACATCTAGATTGTTTTCAGTTTGGGCTATTACAGATAATAAATTATGAACATTCTTATACTTGTTGCGTGGTACATACGTGTGTGTTTCTGTTGGGTATATACTAAAGAGTGAAAATGCCTACAGAGTACAGAGATCTTCAACATTAGAATATTAAAACAATACTATAGAAAAAGGTATCATCAACAAACAAACCAAAAAAAGCTCTTGATAAAGATTTTAATGATTGGAAAAAGTCAGGCAAATGTTCCAGAAAGTAGAATTAAAAGGCATATATGTGGACAATAGAAAAGAAAAAGTGTAGTGGCTCACACCTGTAATTCCAGTACTTTGGGAGGCTGAGGCAGGCAGATCACTTGAGGTCAGGAGTTCGAGACCAGCCTTGCCAACATGGTGAAACCATGTTTCTACTAAAAATACAAAAATTAGCCGGGTGTGGTGGTAGGCATCTGTAATCCTAGCTATTCAGGAGGCTGAGACAGAAGAATCGCTTGAACCTAGGAGGCGGAGGTTGCAGTGAACCAAGATCGCACCACTGCACTCAAACCTGAACAACAGGGTGAGACTCCATCTCAAAAAAAAAGAAGAAAAAGTAAGAAATTTAGAGAAGCCTAGGGGGACCAATATCTGACTAATGTGATTTGTAGAGAAAACAGTGAGGAGGAAAAGTATCAAAGTAATATTAATATTACATAAGATTTCCCTAGAACTTAAAGACATGCTGTTGCCAATTAAAAGAGCCCAAGTACCCAGGATGTATCAAAAAAGACCTACATTATGATACATTACTGTAAAATTTCAGAACATTAGAGATAAAGAAAAGATCCTGTAAACTTTCAGGGAAAAAAAAAGTGGAGAAGAAAACAGGAGGTAACATAAGAAGATTTAGGAATTAAATGGCATTGAATAAATTCTCCAAATGATTTCCAATTTAGAATCCCGTTCCCATCTATCAGTCAAGAAGAATGAAGGCTAGAATAAAAACATTTTCATGAATATACGAGCTCCAAAAATATATGTCTTATACATCCTTTATCAGAAACCTACTGGAGTTGTGCTACATCAAAACAAGGAGTGTATCAAGAAATAGAAAACCACAGGATCAAGAAAACTGGGGATCAAACACTGGAGAGAAGGGAAGACCTGCAAGACAACAGTTAAAGAAAATCTCAAGATGACAGATATTCAGCATGCCTGGAAAAGACCCGGTTCAGATCACAAAAGAGCACAGGACTCTAAGGAATATGCCTCCAAAAAAATAAGTGAAACAACTTTCACTCGTTCACTTTTTGCTTAAGGAAAATGATTGATGGCATGCTTACAGCTATATTACCAAGTCCAAAGCTTCATCATGAGCTTAGTTAATTCTCTCAAACTGCAATTTAGTACTTGACAGTGGTTCCAATAACTTTTCCCCCTTTTTGGATTTTCCATACCTTTGTTTAAAGAAAGCACAACTCAGTATTGCAGCAGTCATATCATAAACCCTACAAGGGTAACAGTCAAATCTGTCTTGTTCATTGCCTTATCATCAGAAACTAGCACAGTCCCTTACATTTAGAAGGTGCTTAACAAATACTGATAAATTTTAAAATTCTGCTAAGCTCATCCTCTCCAGTTTTACCCTCTTTTCTCTTTTCCTTGGGTGTTCTTACCTCTTATTTTACTTTCTTTTTCAGTAACCATGCTTTGGACCTACTAATAGCCCTAACAAGCACTGATTTAGTTCCATTGGTAACATTTAGAATAAAATTATTTGCCACTTTCTTCAAAATAATTAACATTTTAATTGAGAAAAATATTCCTTCTTACAAACAGAATAATGTGGCCTTAGAAACATTGAAAGGATTCCCCTAAACCATGGGTAGCTGCCAAGATCCTCCCCAGTCCTTGTGAGAGAAAGAGAGTTCTACTGATTTCTTCGTAAGGCTTCACATTCTCCATGTAGTTCTCCAGTATTGGTTTCCAGATATTTTAAGTTACAAGAAAAGGAAGGATGGAACGGAAGCTGGAGTACAACCTATTTTACATATCTCAAAATTATATCTGACCTCTTTGGAGGTTATTCCAATGCTGCCACTATGTGTAAATTCCAATGGAGAAAATGTAAACACAACATTAAGTAAGGAGCAGTGTTTTAAAAAGTGAAAAATAACAAGCTATGATTATAACCATGTAAAGATATTTATGGAGCATGCAGAAGGACAAAGAAATTAGCGTAGTATAAATAAAGTTTTCTTTTTATATGTGTCTGATGTATTTAATTTCTTATAAAAAATAAAAATAAATTTTAAATCACTTTAGCAAGAAAATCTAATTAGAATATCAAGAAGAAATTATATCTATATATGAAAAATATATCCACATTTTGATGTGTATGATGATGTGTGTCATCATGACTTGTATGTCAAAACACCCCAAATTAAAAGAAAATAAACAACAACAAAAAAAGTGTTTGTTTCCCAAGTTCCAATTTTTAACTTGAAAACAGAAGGGGAGATAAAATACTTGAAAAGACTTTAGAAACACTGGAAGTGGGAAGGAACTCCAAAGTCAAGTACTACCTTAAAAGCAAATGCACAAATCTATATTAATTTTAATAAAAATAAGAGCATACCATGCATTCACTGGTTTGGGGGCTTTTGAAGGAGTGAATAAAACTGTTTCCATGCTATTCATTCCTGAATTGTTTTCCTTGGTAGTCAATGCAATCATTTTTCGTTGCTTCTGAGAAAGTTTAACTCCATGAGAAACTGTTTTGCTAGAAATTAAACCAATTAGTTTCAGTGGTTTCTTCTGACAAAGTTTAATTCCATGAGAAATCATTTTGCTAGAAATTATATCAATTAACATTAATTTCTGCTTAATAAAGGTTACTGGTAATAATAATGTTTTCTATTTATTTCATGTTATTTTACCATTATTGGATCAAAATGCTCACAAGTTTCAACAATGAAAATATCAGTTTATACTAACAATGATCAAGTAATAGCTACATATGAGCCCTCCAACATATCACAAATTTCAAAAAGAACTTGCATCACAAGCCTTAACTCTTTGGCTTTTGTAGCCAATAGTCCACAATGATCATTTTAGAGTCAAGTTTCTGGGATGTAATACTGTATTCTACAAGAGCTGGATTATCAACTCAACTCTATCTTTAGCACATATTTAAGAAATAATATTATGGAGGCTAAATTGCCCAGAAAAGGATGTATAATTAACTATAACATCAAATGCAGAAAAATAATAAGAAAGATGCAGTAAGTCTGTCCAATTCTTAGGGCAGAAATACAACATGAAATGATCTTTTGTAATGTTTTCAACCCACCCTAAATGTGACTTTGGTGTAGCTCCACATTTTTGTCTACTTTCTTCTATTTCCATGATAGTTCTGAGATCCACAACAGGAGGGCTGACAGGACTAAAAGACATAAAAGGTTACTTTGCAAAGCATTCATTTACCTATAAAGCCCAACCCCCAACTTCACTGAAATGATAAGTGATATGTGAGATTAATAATCAGAGTATAATTTAGATTTATCAGCTGTGAGCCAGTTTCATAAAGGATATTTTGAATAAAAGCTACTTTTATATACACATATATAAATATTAACTAATATATATCCAAAATGTTAAGTGATATAGCACATATACAAATAACAACTAATATGTATCCAAAGTCATAATGTTGTGATATAACTGAAATTCCTATATTTAAAAAAACATTTTTTAAAAAAAGTGAAGCAATAGAAAGATTCTTAACTAAATTAGGCAGAAAAACTCACCAAAGTTCTAATTAAATTCTTACCTTTAGGTTAAATGAAGCTTGAAAATTACATTCTTTCCTTTCTATTTTTAACAAACAAAACTCATTCTACTGTTTAATATTAACAAAAACAAACATTTAATAGAAAAACTTGGGGATACTAAATAATATTGGAGACCCACCAGAGGAAGTTATACCATAATGACAAAATTCTACAATCATTAGAAATAGATGATTTCTGGCCAGGTGTGGTGGCTCAAGCCTGTAATCCCAGTACTTTGGGAGGCCGAGGCGGGTGGATCACCTGAGGTCAGGAGTTCGAGACCAGCCTGGCCTATGTGGTGGAATCCCGTCACTACTAAAAATATAAACATTAGTCAGGGGTGGTGGCAGGCGCCTGTAATCCCAGCTACTAGGGAGGCTGAGGCAGGAGAACCGCTTGAACCTGGGAGGCAGAGGTTGCAGTGAGCTGAGATCATACCACTGCACTACAGCCTGGGCAATGAGGGCGAAACTCTGTCTCAAAAAAAAAAAAAAAAGAAATAGATGATTTTCGACCTAAATGAAATCTACACTACAGATAAAAATAAGTCAGTCAGGCACAGTGGCTCACACCTGAAATCCCAGCACTTTGGGAGGCCGAGGTGGGCGGATCACAAGATCAGGAATTCAAGACCAGTCTGGCCAACATGGTGAACCCTCATCTCTACTAAAAATACAAAAATTGGCTGAGCATGGTGGCACGCGCCTGTAGTCCCAGCTACTCGGGAGGTTGAGGCAGGAGAATCGTTTGAACCCAGGAGGCAGAGGTTGCGGTGAGCCGAGATCGTGCCACCGCACTCCAGCCTGGGCAACAGAGCAAGACTGTCTCAAAAAAAAAAAAAAAAGTCATATTACTTCATATTAAAGGGAACCTGTTTCCTGTACTTTTTTTCTTTCATCAAAAACAAATTCTACTTATTATTTACACTAGGCAATACTACAAAATGAATGTAGAAATGTTTGTGTATATGTCAATATTGAGAATGTTTATTGCCTATTGCTATGCATTTTGTCAATGAGCATAGTACTGAAATAGCCTAATCTATCTTGTAGACCAGGGTATTTTTAAAACATGTTTAACAAAATATCCTAACATTAGCAATCAGAAGATGTTTCCAGATGTTCCCACATATTAAATATTTACCAATTTGTGTACTTATGCAAAAAAAAAAATTGAAACTAATTTCTGAACTAAAGTTTAAACCATGAAGCACATAAAATGGAACATCATAATCTTTGTTCCAACTCTGCAAAATATAGCCTATTTCAAAAGAATTAAACAGTCCAGATGATAATATGTCAATTAACAGTTTTAGACTTTATCAACCATTGTAGGCATATAAACATGAAGCACAAGCTTAATTAACATTTTGAAAGAATACTACATTCTAATTACATCTGCTACTCATTTAACTTTTCTTTTTCTTTTTTTTGAGATGGAGTCTTGCTCTGTTGCCCAGGCTGGAGTGCAGTGGCGCGATCTGGGCTCACTGTAACCTCCGCCTCCCGGGTTCAAACGATTCTCCCACCTCAGCCTCCCAAGTAGCTCGGATTACAAGTGCGTACCACCACGCCTGGCTAATTTTTTGTATTTTAGTAGAGATGGGGTTTCACCATGTTGCCCAGGCTAGTGTCGAACTCCTGAGCTCAGGTAATCCACCCACCTCAGCCTCCCAAAGTGCTAGGATTACAGGCATGAGCCACCATGCCCAGCCTTCATTTGACTTTTCTAAATAAATGAAAAAATATATATATAATATAGGCAAGTTAAAAGGATAGTATAACATTAAATTAATATCCTCTGAAAATTAACTGAATAGTTACACATTTTGTGAAATTTTAAATACCCCTTCACATGCTCTAAGAGATAAAGTCTATGATTGACAAAATTGTCTTCCTGTGCAGCATTTTTAACCAATACATATTATCTAAGAAATAACTACTGATACTAAGTTTCTCTCTATATACGTAAAACATAGTATTTGCTACTATTCACTGATGATAATACAAAGGCAACTAAATTTTGCCTGGGGTTGGTTGGGGGGGAAGCCTATTATAGCTGGTTAGCAATTTGTAGGTATTTAGGCAATTTTCTGTGCATTAGAAATTTATATTAATATTTCTTAAATGTTCATCATTAAAAAATTAAATTGCATTAAAAATGAATGACATTTCTCAAACTAACAGTTATAGAATAAAATAAAAATCCTACCTGAAAGAACCAGCAACCCAACTGGCAGAGCTGGTAGTATCAATTCTGTTACTGGGAATAGGCTGTGGAGCAGATATTTTAAGTATTGGTGACTTTTCCCATGGTTTTAAATCTTCCCTAGAATACACAGGAGATGTACCATTAACATACGGTTTGACTTTCGCCTGGGGAGAGAAAAAAAATAAAAAAAGTTAACAGGCACCTAGAACAGTAACTAACACATAGCTGGTACTTAATAAATATTAGTTACATTATAATGAAGAATAAAATCTTATGACAATAAGCCATCTAGTATTTTCAAATCATGTTCTTCTACAGTTTTGTGCCTTAGCCAACTCTCAAATCACATTATTGACTATAACTGAATTATTATGAGCTTTGAAAATAATTTTTAGGGAAACTAGTTTGCATATTAAATCTCTACACAAATAGTTAACATGTAATATATAAAAGTTGTACAAATAAGACATGAAGCAGTAATTTTAAAATTAATATCCATGGCTTGAATATGAAACAAAATGAAAGTTTTGTATAAATGTCATATAATTCACTCTGATGTAAAGTACTGTGAATAAAATTAAAGTCAAATAATACTGACACCTTGAAAGGAACCCTAAAACTACTGCTATTGTAATATGTCAAGGAAGTTATTAAAATGATATGTCTATTTCCAGGATAGATTCTTCTGTTATTGTAAATCACTCACAATATACCCTGAGCCTTCCTTTAAACCTCAATTGTCTTACAGACCAACCTTAGTGTGAATATAAATTGCCCCCAAACTTCTATCCTATATTTTAAAAAAAATCAATCCTGGCGGGGTGTGGTTGCTCACATCTGTAATGCCAGGACTCTAGGAGGCTGAAGTGGGTGGATTGCTTGAGTCCAGGAGTTCGAGACCAGCCTGAGCAACACGGCAAAACCCCATCTCTACTAAAAATATAAAAAAATTAGCTGGACGTGATGGTGCGTGCTTATAATCCCAGTTACTCTGCCGGCTTAGGTGGGAGAATCACCTAAGCCCGGGAAATCAAAGCTGCAGTGAGCTGATACTATACCACTGCACTCCAGCCTAGGCAACCAGAGTGAGAGACCCTGTCTCAAAAAAAAAAATCAAATCAATCCTTGAGGCCTAAAAGACTCTAAGAAGAAAGGGTAAACTTCTGTTGTCTTATGAATTCCTAGAAGTTCCGATACGTTTTGTGGATGTGTAGGAGTTACAGAAAAGTGACTCTATCTCTATTCAGTTACACATTTTTCTCTAATAGGTTAACAGCTATGGAATCAAATGTTAAGGAGTGTCTAAGAAATGCCCTCCCCAGAGCTGATTAGGCTAGGAATCCTGCAGCTTAATGTGCTAGATTAGGAGAAGAACTCAAATCATTTCCAAATTGTTTTGCTCCAGTTAATACCCTGGAGGAAAGAGACTGCGAACTTTCAAAGTAGGCTTATTTTCGAAATCATTTGCCTTGACAATTTTTAACTGATGTTAACTGACATTTCACAAGATAAATTTCAATAATTTAGCTACAAATATATTTTTTCAACATGTCTATAGTGTTATTATATTTTACATCAACATTATATTTTAGTTGCACAAAGACTAGAAATAACATCATAAAGGGCTCAAAACTGCCATTACAATCTCTAAAAATAGAAATGTTGTGCAAATTTAAGAAAACTAACACTATATTTGTGATTCTTATATACCAACCTGGAAACTGTTTTAAAATTAGGGCAAAAATAAGGAAATATTAAAGATAAACCATCTATAAATCTAAAATCTGAAGGTAAGGAGGTAGTGCTTCAAAAAACAAACCTCAATCTTATCTGAATGAAATCCTGTTGTGAAATCAGGGGACTGTAAATCTCTAGGACTACCCACTCCTGCATAGCTTCCTTCAGAGTCTGATGTCAACAGTTCTGGAAGAGATTCCACAGAATTGGTCTTACCAGACTTTAATAATCCTAAAACATGAAATTAAAAAAAATTAAACACATATGCATTAAACATATATGCATTACATTCCATGAACCAGAGAGCTAAAAAAGCTTTCATTTATCCAGATTTAATAACATTCAAATTATATTTATGGTATAAAAATCTTAATAATTCAAGTTAACTGGAGAAAGAAATCAGTTTAAGTGAAAAACTGAAATGGAAGAGATTCTAAAACAATAATTTTATTCATTACAATCACACACCAATTGTGTAATGAACCTGAGGAAGATAGTTCTTTGGGATCTGCTCTAAAAAGTGATTTAAAATATTTTTGTCCGCATAAGAGACAAAGGAGAAAGGGAAAATAATTAAAATCCAGACCTCTTTTCCCTTTCTCATCTGTCTCTTGGTACAGTGGTCTCCGCACCCAAGCAAGGGGGTAGCTTCATTCTATGTGGGAGGAACCCTGTGGCCTTTTTGCCTCTCACTTAGCCAGCTGACTGACCCCATAGCAGAGGCTCCCGCAGAAGACAACTGTGGCCTGTTTGAAGTGTGTTTTTCCCTGAAATCTCTGGCTATTGAGAGCTCGCTTGAAGCAAGAGGGTTGTTGTGAAATGTATATATCATTTCTTCTCTTAGGCAAGCTAAATGCCTGGCCTCATGCCACACCTGGTATCCAGGTTCAAACTTTTGCTTAGATTCACATGTCCATTTCCACACATTTCAAATTTATTAGAATCTAAATGAAGTACCAAAATAAGCTATAAAATAAAGATGTTATCTAACTTGTAACTAAAAGCTGTATAATTGATTTAAAAATAAAACCTACCATCTCTTATACATTGTTCTCTTTAAAGTAAATCACCTTAACAAGCTAAATGTTTCTTTTATTGTTATCACTACAATTTGGAAAGAACATTTAAACATTTTTTTTGCCACACAATCTTTTTGAATTTTTTTTTTTTTTTGAGACAGAGTCTTACTCTATTGCCCAGGCTGGAGTGCGGTGGCATGATCTCAGCTCACTGCAACCTCCACCTCCAGGTTCAAGTGTTTCTCCTGCCTCAGCCTTCCAAGTAGCTAGGATTACAGGCATGCACCACCATGCCCGGCTAATTTTTTTTGTATTTTTACTAGAGACAGCGTTTCACCATATTGGCCAGGCTGGTCTGGAGCTCCTGATTTTGTGGTCCGCCCGCCTTGGCCTCCCAAAGTGCTGGGATTACAGGCAGGAGCCACTGCGTCTTGCCTCTTTTTGAATATTTTTAAGGCTGGCAAATTTTCATCGAAGAGAATACATCTAATATTAGAACACTCTCAAAAGTCAGTTAGAAATAAATCCAGAAAAAAAGAGGACAATTAATGTGGCCAACAATTACTTCTGGTCAAAAACAGTTTTGCTGAATGCCGTTTGTCTAACTTTAAGATCGACACAGATGTTAAGCTTTTACGCAACTGTCTTTGATGAAATTGGCCTCATACTCAAATTTTCTTCCTTAACAGGTCTTTTTGGCCTCCAATTAAATCTGACCTTTTAGTTATCTTTGACTACAGATATCCTGGCCACAGAAAGAACAGTACACCAGGAAAATACGGACCTGGAATCAAGAGAACAAATTTTATTTCTTTTGGTCACTACTTCAAATCACTTATGTTTTTTGAGCTTCTTTCCTTAGGTTTAAAGTAAGGGACATAAATTATTTCATTACTAATGTCTCTTCTAGCTCTGAAATTCTAAGATTCTAACACATATGGTAACAATAACATTATTTAAAACAAACCAAATATCTGCTTTTCCATAAGTCATTTAGGTGACTGGAAAGTCATTACTTTCAAGACTGTCTATCCATTATTCATCCTTCCATCAATCCACCCCTGCCTCCTTCTAAACACTAACGGTAATTCATACAACACAGAGAACACAGAGTCACAGAATTTTAAATTTAGAAAAGTCCTAAGATAATAGCTTTCCCATTTACTAGGTCTCCTGATTCCTATTTTCATTGCTTCATAAATAAATTTTAGGCATATTATCTATCCTTTTTTTATCTTTATGTTATCTAAAACTATTCTTGACATTATTCCTTTGAGCTTTAGTGAACATATCAAGCACCTAATTTGAAGCATCTCAGTAAACATAAAAAAAAAATCCTTCTTCTTTGCCCTGCCTAACAAGCTTTTTTTTCCAAAGGGACACAAAACAATGTACTCTTCTATTTTTCAAAGTTGTTTGTATACAGCTGATTGACTATGAAGTACTGTTAGCAGAAACTGTACTAGGTTATGCCTTAGTGCTATAGACAAGAGTAACCTACCATTTCTGAAAGCCATACTGTAGTCTCATTATTTTATAGTCACAATTCATGTTTTATCTAAAGAAACTACTAAAACGTATATAGTTTAATCTAGATCAGATGAATCTAGAATGTGAGACAGTCTATAACACAATTGGACTGACCTTTTGGAAAAGAGAAAACAAAAAACAAAAAAGTACAGCAGTTTTATACTAGTTAGAAGAGACTAAAGAGATACTAATAAGCAAAGATAATATGAACCTTGATAGAATACTAGTTTTTTTGTTAATGTTAAAAAAAAAAGACTATAAAAACATTTGTCAACAATTAGGAAAATGTGGATATGAAGTATAATACTAATTAACACTAATTAATGTCAATTGTCTCAGGTATGATAATGGTATTGTGGTTGTGTAGAAGAGTATTCCCATCTTAAAAGATTCATATTCAAGTATTCGGGGGAAAAGTATCATGTCTACAACTTATTCCAAGTGGAACAATTTTTTTTTAAGTCTCTGTATTGTGTGTGTGTGTGTTTGTGTGTGTGTGTAACACATGGAGGAAAGAGGAGACAGTAAGCAACAAAGAGTCTGCAAGAAAATGCAAATGTGATGAGAAGTTAACAATAAATCTGAATAAAATGTACATAGGTGTTCATGGTATTTTTCTTTCATCTTTTCAGTAAGTTAAATATTCTCAAAAGAAAAAACTGGGGAAAAATATTTTAGAAAAACTACATAACCTGACCTTTACTTTCAAACAGGCTCACATAATGCCTAAATACATTTTATATTCTACTACCAGATTACAACCCCCTTATGCATATGAATGGCATCTTACTTGGAGTACTGACATATTTAAATTGAATCAACATGATAATAGTTATCTCTGTCATGTTTTGCCAACCTCTAAACCCCTATGCCACTGGAAAGAGTAGTCTTTCTAAAAACAAATCTCATCCAGTCACATCCTGTTTTAAATCATCAACAGCCACCCATAGCCTTTAGAATAAAACACAAATTCCTTAGTTTGGCATATAAGAGCCTCCAAAATCTGACCCTATCCAACCTATCTCCTATACTGAACTATATGCACAAGAAATGTGCAACTCTTTCTCTTGCTACTAAGCTTGGGAACACATTGCCCCCTTTGCTTAATATACCTATCTGCCTCCTTTTCTTAGATAACTTCATTCTTCAAGACTCAGCTCAGCATTGCTTTCCTCTAAGAGGACTTCCCTGATCTCAGATTAGTTTGAGTACCTCTTTTGTGCTCCCAGAGCAAACTTCAACTGGAGTACTTACAATAAACTATCACTTTTGGTACCTCCATAAGGACTGTTTATTTCAGTAGCCCCAGCAGATGACATATGTGAATAGAGACATAGAAGATTAGAACTGGAAATACATGCTCACTTTCCACGAACCTGTAGATGATGGACTCTGAATAATATCTGAAAGGTTATAACCTCCAGAACTATCTGAACGTTTACGTGGCTTCTTTTTAGCTTTTGTTTTTGCTTTCTTGAACATAGTTTCCCTAGGAAAAAGCAAACATAATTTCAGCAGTGTTTAGGGAGGTAACTAAGATAAATGCACTTATTTAACCCAACATGTTTAACCTGAAGGCTACTTTTTAAAATATTTACACTTTCAATGTGTTAGACCTACAGATATTAATTATGTATTTACTTTGTATTATACCAAGGTTAAGAATGAGCGTAACTACCTATTTCTTATGTCAGAATTTCTCAATTTCATCTTCCAATACCAACACAAAAGTGTCATATGTCCAAGATGAGAGTGAAGGGACACACTGGAGAAAAGAAGGAAGAAAAGGAGGAAAAGAAAAAAAAAAAAGAAAACAGCTTACGAATGATTTTGTTCCATATTTATTTCTTCTTTCAAGAAGATATCTCCATCTTCTACTTCCAAATAGCTAATATCTGGTCCATCTTGATATGGTGTAATGACTCTTCTATCCATTGCTGGAATCTGCAGAATTGAAGATATCACTTTTCAAATACAAAATCTGTGAAGTTTTTTTTTTTTTTTTTTTTTTTTTTTTGTGCACACGTGGCTCTTGCCATGTTGGCCAGGCTGTTTGGAACACCTGGCCCCAAGCAAACCTCCCATCTTGGCCTCCCAAAATGCTAGGATTACAGGCATAAGCCACCACACCCAGCCTAAAGATGTTTTTTAAATTATGTAAGATATTCCATTTTTAATATGTGGTGACATTAACTAGAACAGCCTTGAATACTCAATAACTTCCTAAATTTACAAGAGGGGGTTAAATTTTGATTCAATTCAATAAAAACTTTATTCCATAAACCTGCCAAAAAGGAAACTTGAGAAAAAGCTCCACTTTATTATTAAAGATAGATTTATTCATTTCTTAGGGATCATATGAATTCATGTTTTTGCACGGTCCTGACCTCTGGTAAATAACAAAAGACTTACTCTGAGGCTTTCAGTAACTTTCATTTATAAAGAAATTAATAAATATTAACTTTATTATTAAGTATCTTGAATTCTGATTATCATATGTATCTGTGAGATCTGTAAAGGAATCCTATATCATCAGTTTTAAAAGATCCTAATGTACTAGAAGTCATTAGGAAACTATTCCATTAATAAGTCTGATCTAATATACTGCTTAAGCTGGTAATATTATAGCCGCGAAAATCTTAAAACATAAACCTTACCATTTTCCGGTAAAACTCAGAAAGATCCTTCAAAACACCATCGCTTAAAACATCAAGAGACCTAAAATATAGGATACAAAATTCTATCTTAAGATTCAAGTGACTTGATAACTGTCAAGTTGCTTACATACGTAGATATTTCATATTGCTAGATAAGTAACAAAGTTATTTTTTAAGCATTATATATAGCAGTTGCTACAAATTCCTTTTGGAAATAGATGTGGTTGTATATTACATATTTCAAATAAACAGCAAAGCAAACATATTACACAAATATCTTGAATAAAACTCAAGCAACTCTTTTTTTTTTTCTTTTTTTGAGATGGAGTCTCACTCTGTCACCCAGGCTGGAGTGCAGTGGTGCAATCTCAGCTCACTGCAACTGCTGCCTCCTGGGTTCAAGTGATTCTCCTGCTTCACACCCTCCCAAGTGGCTGAGACTACCAGGCACACACAATCACGCTCGGCTAATTTTTGTATTTTTATTAGAGATAGGGTTTCACCATCTTGGCCAGGCCGGTCTTGAACTCCTGACCTCAGGCGATCCACCTGCCTCAGCCTCCCAAAGTGCTGGGATTACAAGCATAAGCCACCACACCCGGCCTCAAGCAACTATTATAAATAAATGTACAAAGAATCTTCTCTACTTCATAAGAGTTTCATAAAAATTAACTAAATGAATCTATGTAATGCTTTTAGAACACCGTCTAGCACATAGTTAATAGTCATTACTACTGAAGTAAAATATAAAAATAAACTAAACAATGAAGCTTTAAAATAAAAACTGACACCAGGAACTCTAATCTCAAATTTCTGTGTTCTCATATTGTCACCAATGACTTTATAGGAAGTAAAATATTTTGACCTTATATTTTTAAAAAAGTATACATTTATTTCATTTTAAAAAGATCACTGTTAAAAACATTCAAAAGTTTTCAAGAGCTCTCTAATTCTAAAATGTACATAACTTCTAAATCATCAGCATTGATCAAATTCTTTCCATCCAGGTAAACATCATTATTCACATTTAAATCACTAATAATATCTGCTATTATATATAAATATCTCCTTTTGCAACAATCTTACAACATATGCACCTCACCTACCTTGCTTCAAGTAAAGCTGCCATATTCAATCCTATAAACTGTAAACAAGACAGTTTCAACTGTTTTGCACTATACATTGCTGCAAATTCCAGTAGCATAGCAGCATTCTTCAGGGTAACTACAAAGAAAGAAAAGATTTGCAAAATTAGATAAAAGGCACATTACCACAGCAAAATAAAATACATTTATGTCTAAAGCTGTACGATTTGAACATTTGGAATAAAGAAAAAAAAGTTTCTTGCCAAAAATAAGTTAATACTGGGGCAAATATGTAACTCTTCCATCCCAATATGCCAAAGTAATTTCAAAAGATTGGCTATGAGGAAAAATAAGCTCACACACAAGCATATTCTAAGCAAAACAGAATACAGAAGGGGCATAGTGCCACCCAAAAGCAAACACATAAGAACTGACAATCTTCCACCTAACATTTTCTGAATATTTTTAAAAAGCTTTTATTAATGAACAACTTTCCTTTCCATTTACATAGCAGTTATTCCCTCTTCCATAAAACTAAAAAAGATATAAAACTAAGAAAAACTGATGAAATAATTCTATAAAATATATTGAGTTATCTATCAGAATTCATGTGGGTGTATATATATACATGTAAGTATATAAATATATACATATTTTGAAAATACGTACATCACAATCTTATCATAATATTCTTCACACCAGTGAAAAATCTGATATACTGTGCAAAAGATTCTGGATTTAGTTACAATTGTAGTAACATTATATATAAAGTACCCATTTTCCTAGAGACTCTCCCAGAATATTCTACCTACATAACAGGTAACTTTCAGCTTCCTGTTCCCTCCACTATTTTTCTTAATTACTCTATCAGTACCAGCCAATAGGGAAACACAGTTGTTTTCTACATCTGGCTTCTTGCATTTCTTTTTCTTTCTCACCTGTGATTCTATCAAAAGTTGCAACTGCAGTCAATAATGGTCTCTGTCTCACTCCTGACTAATCTACATTTTCAACTAATGATGAACAGAGAAATTGAAGAAATGATAAAATTAGATCATATAAAAACTTCTTTAGAGTTGTTCACATGGGAACAAGTATCCACATATTCCTAATAATCAGAGACCAAAGGAGGTGGTAGCCTCCTTTTCCTAGGTTCTAGGAACATCAAGGAATTAATAAAGGCAACTGTGCAGCCAGAGCCATGAAAGAACACTGAGGAAGAAGACCAGCAAAGGCAACTGTACAAGTGTAAAATATCACTTATATGTATGTCTTATACCTGTTGTATGCTGTGTCCTTTATTTTAGAATATTTTTCTTTTCTTGCTTAAAAGGAGATCAGGGCTGTTGTTCTCTATTTAATAACCAAGGAGTAGACAGTCTACAGTGCTCAAGAAAAGTGAGAACTAAAATGCCAAAGCCAAGACAAACTCCTAGCAAGTATGAACTAGAAAAAATGGACAGGAATTCCCTTCACACTTCTTGAAGTAGCAGTAAAGCAGAACAGATATAAGATTAGAAAGTCAAAAAGGCTGTCAGGTGGAAGCTAAGGAAAGTTAACCTTTATTCTAGAGTAAGCAATTATAAATATGTAAACAGGGGGAAGATGTAACTACTTCCTACAGAAAGCTTAAAGAAACAGAAGTAGACAGGAGAAAGAGCATTTAAAACACTACTGTGACACTACCCAGAAGGAACAGATAACAGTGACCTCAACTGCATAGTAACAGTGAGAACCCAAAGGTAGGGGAAATGTGACCAACATAGTTAAAAGGAATAAGTTTTGACAACTGAATGAATTTGAGTGTCAGGGCCAAAATAATAAAGAAAAACTCATTTTGGATTTCAAAGTACAGTGTTCAGGAGGATAGCCATGAAATTAACTAAGATAATGAAGAGAGCAAGAAAGAAGAGTTCAAGAAAAAAAGAGATGTGCTTTGTTCAGATATATAATGGGAAAGTTAAATTTTTAAAATCACTGCAAATAGTAGAAAATGGGTAGCTAAAAACACCTAAAGCCAAGATCAGGGCAAGAGTACAAAAATTTCACTTTTAAACTCTCACCCTTGAAATTAGCAAATAAATCTGACACCATCTTTATTCTTCAAGGTTTTATGACATTTCAATACAAATATTACATTTCAATTCTAAGTCATATATATTTTCACATATTTCTAAAATAAGAATTCACTTACAAATGATGGCATGTAATAATTTACATATTTTGGCAGGTTTTCGTGGTACCAAAAAAATGGTCTATTTTACCATAAGTGGAATCATAAAGTCAATAAAGTACAGTAATCCTTGATGAACCTGAAAACATATTAATATTCAAACTCAAAATTACTCACGTTTTTCAGTTAATGCTACTTCACAAATCTCTTTCAACCGGGTTATGAGAAGTTGATCAGCCACCACAAGAACACTACAAATAAAATCTACATTTTGAGATTCTAAAAAAAGAAAGAAAACAAGCATCACTTTTTCTTTGTATACATTATACCTAGAAAAAAAAATTTGAAGTAATTAGTACACTAGAAAAGAGATTTAAGTAAAAAAAAAATTTGAAGTAATTAGTACACTAGAAAAGAGATTTAAGATTATTTTCTAAATGTTGAAAGGGCAACCATAATAAAAAGTAAATACATCAAAATATATTTCTATTTTTTAGGTAGAAAGCTGACAAAATTACACCAAAATGTCTTGATCTCACACTAGGACCATAAAATGGCCAACTTAAATTGATCATTTCAGTCTAGAAGCCCACTAGAATGCCTGACTTGTTTATAATCTCCCATGTTGTTAGAAAAACACTTCTCAAGCTAATACAAAGAGGGAAAAGTCAAATCTCAGCATCACACTTAATATATAAAGGGTGGGGAAATAATGCTCTTATGCTTTCTTATTTAAAACAAAATTTGTCATCTAAGAGTGCTTTTTTGTAACTATTGGACTTCCTTAATTTAAAACAACTTTCTTGGGCCAGGTGTGGTGGCTCACGCCTGTAATCCCAGCACTATGGGAGGTGGAGGCAGACCGACCACTTAAGACCAGGAGTTTGAGACCAGCCTGGCCAACATGGTGAACATATCTCTACTAAAAATACACACATTAGCAGGGCGTGGTGGCACATGCCTGTAGTCCCAGTTACCGGGGAGGCTGAGGCACGAGAATTGCTTGAACATGGGAGGCAGAGGTTGCAATGAGACGAGATCACGCCACTGCACTCCAGCCTGGGCAACAGAGTGAGACTCCATCTCAAAAAAATAAAAAATAAAACAACTTTCTTGGTCCTCAGTACTACTAATGGCTTTTTGCCCCTGAGCCACTGCCAAAATAACAACATAAATTGAAAGAAAAAAATAACAGAGGAAGAGAGGAAAGGGAAAAAAAGATTAAGAAGAAAAAAATCTGACACAGAAAACAGCTTTAAAATATGAGACAAAGATGAAGTCACTAGGAATGACAGACTAAGAGCTTCTAATCCTCTCCTCTAAAAAAAAACAGACAACTGTGGAAAATTGTCATAATCAACTTTTCCAGAATTCTGGAAATCAGCCAAAAGCTTATAATAATCTAGGAAGTGTTTACTTAAGAAAAGCAGTTGAATCTTGTTAAGAACAGTGGGATTCAGGACACTGCAGCCTTTCCTGTTCAGATCTTCCTCTCCCCTCCTCCACAGCAGTACTGAAACCAACAGCTCCATAATCACAGGGAATCACATTGACAGCCTAGTAGCCACAGGAGACAGAACAGTTGTAGAGCAATAGTATCCTTATTTGACCTGTCTGCTAGTTCTCTGAAAATCCCACTAGAATGCTTATCTTTATTTGACCTGACATAAAGCTTGCCCAGTGACAACAGCCTTTTATACGGGGGCAAACAATTAGCAATAAGTAAAGTAAAGATATTGAATTAGTGATCAAAAAACTTCCTACAAAGAAGAGTCCAGGACCAGATGGCTTAATTGGTTAATCTGACTGAATATTTAAAGATGAATAATACAATTGATGAATTAATACAAGATAAATTGATACAATTCTCCACAAACTCTTCAAAAAGTAGAAGATGAAGAACACTTCCCAACTCAGACAAGGAGGCCAATATTATGCTGATTCTAAAAACAGACAGGGACATCACAGGAAAACTAAACCAATATCCCTTACAATTAAAGATGCAAAAATCCTCAAAAAACGCTAAGAAACTAAATCCAGTAACATATAAAAAGGAATTATACAACATGACCTAACAGAATAAATCCAAAACGAAAGGATGATTCAACATATGAAAAATCAATCAATATAATACACAAAAATAAAGTATAATAAACACACGGCCATCTTAAGAAACAGAAAAACATTTGACAAAAATCCCACACCCTTTCATGATAAAAACACTCAATAAACCAGGAATAGAAATAATCTTCCTCAACCTGATAAATGGCAACTACAAAAAACCCACAAGTAACATCCTAATTAATGGTAAAAAGGCTGAATGCTTTTTCCTAACATCAGAAACAAGACAAGGACAACCACTGTTGCCACTTCTATTCAACAGAGTACTAGAGATTCATCTAATCAGGGCAATTAAGCAAGAAAAAGAAATAAAGCACACCCAAATTGGAAAGGCATAAGTAAAACCATCTCTATTTGCAGATGACATGATCTTGCATATAGAAAATCCTAAGGAATCCACTAAAAAAACTACTAGAATTAGTGAACAAGTTCAGCAAGGTTGCAGGATATAAGATCAATATACAAAAATCAATTGTAATTCTAAACACTAGCAAAGGACAATCCAAAAATAAAATTAAAAAAATTTCCATTTAAAATAGCACTAAAAATTCTTAATAATTTTTAACTAAGAAAGAGCAAGGCTTGTACACTGAAAACTACAAAAATCATTGAAAGAAATTAAAGACTTAAATATATAGACTTAAATAAATGGAAAGACAGCTGGTGTTAATGGATTATAAGATTTAAATATTAAAATGACAATAATCCTCAAGCTGATCTACAAATTAAATGTGATTTGTATTAAAATCCCAGCTGCCTTTATTGCAGAAATTGGCAAACTAATCCTAAAATTCACATGAAAATGCAAGAAACCCAAAATAGCCAATACAATCTTGAAATAGCAGAACACAGTAGGAAAACTCACATTTCCCAATTTCACAACTTACAACAAAGCAATGGTAATCAAGACACTGCTGTACTGGCATAAAGAGAGTTCAGTGAAATAGAACTGAAGAGTACAGAAATAAAACTTTAAATTTATTGTCAGTTGATTTTTGACAAAGGTGCTAAAACAATTCAATGGGAAAACAAATGTCTTTTCAACAAATGGTACTCAAAAAATAGGACATACAGATGTAAAAGAATAAACTTGGACCCATAGCTCACAACAAATACAAAAAATAACTTAATAAGAATGGTGGTTACTAGAGGTCAGGGGATTAGGGTAATGGGAAGATATTGGTCAAAGAGTACAAAATTACAGTTATAAGATGAATGAATAAGATCTAGAGACCTTATATACAGCATGGCCACTACACTGATAATAATGTACTGCATACTTGAGATTTGCTGAAGGACTAGATCTCAAGTACTCTCACCACAAAAAAAAAAAAAAGGTAATTATGTGAGGTGACGGTTATGTTAATTAGCTTGATTGTGGTAATTATCTCTCTCTATATATATAAATATAGATATTATACATATATATATCTCAAAGCATCATGTTATACACTATGACTACATATAATTTTTACTTGTTAATTACACCTTAATACGACTGGGGGGGGAATTAACTCAAAATGGATCAAAGACCTACATGTGAGAGACAGAACTATAAAACTCTTAGAAGAAAACATACAGGGTAATCATCATGACCTTGGATTTGACAACGAATTCCTAGATATGACACCAAAAACACAAGTAACAAGTCAACATAGACAATTTGGACATCATGAAATGCCTGTAATCCCAGCACTTTGGGAGGCTGAGGCAGGAGGATCACTTGAGCCCAGGAGTTCCAGACCAGCCTGGGCAATATAGGGAGGCTCTGTCTCTAAAAAAATTTTTACAAATTAACCAGGCATGGTGGTGCACAGCTGTAGTCCCAGTTACTTGGGAGGCTGAGGTGGGAAGGATCACTTGAGCTCAGGACGCCGAGGCTGCAGTGAGCCATGACCATGCCACTGCACTCCAGCTTGCCCAATGGAATAAGACCCTGTCTCAAAAATAAAAAAAAATTAAGTTTTTGTTTTAAACGACACTTCATCAAGGAAGTGAAAACAACTCAGAGAAGGAGAGAAAATACTTGCAAATCATATATCCCATAAGGGACTAATATCCAGAATATATAAAGAACTCTTGCAACATTATAAAAAAACAAATAATTGAGAAAAAAAGTGTCCAAAGGATTTGAGTATGTATTCAAAGAAGATATACAAATGACCAAAAAGCATATGAAAAGATGTTCAACATCATTAGTCATTAGTGAAATACAAATCAAAACCACAATGTTGCATAACTTCACACCCGTTAGGATGGCTATAATAAAAAAGGTTGATATTAGTAAGTGCTTGCAAGGATGTGGAGAAACTGGAACCCTCACACTGTTAGTGGTTAAGTTAAATGGTACAGCTAGCCACTGTGCAGTTCGGCAGTTCCTAAAAAATTAAACAGATGACCCAGCATTTCCGCTTCTAGGTATATGCCCAAGAAAAATGAAAACATAGGCCCACGCAAAAACTTAGGCATGAGTGTTCACAGCAGCATGATTCCTAATAGACAAGAGGTAAAAACAACCCCAACATCCATCAACTGATGAATAAATGTGTTATATCCACACAATAAATATTATTTGGCAATAAAAAACAATGAAGTGTTGGTACCTGCTACAACACAGATAAATTTTTAAAACATCGTACTTAAGTAAAATAAGTTAAATATAAAAGGTCACATGTTGTTTGATTGTATTTATACAAAATGTCCAGAAGAGGCAAATCCATAGAGACAGAAAACATAATAGGGGTTTTCCACGGACTGGGGATAAGAGAGAGTGGGAAGTGTCTGCTAATGGGTACAAGGTATCTTTCTGGGGTGATGAAAATGTTCTAGAATTATACAGTGATGATAGTTGCACAAATTCATAAACATACTAAAAACTACTTATTGTATGCTTTAAAAGTATAAGTTTTATCATGCAAATAATTTCTCGATTTTTAAAAAGAATGAAAGTAGAGAAAAACATACCATGTCTCAGTTATCTTACTCTCAAGTATACAAATCTTCAGAAATTTTGTCCTCAGTTAAACTCTATCTCCTTACAAGACTACCCAGATTTCCTAGGCAGACTCAGAGGCTAGCTTCTTAAAAATGCATCTGCTTTTTAGAGAATTACTCTGTTGGATTATATTTGTTTTCTTATACATTTGTCTTCTCCACTAGATTGAGTTTCTTGAATATAAAAAAAGGTCTATCCACTTATTTTTATCCCCAGTATACAGCTGGGGTTAAAAAAAACTAATGGAATATGACAGAACATCCAGTACCATTCCAATGAGTAAACATATCTTGTAACTAAAAGTTACTGTTTTGCCTAACAAAGTACATAAATGACCTCTCTTCATAAATTTTGGTACAATTTTTAATCTGTTTCTTTCAAGATGTGTAACCACAAAGGGGAAAAACAGGTAAGAAAGAACTTATGTAAGTATTTGTCAAAACTATCCCTGTTGTCAATTCATTCATCTCCATCATAGAAGTAGCTGGAAATTGAACTGCTGAATCTAATTTCAACCATTACCTACAATTCCTTTTTTTTTTTTTTTAATGAAACGCTTCACAAATTTGCGTGTCATTCTTGTACAGGGGCCATGTAATCTCTGTATCATTCCAGTTTTAGTATACTTGCTGCCGAAGCAAGCACTAATTCTCAAAGAGTTCATTTTCACATGGGTAATGAAAACCTTTTTCTGCTCCTTTACTATTAGCAATCATTCCTATTGCTTATTCTAAATTAAGCCTTTATTGGCCAGGCATAGTGGCTCACGCTATAATCCTAGCACTTTGGAAGGCCGAGGTGGAATAATCCCTTGAGCCTAGGAGTTTGAGACTAGCCTGGGCAACATAGTAAGACCCCGGTCTCCATAAATAATAAAAAATAAATTAAATATTTTAAAAATAAAATAAATTAAGCCTTTATTGATGGTTTTTTTCTATTAGAAATTAAGATTCACGTTGATTTTACCATTATTCCATTATATGTGAAGTATCTACAATGTCCTAACTCTTATTAATACCTTTTATCACCACAGCTTCATCAGTATAGAGGTAGTCCAAAATAACTTTTAATATATCAGAATGTATTGGCATTTCCAGAGCTGCACAACTGGAAGCCTAAATAAAATAAGACAAAATAAAGTAAAATAATTCATTCTAAACAATAAAATATTACATTCTAATTTGGGTTATTGGTACAAAACACTCTGAACAGGAAATCACATCAAATGCAAAACATAAAATTTACAAAACACATGGCTAAAATAATATTAAATTTAATTTTAAAACATAACATGAAAAAGGAACAAAAAAATTCAGAAAACAAGAAACACAGTGGTGTTCCTAATACATTTCTAAATAATAACGGGGAAATTTTTATTTAAGTAGCTTCTTGGCAATAATTTTAAATTCTAAGTGTTGCTATTTTCCAGCAGCCTCAAGCATAAAGTTTAATATAAATGAAAAACTGAGCTAAAATATCCAGTTCTGATTTTGAATTTCTTTACTACATACTTTGCACAAAATATAAAGAAACATAGTTACCAACCTAGGCGCTTTTTACTTAAATCTTACCTCAATCCATGAGCTACTCAGCATACTATGAAAATATTCTAAAAGAAAAAAAAGTTCAATGCAATAAGAATAGTGAAACAATACTACAGCAAATAAATCAGCAGCTTTAAAAAGTGCACCTACCAAGTCTAGCACAAAGAACACATTTATGACAAGGAAATTCCTTTCCATCCACTGATTTCATGGTCACGTCACACAGAAATGAACTGCAAGAAAATGTTTAATTGAAGCAAGAGCAATTTCTTTACATATTTAGTGAAAAAGATTATAGGATTTGGCTTAACTTTCAGTTTTCTCTTAAAGGTGGCAGAGAATAAATAACTTGCAGGAATACATACAATAAAATACTTCATCTTTTTCCACCACAGGGAAGATAAGGGCCTTAGAGTAAAGACAATATTTGAAAAGGGAGCCGAATACAAATATTCAAAAAGTATTTTTCTGATTTTCCTTTTTTTTATTCCAGAAAAACTGTTAATAATATAATACTAAGTGATATCATATTTAAGTCTCTGTAATTCACTTATTTGTAGTAGCTAATCTGGGCCAAGCACAGTTGAAACAACTCCACAGTTTATCCTTCTCCAAAACCTTTTCACTTACAGAGGAAGCATGAATAGCTAAAAACAAAACTTTTTTTTTCTTTGAAACGGGGTCTCGTTCTGCCACCCAGGCTGGAGTGCAATGGTGCAATCTTGTCTCACTGCAACCTCCGCCTCCCGAGTACAAGTGATTCTCCTGCCTCAGCCTCCCAAGTGGCTGGGATCACAGGCACCCGCCACTATGCCCGGCTAATTTTTGTATTTTCTTCGTAGAGACAGGATTTCACCATGTTAATCAGGCTCTTGACCTCAGGTGATCCACCTGCCTCGGCCCCCCAAAGTGCTGAGATTACAGGCGTGAGCCACCACACCAGGCCCTAAAAACAAAACTTTTTAACAATATATTTAGAATAGTATATTTATTACTAAGAATTTTTTATACTAAAGGCAATAATCATAACAATGATGAAGAGGTATAATTAATTGGTTTGGGGGCTAATAACATTTCCTAATTATAACAAGGCACAAAATTCAGGCAAGAAAAAATAAAAATTAAAAGTTCCACTCTCTATTAGAAAGTCATCGGAAAGAAAAAACTCCTTTGATGTCTTCAGCAGTTAATATTTTATCAATTTACTTCAACAGCTCCCCAACATTTCCAGAAATGCAGAATACTAGAAAAGGTAAGAGGGTATCTACCTATACATTTTGCTTCATATGTGGGTAAGCAGAGATCTATTTCCACACTTAAGTGCCAAAATCCAGACATGAAATGTTAATCTTCCTTTCCTTACTTACCATTTTTTCTGACTTAGCTTCAGTTTATTACCAGTGTTCTTGGCAATAACATTAATTTTTTCATTTTCAAATCTGACTCCATCTAACCTATCAAGGATAGATAAAAATTAACAATTGATATTCCCCTACAAAAATAAACATACAACAAAAAATCCAACAAATTAGCTTACATCTAAATATAATACTGTATCCTAGAAAAGTATCTCAACAAACTCCTACTCTGAGATAAAGAAATATCATACTTTTTCTTCCATTTTAGTTAGAATTCAAAATAGATTAAACATTACTGACAAAAGACAAATCAAAGCCATAGCACAAAGTTTTTCCTTTTTTTTTTTTGAGACGAAGCCTCGCTCTGTTGCCCAGGCTAGAGTGTGGTGGCATGATCTTAGTTCACTGCAACCTCCACCTCCCAGGTTCACATGAATCTCCTGCCTCAGCCAACCCAGTAACTGGGACTACAGGCATTCACCACCATTCCCGGCTAATTTTTGTAATTTTTTGTAGAGACAGGGTTTCGCCATGTTGGCCAGCTTGGTCTCAAACTCCTGACCTCAGGAGATCTGCCCACCTCAGCCTCCCAAAGTGCTGGGATTACAGGCGTGAGCCACCGCGCCCGGCCCCTTCATTATTTTTAAACAGGAAACACGATACACACCCCTCCTCTCTTCCCACCCTACAACGAAGGTTTAACTGCCACAAGCAACATAAATACCTTAAAAAAAGAAAGAATTTCAAATAATCTGATTCATAATATGATACTATGGTGTTAGGCAATTTACATATGACAAAACCATATCAACAATATGAGGCAAATATTATCTTTCCCATTTCTTATATTGAGAAACTGAAGTAAGAAGGATCGCTTGAGCCCAGGAGTTCGAGAAACTGAGGTAAAAGAAAATTGTCCCAGCCAGGAATAGTAAAGCTAAGAGATATGTATGTCTAACTTGAAAGACCTTTCCAGCATACCACATTGCCTGCCACTCCAGATCCCTGTTACATACACAAACCAGAGTTCAAACCCACCAACAGCTTTCCTATCCATTAATGTAATCCAAGAAGTCCCAGAGATAGCTCTGCCCGCAAATGGAGGAAAGACATATCCATGTACCTCCCCAAAAAAAGGATGGGTAGGGAGAAAGGGAGAGAGAGGAAGAGGAGGGGAAGGAGAAAGAGAAGGGGATGGAACAAGTGGGAGGAGACTTGGGGAGGGGAAAGAAAAGCAAAGCAAGGCAAAAAGGGTGGGATTTTTTTTTTTTTCTTTGAGACACAGTCTCGCTCTGTCGCCCAGGCTGGAATGCAGTGGCGCAATCTCGGCTCACTGCAAGCTCCGCCTCCCGGGTTCAGGCCATTCTCCTGCCTCAGCCTCCTGAGTAGCTGGGACTACAGGCGCCCGCCACCACACCCGGCTAATTTTTTGTATTTTTAGTAGAGATGGGGTTTCACAGTAAGGGTGGGAAATTTTTTAAAGGAGGACTGAATGAGGTACAGGAACAGATATAAAAGAGAAATCATACCTACTACTCAAATTACTGAAGTCGAATTTCTTTGCAACAGTTTGCAACATTCTTACAGGATCATCTTCCCTAATATTTTTTCCTTTTTTACAAGATTTAGGTTTGCTCTTCTGCCTCTCACTAACTGTTTGAGCTTGATTACTTTTGTAAACTTCAAATGCAGACTTCTGGTTATCATCTTCATGGAAATTCACTTTATTCAAATGAGAATTCAGAGTTCCCTGATATTCTTCTGGGTTTTTGTTTAAGTGTATTCTTGGTTTGAAGCCATGAGTTAAAAAGTCACAAGTATCTGTGTATATAAATTGTAAAAGGTATTCAAACATGTCAGGATGAACCTTCTCTACCACAAAGAGATGGCACCCTGCAGAATCTTCATCTTTCTGGTAAATATCTGTAAATTCTGAAGTATTACCATCTGAAAGAAACAATTTCTGAAAAAAATCAGAATGCACTGCCAAAATATATTTATGTGCAGGGAAGAGTCTATTGCCAACTTGAAATGTCACATCATGAATGCTGTCCATTTCATCTGCTTCCCTCAACAGTTTGCCAAACTCTTCAAAAAAGGATGATGAGGACACAGCTGGAATTTCATAAAGGCTAGAAAGAAGACAAAAACAAATTATGCTTCAAAAAATATGAAGGAAATCCTTTTTCATACCTAGCCAATTCTCCTTTAAAATGCAATTTTTTTAACAATATTTAGAAAATTTTAAATTTGGCATTTCCTAAAATACAAGAATATTGCACAAAGTCCTAGATGCTATATCATCCTTTAATTTTTTTCTATTCCTTTTTATATTTATATTCTATTCTTCTCTCAAATTAAAATGATAAGAACTAAGTTGTCCGTATCCCTGGTTCTTACAGTACTGTGGGAATGCAATTACACCTTCCCAACCAACATTTCACCCTTCTCAGTAGGAAGACCAACCCTCCTGTGGTTTGCCTTGGACTGACGAGTTTCTCAGATGAGACTTTCAATGTTAAAACTGGGGCAGGCCTGGGCAAACCAGGATGGATGATGACCCTACTTGCAGAATTTCCTCCCTCTTCAACAGTACCCTTGATGTTTATCTTAATCTGATACCTCTCTGCTTATGTGACTTAGGAGATTTGCATTGCGATTTACAGATGGCGCCACAACACTTATTTTGCCAATTCTCATCATATTCAAGGGTCAGAAATCTTTGCAAACTGCCTAAGAAATATTTATAATACATTTTTCAGAATCTGAGAACCCAGGGTACATCATACAGTATGAAAGACAAATAAGGCAGGGTGCGGTGGCTCATGCCTGTAATCCTAGCACTTTGGGAGGCCGAGGCTGGCGGATCACCTGAGGTCAGGTGGTCAAGACCAGCCTGGCCAACAGGGCAAAACCCCATCTCTACTAAAAATACAAAAATTAGCTGGGTGTGGTGGCGGGCACCTGTAATCCCAACTACTTGGGAGGCTGAGGCAAGAGAACTGCTTCATCCTGGGAGGTGGAGGTTAGAGTGAGCCGAGATTTTGCCACTTAGCCTGGGCAATAGAGCAAGACTCCATCTCAAAAAAAAAAAAAAAAAAAAGAAAGACAATAAACTTTGTGAGTGCATGTATAGATATTTTCAATATTTTCAATAAATGTCAGTTTATAAACCAAAGGAAACATTCATCACTCCAAGTATAACAAATTCTACCTCTGGATTATCTGTAGACATAATCTGTAAACATGATTATGTCTAAGGTCTCTATAGGTCTTGGCAACAGCTCTTCAATTAAATTTGCACCAGCAGCTACTGAAAACAAGAAAATTCAGTGATTGTTCCTTCTAAAAAATGAAATTTAATATATACAAGTATACCTTGTTTTAGGATCTGACTGCAGGATTGCAAAGTTGCATCCACTTGGATCTGTGCTGACACTAACAGCTCTATGTGCAAAGGTAAGTTTCTCAAGTCGAATTCTTTCATACACACTATTTATATCAGAGACATAAGACACATCTGATGAGGAATTGTGAAGGTTTGATAAAATCTCTGTTAAAAAAAAATAAACTACCATTAATCAAGGCTTTACTGAAACTACTAAAATGATTGAGAAGTAAATGGAATAGAAAAGGAGTTAGAAAAATATGGAAATCTTTTTCACATATATTCAGTGTTTTTGAAGAACTACATCCTCTCTTCAACACATTTTCCACTGAATATATTGGCTGTATTATACAGGAAATTTTTGGTGGATGGATTCTCAATTATCCATGATTCCATCTCTTTCAACAAACACATCCTCCATACTGCAACCAAAGTTCCCTTTCTAAAAAGCAAATCTAGTGTCATACTAGCTTTTAAAACTTTTCAACTTATACTTCCTGTTGCCCAAAGGGAAAAAAATTCTTCAACTTGGATTAAAAATATATAAATCTACTGTCTTCATAATCTGCTTGTTTATTTGCTTCCTCCCTTTCTCTTCCCCCTTTCTTGCATGTATTCAGAAAATATGTGCGTAACCAAACTGGGCTACTATGATATCATCAGTCTGGTGATATAGTAGTGAAGAAGACAGACATGTGCCTGCTCTCCTCGAGTACACAATCTAGCAGGGAAGACAGACATTACACAAATGATTATATCATTACAAGTAAAATCAAGGCTATGAAGGTAAAGGATATAGTGCTTCCACAAAGATATGAAATTTACATGAATGAAATGATTCTGGTTGTAGTGTGAAGAATGTTTAAGGTAAACAAAGAATAGATAAAAAGAGGCCATTTAAGGAATTACTGTAAATCCAGGAAAAGAATTAAAAGATGATATAGACTAGGTTGTAGCAATGAATCTGGAAAAAAGTGGAAAGATATAAGAAACATTTGAGAAAGAGAACAAAACTTGATGACTGATTAATTCTAGTGTAAGGGAATCTGAGTGTCAAAGATAATAATTTACAGAAATAGAAAACACTGAGAAGCAGAAGTTAGAGCATGAAATCATGAATTCAGTTTCAGATCACTAAATATGACTAAGACACACTTCTAAAGACTTCCATAAGTTGAACCTACGTTCTAGTTACTCCCACAAATTAACTCTATTTTAGTCTTATGAGGCTTTACTAATCTTCTCTGACACTCAGTCATTCCAATTTCTATGCTCTCAAGAAACTTATTATGTGGATATTAACATTAGTCTCAGTGAACTGCAAATATTTACATACATGTCTATTGCCCCTACAAGCCTATGAGTGCCTCAGTATAGAGGCCCATTTTATATATTCTTGCATCTTTAAAACTTTCCCCTATATCTGGCACATAGTAAATATATATTAAATGTTTACAGACTTGAATAATCTATAAAGAAATAAAAGAAATACAAGTAAATCATTAAATTTTACAAAAGTCATTTATCTGTGGCTTTATGATTTTGAAGAATACGTTTATAATTTTCTGAGTAATTATAAACATTCTTGATTTTGTTCTGGCACACAATAACTGAGTTATTCATACAACAGGTGATTTAATGAGTGACTACAATGCGCCAGGAAATATGCCAAAGGCTAAGGATATAGACGAATATTCATGGCCCTTGCCATCACTAACCTTACACTCTAATAGGAAACAGGCATTAAAAAACTAATCACAAAGATAAATACATAAAAGTAAAACCTAATAACACTTGTCAGTTGAACCTAATACTTGTCAAATTAAAGGATAATTGAAAGGTACTTTTACGTATTGTTCAATATATGAACTGACCTTTCTTTTCAGAACTCTTTCTTTTCTCTTCAAACCATCTCCCTCTAAATCCTTCTCCATCTTGCGTAACAAATAGAATTTCATTTCTATTTAAAGCAATATCAGAAATGAAGACCTGACGTGGATAGGCCCATCGACACTGCTTCAGAGAACTGTTGACTGATCTCCAGCAAAACACCTAAAACAAAACCAAATCACATTGAAATATAAAGCAAGTAGCATTTGAACAACCAAAACCTTAAATCAAGATATCAAGAGACAATGCTGTTAAAATAAAAGCTCTCATTAGTATGTTTCAATGTTTATTCTTCCACAGAAAAAGATAGCTACTATAAGAAAAATCAAGATGATTTTAAAGAAATATCTTTCAGAAAAGTATATTAAGCAAGCCTGAAGCATTAGAAATTATTTCAAAGGCACTCCTCTTAAGAAGTAGCAATTTCCAGTATTACCTGTTTAGGGCAAACAGATGTGCTACAATGCTAAAGAAAAACAAAATCTTAAAGCTACAACTTACAAGTCAGGCTTCTTGTAGTACTATCTCTTTACAAGAAGAATGAGCCCCCTATGAAAATCCAAACTTTACTCTCAAGAAAAAAGTAAATGTATGCATAACTCAATTATATAACTAAAACAAAATCTTAGAAAAGTCATTACAGAATTCAATGGTTGTAAATGGTTCTGCAAACCTCAGAGTCCCTGAAAAGTAGCTCCAGGGGACTTGCTAAGGGATGGAGAATGATGAGAGATGGGGTGTCAGGCTTCCCAATCCACAGTAGCAATTGTTTTATCTGTTTCATATACCGGTATTCCAAGCACAATTTCATTTGAAAAATTGGAACTGCTGATTTTTAAAAGTCCAATTCCCTCATAATCAAGTTAAGAAAACTAGAACACAAAATGGTTATCTGACAAGGTCGCTAAAAAGTTATTCACACAAAAAGACTATACTGATTGAGACTGACTGATGCTTTCAGAGCTTGGTTTTCTTAATGAGACTCTATTTTGCAGGAAGTAAATATCCAGAAGTATAAGCTATATCCATTTCAATGTAAGTGATACACATCCCAAAATCAAATATAAGTTTTTATACTCAACTCTTTTATGTAACCCCATTTGTTTCCTTCCACTAGTACAAACTGGAGCTCTAATTCTTTTTTTTTTTCCTTCAACTTTTAAGTTCAGGGGTACATGTGCAGGATGTGTAGGTTTGTTACATAGGTAAACGTGTGCCATGGTGGTTTGCTGCACAGAGCATCACATCACCCAAGTATTACGCCCACCATCCAACAGCTATTCTTCCTGATGTAGAGCTCTAATATTTAAACCTAGTTACTACTATTAAAATCATCTTCATTCTCCATCCCTACAATATATGCCTATAATGACCCAGTATGTGGAGCTTTATGATTAATTCCTCAATTTCTAAAATGTCAAACTTTACAGCACATTATAAACCTCGGAAAACATTATTTTAATTTGATAAGTAAAACCAGAAAGTTATCTGTGTTCTTCTACCCATACTGTGTGTTTTTCAGTATCATTAGTGTATGATATATACCTTTAAATATAATTTTTAAAATCTAAATATATTATTTAGAGATGGCTCCCACCCTCCCACCCCTCAAAAACAATTTAGAGATGTATTTTATATAATATATAAATACATTAATTGAAGCATATATTTCAGAAAATAATCTTTTTAAATATTTTAAATTAATAATTTTATTAGAGAAATGTACTGATATGTTTGCATAAGGAACTAAAATTAGAACTTTTTATTTAAGAGATAAGAAATTCCTTATACACTAGTGATCCGGAAATATTTCATATATAATGTGGATAGTTATAATGTATACATATATTATAATGCATACATTTGTATAAAACTAAATATGGAAAAAAATTTCCAACTATGCACCAAATTTATCATATTGCCTGATCTTTACTTTTTTAACAGTTACATGAGGCCAGGCGCAGTGGCTCATGCCTGTAATCCCAGTACTTTGTGGGGCTGAGGAGGGCAGATCACTTGAGGCCAGGAGTTTGAGACCAGCCTGGCTAACATGGCGAAACCCCGTCTCTACTAAAAATACAAAAATAAGCCAGGCGTAGTGGCACATGCTTGTAATCCCTGCTACTCAGGAGGCTGAGACATGAGAATCGCCTGAACCCAGGAGGTGGAGGTTGCAATGAGCCGACATCATGACACTGTACTCTAGCCTGGCCAATAGAGCGAGACTGTCTCAAAAAAAATAAATAAATAAAATTATAGTTACATTACATATCTTATATTTACGCAATTCAGTGTCATTTATCAGTATTCAGTGTATACACCAAATAACATCAAAATCTCTTTTCATTTTAAGCACAATAAAATTTTTGATTACAGTTTAACAAATCAGTATTGTGCAACATTAGATTAAATGCTGTCTGTCATACTTTCTCTAAATCCCACCTCCATACTAATTAGTAATGGATGTCTAAAACATACTTATTTTGGCACCCAATACTAATCATCAAAGTCAATAGGAATTGTCACTAACATAGCAATACATTTTCATGTTACCAGGTCTGCTACAGCTATCAACTGAGAGTAAGATTACACTTTTACATAAACATGTACTTACCCTTCCAGCTCCATCCATTGCAAGAATGCAAATTTTTTGACCCCCATTTTCTTTCAAATGTTCAGGATCAACCTTGTATTCCATATGACCCCCAGACACAAGAACTTTTTTCAAGTTCAACTGTCTAGATGAAAAAAAAAAAAATCCTAGATTAATATGTTCTCTAAACTACACATGCCTAAACTTCAAAGAAGTTAGTATTCAAACAACAATCTATAGGCAATTATTGTGAAGGTGAAGTAAAATGATTTGGTCTTTGGTATCTCTAGCCTTCCATTCTGTAAATTTCCCCTACAAGGGGGCTGTTCCTTTCTATGTCAAGTCTTTTTCTCTTAAATGACTTTACCTACACACACACACACACACACACACACACACACACACACACACATTAAATGCCTGAAGTTCCACCTGCTAATTCAAACATTCACTCTGGAGTTTAAATAACTGGTATGGGCTGGGTGCAGTGGCTCCCGCCTGTAATCCCAGCACTTTGGGAGGCCAAGGCCGGTGGATCATTTGAGGCCAGAAGTTCGAGACCAGCCTGGCCAAAATAGCAAAACCCTAGCTCTACTAAGACGAAAATCAGCCGGGCATGGTGATGCGCCCCTGTAGTCCCAGCTACTCGGGAGGGTGAGGGAGAAGAATCACTTGAACCTAGGAGGCAGAGGTTGCAGTGAGCAGAGATCACACCAGTGCACTCCAGCCTGGGTGATAGAGAGAGACTCTGTCTTAAAAAAGTAAATAAATAATAAATAAATAACTGGTATGGCTATAAGCTCCTAAGTGCATCTCTATTTTAACAGAAAAGACAAATTTTAAACCTCAAAATTAAATAGAAATGCTTAATTTAAAAAATGGCTAATCCTAAACAGATATTGCTACCATGAAAATCATCTGTACTGCTATTCAGTAACTCATTCATTAGCTACACATTTCATTATATCTGCACATTTGATGTGCATAGCATTATGTGAAATCTGCCTGCTGCTACTCCAATGACTGTCCTCCCTTTTAAATTAAAGGAAAAAAAAATTTTCAAAATTACTATATTGTATAACTTAATCTGTAACAAAATAATTTCCTTAATGTACTCTTGGATATAACATATTTATGTGATTTAATGTTATATAGGCAAGTTTTATAAATGTTAACTAAAAATACAACTCAACATCTTACATATCACCTCAAACTCAGGAAAAAACCTATTTAGTCAGTTTTAAGAAACATATTCACATTTTCATGTTTCTATCACTAAAATATAACCTAAAATTGAAGTCAAAAGTAACTTTCTGCCAGGTGCAGTGGCTCACGCCTGTAATCCAAGCATTTTGGGAGGCCAAGGTGGGCGAATCACCTGAGGTCAGGAGTTCGAGACCAACCTGGCCAAAATGGAGAAACCCCATCTCTACTAAAAATACAAAAAAAATTAGCTGGGCATGATGGCAGATGCCTGTAATTCCAGCTAATCGGGAGGCTGAGGCAGAAGAATTGCTTGAAAACCTGGGAGGCGGGGGTTGCAGTGAGCATAGGTCACATCACTGTACTTCAGCCTGGGCAACAGAGCAAGACAATGTCTCAAAAAAAAAAAAAAAAAGTAATTGTTACTCAAAGAAGGTAAGTTTTTACAAATTGATAGACATTTTCTGCTCATGAGTAACTTCATGGATGGTACCTGTTTTACATTATCAAAAGCATTTTGTTGCATTTAAATTTAAATCCCCAATTGTTTTAAAAGTTAGATAGCTATTCTCCAGAATTCCTGTACACAACTGCTCCCACTAGTTGAGCTATCCACTTTCAAGAATCATTTATATTTGTACAATGACCTATTTAAGTACTTGTATTTTTTTAAACTAATAATGTATATATTTATAATGAATTTATCACAGTAAAATACTATATAAATGGTAACATATTAGTCTGAAACCTGTCTATAGAAGTTGAATACTTTGGAATGGCACAATAAATATGAGCAGCAAAAAACTGTCAAACTAATTAATCAATTATAAAAGATTCAAAATGTATTAAAAATGTACAATTCTGCACTTACATTACTTCACAATTGTTTTTAAGCACTGGTTCCTTAAATCATTCAAAATGAAATGACAGGTGACACATTATGAGTATGGTTTATATGAAAACACAGGGAATTCCAGTTGGTGCACCCACCCATACTTAAAACTTTATGAAGCTGGGCGCAGTGGCTCACATCTGTAATCCCAGCACTTTGGGAGGCTGAGACAGGAGGGACGCTTGAACCCAGGAGTTCAAGACTAGCCTGGGCTACAGAGCAAGAACCTGTCTCAATTAAAAAAAAAAAAACAAAAACTTTATGATTCTTTGCTTTGACTTGACTAGTCAACCAACTGCTACTTTACTGCATTCTATAATAACATGTTTTTTTAAAAAATATACTTATCAGTTATAAACACTAAGCCTGGTTAGAGGGCTCATGATATATGATTATATTCTAAAGATAAATAAATGTATAATGTAAAAAAGGCTATACAGGAACCAATGATGAGAGTGTCACGAATCAAGAATTATGATTAATCTATTTCTGTGCACCTAAAATACAAAAAAAGAAAAAAATATATAGCTCATATTTAACTACATATTAAACATAATTCAGAAATACCACTTTACAATTTACACAGAAATTTTATATATATTCACTGGATCCATGCCAAAAGACAAAAATCAAAGACAAAAATTCCTGATGTTTTTCCTCATTCAATTTTTTCCATTTGACATTTATAGAACATAGCATAAAGCTAACACTCAGATATTTGCTGGAAGAGTTGAATTATTATTAAAATTACGTTTCTTTCACAGAAATACACATACTTAGAAGCCATCTTCTTGCACTGATAGTCTGCAAGTAAGTAAATATCTCCCCTTGTGGTAACACAGACTGTAGCTCCATCACTTGCAGCAACCAAAGACAGAGCAATGTCTTTATGGTGAAGGGCAGAGACCTGACGAGGAGCAGTTACACACTTTTCTCCATTGGGATCTAGCAAACAACCTAAAAAATGATACAAATAAGCAAATCACAAAATAGCTCTTTTAAGAGTCCTATTTAGCCAAGCACAGTGTCTCATGCCTATAATCCCAGCACTTGGGGAGGCCAAGGTGGGCAGATCCCTTGAGCCCTGGAGCTCGAGACCAGCCTGTGCAACATGGTGAAACCCCATCTCTACAAAAAATAGCCCAGCATGGTGGTAGGGGCCTCTGGTCCCAGCTATTCGGGGGGCTGAGATGGGAGGATCGTTTGAGCCCAGGAAGTCAAGGTTTCAGTGAGCTGTGATCGCACCCTGAACTCCAGCTAGGATGACAGAGTGAGACTTTGTCTCAAACAAACAAACAAAAAATCACTCATAATCTCATTCTAATCAATAAAAATTAAAAAGAAAAGATAATTTTTTAAAGAGTCCAATTTAATTTCCAGATATTGTCATTAAGGATTTCTTACCCAGTTGTCCACCATTTAGTCCCATAGTGTAAACAGCTTCTCTAGTCCATAGGACTGTATGAAACCTGCCTGCTGCAACGCCAATGATTGTCCTTCCTTTCAGATATTTTGCCTGTATCTATTTAAAGACAAATAAAACTGCAATTTACTATATATTTATGACCTAGTACAATTTTTTAAAGATCCAGCAGACCAGCAAATATATGGTATACTTGCTGTTAGTGGTCCACTCAAGTGCAATTGGCAGTTGTCACTAACAGATCTCAGCACTCATACTAAGACCTGAATCCTTCTCGGAACACAAAACATTGTGATGCAGCCACTTTCAGTCAGCAGTTTTAACATATAGAAAATTGACATGGTGTAAGAATCAAATTATTAAACTTTTAGCTATTTTTCTTTTTCTAACAAGCAATATGCAAAGCAGCCAGTCTCATTCTTAATAGAAAACACAGTGCTTCTAAATTAGATATTTCCATGGTCTCTCAATAGTGGCATTATTGACATTTTGGGCTAGATGTTTTTTTGTCGTGCGATTGTCCTGTGCACTACTGTGCACCTTCTGGAGATGGCTGTGCACATGAGAGTAAAAAAGTAGAATAAAGAATACTGGTTTTTGGACCCATGTCCCCTAACATCAACTTGTCACGTGTGATATCTGTGCAGAGGCAGATTTACTGAAGCAAATAAAACTTAAGTCTCTGAGTTCCTCACTTGCATGAACCCATTTGGTATTGATAAATTTCATATTTTTTCTTATGGAGGGCCTAAAAAGTGTTTAAGTTTCAAATCCAAAATATCTGGACCTCCCTTTGCTTATGAAGACTTAAAAGATGCAGTTTGGTGGCTAATCTCCCAAGTGCAGAATTTCCCAAGTGCTTTCTTTCTTACTCCAAACAAATGCTAATATGTACTATGCTTAATTTCTCCTGTTAAAAATAAAGACAACAGGCTGGGTGCAGTGGCTCACACCTGTAATCCCAGCACTTTGGGAGGCCGAGGTGGGCAGATCACCTGAGGTCAGGAGTTTGAGACCAGCCTGGTCAACATGACAAAACCCTCTCTACTAAAAAATACTCAAAAAAAAAAAAAATTAGCCAGGCATGGTGGTGTGTGCCTGTAATCCCAGCTACTCAGAAGGCTGAGGCAAGACAATCGCTTGAACCCGAGGGGCAGAGGTTGCAGTCAGCTGAGATCGCACCACTGCACTCCAGCCTGGGCAACAGAGGAAGACTCTGTCTCAAAAAATAATAATAATAATAATAAATAATAAAGACAGTATATACCACTGAAGATAAAGTTAAATAACAGAAATAAAATAAGTTGCTCTGTCAATAACTTACATTTTTTTGTTCATACAGGTTTTATTGCAAATGTAAAACCTTATTATTTAAAAGAGTAAAGCTTACCTGTCTGGGTACATTACAACTGGAAGGCGGTGGAATAATTCCTAATTGATGAAAAATGTTTAGACCAAATGTATAAACACATCCATCTTCAGTTAATACAACAGTATGATCCTTAGCAGCTGCCACTTGGGAACAATTATGACCATTCAGTCCTTCCACAAGCCGAGGGACCTACAAAATAAAATTAACTTTAGTATACTACATTAACCATTTATACAGATATGCAAATAGAATTTGATGATACTACATCTAAAATGACATGAAATGACATGACTGATACATGGCTGTATCTATCATAGGTAAATTCTACATTTCAGCAAAGGGTAGATGAGTTTAAAAGGATATGGTTGTAAGTTTATGAGCAAAATACATAAGCCCAGTAAGACATTCCAGTGAAATAATTCAATTCAACAAATGATTTTTGAGCCCTTACCAAGTGCAAATTTGTTTGGTATGAATAAAGGGAGCTCATCAAAGTATACACGGGTACATTGAAAAAAAAACAAAAATACAGAATCAATGTTTCCCTTCGGGGAGTAGCCAAACATATAGTATCATATTCCTTTGGAGTCATTTATCTGTCCTGGGTTCAAATCTTACTTCTGTCACTACCTATTTGATCTCAAATCAAATTTCTTAACCTCTCTGTACCTCATTTTCTTCATCTGAAAACAGTAATCAGTCAATAAACGATTGCTATTATTAGTGTCATCATCATGCATAAAATGAAGATAATACCTGTGCCTCACAGGGCTGTTGTGAGGCTTAAGGTAATATTATATATGAAAAGCATAAACAATGCTTGGAACAAAATAAACCCTCAAAAATGGAAGCTATTATCATTATAGCTTTCCCTCTTTTTAAAAGCACCATTTAATAGATAAGTATATCAGAAGTCCCCACAAAAAACATCTTAAAATAACGTAGTGAACCAATTTTCTGATAGGTAATGTACTAGGTCTCTTCTAATTAGCACTAAGTTTCAGTAGCACAAATATAAATTTTGTGACTACATAATGAAAATACTGGCTCAATTTTTAGACCACAGAAATCTTAATGAGAAGTTAAAAACAAAAACCAGAACTACTTCAGGAAAAGTGTTTTACAATTAGTGTGCCTTCTTTTTTGTTTTTTTTTTTTTCTTTTTGAGACGGAGTTTCACTCTTGTTGCCCAGGCTGGAGTGCAATGGCACAATCTCGGCTCACCGCAACCTCCGCCTCCCAGGTTCAAGCAATTCTCCTGCCTCAGTCTTCCAAGTAGCTGGGATTACAGACATGTACCACCATGCCCAGCTAATTTTGTATTTTTAATAGAGACAGGGTTTCTCCATGTTGGCCAGGCCGGTCTCGAACTCCCGACCTCAGGTGATCCGCCTGCTTCAGCCTCCCAAAGTGCTGGGATTACAGGCGTGAGCCACTGCGCCCGGCCTAGTCTGCCTTCTTCTATTTCAACTCTAGAAACATTTTAAAGCTTATGTAACGCTCCTGACTCAGTATTTGCTATAAGCAAAGTATTACTTTTTTTAATCCTTTTGCATTGTATGTAAATCCTTAATTTAAACATGATATATCAGGAAACAGATTTTTTAAAATCTATTATCAATTGATGTATTATTTCGTCCTTACAGTTGAAAAAAAAATTTAGTTAATTAAATCTTTCAGCTTATCAGCATTTTTCTAAAGTTACCTAAATAGTGTAATGACATTTCAATTACCAAGCATGTCTGTTCATCTCCATGTCCTAATCGCCCTCCAGGACCATGACCACAGGTATAAACCTGCCCTTTCTGAGACAGAAACACGGAGTGAAATTTACAAAGCACCACCTAAGGGAAAACAAGAGAATATTATTAAACTTCTCTGAATAAAATATCCTTTATTTTATGAAAAAGAAATAGAATATTGTTAATTGTTTAAACAGGATAATGGATACAAGGGGAATTTATAAGACTTTAATTTCCACATTTTAAGTTTCCTGTAATAAAAATAAAAGATACATATGCTTTGTTTTAAAATTATGTCTAAAAACATTGACACGAAAAAAAAGAACAAAGAAAGAATTAAGCATGTGTTACCCACAGAAGAGATTACCCAAAGGAAAATATAATTTTAAACCTTCAATTCCAAAAATTAGTAGCCAGTTGTTTTCCAGTTTCATGAAATATCAAACAGTAAGAAATGAGCAAAGTGCAACAGGAAGCATAAAGATTACCAAATAGTGATATATGGTACTAATAAAAATAATAGAAACATCTTCAGAGTGTTTTCAAAAAACAATAAAGCCATTTATACATGGCGTAGGGGGCAGTATGTCCTTTTCTTTATCTTTGGTTTTATCAACATGTCTTTAATATACATTTATAATTATTTTAATAAATAATTTTATATTTATTTTCAAGTTTTTCTCTCCTTTCCCACTTCCTTTTTCCTTATCTGCCTCAATCTCAGTACACTCCCTTGCCCCTGATACACAGACTTACTATTCACATACTACAGAAGACAAAGATACTGAAACAGTTGAACTGCCTCAGCAGAACACAATAACAGGAAACCATCAGCAGTTTCAAATATATATATATTTACATATCTAACCCTGGGCCACATTTTGCTATTTTCCAAGCTCTGATATTCATTATACTCACTTTACCTTAATAATATTTTTAAAATCTTCTCATTTTTAAAGATTGTTTGCATTTATATTTCTTACAACATCTGCAAATATTTCTAACTTAGGATATAAAAAGATGAGTAAGAAATAAAGAAACCCTAAAATCATTTCCAGAAAGTCAAGGTCCTTTGGAAAACAAAAAAATTATAAGCTAGACAAGCTCTAAATATTTACACATACCCTAGACCGCTCGGAATTTTGTAAGCACAATATAGCTATCAAATAAAAAAAGTAATGCAAAGATTATTATCTCATTTAGCTGTACCACAAATACCTAAAAAGTTTAAAAATAAAATCCAAATTTGTATTTTAAATTTACAAGTTGTCAGTGAAATTCATTTTATGAAATAAGAAAGAATACATTTCATTCAATTTTATATTAAATATTAGAATGCCATCCTACAACTGCTGACTTCTACTACTAAACAACAGTTGCAATACTAGACAGTTTTAAGTTATCCAACTTTAAAAACCCCAGACTTTTTTTTTTTTTTTGAGACGGAGTCTCGCTCTGTCACCCAGGCTGGAGTGCAGTGGCGCCATCTCGGTTCACTGCAAGCTCTGCCTCCCGGGTTCACGCTATTCTCCTGCCTCAGCCTCCCGAGTAGCTGGGACTACAGGTGCCCGCCACCACGCCTGGCTAATTTTTTATATTTTTGGTAGAGATGGGGTTTCACTGTGTTAGCCAGGATGGTCTCGATCTCCTGACCTCGTGATCTGCCCGCCTCAGCCTCCCAAAGTGCTGGGATTACAGGTATGAGCCACTGCGCCCAGCCTAAAACCCCTGAATTTTTAAATAAGAACTGAGCATGGATTTTCGCTTTTAATTATCTGGAATATATAATACTAACATTAATAATCTCTGTCTCATGGTAGTTAATTAATTTGGTACTGTATAATATAGAATCAGCCCCTTTTCAATAACAAATGGGGCTCTCTATATAACTGGTACTCAATTAATATTCCCATACTTGCTTTCTCTTCCCTGACTGAAATTTATACTGATTTCTTTCCTTCAAACCTACCCACTGTGCTTGCTTCACCCTCATTCTGTGGTAAATAAAATCCCTTAGATCCTTAATACCTTCACAAAACACGCCCACTGCCTTGCCTTACCTGAAATGTGGCTTTCTCTTTGAGTACACTAGTTCACTCACAACCCTGGCAAATGGAATATGCTCAAATATTCCAAACTATATATTTCTTTGGATCAGACATTTCAATCACCCTCTGATTTCCTAATGCCATCATGATTCCCTCACTCTTGTCTTTAAAATCCCTGCTCCGTAACAGCTCATGAAATAAAGGTATATCATGTACTACCTCAAAAAAGGAAAAACAGGTGTCTTTCTTGTGCCACAATTCCAATCAATCATTAGTGGCTGCTAATGGTTGGATTATCATTTTAAGGAGGAGTCTGAGGACCCACTCAAGCTCAGCATGAGAAAAAAAAAACTGACTAGCATGTCTGCAAAAAGCTCTAGACTAGGTGAGCAGCTTGTACACTTGCTGCCCCTGCTCTGATTTCTCACCATCTTGCTCACCCCTCTCACATTCACTAAAGACTTGGACACCAAGCTTGATTCTCGCCCATCACAAGTCCTTTCATTATCCTAAGTTCCCTCCACATCTACAGAGAAGACCCACAAGAATATTAGCTTTCATGACACCATTCTACTCCCTACTTCTCTAGCCACTTTTCATTCCTATATGGGTTTTTATTCCTGTTCTCTCAAAATTTAATATTCTCTAGAGTTTAAGGATTCTATTGCTTTTTTTGTTCAATTGCTGGTTGTGATGCATTAGGTTGTGACTTTTAGTTTAAAAAATAGTGTTCTATGGAGCCCTAAATATAGTGGTCATATTATTTATCATGCAAACATTTTTGAGAATGAAAGGGGATACTAACAATTACACTAGGAAAATAATCATAAACCAGAACTGTCCTGGGCAAACTAGGGATATGTTGTCAAAGTAGCTCTAAAAACTGTCTAAGAATTCAATCTCAGGATATAAACTAAGTGTTGTTATGTATGTCATATATAAATAATAGGTGAAAGTTGGAAAGAGCCAGTACTATAGTGATAAAAACACTCCAAGCTCATATTCTGGATCAAAGAAGTTTTATGAACTTCAAAATGCAGAAAGAATATAACTAGGAAGTTGTAGGAAATGTAAGTTGAAATGGTAATTTAGGAAGACTGAAAAAGTTCTTACATTCCAAGCCACAGAGTTTGGACTTTATCCAAAGGTGACTTAGTAGATAAACACATAATTAGCTCTTTTTTAAGACAAATAATTCTGGAGAAGAATATTATTGGGGTTGAAATGAATGGAGCCAAAAAGTCAAATTAGGACACTGTTGTCACTGTCCAAAAAAAGAGCTTGAAAAGGACATGGCACCTAGGTTCATGAGACAGAAAAGAACTAAATAGACATGCTCTGAGGTATCATCTTCAGGATTTAGAATTTGAGATTTATAACATTAAAAATTGAATAGGGTAGTTTAGGAGTGGCAAAAATAACACTTCAGACATTCTAAATTTAAATATCTTGAAAGAATACCCACAGTACAACTGAAATAAAGTTCAAGAGAAAGACTGGGGCTAGAGATACACATACATACACACATATACACAATGTAATACAGAAAGATTTGTCAACAGTAGCTGTATCTGGGGAAGTAGAAGATATCATGCATTGTAAGGATATAAGACCACAGACCAAATCTTTACAATTGTATCTATTAAAATTTTACAATTACTTACATTTAAGAACTCAGGTTCACAAAAAGCATCACTCGTGCCTAAGCATCTAAGGGCAAATTTTTGAACCCCACACTTCCAAAACATTGCTTATCTGTCTCCATAAGTGATGAAATTTTAGTTCTATCTACTATCCAAACTGAGAACTGAGACTTAGACATTTAATTATTTATTGCTTGTCAGTGTGAATACAAATAATTAAATAGAATGACTGGCAGTTTACCAGACCCTCAGTTAAAAAACTCTATAGCCTTTCCAGACTGCTGTCATCCAACTTCACATAAGATTAAACATATTCTCTTCATGATAAATAGCTTGGAACCTAAAAACATTATTTTGTTACAAAAAATTGCAAGAAGTGTGTTGTTTTCTAAATTGAAATTATTTTATTTTTTAATGCCACCAAAAAAAAAAGAACTGTTGTTCACTTATCAAAAATAACACTGAGCTTCAACAACAAATTCACTTGAGAAACAGCTTACAGAATTGTAATGTTTGTTAAATAGAAAAGCTAGAAAATCAAGAGAAGCTTTACCCTCTTAAATTAAACTACTATCTGTATAACATTTTCTAATTTCTAACACTAATTGCACAAATATCTTATATTTTAGGGTATTTTACAAAGTCTAAATATAATTAAGGCTAACAATATCTAAAATAAAATTAGCAAAGTTCTATTGATTGATTTCCTCATTAAAATGTTACTGTACCTGAAACAAAGTTATGTAATCCACATGAAAAGCTGAACAATCAAATACAAAAGTTCTTTCTCATCTCTAAAAGTATATAGATTGTACTTCAAAAATACCTGCTTGATATAAATCCCACTCCTGGAGAACAGATCCACCAACTCTGGATGATGTTTGCTATTCTGGCTTCCATGACCCAGGGTAAAATTTGTATTATCGCCCCAAGTATAAACATCTGTAGGATCTAAAATAAAAATTAGTTTTTATACTTTTTTATATTTTAAAACACATATAAGAACTAATTTAACTACAATATTTAGAAAGATGCCAACGCTCTTCTCTGAATGAATATATTAATATGATATTAGGTAATTCTAGAAATAGAAAATCCAAATCATAGTACAGGCCTGTCTCAATGCAAGCAATCAAACATTTGTTCCTTGCTTCTTTTTTTTTTGTTGTTGTTTTTTTTTAATAATTGAGACAAGGTCTCATTATGTTGCCCAGACTGGTCTTCACCTCACGGGCTCAAGTGATCCTCCCACCTCGGCCCCCCAAAGTGCTAGGATTACAGGCATAAGCCACTCTGCCCAGGCTGTTTCTTGTTTCTTTAGCAGCTAAAGTTTAACTGCCAAATGAGTAAAACACCACCGGCCATATCTACTTAGTTTCCATGAAAATAATATATAGAACTGTATCAAATGTAAGATATTATTAATCCACACATACAAAGGTTCTAAATGTTGCAAATGTGATATTACTCTTTGTACAGGAACACTAACTTTCAATACTTTGTTTTTCATAGACACAAAATCACACTAGTGATTAGGGTAAAGCCCATTAAACTGGAATACAAATCACAGCTAAGTTCATGATATAAATCTTCATTTTTATTTTAGAAGATGAATAAAGTCTTAGAATGGAATTATCACTGTTAACCTGCAATGCAGTATCCAGGGTAGAAATAGAAATACAGAATGTGTCCTTACTCAGCTTGCTTACTAGTTAAATGCAAACTATACAGTGCCCCAATTAAATCTTTTCTTTTCTGCCAATTCCCACTTCCAAATCTCAAAGAGCAAACAAACTGGAGGGATAAGTGAAACTGAGAATGTGTGAATAAAAAAATAATTGGAGCCGGGCACAGTGGCTCACGCCTGTAATCCCAGCACTTTGAGAGGCCGAGGAGGGAGGATCACTGGAGTTCAGGAGTTCCAGATTACCCTGGTCAACGTGGCAAAACCTCACCTCTATAAAAAAAGTATAAAAATTGGCCGCACGCAGTGGTTCATGCCTGTAATCCCAGCACTTTGGGAGACCGAGGCAGACGGATCACCTGAGGTCAGGAGTTCGAGACCAACCTGACCAACATGAAGAAACTGCATCTCTACTAAAAATACAAAATTAGCTGGTCATGGTGGCTCATGCCTGTAATCCCAGCTACTCAGGAGGCTGAGAGAAGAGAGCCTCTCAGCTTGAACCCGGGAGGCGGAGGTTGCGGTGAGCCAAGATCGCGCCATTGCACGCCAGCCTGGGCAACAAGAGCGAAACTGTCTCAAAAAAAAAAAAAAAAAAAAAATTAATTGGGCATGGTGGCATGGGTCTATATTCCCAGCTACTTGGAGGGCTGAAGTGAGAGGATGGCTTAAGCTCAGAAGGTTGAAGCTGCAATGAGCCGTGTTCTTGCCACTGCACTCCAGCCTGACTGACAAAGCGAGACCCTATCTCAACAACAACCACAAAAATAATGATAATTTCCAGAGACCCTATCTCAAAAATAACAAAAGGAATAAAAATTTACATTCCTTTTTCCTTCTACCTCAATGCTGATGTTACTTTCTGAGTATATATCAATTACTTTACAGTAGTTACAATTATAACAGTCCTCCCATTTTAGATTGTACTTTTATATAGACATAAATATGGATTGAAATTTTAAAATGCAAAATAAAATTGTTCTGAATATGAAACAAAAAATATCCAACATATACCAAAGTAAAATTTCTTTGCAGATAGCCACACACAAATAAATTTCCCCACTACTTTAAGAAGAATAAAATTTCATTAAAATTTTCTAAGCTAAGCTGCACCTTAATGGAATACATTTGTAAAGTTTTTTTTTTTTTTTTTTTTGAGACGAAGTCTAGCTCTATCACCCAGGCTGGAGTGCAGTGGCAAGATCTCAACTCACTGCAACCTCCACCTCCCAGGTTCAAGCAATACTCCTGCCTCAGCCTCTAAGATTGCCTAGAGGAGCTAGGATTGCCTGTAACTAGGATTGCCTGCTACCATGCCCGGCTAACTTTTGTATTTTTAGTAGAGACGGGGTTGTACCATGTTGGTCAGGCTCGAACTCCTGACCTCAAGTGATCCGCCTGCCTCGGTCTACCAAACTGCTGGGATTACAGGTGTGAGCCGCAGCGCCCAGCCCATTTGTGAAATTTTCTTACCAGTATTCTCGAACTCCTGACCTGAAGTGATCCGCCTGCCTCAGCCTACCAAATTGCTGGGATTACAGGTGTGAGCCGCAGCGCCCAGCCCATTTGTGAAATTTTCTTACCAGTATTCTTGAATACTACATGAGTTGGTCTATCCTTCATTACAAGATCCAAAGCTGACAAGCCTTCTTTATCTTGAATATACAGACTAACACCATGCTAAAACAAACAAACAAACAAATACATAAATATATATATATTATTAATTACCTATATCATCAGTAACTTCCTATTTTATTATTATTTTTTTTTTTTTGAGACAGAATTTCGCTCTTGTTGCCCAGGCTGGAGTGATGCAATGGCGCAATCTTGGCTCACCGCAACCTCCACCTCCCAGGTTCAAGCAATTCTCTTGCCTCAGCCTCCCAAGTAGCTGGGATTACAGGCATCCACCACCACGCCCGGCTAATTTTCTATTTTTAGTAGAGACAGGGTTTCTCCATGTTGGTCAGGATGGTCTCGACCTCTGACCTCAGGTGATCCACCTGCTTTGGCCTCCCAAAGTGCTGGGATTACAGGCTGAGCCACCACACCTGGCCGACTTCCTATTCTTATGTATCAAAAAGTCAGATAATCAACCCCATAAATACACTGAAAAAAAATTTAATAATGATTATCTCTCATATTCACACACATTTTTCTCTCACATACTGCAGAGAATAATTAAGAAAAATCACATATCCGACTCTTGCTGGAATAAGGAAGAATCAGAAAATGTGAAGAAATAAAAAATTAACATTTTAAATAAAAATTAACTACATGTGAACTTTTTTTTGCAGGGGGGACGGAATCTCGCCTTTGTCGCCCAGGCTGGAGTGCAAAGGCACGATCTCAGTTCACAGTAACCTCCGCCTCCCAGGTTCAAACAATTCTCCTGACTCAGCCTCCCGAGTAGCTGGGATTACAGGTGCCCACCACCATACCCGGCTAATTTTTGTATTTTTAGTAGAGATGGGGTTTCACCATGTTGGCCAGGCTGGCCTCGGACTCCTGACCTCGTGATCAGCCCGCCTCAGCCTCCCAAAGTGCTGGGATTACAGGTGTGAGCCACCGTTCCCGGCCATGTGAACATTTTTAACAATAAAGCATTTCTGATACCCCTTTAATACCCCATAAATACACTGTCCCTACAAGTCCCTAGCTCTGGGTTTGTGTCTGTGTGGGAGTGCATCTGAACATAAACATTTAACTCTTCTTGCATTTGAGGAGCCACACTCTGCCGGGCGCAGTGGCTCATGACTATAATCCCAGCACTTTGGGAGGTGGGTGGATGAATCGCCTGAGGTCAGGAGTTCAACGTCAGCCTGGCCAACATGCTGAAACCCCATCTGTAGTAAAAATACAAAAATTAGTCAGGTGTGGTGGTGCATGCCTATAATCCCAGCTACCTGGGAGGCTGAGGCAGAAGAATCACTTGAACCCGGGACACAGAGGTTGCAGTGAACCGAGATCGCGCCACTGCACTCCAGCCTGGGCAACAAGAGTGAAACTCCGTCTCAAAAAAACAAAAAAAAATTATCTGGAGAAGGAGAGACATAAAATTTCAAATCAGTTTATTTAGTTTATACTTACTCTATTTTAGTTTGAGGAATTTTTTCTTATTTATAATTTGACAGTTAATTGTTGATGACCTGTTTATTCTGCGAGGTATCTGATATCCCTTCAATATATTTTGTTTATGTTACCATAGTTGGTTCCAGTTGCAGGCAAAAATAACTCTAATACATCAATATTTATCAAGCATGTTCCTATTTGTTCATTAATTTTTGTTGTTATTGTTTTTTTTGGTTTTTTTGAGACGGAGTCTTGCTCTGTCACCCAGGCTGGAGTGCAATGGCGTGACCTCGGCTCACTGCAACCTCCATCTCCTGGGTTCAAGCGATTCTCCTGCCGCAGCCTCCCCCGTAGCTGGGATTACAGGCATGTGCCACCACGCCCAGCTACTTTTTGTATTTTTAGTAGAGATGAGGTTTTGCCATGTTGCCCAGGCTGGTTTCGAACTCCTGACCTCAGGTGATCTGCCCGCCTTGGCCTCCCAAAGTGCTGGAATTACAGTTGTGAGCCACCATGCCCGGCCATTGTTCATTAATTTAATTGCTTGGTTTTGGTTTTGGTCTATCTCCCCCTAGTAGAATAAAAACTTAAACAAAGAAGGGATTCTGTCTTGTTCACTGCAATATCCCTAGCACCTGGATTACTGCCTGGCACATATCAGGCACTCAAAAAATATTTGTTCCAAATACCTCACAGACAGTATATTATTTAATCCATATAACCTATGATTCTGTGAAGTCTTCTGTTTACAAATGGGAAAAATTAAAGCAAGTTCTTCCAGAATAGTAAGTAAACCACCAGTATAAAAGAGCAATGGTTTAGCAACAACAGATACAGCAGGACTCCACAAGCATAAACAGTCTTTACCAGCCATGCATCCTGTCATGGAATCAAGAAGCCCCAAAAGAGCTACATAAGATAATCTGTCTCTATTCCAGCTTTTTGTAGGCAACAAGTTTCTGCTAAGGTTTTATATCTTTGGCATTAAGAAACTGACAATTTACTGTGCAATTTACAAATGTTATAGCTATGAAGTTTTATCAAATTTAAATTCATTAAAATGTGTGTGGTTTCTTCCTGATAATCCATAATACCTGAAGTGCTACAGCTGACATCAGAGACGGAACTGACATGAAGACACCTATCACTGCACCCCTTCCAATTAAAGAAGTGTTGGAAGGTCAAAGTAAAAAAATATGCTGAACAAAAGCAGACAGCCTACCAACATGAGAATGCTGAATGGTTAATACAGGATTTAGGGGAAAACCGTCAGTGGAATACATCCACTGTTATGTATCTATCACTGATCAGCAGGGCTCTGATGCCAATAAGACAGTCAAGCTAAGGGCAAGGTGACAACGGCACAATTTCCTGGCTTCTATTAGCCAAGGTGGCTAGAGTGACTGAGGATTTCGATGGGGCAATAAAATCTCACAGGAAGGAAAGGACCAAAATTCAGTCCAGACCATAACTATTTCAAACTGTAGCCCTAAATGCTAACACCTAAATGGCAACCCCTAGGATGGCAGGAAACCCAAACCCAGGGACCTTCTCAAACTCAGCAGGGTTGGCAGTCATCCAACTTTCCAGCAGAAACTGAAAAAAAAAAAGCCAAGGTTTTACAGATGGAAAAGGGTAAGAATGGAGCTGAGAGATGCTTTAACTCTTACTAACCTAGCTTTCCCTATAATGACAATAAGGGAATTAAACAGATACCCCAAGGTTTCAGATATAAGAGGAATCTTCTCTACCATTAACAAACTTAAAAATGCTTTACTTCATGGATAGTCCCTGGGGGGGAAAAAAAAAGGAAAGTGCTATTATTACTCTCTTTTTATAGATAAAACTGAAGTTCAAGATTTAATAATTTGTCCACGATGATTCACTAAGTAGTAGTAGTAGCAGCAGCAGCAGCAGCAGCAGCAGTAGTAGTAGTAGTAGTGGTGGTGGTAGTAGTACTAGAAGATAGTAGTAGTAGTAGCAGTAGTAGTAGTAGTAGAAGATAGTAGTGGTAGTAGTAGTAGTAGTAGTAGTAGTAGTAGTAGCAGTAATAGTAGAAGATCAGTAGGGAGTTTAACTCCACAAAAGAATATTTTACTATTACTATATAATAAAAATTATTCTTATCAGTAAATGTTACTACATAAAAGCCACTACAGAAATATTTTTTAAGTCAAAATTAAATGAAGACACTGAAGGTAAGCTTCTGAATTTGACCAGAAGTTCCTTAAGGACCAGAACTGTTTTTTTCTTTTCCAGGTCCTCCACAAACATGACAAAATCCCTATACAAAAAAAATTGTTAAATTTAAGGCCAGACATGGTGGCTCACACCTGTAATCCCTGCACTTTGGGAGGCTGAGGCAGGTGGATCACTTGAGATCAGGAGTTCAAGACCAGCCTGGCCAACATGGGGAAACCCCGTCTCTACTAAAAATACAAAAATAAGCCGGGCACGGTGGCACATGCCTGTAATCTCAGGTATCGGGAAGGCTGGGGCAGGAGAATCACTTGAACCTGGGAGGTGGAGGTTGCAGTGAGCGGAGATCACACCACTGCACTCCAGCCTGGGTAACAAAGCAAGACTCCGTCGCAAAAAAAAATAATAATAAAAATAAAATAAAATAAAATTGTTAAATTTAAAACTCATGACTTCTGACAGTGAGTTTCTAATTTGCATTCATTAGTGAAATGACATTGGGGTGTATTTCAAAACGCTTTATTATTTGCCTATTCAATACAACACACCTAATCTACTAGAAAGAAAATTTTATATAAATTAAACAATTTTAATGATTTTTTTTTTGAGATGGAGTCGTCCTCGGTTGCCCAGGCTGAAGTACAATGGTGCGATCTCAGCTTACAGCAACCGCCGCCTCCTGGGTTCAAGTGATTCTCCTGCCTCAGCCTCCCAAGTAGCTAGGATTACAGGCATGTGCCACCACACCCAGCTAATAATTTTTGTATTTTTAGAAGAGACAGGGCTTCACCATGTTGGCCAGGCTAGTCTTGAACTCCTGATCTCAGGTGATCCACCTGCCTTTGCCTCCAAGAGTGCTGAGATTACAGGCGTGAGCCACCGCGCCTGGCCATCAATTTCTTTTTTTGAGACAGAGTCTCACTCTGTCGCCTAGGCTGGAGTGCAGTGACACGATCTTGGCAAACTGCAACCTCTGCCTCCTGGGCTTAGCTGATTCTAATGCCTCAGTCTCCCAAGTAGCTAAGACTACAAGCACACGCCACTACACCTGGCTAATTTTTGTATTTTTAGTAGAGATGGCGTTTTACTATGTTGGCCAGGCTTGTCTCGAACTCATAACCTCAAGTGATCGGCCCACCTCGGCCTCCAAAGTGCTAGGATTACAGCATGAGCCACCACACCTGGCCTCATCAGTTTCTTTAGAGCTTATAAACACCGTATGTTAACTAAACAAGAAATGAAACATACTACTCAAAAACACAATTCCTAAATAATGTTCAACAACTACTGCCCTTTTAAAGTTAATAATAGGCTGGGCATGGTGGCTCATGCCTGTAATCCCAGCACTTTGGGAGGCCGAGGTGGGTGGATCACGAGGTCAGGAGATCGAGACCATCCTGGCTAACACGGTGAAACCCCATCTCTACTAAAAAAATACAAAAAATTAGCCAGGCGTGGTGGTGGGTGCCTGTAGTCCCAGCTACTTGGGAGGCTGGGGCAGGAGAATGGTGTGAACCCGGGAGGCGGAGCTTGCCATGATCCGAGATCAGGGGCCACAGCACTCCAGCCTCGGCGACAGAGCGAAACTCCATCTCAAAAACATAAATAAATAAAATAAAGTTAATAATATAGTTATTTAAGAATAAATCATTTTAAAATACTAAAAGATATTGTTACAAAAATACTAATTGAGATGCCATTAGACTGGGGCAACTCTAGCACTTTAAGTTTATCCATAAGTAAACACACAGCCAGTAAACAGTAAAATGAAACTAGAGTCTTTACCAATCAGAAACCACCAACTAACCTCTAACTAGGGTCTTTCCACTCTAACCAATTAAATATATTTTCTTTGTCTTTATTCTGCATCGGCCTATAAAAGCTCACTGCTCAGGCTGCAGCACAGCTCTCTGAGCCTCTTCTGGTTCTGAATGCTGCCCGATTCATAAATCATTCTTTGTGCAAATAAATTGTGCTTACTTAATGTAAAGTATTTCTTTTAATAATGTATAATACTCATTAAATGATGTATGGGATTTAGTTCAAAATATTATGAGATGTACAAATAACACAAAATTGGCCAACAGTTCATTATATATAGTAAGCATGATAAATGTTTAAAATTTTACATCACAAAAAAGTTAAGTAAAAGGATATATGGAGTTTTAATTCCAAAGATCAGTTACAGTAGTAAGAGATAGCAAACAAGCAAGAAAAAATGCAAATATTTTCCAAAAAGCATGTAGGATGTATGAAAATGATTAAGAAAAACATATTCCAGACTAAATACGTTTAAAATAAACAAATGACAATTACCTTCAATAGAGACCAAACACAATCAATATGTCCATAAAAAATGCTTCTGTGCAATGCTGTCCATCCAGACTCTTTGTCTTTCACCAACAGATCCACTCCTTTCTGAATAAGCCAATCTAACACTCCTTTCTTTCCACAGGAGGAAACAAGGTGGAGGGCATTCCTGCCAAAAACATCCTTGATAGTTGCAGCATTGTAACAATGACTGGAGAGAAAGGCCTTAATCTGGTTTTCGCTCCCCTTTGTTACCACAGAAAGGACATCCAAAGCATGCTTCAGGGATCGACACTTTGATGTGCAGTCAGGCATGGGTGAACTCATCCTAACTGTTTTTATACCACTTACTTCAGAATCGTGAAAACTAATTTTAAAAAATGAAAAAGCCAGGACACAAAGGTGCTATTGAGGAAGTTACAGAGAATAAATTACCTTTTTAGGATAATTTAAATCCTCCTGACAATAGTATAAAACTATATATCTTTATACAATTTTTTGGCACTTAAATCAAAAAAATTATAAATAGCTCTATAAAGTTCATATCAAATACAAGTTCTTCATTTAAAAAAATTCCACAGTTTATAAATTATTCCTGGAGTCAAGCACCAAGGGGGAGTGAGGAGGGGAACTCCCCCTCCACACTGTCTGACCCTTTTAAATATCCATAATTGCAAGGGTGACCTATAAGAGAAAGAGAAGAGAAAATAAAAATTCAAAATCTGTCTCTCGCTCTCCTTGAGTACTTTAGAACACAACTACCTCCATATTTAGATGCCCTTAACCCATTTATGCTTAGTGTTCCATTACTGGAACACTAAGCTTACGGGAGTTATTTATATCCTAATGCTCAAGGTCATCGCCAAGATCTGATTTTTCACAAAAAACATTTGCAACCTCTGGCATAAACGGGTTAATTCCTTTTTTTTCTTAAATCTATCGACCTTTCATATTTATGGTACCTATATTTTTATCAGTCATCCTTACTCCATTTTTCCACTCTCATGTTTAAAGTTAACCCACATTGGTTGTACTCTGGAGTTTCTCTTTCTTTCCAGTCCTTCATTCCTTCTATGCTGTATTTTTACACTCTACTAGTTATGTCCCCACAAGCTATGAATACGCTTAAATCTACCATCTTTCTAAGAATCCCATCCCAAACCTATACCCCCTAAAACTGTATCATCACCACCAACACAACAATAACCAACACTCTCATCAGTTACTCCGTTTTTACTAAGTACCCAGGCACTGTGTTAATATTGTTACCTCTGCCTGAAAAGTCCTTCATCACATGAAGAGATGATAATTAAACAAAGGTATTAAAACAACTGGATAGCTATCTTTAAAAAACAACTTTAGATACGGTACTTACTTTATATCTTATACCAATATAAATTCTAGATGGTTCAAAGGCAAACAAAAAAACGAAACTACAAAAGCACTGGATGAAAATACAAAAGACTCTTTTTTTATAATCACAAAGTACAAAACACCTTTCTAAGCAGGATCTGAAATCCGAAAGTCATAAAAGATTAATTCAATAGTTTAAAAATTACATTAAAAAGTTTAAAGACAAAAGGAGAAAAATTTGCCTCAATATATATGGTCTTTTAGATCTTCCTTAATGTGTAGTCTTTGGGAGCAGAGAAAATTGGCTATAAGAAGACTATTTAGAAGGACATACTTGAGTTTACTATATGTATAGGGAAAGCTTCTATGCATCAGAGGGAAGTATGAAATATTCTAAATCTGTATTTTTCCACTCCCACTTCATACCACACCAAAGAGTCAGAAATCTGAGATCTAACTAGTTTTCTGATCTTAACTACTTTGATTTCTCCACCTGGAAACTAGATGATTATAATCTTCTCTATTAGGTTGGTACAAAAGTAGTTGCAGATTTTGCTAGTAAAAGTAATGGCAATGGCCAGGCGCAGTGGCTCATGCCTGTAATCCCAGCACTTTGGGAGGCCGAGGCGGGCAGATCACCTGAGGTTGGGAGTTTGAGACCAGCCTGACCAACCTGGAGAAACCCTATCTCTATTAAAAATACAAAATTAGCCAGGCGTGGTGGCACATGCCTGTAATCTCAGCTACTCGAGAGGCTGAGGCAGGAGAATCGCTTGAACCCAGGAGGCAGAGTTTGTGGTGAACCAAGATCACACCATTGCACTCCAGCCTGGGCAACAAGAGCAAAACTCTGTATCAAAAAAAAAAAAAAATTAATGGCAATTACTTTTAAGAATCCAATCCCAAACCTATACCCCCTAAAACTATATCACCACCACCAACACAACAACCAACCCTCTAAAAGTAATGGCGATTATTTTTAATGGCAAAACCTACAATTACTTTTGTACCAACTTAATAGCTCCAGATCTGTTCTACTAATACATTCTGTAATTTGATATAGTCCTCATAAAAATCATCTCCCCCTTAAAACACTGATTTGAACAACAGCAACAAAAAGAACAAGATAAAACAAATAAAAATGTGTTTGGGGGCCGAGCACGGTGGCTCACGTCTGTAATCCCAGCACTTTGGGAGGCCGGGGTGGGCGGACCATGAGGTCAAAAGATCAAGACAATCCTGGCCAAGATGGTGAAACCCCATCTCTACTAAAAATACAAAAATTAGCTGGCCACACTCCTGTAATCCCAGCTACTTGGGAGGCTGAGGCAGGAGAAATGCTTGAACCCAGGAGGTGGAGGCTGCAGTGAGCCGAGATCCCGCCACCGCACTCCAGTCTGGTGACAAAGCAAGACTCTGTCTCAAAAACAAAACAAAACAAAACAAAAGACGGGCACGGTGGCTCATGCCTGTAAACCCAGCACTTTGGGAGGCCAAGGCAGGCGAATCACGAGGTCAGGAGATCAAGACCATCCTGGCTAACACGGTGAAACCTCGTCTCTACTAAAAATACAAAAAATTAGCCGGGTGTGGTGGCGGGCGCCTGTAGTCCCAGCTACTTGGGAGGCTGAGGCAGGAGAATGGCGTGAACCTGGGAGGCGGAGCTTGCAGTGAGCCGAGATCGTGCCACTGCACTCCAGCCTGGGCGACAGAGAGACTCTGTCTCAAAAAAAAAAAAAAAAAGTGTTTGGTAGCAAAGAGAAAAAAAGGTACCAATCGTCAAGTACTTTAAAAGGTTAAAAATGGAAAGCATGACACAGTAGTTCCCCATTATCCATTTGCTTTCTATGGTTTCTATTACCCACAATCAACCATAGTCCAAAAATATTAAATGAAAATTTTGGAAATAAACAATTTATGTTTTAAATTGCATACTATTCTGAGCAGTATGATGAAATCTCATAGTGTCCCACTCCAAACCACTCCACCTCACCTGAGACATGAATCATACATTTGTCCAGCATTGCCATACTGTACATGCTACCAACTCGATAGTCACTGAGTAGCCCTCTTGGTTAGCAAATTGTAAAAACATAGCATATATAGGGTTCAGTACTCTCTGCAGTTTCAGGCATCCACTGGGGGTTTTAGAATGTGTCCTTGGATAAGTAGGGACTATTTATTGTATGTGGCAAAATAGTTCATCCAGTTAATTTCATTCTTTTAAAGCTCTAAAATCCCACCATGTTTGTATTTTCATTGTATGCATAATACCTGGAAGGAACTACTTACTGGTGAATCACTCAAACCTTACATTAAAGAATTAAGATACAACAGAAAAGAATTCCCTAATTCATTAGTATATATAATGTAAACATTTAAAGGGGGGAAAAAAGAATGTTAAAAAGTCATTCCATACTATCATATAGAGAAAGCGGCACCTACAGAATACTATGAACATAAACATGGAAGCGATTAAGAGCTAGGATTTCTTAGAGTTTTACATACATAGATTCAAATATAGCAATGTCAGCTGTTATCAGTTATATAACTAAAAAATGACATAATCTCTCCAAGTCGTTTCTTCATCTGAAAATAGAAACAATCCATGGACTTCACATGGTTACTATAATGATAAATGAAACTACCTAACATGGTACCTGGCACTAAATATGCATTCGACAAATAATAGTTTTCATTACTATTGTTTCTTCAGTCATAAAAAGGTAATACATTTTAACTCCAAAATTCATGTTTGAGCTTCATTATCACTTGTTACCACTTCTCCAAAGAAATCATTATTGCTAAAGTTACTAATGACTTCCAAATTACCAAACACTTTTAGATATTTTCAATTCTTACTTGCCTTCCCTGCTTTTATGTCTTTAAAACCTCATTCCCTTAAGGAGTCTAAAAGAGATCCAGGAAGGGCAGGAAGTCGCAGAAACATTTAAGCATGGGCTCTCTCTCTTAACCACTTCTTCCTAGGGCATTATCGCTTCCCCTGTCCTTCAAACTGGGCTTCTCTGAAATAATCCTCAGTCCTCTACTTCATATTGTTCCTGATAGTTTCAATCCTTTTCATGCTTTTAACTCTACCGTACACATGATTATAAATCCCCAAATCTGTCTCTTGCTCACATATTTGCCCTAAACTCCAGGCCCATATTTCCAATGCCTATTGTACTTCTTATCTATGCATTCAAAAACTGCTTAAAGAAGGGGAAGAAAGCAAAGGAAATAAGCATTTAAAGACCTAATACATACGGAATGCTTTACATCAGACCAGTCAAGTAAACCACCTAAATCATACCACCAAGAAAAGAGGGAGTCAGACTTCAAATACAGATCTGTTTAATGATGAGGTCCGTGCTATTTCTGCTACGTTACACTGTCTTCTTCAGCGCATCCATAGTAGGTCACAAGGCATTGGGAATACAAAAATAATTAGGACCTAAATATTTTAGATAAAATAAAATACAGGTTCATGGATAATACTCAGGTGGATGCATAGCTAGTTTAACATATGTACTAACTGAACAAAACTTATGATCTATTACACAGTTCCTATTATCAAAGGGTCACAGTTTGGTAGAAGAGAGTAATTTTATTTAGGCAAGTAACTAAAACATATCATAATTATAAACCTATGGTCAAGATAAAACAAGTGACACATAGGAACGGGGAGTGCAGAAGAGGGGTCCAGGTAAGACTTTCTACAGGAGATAAACTATGTATAAACTAAGACTTAAAAGATGAGTACTGGCCAGGCACAGTGGCTCATGCCTGTAGTCCCAACACTTTGTTAGGCTGAGGCAGGCAAATCACTTGAGCCCAGGACTTTGAAATCAGCCTGGGCAACATGGTGAAAGCCATCGCTACAAAAAAAAATACAAAAATTAGGCGTAGTGGCACATCCCTGTAGTCCCAACTACTCTGGAGGCTGAGGTGGGAGGATCACTTAAAACTGGTCAGTCAAGGCTGCAGAGAGCCAAGATCATGCAACTGCACTCCAGCCTGAGCGACTGAGCGAGACTCCTTCTAAAAAAAAAAAGAGTACCATATGTGTTGGCCTGATAAATTCTGGGTGAGAGCACATTTGAAGCAGAAGGGATAGTAAATATAAAAGAACTAGAATCATCTTGGTCCATTCCAAAATTTCTAAATAATTCAGAAGACAGAAAGAAGTGAGGCCTAACATACACACAAGGATAGACAGGATTTTGAACAGCCTTATGTGCCTTTTCTTAGAGATTTAAAAAAAAAAGGGCAGGCAATCCAAAGACATACTTAGGATCTTGAATTGACAAGATGTGGTGGTAATTCCCAGGTTTCTGGCTTGGAGAACAGATAGGGAAACTAGAAAGAAGAGTAAGGGGTCAATACTTTGGAAGTGAGTAAAGCAAAACAAAATTAAACAACGGAAAAAACACACAAAAATTATAGGTGAAATTTTGTTTTATACATTATACACAGTGCTCTACATAAATATAATCCTTATTATTGCCCCTGTAAATATGATCACTTTCATTTTCTGATGAGGAGATTCATGTGAAAGTTTAAAAAGCCTACCTAAAATAATACCGACAGAAAAGTGCTCTTGATCCCACCTATTCTATGCTACCAAACTGCTCTCCCAAAAGGCAGTTAGAAAAATTTCAATGCAAGTAGTATAGTGTAGTAGAAAAAAGTACCATGGAATTCAATTCAAAATAATTGAATTCAAAAGCAGTTTGGTAGGGCAGCTGGAGACTCAAGCGATTCTGCCTCAGCCTCCCGAGTAGCTGGGATTACAGGCACACATCACCATGCCTGGCTGATTTTTTTGTATTTTTGGTAGAGACGGGGTTTCACCAAGTTGGCCTCGAACTCCTGACCTCAAGTGATCCGCCCACCTTGGCCTCCCAGACTGCTGGGATTACAGGCATCTTTTTTTTTTTTTTTTTTTTTGAGATGGTGCCACACTCAGTCGCCCAGGATGGAGTGCAGCGGCGCGATCTCGGCTCACTGCAACCTCCACCTCCCGGGTTCAAGCAATTCTCAGCCTCCCCAGTAGCTGGGATTACAGGCGTGAGCCACCGCGCCCGGCCTAAAAAATTTCTTGAAGTAAACTCTGGTTTGACTAAAGCTTCTGCAAATATTTGCAAATGTAATTATTTTTAGAAACCAGTTTTGTCCTCATCTACCTTGCCTCAATTTCTAAAACAAATAAAAGTTAAGGAATTCAAAATACAAAAAGAGAAATGATCAAGAGGGGGCTGGCAAGCCTGTGAATTTACACCACTTTATGGGCACTGAAACACTACTACTCATAAAAGTCATATCCTTTCAGTATTTCTGATAAATTTCAAATGGCCTACTTCGAGGCATAAGTTAAAAGGTGCTACATGAATCTCTGGCTAACACAGTCAAGTTTTATGAACTACGTTGGAAAACAGGAGTCAAGGACGGCCTATGTTACCTAATTCGCAGCTGAACTAAAACTCTTTGAGCCAGACAGCTCTGCCTGTTACAAAAACAAAGGGCCTGTCTTCTCTGTCTCTCTCAACCCTCCACCCTCCAAAAAGAATCAGTTCCTTTTTACATAGCAATCAATGTCCACTTATCAGATTTCACGACCTGCTTCCCCAGAGTCAGTATCCCCAGGGTGGACTCAAACTTGTGACTCCAGGAAGGGGATAAGGAACATGAGCGCCCACAGGAATGGCTTCAAATCCAAGACTCGAAGGAAAGTGACACTACATAACTATCACAACTAGGAATGCAATGTCGCTGGAGGGCGTGTCCAGCAGGACGGGAGCGTAGCGCATCGCCGGGACAGGCCATTCATTAGCTGAGGGGGGCGGTAGGGACCCTGGCCACTCGGCCCTCTCCGCGCCGCCTCGCGCGAAGCCCGGCAGCCTCGGGGCCACAGAGTCCCCTCCCCACGGTCCCCCCGCGCCGCCGTCCGCAGCCACCCGCACCCTCCAGAAGGCGAATACTCTCCCCCTGCCCCCGGGCTGAAGGGAAGCCGCACCGCACGGTCGGGCAGCGCCAAGCCCTCCCTCACCAGTCGCTAGATGAAACTGCGCCGGTGGATTCCGCAGGGTCCACATAGAGCCACAAAGGGACTCATCCTCAGTGAAGGCAATAAGAGAAACCGAACGGCGCCAGAGGGGCCAGTCCCCAGACCCGGGTCAGTTCGGCAGGCGGCTGCAATACAGCCGCTACTACAGGAATCGGGAACGGGGATGTAGAGGAAGGGCCCGAGCGGGCGGTTCCCAGTAATAAGGCGGGCGCTGGTTGGCTGGGGCTCCTGTATGTCTCTTGATGATTGGCTGGTGCCTGCCCAGAAGGTTTCGCGTGGCAGCACCTCTGCCATGGCCTTTTCCCTGGCGCCCCAAAGGAACTTGACCTCGCCGGCCTTGGGGCCGCTGACTCAGGCCAGGGGCGGGGAAAAGAAAAAGGCCGCAGCGGGGAACTCTAGGCCAACAACGGTGATGGGAGTGTCCCTTTCAGGCCAGCCATCTCGTAGTTAGAAACGTCTCTCTAGGTAGCTGGAGACTCGCGGGGGAGGCTAAACCCGAGTGGAGAAGGAGACCTGGCAGGATGCCTTGGACACCCGGTCGCTACGCAGCAGAAGCCAAGTGCATAGGCGTCCTGCACAGAAGAGTTTCCTCCCATGGCCTTAGCAGTGGGGTTACTGCAAAGCCAAAGGTGTAGTCTCCGTAAACCCAGCCTCACCCCTCTCTGGATCTCCATACACCCGGATTATCTGGCAGTCACTCCCTTGGTCAGAAGGCGTCACTGCCCTCTTAGATCACCACCGTAGGACTAGCTGCCGACCCGGGTCACGCCACTCACTGCCTGACACCAGGCTTACACTAGGCTTTTTCCACTTGAACTCTGAATCTAAAGGCCATTTAGAAAGTGGTCAAGTGAAAAATGCTAGGAGGGACAGTAGCCAATAATCAATACTAGGTTACTGAATGGGAAACACACTGCTGCTGAATGCCTAATACGGTAAGCACTCAGTAAATGATTGTTCAAGGAGGTGTAGTGTGACTCAAAACAAACGACACTAAGAATCATGAGTTGGCTGTACAGCTCTGCCACGTTGAGTTTTACAAGCCACTGAGTCGACCTCATCTAATCTCTAAAAGAAAGGAGTTGCGCATGTCTTAATGCCCACTGAGCTCTGCTTGCTCTCTTTTGAAGCCTTTTTTGTGGGAGGGTAGGTTACTAGCCCAAAGCCACACAGCTGCTTAGCGAAAGAGAAAGGGAGACTAGGACCCAGCCCTCCTACTGCCCTTCCCAGCACATAATTGTTTCTTTGCTCTTTATTCTTAATGTCCTTCTACAAAACAAAAACCAGTTTGTAATGTCAAAATTGAGTGGTTTTGAAAATAAGCTTAAGTTGGCCGGGCGCGGTGGCTCACGCCTGTAATCCCAGCAATGTGGGAGGCCGAGGCGGGCGGATCACGAGGTCAGGAGATCGAGACCATCCTGGCTAACACGGTAAAACCCCACCTCTACTAAAAAAATACAAAAAATTAGCTGGGCGTGGTGGCAAGTGCCTGTAGTCCCAGCTGCTGGGGAGGCTGAGGCAGGAGAATGGCGTGAACCCGGGAGGCGGAGCTTGAAGTGAGCCCAGATCGAGCCACTGCACTCCAGCCTGGGTGACAGTGAGACTCCGTCTCAAAAAAAAAAAAAAAAAAGAAAGAAAATAAGCTTAAGTTGTATCTCCAGATATTTAAAAAAAGAAGCTACATATAATGACTTTCATATTCATGAACAAAGAAGCCAATAATGGCAAATAAAGCTGCTAGTGTAAATAAATGCATTGACCTGAGTTCGTAACTTCTCTCTCTTGTATCTGGGCAAGTTAATTCACTTTTCTGAAGCCTCAGTTTCCTCATTTGCAAAATGGGAGAAATAATGTATTTTGGGGTTGTGAAAATGTAATGATAGAGATATATAGCACTTAGCAGAGAGCCTTAGTCACACACAATAATACTTCATAAATAGTGCTAATGAATAAAGTATTTCCTTAGTGGCTGAATTAGTCCAAGCAGGCATTCATTAATTTAAAAGTTACGGCCAGGCAAGGTGAGTCACACCTGTAATACCAGCACTTTGGGAGGCAGAGGCAGGTGGATCATTTGAGCCCAGGATTTCAAGACCAGCCTGGACAACATGGTGAAACCCCGCCTTTACTAAAAATTAAAAAAAAAATTAGGCATGGTGGCGCACGCCTGTGATTCCAGCTACTCAGGAAGCTGAAGTGGGAGAATACCCTGAGCCCTAGGAGATCAAGGCTGCAGTGAGTCAAGATCACGCCGCTGCAACGAGTCAAGATAACGCCACTGCACTCCAGCCTAGGCAACCGGAGTGAGATCCTGTCTCAAAAAATAGTAATAAATAAAAGTTAAAATTACCAGGTCTCGGACAATTTGTGGTAAGCATTGGGGATCCAACAGTGAACAAAAATACATGTAGACCCAGATATTCCCAAGCATAATAAATTGCAACGTTTATAAGTATTAATCTGATAGATTTATCTGACTTCCAAAAGATGTGACACATGAACTAAAGACTGAGCAGAAGATAACTCAGATAACTAGATAACGAGGAGATAAGTAGATGAAGCAGGAAAGAAATAACATTCCAGTCAAAGGAATGTAGAATTGCTCCCCTTTTCCCAGGAAAGTTAGATGCTTTCAAAAGTACTTACTGGTTATTTGCAAGACAAAATATTAAAATAATTAGGAAATAGTACAAATGAAATACAATTAAATGAAAAATATATTGTAGATGTGGTTAAGGGAGGAAGAAATCAAAATGAGCCATTTTGTTTGATTTTTAAAAAAATTTTGTGTTTACACATGAAAGAATAGGTCAAAATATATCTACAATGATTGTTTCTATGGTGGGATTATGGGTGATTCTTAATTTCTATCATTTTGACTTTTGTAATTTTCATTGCAATAATTTAAATATTACTTGAATGATTAAAAAAATCAAAGTTTGGAAAAATAATTGACTAGAGTTTCTAAAGTAGTTTTATTTTTTAAAGTAAAAAATAAAAAAACCAGAGATGACTTTAAAAGATTGCAGTGATGGGCCAGGCACAGTGGCTCATGCCTGTAATCCCAGGAGGCCGAGGCAGGCAGATCACGAGGTCAGCAGATCGAGACCATCCTGGCTAACACGGTGAAACCCCATCTCTACTAAAGAATACAAAAAAAATTAGCCGGGCGCAGTGGCGGGCACCTGTAGTCCCAGCTACTCGGGAGGCTGAGGCAGGAGAATGGCGTGAACCTGGGAGGTGGAGATTGCAGTGGGCCAAGATAGCGCCACTGCACTCCGGCCTGGGTGAAAGAGCGAGACTCTGTCTCAATAAATAAATAAATAAATAAAAAGATTGCAGTGATGGGCGGAGGGAGTAGAAAAAGAATAGTACAGGCATCAAGAGTGGAGCACTGCAGAAATATTTCTAAGCCACATGGCATCTATAATAAACTCCCTAAATACCATTTTTCCAAAATAAATTGGTAGTACTATCCTTTATAATTAAAAGTACTGACATCATTATGTGTATTTTGCTGTCTTTCAAGTTGTATAGGAGTAGGAAATGACAGTGCTGGTGGCAGAAGAGAAAACACTAGAATTTGATTAGAAACCCAAACCTGATTAGGTTCTACAAGAATGATTTTTAGAGGAAGATCAATAGTGCAGCTGGCCTAGAGATGACTGGAACCTTATTGTTTAGCCTCATTCTCTTCTACTCCACACCATCTTCTACAGGACATCACTGGTTGACTACAACTTTCTGGCACACAAATTAAGTACCTCACATAAATCACATATCTCACCTCAGGTTTGCCATTAGGGAAGATAGCACTGAGCCTATTATCTCAAGCACAAAAGTTCTAGGCACCTGACGGACTCATGTCGGCTTGGATTAGGTGAGGAATCAAGGATAACATGATTGACATCCTCTATTAGAGTCATGGTTAAAGCAGAGTGAAGAGTAGTTCCCCAAAAGAAAGCAGGGTGAGGCAGACAAAACAATAGGCCACATAGGGTGTTTGTGTTCTTCTGGATTCAGGTGTATGGTCCCAGCTGCGTTCTTCCTATAGAATCATTATCTTTCCAATCCTTACTTACAGAGGGTCACCTCCCCACATATCTGTGAAGACTTTCCGGATGGCCTTTCCTAGCAATTATTCCCTTTATACTGCTTCTATCACTTAGTCATATAATGTATCACACTGTTTTATTTTTAGATTTGTTAGTTTTACTCCTGGAGACAAGGATTCTAGAGGCAAGGTGCCCAGATATAAAGTTTTACTCCTATGCTTACTATCTGTGAGATGTCAGGCAAGTTACATAAACCCTCTAAGCCTAGTTTCCTCATCTCTGAAATAGGGTTAATAGTATTGCTTTCATAAAGTTCTTAAGAAGTTTAAATGAGATTTTATATATATATATAATATAATGTATATATTATATATATGAAGCTCTTAGTACAACTCTTAGCAACTTAATTGACATAACCTGAAATGAACTGCCTGGATGAATCTGTTTCCACCAAATTAAAGGGTGGGATGGGGAAACAAAGAATAACCCACAAGGTGGCAGTATTTGAATGTAACTTTAGAATCTTATGTTTAAAAGCATAGTCCACCAAAAAAATCTGAAATTCAAGGCAAATACTGGAGAAATTCAAGGTAAATTCAAAGCCTAGATGAAATAAGCAGAACTTTGAGATAAATCAAACTTATAAACTTAACAGGCTTAGTATTCTATTACAATCAGAACACTGAACTCCTAAAAGTCTTCCCTTTACGATGACTGAAAAATGTATCATTTGCCTTTCTCAGCCCATCTTACTGAGAATTGCTCCTATTCCTTTTCTACTTAGCTAAATAATTAAATCTGTGTTGTCACTATTAGAAAGAGAGAGAGAGAAGAAAGAAAAAGAGTGAGTTTGATACATAGTGGTTGGAGCCTTCTCTTCATGCCATAAATCCCTAGGACTGATAGAAAAGACATACTTAGGCCGGGTGTGGGGGCTCACACCTGTAATCCTAGCATTTTGGGAGGCCAAGGCAGGCAGATCACCTAAGGTCAGGAGTTTGAGACCAGCCTGGCCAACATGGTACAACCCCATCTCTATTAAAAATACAAAAATTAGCCGGGCATGGTGGCAGACACCTATAATCCCAGCTACTCGGGAGGTTGAGGCAGGAGAATCACTTCAACCAGGGAGATGGAGGTTGCAATGAGCCAAGATCACACCACTGTACTGCAGCCTGGGCGACAAGAGCAAAACTCTGTCTCAAAAAAAAAAAAAAGAAAAGAAAACATACTTAACATACTTAAACTTATCAGTGCATTGGAAAACAAGAACCTTGGCCATTGAAGGTCCAGAACTTATGAAGAGTCCTTGAAAAGTGGATAAGAGGCTAGATTGGGAAAAAGTAACAGCCTGTGGTGTTGTGATATATATATAGGTTTTCATCCACAGCTCTTGGCTCATAACTCCCATAGCCCTTGTTACAGTCATTTGTTATAAAGTTGGGTATGTTAGACCTCAGGAACAGGCCTCTGACCTTCTCCTGCCCTTCTTCCATAGTTTCCGCACCTTTCTGACTCTGGGTCTTAAGACCCTCCCACGAGAGAGTCCCACCCTATACCCTGCGGGAAGGAATGCTGATGTCCTGAAGCTTCCATAAAAATCCAAGAGGACAGAGTTCATGAGCTTCCAGATAGGTGAACACATGGAAATTCCTGGAGGGTGGCACACACAGGGAGGGCATGGAAACTCCACGTCCCTTCCCTCATACCTCACCCTACGCGTCTCTTCATCTGTATCCTTTGCAATATCCTTTTTAATAAACCAGTAGGCCAGGCGCAGTGGCTCACGTCTGTAATCCCAGCACTTTGGGAGGCCGAGGCAGGCGGATCACCTGATGTCGGGAGTTCGAGACCAGCCTCACCACCATGGAGAAACTCCGTCTCTACTAAAAATACAAAATTAGCCAGGCATGGTGGCAAAAGCCTGTAATCCCAGCTACTCGGGAGGCTGAGGCAGGAGAATCGCTTGAATCCGGGAGGCAGAGGTTGCAATGAGCAGAGATCATGCCATTGCTCTCCAGCCTGGGCAACAAGAGCAAAACTCTGTCTCAAAAAACAAAAACAAAAACAAAAACAAAACAAAAAAACAGTAAATATAATTATTTCCTGAGTTCTTTGAGCCACTCCAGCAAATTAATAGAACTCAAAGAGGGAGTCATGGGAACCCCAACTTGAAGCCAATCAGTCAGGAGTTCCGGAGGTCTGAACTTCTGACTGGTGTAGGGGGATGTCAGAGGTATTTGAACCATAGTGACTCCATCTTGAATAGGGGCTGGGTAAAATGAGGCTGAGATCTGTTGGGCTGCATCCCCAGAAGGTTAGGCAAGAATAGTCACAGGATGAGATAGGAGACTGGCACAAGATACAGGAAGAACCTGCTGATAAAACAGGATGCAGAGTCGGGGAAAAGCGGCTCACGCTTGTAATCCCAGGGATGGGAGGCCGAGGCAGGCAGATCACCTGAGGTCAGGAGGTCAAGACCATCCCAGCCAACATGGTGAAATCCCGTTGCTACTAAAAATACAAAAAAATTAGCCTGGCATGGTGGCAGGTGCCTGTAATTCAGCTACTCAGGAGGCAGAGGCCCACGGAGGTTGTAGTGAGCCAAGATTGTGCCATGGCACTCCATCTCAAAAAAATAAAATAAAATGAAACAAAATACAAAAAATTAGCTGGGTGTGGTGGTGCACTCCATCTCAAAAAATAAAATAAAACAAAATACAAAAAATTAGCTGGGTGTGGCGACACACTCCTATAATCCCAGCTACTCAGGAGGCTGAAGCATGAGAATTGCTTGAGCCTGGGAGGTGGAGGTTGCAGTGAGCCAAGATCACACTCCAGCCTGGACAACAGAGCAAGACTCCGTCTCAAAAAAAGAATAGAAAAGAAATGCATGGAAAAAGATATAAGCACAATAAAGCTGGAGTGGCTATTATAATAGCAGAAAAGCAGATTTGAGACAAAAATTGTTGCCAGTAGCTGGGCGTGGTGGCTCACGCCTGTAATCCCAGCGCTTTGGGAGGCTGAGGTGGGTGGATCACCTGAGGTTGGGAGTTCAAGACCAGCCTGACCAACACGGAGAAACCCTGTCTCTACTAAAAATACAAAATTAGCTAGGCATGGTGGTGCATGCCTATAATCCCAGCTACTCAGGAGGCTGAGGCGGAAGAATCACTTGAACCCGGGAGGCAGAGGTTGTGGTGAGCCGAGATTGCGCCATTGCACTCCAGCCTGGGCAACAAGAGCGAAACTCTGTCTCTAAATAAATAAATAAATAAATAAAGATAAGTAAATTAATTAATTAATTAAATAAAATTAAAAAATTGTTGCCAGAGATAGAGGGCTATTTGATAATAATAAAAGGGTCAGTTCTCAGCAGGGTGCAGTGGCTCATGCCTGTAATCCCAGCACTTTGGGAAGCTGAGGCAGGCAGATCACAAGGTCAGGAGATTGAGACCATCCTGGCCAACATGGTGAAACCCTGTCTCTACTAAAAATACAAAAATTAGCTGGGCGTGGTAGCACGTGCCTGTAGTCTCAGCTACTCGGGAAGCTGAGGCAAGAGAATCGCTTGAACCCAGGAAGCGGAGTTGCAGTAAACCGAGATGGTGCCACTGCACTCCAGCCTGGGTGGCAGAGCCAGACTCTGTCTCAAAAAAAAAAAAAAAAAAAGAAAAAGAAGGGTCAATTCTTCAGAAGAAATAATGTGTATGCAGTTTTGCTACAGATGTAGTAAAAGAAAAAAAAAAGAATAATTTGTATATACCTAATCATAAAGATTCACATTCCTGATAACAGAACTTCCAAATACATGAAGTGAAAATCAACTGAGCTAAAAGGAGAAATAGACAATTTCATGATCTCAGCAGGAGATTTTAACACTCTGCTCTCAGCAATAGATAGAACAGTTAAACAAAAAAAAATCAAGAAATTCATAGGTGTTTTGAACAATACTATAAACCACCTTGACTTCTGTGATGGTTAATGTTATGTGTCAACTTGACTAGGCCACAGAGTGTCCAGACATTTGGTCAAATGTTATTCTGTGTGTGTCTGTGCGGGTATTTCTGGGTTCAAGTAACATTTGCATTGGTAGGCTGAGTAAAATAGACTGCCTTCTTTAATGTGAATGAGCCCCATCCAATCAGTAGAAGACCTGAATAGAACAAAAGGGAACTCCTCCTTCTTGATTGCTTTAGAGCTGGGACATCAGGTTTTTTCCTGCTTTCAGGCTTAGACTTAAACATGGGCTTTTCTTGGGTCTTGAGCCTGCTGGCTTTCATTCTGATACTACAACATCAGCTCTTCTACTTCTTGGGCCTTTGGACCAGGACTGGAACTATGCCATTTGCTCTCCTAGATCTCCAGCCTGCTGACTGCAGAGCTCAGACTTATCAGCCTCCACAATTACATGTGCCAATTATTTATAATAAACCTCTCGCTCTCTCTTTCTCTCTCTCTCTCTCCCTCCCTCTCTCTCATCTACACATCCTACTGGTTCTGTTTCTCTGGTGATCTCTGACTGATACAACCTCATTGATGTTTATAAAGCACCACATCCAACAACTCCAGAATACATTTTGTTTTCAAGTGCATGTGGTATGTTCAGCAAGATAGACCATATAGTGGATCTTAAAATGTCTTAATAAATTTTTAAAAATTGCAATCATACAGAGTATGTTCTCTGATCACAATGGAACTACATTAGAGATCAATAAAACTAAGATCTAGGGAAACTTCAAATATGTGTAAATAAACAAGATATTTAAAATAATCCATTGGTCAAAGAAGAAATCACATAGGAAGTTAGATAGTATTTCACACTGAATGAATAAAAATACAACATATCAAAATTTGTATGATGCATCCAAAGCAATGCCTATTCAGAAATATATAGCTTTAAATGCTTATGTTGGTGAAGAAGAGATGTCTAAAAATCAATGACCAAAAGTTCCACATAAATAAGCTAGGGAAAAAAAGAGCAAAGTAAATCCCGAAGTAAGTGGGAGGAAATAAAGATAACAACAGAAATCAATTAACTAAAATATAGGAAAGTAATAGAAAAAATTAGCAAAGCTGAAAATTGTTCTTTGAAAAGATCAGCAAAATTGATAAACTCCTTGCTAGAATTAGTTATTTAAAAAAAAAAAAAAAAAAAAGGCTGAGCGCAGTGGCTCATGCCTGTAATCCCAACAGGGGATTACAAAGAGGCTGAGGTGGGCGGATCACCTGAGGTCAGGAGTTCGAGACTAGCCTGGCCAACATGGTGAAACCCCGTCTCTACTAAAAATACAAAAAAATTACCCGCGCATGGTGGCAGGTGCCTGTAATCTCAGCTACTTGGGAGGCTAAGGCAGAAGAATCACTGCATGTACCTGGGAGGTGGAGGTTGCAGTGAGCCGAGACCTCACCATTGCACTCCAGCCTAGGCAACAAGAGTGAAACTCCATCTAGAAAGAAAGAAAAAGAAAGAAAGAGAGAGAGAGAGAGAAGGAAGGAAGGAAGACAAACATCAAGAATTTCAAGAGTCTGAGATTGTACCCTCCTGTTAAAGCTAACAAGTTAATCTGCCAGAGTTTCACGGAATCTGGCCTGCTAAATGAGATTCCTAAGCCAGAGACTAGCACTTTACCACTCACAGCCAGCAAGCAGCATGAGCTTCACATTTGCATTAGTTCTTTTAGACCCTCAAGTCCTATGAGAAAGACACAGAGTGGCCCAGGTAGGTGTTATAGGTGTTATAAATGTAGTGGGTTGGCATCTCAGTTAAGGAAACCCAGGCTTAGTAACTTAATCCTTTATAGTAGACTGCAAGAAAACCTGACTGACTTTTACCCCTGAGGTAGAAATTATCTTTATTGTACCAGAGAGTTAAAATAAAAAAAAATAAAAAAAAATAAAAACCTGTCCCTGCTCTAGAGGGCTCCACTGTCACTATTTACCAAGTGATTTGCAATACAAACATCTTTAAAAGATAACTCAGAACAAAGGCTGTCAGTGCCTCTACTCACAGGACCTGCAGAAACATGAAGGAACCCACAGGAAATTTGTTCCCAACAAGAGCACCAATTGCCAATATCAGGAATGAAAAAGTAGTTATCACCACAGATACCACAGACATTAGAACAAAAAATAAAATAAAATAAAGTAAGAGAACATTGTGAACAACATTAGGTTAAAAAAAAGTTGCCTTTGAGAAGTTGAGGGTAGGGATTGACTGAAAAGGAGAATGAGGAAACTCTCTGAGGTTGTAGAAATATTCCATATCTTGATGGAGGTGTAGGTTACATAGGGTACATGCATTTATCGTAACTCCACAAATATACAGTTAAAATTTGTGCATTTCGTTGTTGCAAATTTTACCTCAAAAGGAAAAAATGGGCTGGGCGCAGTGGCTCATGCCTGTAATCCCAGCATTTTGAAAGGCCGAGGCGGGCAGATCACGAGGTCAGAAGATGGAGACCATCCTGGCTAACGTGGTGAAACCCTGTCTCTACTAAAAATACAAAAAATTAAAAAAAAAAAAAGAAAAAAATACAGAAAATTAGCCGGGCGTGGTGGCACACACCTGTAGTCGCAGCTACTTGGGAAGCTGAGTCAGGAGAATCACTTGAACCCAGGATGTGGAGGTTGCAGTGAGCCAAGATCATGCCACTGCACTCCAGCCTGGGCGACAGAGTGAGACTCCGTCTCAAAAAAATAAATAAATAAACAATATAAACCTTAGTAATGATTTTTATACTGAAGTGTTTCAGGGTAAAAGTATTTAGGGATAAATGATCAATATCTGCAATTTACTCTGAAATGCATAAAGGGATGAACAAATGGGTAGATATGTGATAAGGCAAATATATTTAAAATGTTAATGGTTTAATCTCGATAAACATATTTGTTCACAATAATATTCTTCTAAGTTTGTTGTATGCTTCAAAATTTCTAAATAAAAAAATGGAAAGAAAAAGAGACTTAAAAAACATGTACAGTCATGCATCACTTAACAATGGAGACACATTCTGAGAGATGTGTTGTTAGACAATTTTGTCATTGTGCCCACATAATAGAGTATCCTTACACAAACCTAGATGGTATAGCCTACTACACACCTAGGCCATGTGGGTTAGCCTATTGTTCCTTGATTACAAACTTGTACAGTATGTTACTGTACTGAATAGTGTCAGCAATTGTAACCCAATGGTACTTATTTGTGTGAGGAAACATAACTAAACATAGAAAAAGTACAGTAAAAATATGGATTATAATCTTTTGGGACCACTGTTGTATTATGTGCTGTCTTTGACCAAAATGTTGTTATACAGCATATGATGGTAAATCAGTTACAATAAATGGACCTTACTTGGATAATGATTTGGACACATAAGCTGTAAAATCAAATAGTATGACATACTAGCAATAATTTGAACACTGGCTTGTTACTTGTTTATTGTTTTTATTTTATTTTATTTTATTTTTTTAGACAGAGTCTTGCTCTGTTGCCCAGGTTGGAGTGCAAGAGTGCCATCACGGCTCACTGCAACCTCTGCCTCCAGGGTTCAAGCAATTATCCTATCTCAGCCTCCCAAGTAGCTGGGATTACAGGCACACACCACCACACCCGGCTAATTTTTTGTATTTTTAGTAGACATGGGTTTTCACCATGTTGGCCAGGGTGGTCTCGAACTCCTGACCTCACGTGATCCACCCACCTTGGCCTCCCAAAGTACTGGGATTACAGTCGTGAGCCACTGCGCCCAGGCTGTTTACTGTTTTTAAGCCTGTGTAAGAGAAGCTGTTGGCCCTGGGCTCCACAGTCTCTCACCCTTACCACTTCAGGGCATGCTACCCTGAATTTAGCAGCCAACAACTGCATTTCTTTGCCTGAAGACTTTGCCTCCTGAAGTCTTGTTGGCCTGCCCCTGTGGCTTTCTGCAAGTGCTGAGGAGGTAATGCTTGCCCAACTCAGATTCAGCCATCTGCGAAAGTCTTACTTAGAACCTTCCTTTTTCTGTCTCACTCCCTCCACTTCCCCACTGATGTTTCCCTCTCTCAGATGACTTGCACTTAAATTTTTGTCTTTGTTTCAGCTTCTGGAGGAACCCAAAGTGTGACATTGGGATAATGGCATTTCAGTTATTTAAAAACAAACAAACAAACAAACAAAAAGACTTTTTAAGTTTGGGAGATATTTACTGAAATATTACAGATAAAATTATATTACTTGGGATTTGTTTCAAAACACAAGTGTTAGTGGGGAGAGTGGATAAAAATATAGATGAAAAAAATGTTGGCAAGGCTTAGTGGCTCACGCCTGTAATCCCAGCACTTTGGGAGGCCAAGGTGGGCAAATCACTTGAGGTCAGGAGTTCGAGACCAGCCTGGCCAACATGGTGCAACTCTGTCTGTACTAAAAATACACAAATCAGCTAGGCATGGTTGTGGACACCTGTAATCCCAGCTGCTCAGGAGGCTGAGGCATGAGAATCGCTTGAACCCAGTGGGTGGAGGTTGCAGTGAACTGAGATTGCACCACTGCACTCCAACCTGGGCAACAGAGCAAGATTCTGTCTCAAAAAAAAAAAAAAGAACTAATTAAAGTGAAAAGACTCACATGACAATATCTGGGGTGGAGGAAAAATCAAGCTATCTCAATGTGAGAGGGGAGGCATTTCTACAAGGCCTCTGAGACCATTTGGCCTATGACATTTACCTCACCTTTTTTAAGACAAGACCTTCTAGTTGTGACTTGAATTTGATATTCAACCACTTAACCTAAGACCCATTACTTGAAGTTTATTGTTGCTGCAAATTAAAATCCACAGGGAGCAGACATGCACTACGGTTTTATTTGCCAATGTAAGTGCAGTGTGACTCACATCCTCCCTTCAGGGGGATCTTAGCTAGATAAAACTTTTCCAGGGCTCAACTTTTCCTGGAATAGCTTTGTCATTAAAGACATAGGCACTGAATCAAAAGCTAATTGAATCAAAACTGCAGACAATTTAATCTGGAATTCTAGACCCATTTAGTGCATAAGTAATTGGCATCGAGTGTCTTTTATGCAAGGATGCCAACTGTTTCTGGGTCCCACAGCAATCATTGCCAGTTTTAAAGACAGTGTTTTAAACTTCTCCAATCTGTTTCCACATCCAGTAACATAAATATTTCAATGTAATGCCAACCCATAAATATTAGCTGATGATCACGATCTAAACTGTATTTCAAAAAATAAGAGGCATCCATTAAAAGGGTTTTAAAATATTTTATTCACACTTTTCATGGAAATCTTTTTCTAAACTTCTAATTGCACTAGAGAAAATACCAGTAAAATCTTCTCATAAGGATGACCATGAAGGACTTCTGTTTATCTTTATTAAATGTAGACCCAACACATCCCCAACTACAAGTGTTCTACTTCCTCATTTCCTATTTAAAGGAAAGGAAAAAAACTCACTTCCTTTTCTTTACCATTCTTTTGAGACCTATCAAACTGGTAAACTGCTCCATACTGCTCTATTAATAGCAGCTAATGGGTAGTGAGGCACCATAATTGCCTTTTAGTGATGATGCCTTAATTCACTAAATTCATTAGTAAATCTAGTACTGGAAATGTTTTCAGGCACTCATAGTTCAAGAGAGAGAGATTTGGGAACAGGCCAGATCTAAAGCAAGCATTGTCTGGAGTTCTTTGATTTGTATTAATGCTGTGGAATATGAGTCTGTGAAAGGAAAATAAATTTTGGGACACCCTCCACCCCCACCCACTCCTCGCCAAATCACTAAGCCAAAGGAAAAAGTCAAGCTGGGAACTGCTTAGGGCAAACCTGCCTCCCATTCTATTCCTAAAAAAGATAGCTACTAAGATAAAAAGCTACATACCTCTCTCACAAGAAATTTCCTTGTAGAGAAAGGACAGAGAGGACTCAGTCATCTCTCTGCTCACTGAGATAAATGCATATCTGATTGCCTCCATTGGAAAGGCTAATCAGAAACTCAAAAGAATGCAACCCTTTGTCTCTTTCCTACCTATGAACTGGAAGCCCCCTCCCCGCTTTGAGTTATTCTGCCTTTCCACACAGAACCAATGTACATCTTACATATTGTAATCTCTGTAAAATGTACAAAACCAAGCTGTGCCCCAACAACCTTGGGCACATGTCATCAGGACCTCCTGAAGCTGTGTCATGGGCCTGTGTTCTTAACTTTGGTAAAATAAGCTTCCTAAATTGACTAAGACCTGTTTCAGATAAAGATCACTCCTCAGATCTTACTTTGCAGGAGGGTGCTATCTCTACCTATAATAAGCAAAGCTGATTAAGACTAGTTGAATGCATATAAGAATTACATTAAATGCAATTACACATATCTATTGAGCATATTATATATGTAGACACTGTTAGCTAATGCAGAGGATTCAAGAAAAGCAATTTAAAATCTAGTATGGAGAATAAGGTAGATACATAAGTATCACTGATAGTAAAGTGAGACACTGTCATAAAAGAGACAATGGGATTGTGGAGCTACAAAAAGAGAGAGATTACAATCAGTTGAAAGGATCAGGGAAAGCTTCTTCTTTTTTTTTTTTTTTTTTTTTTTTGAGACGGAGTTTCCCTCTTGTTGCCCAGGCTGGAGTGCAATGGTGCAACCTCAGCTCACTGGAATGTCTACCTCCTAAGTTCAAGGGATTCTCCTGCCTCAAACTTCCAAGTAGCTGGGATTACAGGTGCCTGCCACCACACCCGGCTAATTGAAAGCTTCTAGTGGAGTTATTTGTGAAAGAACTGAGGGATAAATAGGAGCATCTGAAAGGAATCTACTTTTTCCATGATTGCTAATGTAGAGAAAAACTATAAAAGACTTTGAAATGCATCAAAAAGATTACTGATGACTTCAGTAGAAAATTAGGTGGTTTAGCTGGGATCATTGCACCTTTCATTGTCTTTGAGATATTTTACAACTCTGCAAATTGTAGATAATGGATAGCAGTGCAAACAAGCTCATATTCACAAACATGCAAATTAATTTTGTCAGGTGGAAACACAACTGATTTCTTTATTTCCATTTCTGTAATAAGCAAGTTTTGTATTTATTTACTTTTTTTAATATAAACTCTCAACTAAGTGATTTTATTCCTGTCCATGATTGCAGACACTTACAAAAACATAACATCTGAGTTCACCTTAAGAAATAACTTACAGCTGGGCATGGTGGCCCATGCCTGTAGTCCCAGCTACTTGGGAGGTTGAGGAAAGAGAATCACTTGAACCCAGGAGGTGAAGATTGTAGTGTGCCCAGATTGTCCCACTGCACTTCAGCCTAGGTGACAGAGTGAGACTCTGTCGAAAAAAAAAAAGAAGGAAGGAAGAAAGGAAGGAAGGAAGGAAGGAAGGAAGAAAAAGAAAGAAAGAAAGAGAAAGAAAGAAAGAAAGAGAAAGAAAGAAAGAAAGAAAGAAAGAAAGAGAAGGAAAGAAAGAAAGAAAGAAAGAAAGAAAGAAAGAAAGAAAGAAAGAAAGAAAGAAAGAAAAGAAAAGAAAGAACGGACGAATGAACTTGCATAAAGCAGGGACATAGATAGCACACAATAGTTCAGGGAGGATGCAGAAGCAACTTTTAGTAATTAAAATGTTAATGTGAATAAAGGATGGAATAAATATCCCTACTTATTTCTACCTAAGATGTTATGTGATAATATTTTACAATGTCCTGAGGGTCAATGTATGTTTGTGTATATGTCCATATAACACACACAGATACAGTACATTCTTCTTCCCACACATATACATACAAACATAATTATTTGCAGTTCAGTTTAAGTCAACTTTAATATGCCACTTTGTACCTTTTCTTTTCTTTTGGGGTGGGGGACAGAGTGTCACTCTGTCACCAAGGCTGGAGTGCAGTGGTGTGATCTTGGCTCGTTGCAATCTCCGCCTTCCAGTTCAAGCAATTTTTGTTCCTCAGCCTCCTGACTAGCTGGTAGTAGACACGATCTCACTTTGTTGCCCAGGCTGGTCCTGAACTCCTAGACTCAAGTAATCCTCCCACCTCAGCCACCCAGGTTCAAGCGATTCTCCTGCCTCAGCCTCCTGAGTAGCTGGGATTACAGGCATGTGCCACAATGCCTGGATAATTTTTATATTTTTAGTAGAGACAGGATTTTGCCATGTTGGCCAGGCTGGTCTCAAACTCCTGACCTCAAGTGATTCACCCACTTTGGCCTCCCAAAGTGCTGGGATTACAGGTGTAAGCCACCACGCCCGGACAGATTCCTTTGTTTAAATGTACGCTGTGATAAATAATTTTCCTTTATGATAGTTCTGTGATGGGCTAGTTCACTGTGGTTTACATGAGGGTACTTGGTAATGGATCACACACTCACTGTTATGCGAGAGGAGTAACTCCCTGAAAAGGATTTTAAAAATTTCCCCCAGTTTTGCAATTATCCCTGAGCCCAGTTGATTACTCAGGCTCATTTTATCAGGAGAATTCTTAGAAATACCGTCCATATCTCCTGAGCCTAAAAGCCATTCATGTGATGTGACTCCATTCCTCCTCCTACTCCATCCATGGTACCATCTGACCCAGATTCCACTGGAAAATTAGGTCTGTTAGGTCTACAACATACTGCATTCATTCATATCTCCAGGGTTGATTAAATCTGCTAGACTAGACATGACGGGTGTTCCTGTGGACCTCACCTCCTGGAGGGCCTATGTAATTCCCAGGAGATGTTGAGGAGTATGGTACTGAATTGGCATTTGTTGGGTTTGGCCAAGATCTGCCACCCTCCAGACCCATGTTCATTCTAGGCATTCCAGAGCCACCTAAAGCATTCACTGGGCATCTCATTGCACCTTCATCATTCTGTACTGACAACCAAGGATCAGACTGTGGCCCTCAGGGCACCATTCCTCTTGGAGAAATTGGCCCACCCATACTTAAATGTCCTTGTTGTCAAGTTGGATTCCACTGGGGAGTAATGGCTGACTTCCTAGGATACTTCCAAGTGCCTCTTTAGGTATCTTCAATGGGAACCTTGGACCTCCAGGGTACCAAGGTGATATAAAAAGATAATCATGGAAGTTTTTTGTTACACTTGAGTGTTCACATGTTTCCTTTGGCTCTGGAGCTGCCAAATAGAGATCCCAAAATACACAACACCAGGAATGTAAGAATCCTGGTGGTTCTCCCAATTTTTTCCCCCATCTTATCTCTGATAAAAATGTTCGGGATGATCTCTGAACTCCTACATGGAGCAGATATTCATATATGTAAAGTGCTAACTTCACCAAGGTGTGGCTGTCACATGGGTTAATGCTGCTGTTACTCTTGCCTTTGCTGTACATTCTTTGCTGAGAGTAACTCCCATTGTCATGCACTTGTTACCCCATCACAGCCTCCCTGGAAACAGCCCTGTCCCCATGGCAACCCATGTAGCCACCTTCACTATTGGCTGCCTCACACCAACGGCTTTTGCATTTGTTTATAGATTTGTTTCCTCATTGCTTATTATATATGTGATATTTTTAATTCTCCTATCTATGAATCAGTTGTAGCATGTTACTGCTTCCCTCATTAATTACAAAGCTATATAAAATCTTTGACGTGTTAATTTTATATATGTATAAAAGTTCTGATTGCATCCTACTTTAAAAATTATTCTTTTTTTCTTCTTTTTTTTGAGATGGAGTCTCGCTGTGTCATCCAGGCTAGAGTGCAGTGGTGTGATCTCGGCTCACTGGAAACTCCGCCTCCCGGGTTCAAGCAATTATCCTGCTTCAGCCTCCTGAGTAGCTAGGATTACAGGCGCCCACAACCGCGCCTGGCTAATTTTTCTATTTTTAGTAGAGACGGGGTTTCACCATCTTGGCCAAGCTGGCCTAGAACTCCTGACCTCGTGATCCACCCACCCAGGCCTCCCAAAGTGTTGGAATTACAGGCGTGAGCCACCATGCCTGGCCAAAAACTATTTTTTAAGACTAACACATTTCATCTAACATGATTTTGAGTAACTCTTTATTAATATACCTTTTTCATTTTTCCCTTTCTTTGACCACTTTATTTATTTTATTTATTTATTTTTGAGATGGAGTCTCACTCTGTCACCCAGGCTGGAATGTACTGGCGCGATCTGGGCTCACCGCAACTTCCACCTCCCGGGTTCAAGTGATTCTCCTGCCTGAGCCTCCTGAGTAGCTGGGATTACAGGTGCCCACCACAGTGACTGGCTAATTTTTGTATTTTTAGTAGAGATAAGGTTTGATCATGTTGGCCAGGCTGGTCTTGAACCCCTGACTTCAGGTGATCCCCCCGCCTCGGCCTTCCAAAGTGCTGGGATTACAGGTGTAAGCCATTGCGCCCAGGCTTATTTATTTATTTATTTATTTATTTAATTTATTTTTTGAGACAGAGTCTGGCTCTGTGGGCCTGGCTGGAGTGCAGCGGCATGATCTCGGCTCACTGCAACCTCTGCCTCCTGGATTTAAGCAATTCTCCTGCCTCAGCCTCCTGAGTAGCTGGGATTACAGGCACACGCCACCATGCCTGGCTAATTTTTATATTTTTAGTAGAGAAGGGGTTTCACCATGTTGGTCAGGCTGGTGTCGAACTCCTGACCTTAGGTGATCCACCTGCCTCAGCCTCCCAAAGTGCTGGGATTACAGACATGAACCACTGGGCCCGTCCTCTTTGAACAGTTTAATATAGACCTAAAACTGTATATAGTATGTATGGGATTATGAAGGTGGAAGTAAAGGATGATATTAAGAAGTTTTCTTGTAAAGATCTAGCACTCCTAGAATCTTTCCTACCTAATATGCAAACCAAGGATTACTGAAACAGAAGTTTTGAATCTGGAGGCTGTTCTGTAGTCCTTGGTTTCTATATGAAAATAAAGCCTTTACTTGAAAAATATATATTAAATGTAGAATGTATAAATATTTTATATTTTCTTTTCTTTTTTTCTTTTTTTTTTGAGATGGAGTCTCACTCTATCACCTAGGCTGGAGAGCAGTGGTACAATCTTGGCTCACTGCAACCTCCGCCTCCTGGGTTCAAGGGATTCTCCTCCCTCAGCCTCTTGAATACATGGGATTACAGGCACATGCCACCATGCCTGGCTAATTTTTGTATTTTTGGTAGAGATGGCATTTCACCATGTTGGCCAGGCTGGTCTGGAACTCCTTTTTTCTTTTTCTTTTTCTTTTTCTTTTTCTTTTTTTTTTTTTTGAGACAGAGTCTTGCTCTGTTGCCCAAGCTGGAGTGCAGTGGTGCAATCTCGACTCACTGCAACCTCCACCTCCTTGGTTCAAGTGATTCTCCTGCCTCAGCCTCCCTAGTAGCTGAGAGGCTACCATGTGCCATCATGCCTGGCTAATTTTCGTATTTTTAGTAGAGATGGATTTTCATCATGTTGACCACGCTGGTCTTGAACTTCTGACCTAAGGTGATCCTCCCGCCTCGGCCTCCCAAAGTGCTGGGATTACAGATGTGAGCCACCGTGCCTGGCCATATTTTAAATTTTCTATAACTAGTATTTTATATGTATAAATGTCTTTATACGTAAATATAAAAAGATAAATATATATGTATAGAACTAGCTATATACTTCTCTATTTATTTATATATATCCCATTAGAGTACAAGTCTTATTTATCATTGAAATACTTCCTCCACTATACCAGGACCCTCAGTGCTGAGGGTGGCTACATTCTGAGTAGAGAACATCTTTGATTTTTTAGTCTACAGTCGCAGCTGCTGCATTTTTCTTTGATGTCTTGTGACCCATTTGTCACTGCTAGTCCTCTGCTGTTCTGCCATTGACACTATATAAGGTTATGGAATCTTCTGGTCCAGCTCCTATTCAAGCCTTTACATACATCTTCCCTCAGAGGACTATCTGCTACTATCTGCTAGCAGTCTAGTTTCTCCCCACTACCTATGTTAAGCTCAGACAGTTCAATCAGATTCCCCATACCACAGCCCTAGTGCCCAGTTTGTCAGCAGCACTAACATTTCCACACTGAGTTTTCTCCTTGTAGAGGTGTGATGTCCAAGCAGGCTCATGTCTCTTTCCTGATGGAACCCATAATATCTGTCCTTGCCAGTTCCTGTCAATGTACCTCTCACCCCTGTCCCTAACACACAGGAATTATTCTGCCCCTATTGTTGAACATATAGTTATATTGCTTCTACAGACCTGAATTCTAAACCATAAAGATACAAATATCTATTTATGCTCATCCCTATTAGTCACTGTCTCTTTAGTAGCTGAAGCATAAAAAATTTCTTTAAAAATAAGAAGAACTCTAATATGAGAGGTCATTAGTCCCTTAGAGCTCTCGGCAGCATTTGAGTTTATCTTATAAGATGGAATGTCCTTTCGTCTCTTAATTATATCCATAAAACTAATGAAACTTTAATAAGAAATCTAGATTCCATTAATAGGTTTTGGACATCACAGACATATTTGCTTGTTTGTTTTTAAGTGGGGCAGAGAATAAACCCCAACCTCCAACATCTATGCCTGCTCTATCTGCACGACATTGACAAGAGCAGAGGCCAAACGTGAGCGGACAGATTCCAAGAGGAGGGTCCTCTCATGTAGAGCTACTCTCGTGTCTTACTGTTGGGTCTCATTATGCTACTTAAGAGCAACACAAAATAGTCTTACAGGTTACTAGAAAGCCAGAATAAATAAAAGGAAGGCTTATTAAAAAAACCATATTCCCAGGAAAACTCTGGGTTAATGCCTACTCAGAAAGGAAAGAAAGAGAGATGCCAAAACAGATTATGTATTACTTTAATTGAATCTCTGTATATGATTTGATTAAGGTTTTTTGCCATACTTAAGACAAGACAGTGTATTCATCATGACTTTACATCGTATTATGTTCTGGTTATGTAATTATAAAATAATTAAATTGCCTTCATAAAATTATATGAAAATTCAATGATTACATTTTAGAAATGGACCACTTAAGCCTGTTCAGTTTCTAACCCATAATAAACTTGGCACCCCTAGAGAGCACTGGAAGTGAGACATAAAGTAAGCATTACTTGGCATTCTTCCACAAAAATTCCTGCTGTGGAAGATTGCCCCCTTCAAATAACATCAAGTACTAAACTAGTATTTAATTTAAAACTCTTTAATCAACAAAGATCCCAACAACCGCTAAAACTTCACTGCATGCCAATTTTAACTACCAATTATGAAATCACTGCTAATGCAGTCAATAAAATAGGAGACTTTGAATTGGGGATGAGGGAAGGGTACTGAAACATAGAGATTAGGAGATCACTATCTCGTTTCTTAAAGAAAAATTCTGCAGTAATTTAGCTGAAATTAAGATCAGAGGTGTTGGCCGGGCGTGGTGGCTCACACCTGTAATCCCAACACTTTGCGAGGCTGAGGCAGGTGGATCACAAGGTCAGGAGTTCCAGACCAGCCTGACCAACATGGTGAAACTCCATCTCTACTAAACATACAAAAATTAGCCAGGTGTGGGGCGGGCACCTGTAATCCCAGCTACTCGGGAGGGTGAGGCAGGAGAATCGCTTGAACTCGGGAGGTGGTGATTGCAGAGAGCTGACATTGTGCCACTGAACTCCAGCTTGGGCAATAGAACAAGACTCTGTCTCAAAAAAAAAAAAAAAAAAAAAGAGGTGTGAGTTCTTTTTAACTAAAACTGCTTTAGGCAGGTACATCTCACTCAGTTACTCTTATTTTAATTAACATGGTGAAAGTATAGTGTCCTAAAATCTACCATCCTGAAAAATTAAGTTTATTTTTGTTTCTTTCTTTTTTTTTTTTTTTTGAGACCAAATCTTGCTCTGTCGCCCAGGCTGGAGTGCAGTGGCGCAATCTCAGCTCACTGCAACCTCCGCCTCCCGAGTTCAACTCTCAGGCCTCAGCCTCTGGAGTAGCTGGGACTATAGGTGCCTACCACCACATCTGGCTAACTTTTTGTATTTTTAGTAGAGACAGGGGTTTCACCATGTTGGCCAGGCTGCCCTCAAACTCCTTACCTCGAGTGATCCACCTGCCTTGGCCTCCCAAAGTGCTAGGATTACAGGCATGAGCCACCATGCCCAGCCTTTCCTATCTTTATGGTGAAAAGATCAAGACAAAAGAAACCCTTTCATAACTAAGCATCAGGCAACCATGAGAAGATCAATGTATTGAAGAGAAACTTCCAAGTGATGGGTGGTATTGGGAAATTAGAGATTTGGCCCTTGAATCAGTAGATATAGGATATCTCAGCAGGCATCAAGTGAGGTTTGAAAGTCATTCATTTAATTACCTCCTATCATTCAAAGCATTTTAGACTTGCCCAGCATGTTTTACATTTCAATTCACTTTCACATCTATTAGTTTAGCCGCAAGATCATGACAATGCACAACAGGAAGAGGTCCTGAGAAAGTCAAGTCCTCCGAGTAAATTTGGTAGGAATCTACCTCTATCACCAGCTGGGAAGTAGGCAATGATTGACACATGCAGATTTGATCAGTCTTTCAGTGCCTGTACAGGAGGAGACCCCCCTAGGGAAGGCAGAAGTACTTTGGAAACAGAGCAGCCGGTGAGTGGGATCAGAATGGAGACCTGATCTTAGAAGTATCTCACAGTCAAAGCAAAGCCAGTCTCAAGTTAGAGATCAGCCTTTAAAAGGACAAGCTGATTCTGGGAAACATGAATCACTTAAGTTAGACAGCAGTTTCTGATTTGGTGATGGTTTTTTAAATTTTTGTTTCTTTCCATATATATAGGGGTTGTTTATTCATTCTGAACTTTGCTAACAGTGGGCCAACTTCTAAAACTTGGTTATGGTTCTCATAGGTGTATATTTTTAATATGCATAATTGAAGACATCTTTGTTTTTTCATGTCCATATATTTAAAATTTGAGAAATATAAATTCAAGTGAGAAGAGTTGGAAGAGGGGAGCAATATTATGGTTTAGATGACATGATCATTTCCATTTTCTTAGCTTATTAACATATTTTCCTATACCTCGCAGAATCAAGGTTTTATTTTAGTGTGACAGACAGAACCGGGATAGCAAGAAAAAGTCCAAAGTTAAAATACCACTGCAGCAGTTCCTCTGGATACTGAAAGAGTTTTCATGTTTTTGGCTCTCCACAAAGCAGATTAAAGCTTAAAACTTTCAGTGAAAACAAAAGAGACCCCAGGATTGAATTATCCCCATAGAAGGTTAAACAAAAAAACCCAAAAGCCCAAAAACTAGAATTAAACCTGGAGATTCCAAAGCAGACCCCAGTAGAAGGATTTTGTTTTCTCTGTGCAATCAATAAATGATACAGAGCTTTTTTAGGTATCTGTCGCTAGATGGCACTATATAAACACCTTCATTTTCACTTTTCACATCTTCCCTTAGTAGTCAGAAAGGAGGCAAAATATCAGGTAAGGCAATCCTTTTAGTCTTCTTGAAATTGCTGCTGTTTATTAATTTAACTAAATCTTTAATTATAAACCTAAACACCTTGTAACAGATTTGCCAATACCTTAATCCTCTATCAGCAAGTACGGTTCCATTGACAGGAGATTGGCTCGAAGGCAGCTTTGGGTTTGTTATTTGACAGATAGGAAACTGAATAATAAGAAGGCAAGAAAATTGATAGTATGTGAAAGAGAAGACAGGAAAAAGAAATACATTTATGAGAAAATGTATAATCTTGAATTTTCTTTGGTTTCCATTAAACTGCCGGTGCCTCAGAAGATTGTCAGTTTAACGTTCTATCAGTAGTACCATAATTTATTCTTTTGTTATACCATGAGGATTGAAGACGAAAAGGCCCATGCTAGCAGGAGGCACAAGAAGAGATTATATATGCAAATAATTCTGTAGCTCTTGTACCAGGAGAGGGTTTGTCTTGTAATATTTCTTTGAAGACACACATAGAAATCTTTGATTGGTCTACAAAAAGCAAAATTGTGAGGCTAAAAAGAAGAGGGAGAAAGAGAAAGAATATTTGAAAAGAGTATGCAAAGCTATGATAAAAAGTCGGAAGATGGATGACAACTGCAGCATCTTTTTTTTTTTTTTTGAGAGCTAAGAATAGTGGGGATGAGGGGGTGGGTAAGGCATGCAAAGCAATTTGGAGAAGCAAGGGTAAGTGTGTTCAAGCCTGGGGAATTGAGGACATCTGGTCATATCCAGACAAAATGTTTAATCTGTGTAACTGGCAGTGGGCAGGGGTAACCCAGCTAGCCTGCCTTCCAAGTCAGGTCGGCTGCTCCTCGACTCTGCTTCTCAGGAGTGGTGGGCTGTGTTCCATGGATCTGAGGTGCCATGTGCTGCTTTCTGCCCCCAGGAAAGAAGCAGACACCGAGGGAGAATTTTAAAGACTTCAAAGAGCCCGAGTGGACTACCACATCCCTGTAGCTGGCAGTCCTATAGCTGGCGGTCCTACTTGTCCAGTAAGGTTAGGGAGGAATGGAGAGGCGGAGGAGTTGGAATATGTGGGTAGGGGTGGGGTTGGGAATGAGTGAAGTGGAAGAGGGCTGGCTAAATGAGCTCTCCTCTTCCAGCACACATTCAGTAAACTTTCTCCCTTCCTCTGTATTTCAGCTTCCAAACATTGGCTCCTCTCTGAAAAGGTCACCCTGCTTTTCAGACAGAATTTGTGACTCTCGGCAGCTGGGAATACTTTGGAACTGAAGAGAACCTATTAGGAGAGAGAAAAAACAGAGTCATGATTAAGCAAAAAAAAAATGGAGAAAAGATTCACCTCTAAATTTTATTTAATGACAACAAAAACACACAACATTTCTCTTTGATTCATAACGTTAATAAATTCTACTTATCGTTTGCAATAATTCCAAGGTGTTCTAAAGACATCTTTATATTAGAAAAGAGTTCCATATTAGTTTGAATTACTTCAGGAAAGAAATGCCCTATTCCACCACTACAAGTTATGGGGAAATCTATAGCAGAACATTTTGTACTCTCACTAATGAAGAAAGAACCCAGTAAGGATTGCTGTATTTTGGAGATTAGGGAATTGTGTTCACACTCACAATAAAATGTTAAGCTACTACGTCAGAGAAGGCTTGGTTCATTTATTTTGACACCAGTATTTGAAATAATTTAGTTTCCTTGGTAAATGATCTGTAGACTCTTCCAAGTGTTGTTAGCTAAAATATTATTAATGTGAATTCATTCAACACACTTCATAATTTTGCTGAGAAATGAGACGTGAAAACTGCATGTTATGGTCCCAAGAGGTGAAGGAGGGGAGCAGAGAGAGAAGCAAGGATGAACAGTGTGAGTGAATTTATGGGAGTTTAGAATGAGAGACTGGGAGGCACCAGCAATAGAAAAACGAGATCATGAAATTTGAATTTTGCTATTGTAGGAGTGGAAAGATGTGATACCTTTCCTCGCTCATCATAAAGGTCACAGCCGACACTTAATACTCCTAACAAAAAGGCAGGTTAACAAAAGAAAAGCATAACATATTTTTAAAATCAAAGTTTTACATGACACAAGAGTCTTCAGAAGTGAAGACCCAAAGACCAAGGGAAAACTGCTTAGGTTCTATAAAGAATGAACAGCTGTACAGATAGGTAACTGGACAAAGGGGTATAACCCAATGGTAACAGATGAAGGTGGAAAGCTCAGCAAGGCCTGTCCAGCTTCATCTTGGCCTCACTGTGTAGTGAAACTTCCTCCCTGCCAACGGGGCAGGACCCCTTCTGAAATGAGGATCTTCAAGGAAGAAGGAGAAGAGAGACAGTAACCTTTCTAGGTGTTATGGCTTGCTTTGAGGGAGAAGGGTTCTAGTTTTTATGACTTACCTTGAAGAAGAAGAATTCTGGTTTCTATGACTCACTTCAGGGGAGAGACAAGGACAAGAGAAAGGAGGGTAGGAGACAGTCAGAGAGAGGCTTTTCTTCTGAGGCTACTTCTGAAGCCTTGCAATCTCCTTTAGTTTTATGTACTCAGCATGCCAAAGCACCATACTTTGGGGTATTGTGTTCTGAGCCCCAACACTATCAATTATCATTCAGTTTCAGCTTGAAAAATGAACTCTGTGGTGAATAAGCACACTGGAGTAGTCCCTGAAGTGTCTACATTCTGCTCAACTAAACTGTTAGCACTGTGAAGAAGGCTTTTGGAAAACAAAATTTTGATATATTGACTCTAATTAAAAAAATATATAGCCACAGTCCAACTAACTCCAAATGAGCACATTATTGCAGAGTCCCTGGGAAATATTTTGTGGAAGTAAAATTTTGAGGGAGAGGCCTGGTGCGGTAGCTCACGCCTGTAATCCTAGCACTTTGGGAGGCTGAGGCAGGTGGATCGTGAGGTCAGGCATTCGAGACCAGCCTGGCCAACATAGTGAAGCCCTGTCTCTACTAAAAATACAAAAAATTAGCTGGGTGTGGGTGTGGGCACCTGTAATCCCAGCTACTTGGGAGGTTGAGGCAGGAGAATCACTTGAATCTGGGAGGTGGAGGTTGTAGTGAGCCGAGATTGCGCCACTGCACTCCAGCCTGGGCGACAGTGCAAGACTCCGTCTCAAAAAAAAAAAAAAAAAAAAAAAAAAAAATTCAGGGAGAAAAAGTCAAGAAAGCTTGGAATGAGTCACTCTATCCCACAATTTCAACAATTCTCTCCAGAGCCCGAGGTGCCAGGTGTGTTTTTGGCTTTGCTTCTGTGCAGGAGCTCTTGCTTCTCCATCTGAGCACCTTCTTTCTCATCCTTTCTGTAATTCTCCTTTGTTCACCTACATTGTTATTCCATGAAGTCATCCCTGGATCCTCTAAGGCACCCCTGCTTCCAGGCCAGAATAATAACATCCTCTGACTCCCACTGTCCTTTATCTGAATTGCTTTCAGTTTGTTCTATAACTTACTTTATAATAATTTGTATATATAGCTTAATCTTCATTGAAATATAAGCTCCTCGCAGGCAGTGACTTTGTCAGAATTATCTTTTCAGGTAACAGACACCCAAATATATTTAAATCACTTAATCTTCATACAGCTCTAGGAGTAATGTTCCACGTGAACTGTGGGCACATTACTAGGATTTTCCCCATCACCCAATGTAATCTAGTTCACATGTGCTAAAAGCATTCACTTGATGAATGTTTCCAATGTCTTTATCCATCAGTATTTTATTAAATTTAAGCTGGGAATCATTTCTAACATGATTATACTCTTGCCCCCATGCCAGGCTGCATTAGGAGAGCCTGCTCTGTGATGACCTGAGCTGTGATGACCAATTGTCCCAGTTTGTGCAGAACTAAGGAGTTTTCCAGGATGTGGGATTTTCAGTGCTAAATTGGAGACAGTACCAGGTAAACTGGGTTGGTTGGTCACCCTAACACTGCTCCCCAGCCCCCTGAATATTCTAATATTCTTCTGTTAGAGCTCTCATAAATGCAGAGTAATCTTTGATTTTCTTGTTTGTGTCTCTCACTAGACTAAATTTCTTATCTCTCTGTATCTCTAGCATCTAGCACAGTGCCTAGTACTTAACTGGTACTCTATAAATGGTTGTGGAGTGGATAAAGAATGAAAGAATATATGCATGAAGAAGAAGTAGAAAGGCTGCAGTGAGCCATAACTGGGCCAGTACACTCCACACTCCAGCCTGGGTGACAAGATGAGGCCCTGTCTCAAAAAAAAAAAAAAGAGAAAAAAGCAACAACAATTTTTCCTCTTTATTTCCCCACAAGGACAAGAAATGTATCCTTTCTGTGTCTCAATCCTATTGTAGAGGGTTTTCAGAAAAATAGGGCAATGTGAAGAAAGCAGAGTTTCAAACTAAAGCCCAGAGGTTCATGGAAAACCTTGGCATCCTCTTCATAAGGAAGAGGCCCAAGAGACATACCATGAGCAGCCTGCTCCCTCCTCTCTTGTGCAGCTCAAATGTTTTCTCTTTTAAGAAGTCTTCTTTCACCCTCCTCCCACTCTGGACAGAGTCAGTTGCTGCCCACTCTGGGCTTCTATAGCATCTGTCTTCTCTGCTACTCTGAGGGCATCGTGAACCATCTGTACCTTATTCATTTTTGGATCACCAGAAGCTGGCATTATATCTGGTCTATAGTAGGTGCTTGTTAAATGAATAAAAGAAAATGTTGAAAGCACAGGGAAATTTATTCACAAGTGTTCCATAAGACAGAGGTAGAAATGAGAGGAGCTTCACTGAACTGAGTTGGGGAAAAAATAAAACGAGAGGCCAGGCACCTGTGACTCACATCTGTAATCCCAGCACTCTGGGAGGCAGAGGCCAGTGGATTGCTTGAACTCAGGAATTCGAGACCAGCCTGGGCAACATTGTGAAATCCCTTCTCTACCAAAAATACTAAAAATGAGCCAAGCATGGTGGCACGTGCACCTGTGGCCTCAGCTACTGGGGAGGTGAGGTAGGAGAATCTCTTGATCCCGGGACATGGAAGTTGCAGTGGGCCGAGATCAGCCACTGCACTCCAGCCTGAATGGATGGAGTGAAACCCTGTCTCAAAAAAACAAAACAAAACAAAAAAGAAAGATAAGAAATGAAAGGGGCTAAATTTAAGAAGATATTCATCACAGCAACTTAGATTGAGTAAGTGGTTTGCATTCTTTATTTCATTTAATTCTAACAACAAACCTCTAAACGTTTAGGTTTTCCCTATTTTATAAAGGAGAACATTAAAGGTCAGAGAGCTTCAATAATTGTCACAGGTCACATATTCATAAGTGGCACAGACCAAGCTAGTTTCATATTCCATTTCATTTGATTTGGTTTAAGGAGTTTTGGAAAGCTGCTCCAAGCATACATTAGAGATAGAGAAGGGATGGGCAGGAAATACTGAGGAGAATATTACTAACATTATTTTAAAAGAGGGGTGGAACGACCCACTCCCAAAATGCCCTTTGGAATATAATAAGAACACATGACTTCCTCAAAGCTCTCACTTCCTCAAGTACTATAGATTTTGAGATTTGGAGGAGGACAAGTTAATGTGCAGGGCTTGTAATTTTATATTTATGAGTAAGATGTGACTGAATATGATTATGTGATCTTTAGGGGAAAAAAAATCCAGTCTTACATCCCATCTGAAACTCAAAACCCTAGAGGAATTCCACTTATGAAAAGGAGAATCCTTAAAAGAAAGGAAAGTTTGAAAAGGATCCTAGGGCTGAAAGTCATAAATTTTAACAGAAAGTGTGTGTGTGTGTGTGTGTGTATGTGTGTGTGTGTAGGCAGGGAGGTGTTCAAGATTAGATTTAGTTATATTATATTAGATGTGCAAAAAAAAAAAAAAACTTCAAAACCTTCTTTACTTCCTATACCTGCAGTGGTGTTAGAGGAAAGTAACGAAACAAAAGAGACTTATATTTTAAAATTTTGCTAAAATACATGTAACACCTTAACCATCTTTAAGTGTATACAGTTCAATGATAGAACAACAAAGACTTTAACTTGCCAATTAAAGTAACTTCTGGATGAAACAATTGTGTTCTGATAAATATTTCATCAATTCCAGGGTCATCACTTGTATTAGTCCATTTTCACACTGCTGTGAAGATACTACCTGAGACTGGGCAATTTATGAACAAAAGAGGTTTAATTGACTCACAGTTCCATATGGCTGGGGAGGCCTTAGGAAACTCACAATCATGGCAGAAGGTGAAGGAGAAGCAAAACCTTCTTCACAAGGTGGCAGGAGAGAGAGAGGGAGAATGAGTGCAGTGGAAACTGCCACTTTGAAACCATTAGATCTTGTGAGGACTCCTTCACTATCAGGAGAACAAAATGGGGAAACCGCCCCCATGATTCAATTGCCTCCCACCAGGTCCCTCCCTCCACACTTGGGGATTACAATTCGAGATGGGATTTGGGTGGGGACACAGAGCCAAACCATATAAGCTCCATACTAGGGATGTTCCTCCCCTCTTTGTTTATCTACTCAAGATAGCATTTGTAGGGGAAAGTTCTCTCAGCAGTGCAGGCACTGAGCATTCATAAATGACTTTCTATTGGTCTTTGTGACCTGGTGGATAGTCAGAAGGGGTCTCTAGACTAGTATCCACTGAAGTGTAACTGGAAAGTCCATTTTGCCTCTCTGGCTGTTTCTACCAGCATCCTTCCTCAATGCTCCACCCTAAGACTTGCACATCCAACTTCTGACCATATTTTTCTGGAAGGGGAGAGACTTTGTTTTCTTTCTCTCTGGAAAATACTTCCTTGATATCATATCCTTCTTTTTCCTGGTAGCACTAAGCACAATGACTCAGCCTTAATTGTGGATGAGCTATCTTCTCCACATGTTGAAAGAAACTGATTTGCACTTGCCAGGTATGGCTCTTGATAAGGGAGCATTGTCATAACTTAAAAAGAGGAATTACTGTGGACCAAACAAAATATTGCTCTTATCACATATATAAATAAAACTTTGAAATTGACAACCTTAGATCAATGAATGTAAAACATCCTTACTAGATTTTATCTAAATTCAATCTTTTTGTTTTTATATTATTATACTTTAAGTTCTGGGACACATGTGCAGAATGTGCCATTTTGTTACATAGTTATACAAGTGCCATAGTGGTTGGCTGCACCCATCAACACATCACCTACTGTCCTTCCAGTAGCCCCCTACCCCCAAACAGGCCCCGGTGTGTAATGTTCCCCTTCCTGTGTCCATGTGTTCTCATTGTTCAACTCCCATTTATGAGTGAGAACATGTGGTGTTTGGTTTTCTGTTCTTGTGTTAGTTTGCTGAGAATGATGGTTTCCAGCTTCATCCATGTCCCTGCAAAGGACATGAACTCATCATTTCTTATGGCTGCATAGTATTCCATGGTGTATATGTGCCACATTTTCTTTATCCAGCCTATCATTGATGGACATTTGGGTTGGTTCCAAGTCTTTGCTATTGTGAATAGTGCTGCAATAAGCATACGTGTGCATGTGTCTTTATAGTAGAATGATTTATAATGCTTTGGGTATATACCCAGTAATGGGATTGGTGGGTCAAATGGTATTTCTAGTTCTAGATCCTTGAGGAATCGCCACACTGTCTTCAACAATGGTTGAACTAATTTACACTCCCATGAACAGTGTAAAAGCGTTCCTATTTCTCCACAGCCTCTCCAGCATCTGTTGTTTCCTGGCTTTTTTTTTTTTTTTTTGAGATGGAGTCTCGCTCTGTCACCTAGGCTGGAGTGCAGTGGCATGATCTCGGCTCACTGCAAGCTCTACCTCCCAGGTTCATGCCATTCTTCTGCCTCAGCCTCCCAAGTAGCTGGGACTACAGGCACGCCCGCCACCACACCAGGCTAATTTTTGTATTTTTAGTAGAGACGTGGTTTCACCGTGTTAGCCAGGATGGTCCTGGTCTCTTGACCTGGTGATCCGCCCACCTTGGGCTCCCAAAGTGCTGGGATTACAGGCGTGAGCCACTGTGCCCAGCCTGTTTCCTGGCTTTTTAATGGTTGCCATTCTAACTGGTGTGAGATGGTATCTCATTGTGGTTTTGATTTGCATTTCTCTAATGACCAGTGATAATGAGCATTTTTTCATGTGTTTATTGGCCACATAAATGTCTTCTTTTGAGAAGTGTCTGTTCATATCCTTTGCACACTTTTTAATGGGGTTGTTTGTTTTTTTCTTGTAAATTTGTTTAAGTTCCTTGTAAATTCTGGATATTAGCCCTTTGTCAGATAGATAGATGGCAAAAATTTCCTCCCATTCTGTAGGTTGCCTGTTCACTCTGATGATAGTTTCTTTTGTGGTGCAGAAGCTCTTTAGTATAATTAGATCCCATTTGTCAATTTTGGCTTTTGTTGCCATTGCTTTTGGTGTTTTAGACATGAAGTCTTTGCCCATGCCTATGTCCTGAATGGTATTGCCTAGGTTTTCTTCTAGGATTCTTACGGTTTTAGGTCTTACATTTAAGTCTTTAATCCATCTTGAGTTAATTTTTGAATAAGTTGTAAGGAAAGGGTCCAGTTTCAGTTTTCTGCATATGGCTAGCCACTTTTCCAATCACCTTTTATTAAATAGGGAATCCTTTCCCCATTCCTTGTTTTTGTCAGGTTTGTCAAAGATCAGATGGTTGCAGATGTGTGATGTTATTTCTGAGGCCTTTGTTCTGTTCCATTGGTTTGTATATCTGTTTTGGTACCAGTACCATGTTGTTTTGATTACTGTAGCCTTGTAGTATAGTTTGAAGTCAGGTAGCGTGATGCCTCCAGCTTTGCTCTTTTTGCTTAGGATTGTCTTGGCTATGCAGGCTCTTTTGTGGTTCCACGTGAAGTTTAAAGTAGTTTTTTTTCCAGTTGTGTGAAGAAAGTCAGTGGTAGCTTGACGGGGATAACATTGAATCTATAAATTACTTTGGGCAGTATGGCCATTTTCATGATATTGATTCTTCCTATCCATGAGCATGGAACGTTTTGCCATTTGTTTGTGTCCTCTCTTATTTCCTTGAGCAGTGGTTTATAGTTCTCCTTGAAGAGGTCCTTCACATCCCTTGTAAGTTGGATTCCTAGGTATTTTATTCTCTTAGTAGCAATTGTGAATGGGAGTTCACTCATGATCTGGCTCTCTATTATTGGTGTATAGGAATGCCTGTGATTTTTGCACATTGATTTTGTATCCTGAGACTTTGCTGAAGTTGCTTATCAGCTTAAGGAGATTTAGGGATGAGACAATGGGGTTTTCTAAATATATAATCATGTCATCCGCAAACAGAGACGATTTGACTTCCTCTTTTCCTATTTGAATACCCTTTATTTCTTTCTCTTGCCTGATTGCCCTGGCCAGAACTTCCAATACTATGTTGAATAGGAGTGGTGAGAGAGAGCATCCTTGTCTTGTGCCAGTTTTCAAAGGGAATGCTTCCAGTTTTAGTCCATTCAGTATAACATTGGCTGTGGGTTTGTCATAAATAGCTCTTATTATTTTGAGATAAGACCCGTCAGTACCTAGTTTATTGAGAGTTTTTAGCATGAAGCGGTGCTGAATTTTTTTGAAGGCCTTTTCTTCATCTATTGAGATAATCATGTGGTTATTGTCATTGGTTCTGTTTATGTGATGGATTAAGTTTATTGATTTGCGTATGTTGAACCAGCTTTGCATCCCAGGGATGAAGCTGATTTGATCGTGGCGGAGAAGCTTTTTGATGTGCTGCTGGATTTGGTTCGCCAGTATTTTATTGAGGATTTTTGCATCAATGTTCATCAGGGATATTGGCATGAAATTTTCTTTTTTTGTTGTGTCTCTGCCAGGTTTTGGTATCAGGATGATGCTGGCCTCATAAAATGAGTTAGGGAGGATTCCCTCTTTTTCTATTGATTGGAATAGTTTCAGAAGGAATGATGCAAGCTCCCCTTTGTACCTCTGGTAGAATTTGGCTGTGAATCTCTCTAGTCCTGGACTTTTTTTGGTTGTAGACTATTAATTACCACAATTTCAGATCTTGTTATTGGTCTATTCAGGGATTCAACTTCTTCCTGGTTTAGTCTTGGGAGGGTGTATGTGTCCACGAATGTATCCATTTCTTCTAGATTTTCTAGTTTATTTGCATAGAGGTGTTTATCGTATTCTCTGATCGTAGTTTGTATTTCTGTGGGATCAGTGGTGATCTCTTCTTTATCACTTTTTCTTGCATCTGTTTGATTCTTCTCTCTTTTCTTCTTTATTAGTCTTGCTAGCAGTCTATCAATTTTGTTGACGTTTCAAAAAGCCACCTCCTGGATTCATTGATTTTTTGAGGGTTTTTTGTGTCTCTATCTCCTTCAGTTCTGCTCTGATCTTAGTTATTTCTTGTCTTCTGCTAACTTTTGAATTTGTTTGCTCTTCCTTCTCTAGTTCTTTTAATTTTGTGGTTAGGATCTCAATTTTAGATCTTTTCTGCTTTGTCTTGTGGGCATTTAGTGCTATAAATTTCTCTCTACACACTGCTTTAAATGTGTCCCAGAGATCCTGGTATGTTGTGCTTTTGTTCTCATTGGTTTCAAGGAACATCTTTATTTCTGCCTTAATTTCATTATTTACCACGTAGTCATTCAGGAGCAGGTTGTTCAGTTTTCATGTAATTGTGTGGTTTTGAGTGAGTTTCTTAATCATGAGTTCTAATTTCATTGCACTGTGGTCTGAGAGACTGTTATGATTTCCGTTCTTTTGCATTTGCTGAGGAGTGTTTTACTTCCAATTTTACTTTCAATTTTAGAATAAGTGCAATGAGGTGCTGAGAAGAACACATATTCTGTTGATTTGGGGTGGAGAGTTCTGTAGATGTCTTTTAGGTCTGCTTGATCCAGAGCTGAGTTCAAGTCCTGCATATCTTTGTTAATTTTCTGTCTTGTTGATCTGTCTAATGCTGACAGTGGGGTGTTAAAGTCTCCCAATATTATTGTGTGGGAGTCTAAGTCTCTTTGTAGCTCTCTAAGGACTTGCTTTATAAATCTGGGTGCTCCTGTAATGGGTGCATATATATTTAGGATAGTTAGCTCTTCTTGATGCATCGATCCCTTACCATTATGTAATGGCCTTCTTTGTCTGTTTTGATCTTTGTTGGTTTAAAATCTATTTTATCAGAGATTAGGATTGCAACTCCTGCTTTATTTTGCTTTCCATTGCTTGGTAAATATTCCTCCATCCCTTTGTTTTGAGTCTATGTGTGTCTTTGCATAAGAGACAGGTCTCCTGAATTTAGCACACTAATGGGTCTTGACTCTTAATCCAATTTGCCAGTCTGTGTCTTTTAATTGGGGCATTTAGCCCGTTTACATTTAAGGTTAATATTGTTATGTGTGAATTTGATCCTGTGATTATGTTGCTAGCTGGTTATTTTGCCCATTAGTTGATGTAGTTTCTTCATGGTGTCGATGGTCTTTACAATTTGGTATGTTTTTACAGTGGCTGGTACCAGTCGTTCCTTTCCATGTTTAGTGCTCCCTTCAGGAGCTCCTGTAAGGCAGGTGGTGGTGACAATATCTCTCAGTATTTGCTTGTCTGTAGAGGATTTTATTTCTCCTTCACTTATGAAGCTCAGTCTGGGTTGAAAATTCTTTTCTTTAAGAATGTTGAATATTGGCCCCATTCTCTTCTGGCTTATAGGGTTTCTGCAGAGTGGTCTGCTCTTAGTCTGATGGGCTTCCGTTTGTGGGTAACCCGACCTTCCTCTCTGGCTGCCCTTAACATTTTTTCCTTCATTTCAACCTTGGTGAATCTGAGGATTATTTGTCTTGGGGTTGCTTTTCTCGAGGAGTATCTTTGTGGTGTTCTCTGTATTTCCTGAATTTGAATGTTGGCCTGTCTTGCTAGGTTGGGAAAGTTCTCCTGGATAATCACCTGAAGAGTGATTTCCAACTTAGTTCCATTCTCCCCGTCACTTTCAAGTACACCAGTCAAACGTAGATTTCGTCTTTTCACATAGTCCCATATTTCTTGGAGGCTTTGTTCGTTCCCTTTTTATTTTTTTTTCTCTAATCTTGTCTTCTTTTTTTATTTTTATTTCATTAAGTTGATCTTCAATCTCTGACATCCTTTATTCTGCTTGATCAATTCAGCTATTGATACTTGTGTATGCTTCACGAAGTTCTTGTGCTGTGTTTTTCAGCACCATCAGGTCATTTATGTTCTTCTTTAAACTGGTTATTTTAGTTAGCAATTTGTCTAACCTTTTTTCAAGTTTCTTAGCTTCCTTGCATTGGGTTAGAACATTATCCTTTAGCTGGGAGGACTTTGTTATTATCCACATTCTGAAGCCTACTTCTGTCAATTTGTCAAACCATTCTCCATCCAGTTTTATTCCCTTGCTGGCGAGGAACTGTCATCCTTTGGAGGAGAAGAGGGGTTGTGATTTTTGGAATGTTCAGCTTTTTTGTGCTGGTTTCTCCCCATCTTTGTGGTTTTATCTACCTTTAGTCTTTGATGTTCGTGACCTTCGGATGGGGTCTCTAAGTGGATGTGCTATTTTTTTCTGTTTGTTAGTTTTCCTTCTAACAATCAAGCCCGTCTGCTGCAGGTCTGCTGGAGTTTGCTGGAGGTCTACTCCAGACCCTGTTTGCCTGGGTATCACCAGCAGAGGCTGCAGAACAGCAAAGATTGCTGCCCGTTCTTTCCTCTGGAAGCTTCGTCCCAGAGGGGCACCCGTCAGATGCCAGCCAGAGCTCTCCTGTATGAGGTGTCTGTTGGCCCTTACTGGGAGGTGTCTCCCAGTCAGGATACATGGGGGTCAGGGACCCACATGAGGAGGCAGTCTGACCCTTAGCAGAGCTTGACCACTGTGCTGGGAGGTCCACTGCGGTCTTCAGAGCTGTCAGGCAGGGACGTTTAAGTCTGCTGAAGCTGCACCCACAACAGCCCCTTTCCGGAGACGCTCTGTCCCAGCGAGATGGGGGTTCCATATCTAAGTCCCTGACTTGGTCTGCTGCCTTTTTTTCAGAGATGCCCTGCCCAGAGAGGAGAAATCTGGCAGTCTGTCCACAGCAGCCTTGCTGAGCTCCAGTGGGCTCTGCTCAGTTTGAAGTTCCCAGAGGCTTTGCTTACACTGTGAGGATAAAACCGCTTACTCAAGCCTCAGCAGTGGCAGATGCCCCTCCCCCCACCAAGCTGGAGCATCCCAGGTCTATCTCAGACTGCTGCTGTGTTGTCAGCGAGAATTTCAAGCCAGTGGGTCTTATCTTGCTGGGCTCCATGGATGTGGGACCAGCTGAGCCAGGCACGGGAGGGTATCGCCTGTTCTGCCGATTGTGAAGGCCCTGGGAAAAGTGCAGTATCTGGGCCAGAGGTCACCATTCCTCCGGGTACAGTTTCTCATGGCTTCCCTTGGCTAGGGAAATGAAATCCCTGACCCCTTGTGCTTCCCGGGTGAGGTGATGCCCCACCCTGGTTCGGCTCACCCTCGGTGGGCTGGCTGTACCCACTGTCCAACCAGTTCCAATGAGATGAACTGGGTATCTCAGTTGGAAATGCAGAAATCACCTGCTTTCTGCGTCGATTTCACTGGGAGCTGCATACCGGAGCTGTTCCTATTTGGCCATTTTGGCCAACCCCTAAATTCAATCTTAAAAGAAAAAAGAGTAGGAACCCATTCTGTTTTTCAGAAAATGAACGGAAGAAAAACAATTCATTTATGTAAATATTTAATGAGTCTCCTCCATGTGCTTGCTATGCAGCTTGTTGGCTATATGTCCAAGAATTGGATTTAGGAAATGGGGGAAAACCCAAAAGTGGATAATGACTCCACCAACACACACACACAATTTGACTTTAAATAATATGTGATGCTACTACTTTTGACTTTGTTTTAATCAGAGAAGCAATGGAAGGCTATAAGTAAGCCTGTAGGTTTTGATTCAGAGCCATAGATTACATGTTCTTTGCTTCTGTAAGAAAAACTTTTGAAAGGCAAGGGAAACATTTTACCTCGCTAGTCTATAGAATAATTATGGAAGTTTTGTTCATTTCAAAAAGAATATTCAATTATATTTTGAGTCTTTGCCTTTAGAAATTTCCATGAGAGTTTTTGTTGACAATGAATTCATTATGTTCTAAGGTTTTAAAAAATTATTAGCCTTCTATATTTGATAATTACATACTGATATATACTGTATTAAGTATATTAAGAATAAAAGATTTCTTAATGTTTAATATCCACTTTTGACATTTTTGTCTTTTCTGGAATGAAATCATGTGAACTAAAGATAGCTATCAATTTAATTAAAACTGCACAATGACTGAGTTTTTAATATTGAGATTGATTGGACATTGATATCTCAGGCATAGCTGTTTAATTTTCATTCATACCAGGACAAGAAAAATTTTTATAAACAACATTTATATTTCTGGTTTTCCAGAAGTCTTTTAATATGGAAAAGGAAAAAGATCAAAATGTGATAGAAAGAACATAAGTTCTAACAGGAAGAATTCATCTGAAAAGAACTGAAAATACAAAGACATAGCTAATCCCAGCTGCACCAAACCAAATTGAATGAAACAAATGTTAACTCTAACATTGTCTTAACCTTATGCATTTTCTCCTGGTTTGCTCTGATTTATTCTGCTGCTGGTATGGTTACTATTTCATTTTTCTTTAACTTGTGTGTTTTATCCTTATTCAAGTAGAGTACCAATCAGGTAAGGAATTGGGCAGTGCAACTTTCTAAGTACTAGATGAATTTTTATGGTAGTTGCCTGTCAATTTCAAATTAATTTGTATCAAAGAGCTTTAGTTTTCCTCTACTTCCTTACATTCTCTGCCTGACCTTAGTCACTTTACAATAGACCACAGAAAAGGGGGCAAAGTCCCTCATCCTTTTCAAATCTATTTTAGGCTCATGGATCAACATATACTGAACACAAACTTTGAGAAATTACAGAGACCTTTACCTTCTTTTATATTTTTCTAAATATTGATCTTTATTTCCTTTAGTCAAGGAAGGTGTGGAATGGGCAGAAGGCAGCAAGATAAATGGTCATATGGAGTTGGGATAAAATAAAAAATAAACCCCCTGGGTGTTGTAACATGAATGGAGTGTGCATATTACAGGTAAGCGTAAATAGTGTTGGCATCTAGAATTGAGATCTTTTGGGACCTAAGATTGTGTTGTACATGCCCTAGTAAAATTGTAAAAGAAGAAATTTTAGGCAATGATAATAGCTAAGCTAAGATTCATTGAGTATTTCCATGTATCAGGCACTTTCTAACAAGTTTTACTGAATCTTCACAATCCCATCCTGAGGGAAGTACTATCATTATTCTTGTTTTACAGGTCTAAAAAAATGAGGCACAGCATGGTAAATTGTTAAAAATCACAAAACTAGTGAGGATGGTGTGGTACTTATATTCACTGCACTAATACCCCATTATACCTATAATCCACATATACCTATATATGCAGATGTGTACACACACATGTGCATCCACACACCACACATATATATGTAAGAATATTCTCAAATAATAAAACTAAATCTGATGGAGGAAATGTACTCTTGAAGGAAGTGCCTTGTTAGAAAGTGGGACAGGAAGGAAGTGGGTTTTTGTCCCTACAATCATTGAATGGCTTCTCTTTCAACAAAAAATATAGTTATCCCTTGGTATGCACAGGCAGTCGGTTCCAGGACCCTTTTGGAGACCAACATCTAAGGATGCTCAAGTCTCTTATAGGAAATGGCATAGTATTTGCATATTGCCTGTGTACATCTTCCCATATGCTTCATTATCTCTACGTTATTTATATGATAATATCTAATACAATGTAAATCTTATGAAAATGGCTGTTATTCAGTATTGTTTTTATTGTTGTGTTATTATTGTTTTATTTTTATTTATTTTTTTGAGATGGAGTCTCACACTGTCACCTGGGCTGGAGTGCAGTGGCGCGATCTTAGCTCACTGCAACCTCCGCCTCCCAGGTTCAAGCCATTCTCCTTGCCTCAGTCTCCCAAGTAGCTGGTATTACAGGTGCCCGCCACCATGCCCGGCTAATTTTTTTGTATTTTTAGTAGAGACAGAGTTTCACTATGTTGGTCAGGCTGGTCTCAAACTCCTGATTTCATGATCAGCTTGCCTCGGCCTCCCAAAGTGCTGGGATTACAGGTGTGAGCCACCGCACCTGGCCTATTTTATTTATTTATTTATTTATACTTATTTTTTTTGAGACGGAGTCTCGCTCTGTTGCTCAGGCTGGGGTGCAAAGGCACGATCTTGGCTCAGTCAACCACTGCCTCCCAGATTCAAGTGATTCTCCTGCCTCAGCCTCCAGAGTAGCTGGGGTTACAGGCACCTGCCACCATATCCAGCTAATTTTTGTATTTTTGTAGAGATGGGGTTTCACCATGTTGGCCAGGCTGGTCTTGAACTCCTGACCTCAGGTGATTTGGTCACCTTGGCCTCCCAAAGTGTTGGGATTTCAGGTGTGAGCCACCGCACCCAGCCCATATTGTCATTATTTATGTATTTATTTGTTTTTATATGTTTTCTGTCTCCAGTTGATTGAATCCAGGGATATGGAACCCACAGATAAGAACTGATTATATTAGGCCAGTGAAGTAAAATGGCTGCCTGAAAGGTAAGAAAACAAATGAGGATTCAATGAAAACAGCAAAGACAGAAATCTCCCCAGGAAAGCTGAGAACAGAGATTGGTTGTTGGTCAATTCATTTGTGCCCCATTGATATTCAACATTGACTGGATTGTATAACTTTCTTTCTTCACTAACATCAGGTTATTATTATTGGCGCTAGGTTTTTTCTTCCCATTTGTGCATGGTTTAACACATCTCCCAAAATGAGACTGTCATGCAGGGATATATTGTAAAAAAGCATTGGAAGAATGAGAAAAGTGGTAGTAGTAAGTCCACTGGATGATAGAGTAGAGAGGAAACATTATTCTGCCCAAGATAAGAAAATTATAATAGAAATAAGATGGTGATCATTAGCAAAGAATTTAAGTTCTCTCCTCCTACAAACAGCAGAGAGTTCTCATGACTCTCCAGGTTTTTCTTTGTTCAATGGCTTCCCAGAAGGTGATAAGTGAATAATAGATAACACTCAGTGAAGTTAAGCAAGGGCTTCTAGAGAGTAGAGAAGATGATTCCATAGGCTAAGAGCTAAAGGGAAAGTCTTGGTTACTTTCAAAATTCATTACATGAAGGAGAGTTCCAAAAAGTCCTAGAAACTTGAATATAAAAGTGATTGCAACATTTATGTGGCCAACAAATATACAAAAAAAAGCTCAACATCACTGATCATTAGAGAAATGCAAATCAACACCACAATGAGATACCATCTCATGCCAGTCAGAATGGCAATTATTAAAAAGTCAAGAAACAATAGATGCTGGAGGGGCTGTGGAGAAATAGGAACACTTTTACACTGTTGGTGAGAATGTAAATTAGTTCAACTATTGTGGAAGACAGTGTGGCCATTCCTCAAGGATCTAGAACCAGAAATACCATTTTACCCAGCAATCCCATTACTGGGTATATACTTAAAGGAATATAAATCATTCTACTATAAAGACACATGCACACATATGTTTACGGCACCACTGTTTACAATAGCAAAGACATGGAACCAACCAAATGCCCATCAGTGGTAGACTGGATAAAGAAAATGTGGCACATATACACCATGGAATACCATACTATGCAGCCATAAAAAGGATTGAGATCATGTCCTTTGCGGGGACATGGATGAAGCTGGAAACATCATCTTCAGAAAACTAACACAGAAACAGAAAACCAAACACCGCATGTTCTCACTCATAAGTGGAAGTTGAATAATGAGGACACATGGACACAGGGAGGGGAAAAACACACACCAGGGACAGTCAGGGGGTGGGGGGTGAGGGGAAGGAGAGCATTAGGACAAATAGCTAATGCATGAGGGGCTTAAAACCTAGATGATGGGTTGATAGGTGCAGCAAACCACCATGGTACCCGTATATGTATGTAACAAACCTTCACGTTCTGCACTTGTATCCCAGAACTTAAAATAAAATTAAAAAAAAAAAAAAGTGAATGCAAACTAAAGTCTGTCACAGCTTCTCAGCAAGACAATGTGTCAGTGATTCTGATTAAAGTGAATGGACTCTATAGACAGAGGTTGCTCAGGAATCCCTGAGATCTTGATGGAGAGCAATCTCTGTGTTTGATTGTATTTGGTGCAGGATTTTCTGTTAATTAAACCTTTTAATATAAGTCTATAGCAAGAATCCTTGTATTGGATTCAAATATTTCTTGGTTCTGAGGCAGGGGAAGAGCAAGGAGGGGATTACAGCAGTGAATAATATTACATGAAATTAATCACCACTGAGTTTTTTCTTTTTTTTTTTTTTGAGAAAAAGTTTTGCTCTTGTTGCCCAGGCTGAAGTGCAACGGCGTGATCTCGGCTAACTGCAACCTCCACCTCCCGAGTTCAAGCAATTCTCCTGCCTCTGCCTCCTGAGTAGCTGGGATTACAGGTGCCCAGCACCACACCTGGCTAATTTTTTGTATTTTTAGTAGAGACGGTGTTTCACCATGTTGGCCAGGCTGGTCTCAAACTCCTGATGTTGGGTGATCCACCTGCCTCAGCCTCCCAAAGAGCTGGGATTACAGGTGTGAACCACCGTGCCCAGCCTACTCACAGGGTATTTATAAAAGACTGATTACAGGATGATTGCATCACCCATGTTAATGATTTTCCTGTTCTTTATTAATTGTGATTCTAGCTATTGAATCAATGTGATACTTCAGCACAGGGTCTGATAGTCTTCAAAGTTGTTGCTTTTGTGTTAAATGAAGATAAACTATATCAATCTCTCTCCTGAAAATTTTTAACCTAATACAAAGTCATATTATTCAATGACTAACAGATTTTTTTTTTCCTGGTAAACTTTTTTTTTCTTTTATCCCTTTGACAGAATAGCAATGTGGTATGTTATTAGCCTGATAAATAGATATACATTCATACATATGGAGACTACTTTGCAGTTATAAACAAGTAAGTTGGGTTTCAAAAGTTCAAATTTCAATCAGCTGATTGGAACTTAGAATGATTGTATGTATACAAATATTGTTAGAATGTGGTGTTTTAAAAATATGCTCCCATGGGACACTAGTGTCCCACAAGGGGAATTCTTATAGAAAAATATAAGAGAGAGTAATGCTGTTTCTCCAATATTCAGGGTAATGTAATTCATGGATGTCATTTTCTTGGTTTTAACAGTTTTCCCCATGTAGTTTCTCCCAATAATAAAAGACCTTTTGTTGGTGGCTCACGCCTATAATCCCAGCACTTTGGGAGGCCGAGGTGGGCGGATCACGAAGTCAGGAGTTCAAGACCAGCCTGACCAACATGCTGAAACCTCGTCTTTACTAAAAACAAAAAAAATTAGCCGGGCGTGGTGGCATGTGCCTGTAATCCCAGCTACTCAGGAGGCTGAGGCAGGAGAATTGCTTGAACCCGAGAGGCGGAGGTTGCAGTGAGCAGAGATGGAGCCACTGCACTCCAGCCTGGGTGACAGAGGGAGACGCCTTCTCAAAAAAAAAAAAAAAAGACCATTTGTATTAGTCTGTTTTCAAGCTGCTGATATAGACATACCCAAGACAGGGAAGAAAAAGTTTAATTGGACTTACAGTTCCCCATGGCTGGGGAGGCCTCAGAATCATGGTAGGAGGTGAAAGGCACTTATTTGTGGCGGCAGCAAGAGAAAATGAGGAAGAAGCAAAAGTGGAAACCCCTGATGAACCCATTAGATCTCTTGAGACTTATTCATTATTACGAGAATAGCATGGGAAAGACAGACCCCCATGATTCAATCACCTCCCTCTGGGTCCCTCCCACAACACGTTGGAATTCTGAGAGATACAATTCAAGTTGAGATTTGGGTGGGGACACAGCCAACCCATATCACCATTTGAGAGCTTATTGTGAGCTAAATTCTTTACATACATCATTTCATTTGATCTTCACAAGGATCACATTTTATAGATAGAAAAACTCTAATTTTCCACTGGCTACTCAAATACTAGGTGGTAGAGCCAGTGTGATAAATTTAAAACATGTCCATAGGCCAGGTGCGATGGCTCACGCCTGTAACCCCAGCACTTTGGGAGGCTGAGGCGGGCGGGTCATGAGGTCAGGAGATCGAGATCACCCTGGCTAACATGGTGAAACCCCATCTCTACAAAAAATACAAAAAAAAAAAAATTAGCCAGGCGTGGTGGCGGGCGCTTGTAGTCCCAGCCACTCAGGAACCTGAGGCAGGAGAATGGCGTGAACCCAGGAGGCACAGCTTGCAGTGAGCCAAGATCGTGCCACTGCACTCCAGCCTGGGCAACAGAGCGAGACTCTGTCTCAAAAAAAAAAAATGTCCACAAACACTTTCACATTTCTCCTATTGACAGTCTATGTCCCTTTCCCTTAAATGTGGGCTGGCCTTAGGGACTCACTTGTAACCAATAGAATCCATTGGAAATGACACTGTGTGACTTCTGAGGCTAGGTTAGAAAAGATCAACAGCTTTCAACTGGCTCTTTTGTGATGCTTTTCTAGTAGAAACCAACTGGCATGTGAGAAATCTGACCATCCTGAAACCTTCATGCTAGAGAGGCCACATGTAGGTTCTTTGCTTTATAGCCTACTATCAACTATGAGCCATGTAAGTGAGCCATTTAAACGTCCAGCACAATTGAGTCTTCAGATGCCTGCAGCTCCATGTCTGACTTGAACTGTATGAGACACTCCAGGTGAGAACAACCTAGTTGTTTTGTTGTGGTTGCTGTTTTTGAGATGGTGTCTTGCTCTGTTGCCCAGGCTGGATTGCAGTGGCGTGATCTCAGCCCACTGTAACCTCTGCCTCCCAGGTTCAACAGATTCTCATGCCTCAGCCTCCCAAGTAGCTGGAATTACAGATGCACACCACCAGGCCTGGCTAATTTTTTTATTTTTGGTAGAGAAGGGGTTTTGCCATGTTGCCCAGGCTGATCTTGAGCACCTAGACTCAAGTGGTCCACCCGCCTTGGCATCCCAAAGTGTTTGGATTATAGGCATGAGCTGCCATGCCCTGCCCTTGTTGTTGTTTTATATCACTAATTATTGGGGCAATTAATTATGCAGTAATAATAATCAGAACAGCCAGTAATAGAACTTGGGTCTTTGGGACTCTAAATTTCATCTTAAGGTACACATTTTACTGCTTCTTTAAACTTCTGATACTGTTATTATTTTTTTAATAATAAAATCTAGTATGAGACTCAATTTAGTATACAATTATATACTTAGCTATTTAAGTTTAGTATATCCATAGTTCTTTGGGTTGTACAAAATTTTCCCTGAATTCTATTCTCTTGCCTGTTTACAAACTAGGGAATCACTATTTTACAATTAACGGTAAAGTTCTCATTCACTCAGCTAACATTCACTGAGTACCTATGATCTGTTAGGCAGTGTAAAAACTATGCACCCAAGTATGAATAAACATAAGCTTTATCACCTCGTCAATGACAGAAGGCTTAGAGAAAATGGGGAAAGATGCACATACAAACAAATAAGACAACAAAATAAGAAGAGTTCTATAACAAAGGAGAATACAAAGAGATGATGGTTAAGCAAAGTTGAAAAGTTTAATTTTGGCTGGGCGCAGTGGCTCACACCTGTAATCCCAACACTTTGAGAGGCCAAGGTGGGTGGATCACCTGAGGCCAGGAGTTCGAGGCTAGCCTGGCCAACATGGCGAAATCCTGTCTCTACTAAAAGTACAAAAAATTAGCCGGGCGTGGTGGCAGGCACCTGTAATCCCAGCTACTTGGGAGGCTGAGGCAGGAGAATTGTTTGAACCCGCGAGGCCGAGGCTGCAGTGAGCTGAGATCTCACCATTGCACTCTAGCCTGGGCAACAAGAGTGAAACTCTATCTCAAAATAATAATAATAATAAATAAATAAATAAATAAATGAAAGAAAGAAAAGTTTAATTTCTCAGGTAACTGCAGGAAGGAGGAGAGGAGAATGGAGAAGAAAAAAAAAAACTCCCTGGGTTGGTTACCCTATAGTACTAACCTCAAGTTCTTAGTCTAGAACCTTCAAGAAGGAAAAGGGTGGAGGGAAGAATCCAAAGGACAAAAGCTAAGATAGCCCTTCTGGAAAAAACAGCTCTGGAAGGATTTTGGGTTTAAGAGAATCCAGAGGTAGGCATTCAGGTGTTATTCTGCCAAGAGAGTTTCTAAGTTAAAGAATGCCTGAATTCAATCCACCAGATGCTGACTTTGGATAAAGACATTTTCATCTTTTTTCCCCCTATAAAATAATGATAATCAGCAGGGCCCGGTGGCTCATGTCTGTAATCCCAGCACTTTGGGAGGCTGGGGTGGGTGGATCACGAGGTCCAGAGTTCATGACCAGCCTGGCCAAGATGGTGAAACCCCACCTCTACTGAAAAAAAAAAAATACAAAAATTAGCCAGGTGCAGTGGCGGGTGCCTGTAACCCCAGCTACTCGGGAGGCTGAGGCAGGAGAATCGCTTGAACCCGGTGGGTGGAGGTTGCAGTAAGCCAAGATCACACCACTGCACTCCAGCCTGGGCGACAGGGTGAGACTATGTCTCAAATAATAATAATAATAATAATCATCATCATCATCATTCTTATTACTAAACAAATTTGTGTTTTCAGAGTAATGAATGAGGTAATGTCTAGAAAGATCCCTGATTTCCTTGCTAAAAAAAGCAATGCTACAGGGATAGAAGTTATCATTATTCCAGCAGTTTTGGTGTATAGTTTAAGAATGAAGAAAACATCTATCTTTATTCAAGCAGTGTGGCCTACTCAAGGGAGCTATTTTTTAACATATTGTATTTCTTGCTTGATTAGGTAGCAAGCAATGTTTCTCATAATGCTTGTCCCTTGCTCACATCACATCCTTCATTCAGCCACCCAAGAGACAGCCCTGTGTGTTTATTTAGTTAGTGAGTTGGTAATTTTGTACCCACTTTTATTTTCTTACTTTTTTTTTTTGGTTTGCCCAGTCTTCTTTTGTTTTGGAAACTGTGTTTTTGGGAACAGTTAGGGCTGTCAATCTCATGGCGCCATCAGTTCTGCTAAAGGTGAACTTACGACTCAGGTTGGCCAATAAGAGTATTGTATTTCCCTTCAAATACAGTAATTAGTCCAAGGATGGGTATGTGATCCAGGTGGTGCCAGTATTTTTCAAGGATTGATATGGATGATTGTGGAGAGAGGGTAATCTACTCATATGAGTTCCTGAACTACAAAGATTATGTAAGCCTAGTGTTGTCAGGAGTCATTTTCTCCGTGATGTAGACACAGCCAGCCTACAAAACAAAACCAACACCAAACACCCACTATAATTAACAGATGAATACATGTAGACAATGATTCTGAAACTTTCGTTTAAACCCCTAGTTCTATGTTACCAGCCTTTGGACTTTTTAAATGAGCCAATACATTTATTTATTTTTTCTTTCTGGCCTAAGCTAGTTTAAATTAGGATTCTGTCACTTCCAACCAAGAATCCTGGCTAACTAAATTAAAGCTCGTATACGAATTCATAATTTTGGAAACAACTTTCACCATCCATATATCACCTCACTACCCTCCTTCCAAACTCCCTGACATAGTCATTCAATGTATCATGGTTGCTAGGAGCAAAGGCTTGAAAGTCAGACTGAACTGGGTTCTAATATCAGCTCAGCCATGTGCAAGCTGTATGATTCTGAGCAAACCCATGACTTCTTGAAACCTGTTTTCTCTGTAAAATAAGGACATTATACTGTGGATTTTTTTTTTTTTTCTGAGACAGAGTTTCACTCTTGTTGCCCAGGCTGGAGTGCAATGGTGCGATCTTGGCTCACTGCAACCTTCGCCTTCTGGGTTCAAGCAATTCTCCAGCCTCAGCCTCCTGAGTAGCTGGGATTACAGGTGACAGCCAGCATGCCCTGCTAATTTTTGTATTTTTAGTAGAGATGGGGTTTTGCCATGTTGGCCAGGCTAGTCTCAAACTCCTGACCTCAGGTGATCTGCCCACCCCGGCCACCCAACCTGCTGGGATTACAGGCGTGAGCCACTGTGCCAGACCCTACACTGTGCATCTGCTATATTTTTAAGTGATTCGTGTAAAGTTTTCAGCTCAATTCCTAACGGATTTTAGGATCTAATTGAATGTTAGTCATTTTACCACCTCCTCTACAGGCTATCCTGGGCACAAAGAATGTAAAAGAAGGACTTGGCCAACATGTATGTCCAAGGATACTTTTATATTTAATTCCTCAAATTACATCAGAGTTAACTTTACAGAGGACAGGATTCTCCCTTTAGAAATTTCATGACATTCTGTCTTGAACATCTCAGTGTAATCAAGCACATGAAGGTCAGAGCTATATCCTCTGCTCCAAACTGCTCCCAGGAGTTAAGGTGTCACTGACTCATCTGGGGAGTTAAGTTAAATAGAAGCCTCTTTGAGAAATTCTTCCATCATTCCCTTGGCAACTGTAGACCCAACAAGGGGAAGGAGCCCCTGGCAGCAGCCAAACTGGCTGGAAATAATGAAGGGTTTATATTGCAGCACCCATTTTGTGCAAAAAAACAAACCAGAAAAAAAAGACATCCTCTCAAATTAGTATTCAGCTCTGATATGGTTTGGCTCTGTGTCCCCAAACAAATCTTTTTTTTTTTTTTTTTTTTTTTGAGACAGAGTCTCGCTTTGTTGCCCAGGCTGGAGTGCAGTGGCGCGATCTCGGCTCACCGCAAGCTCCGCCTCCCAGGTTCACGCCATTCTCCTGCCTCAGCCTCCCGAGTAGCTGGGACTACAGGTGCCTGCCACCATGCCTGGCTAATTTTTTTGTATTTTCAGTAGAGACGGGGTTTCACTGTGTTAGCCAGGATGGTCTCGATCTCCTGACCTCGTGATCCGCCCACCTCGGCCTCCCAAAGTGCTAGGATTACAGGAGTGAGCCACCACGTCAGGCTTCCCACACAAATCTTATCTTGAATTGTAATAATTCCCACGCATGGAGGGAGAGACCTGGTGAGAGGTTATTCGATCATGGAGGCAGGTTTCCCCCTTGCTGTTCTCATGATAGTGCATGAGTTCTCACGAGATCTAGTTGTTTGATAAGTTTCTGGTGCTTCCCCCTTCTCTTTCTCTCTCTCCTGATGCCTTGTGAAGAAGCTATTTGCTTCTCCTTTGCCTTCTGCCATGATTGTGAGTTTCCTGAGGTCTCCCCAGCCATGCAGAACTGTGAGTCAATTAAACTTCTTTTCTTTATAAATTATCCAGTCTCAGGTAGTATCTTTATAATAGTGTGAAAGAGACTAATAGACACATTTTCATGAATAGCTAATCTTAATGTTATCGTTCTTGTTTGTTCTGACTGATTCATATAAGATTCACATGACCCTGTTTCTACATTCTAAGTTAACAGTGAAAGTTCATCACAGTGGGTGTCAGTATTAATTAAACAATGCAACTGAAACCCAACTATTCCAGTTAAGACATCCCTAACCTCTCTAGCCATCTTGGACTATTTTATTTTATATTCCTCAAAATGACTAAAGTCCTGCCTCCATTCCCCAACATCTCACTGGCAGACTAGGTGTCTGGTAGAGGTCTATTTCCTGATTCATAGATGGCACCTTCTCCATGTGTCCTCACATGGTGGAAGGGGCTAGCTAGCTCTCTATGGTCTTTAAGAAGGGCATGATTCCTAATAGTGAGGGATATGCTCTTACAATATAATCACCTCCCAAAGGCCTTACCTCGTAATACTGTCACCTTGAGGATTAGGATTTCAGCATATGAATTTGGAAGGGGGCAGACATTTAGACCATAGCAAGTGAGGCACAAACAGATTCCAAAAGCCAGAGAAAAGATACAAGGTTGATTCTTCCTCAAGGCTTGTATTAGTCCATTCCCACACTGCTATGAATAAATACCTAGATTGGGTAATTTATAAAGGAAAGAGGTTTAATTGATTCACAGTTCTGCAAGGCTGGGAAAGCCTCAGGTAGCTTATAGTCATGGCGAAAGGGGAAGCAAACACGTCCTTCTTCACAGGGCGGCAGGAGAGACAAGTGAGAAGCAAACGGGGAAAAGCCCTTTAAAAAACCATCAGATTGCGTGAGAACTCACTCACTATCACAAGAACTGCATGGGGAAAACCACCCCCATGATTCAATTATCTCCACCTGGTCCCACCCTTCACATGTGGGGATTATTACAATTCAAGGTGAGATTTGGGTGGGCACACAGAGCCAAACCATATCAGGGCTGAATACTAATTTGTGGGGATGTCTTTGTTTTCTGGTTTGATTTTTGCACAAAATGGGTTCTTCAATATAAACCCTTCAGTATTTCCAGCCAGTTTGGCTGCACGTGGGGATCACAGTATGAGATGAGATTTGGGTGAGGACACAGAGCCAAACCATGTCAGTGTGTTTCTGAATGTAATTTTTTTTTTTTTTTTTTAAGATGGAGTCTTGCTCTTGTCGCCCAGGCTGGAGTGCAGTGATGTGATCTCGGCTCACCACAACCTCTGCCTCCCGGACTCAAGCAATTCTCCTGCCTCAGCCTCCTGGGTAGCTGGGATTACAGGTGCCCACCACCATACCCAGCTAATTTTTTTTTTTTAGTAGAGACAGAGTTTCACCATGTTGGCCAGGCTGGTCTCAAACTCCTGACCTCAGGTGATCCGCCCACCTCGGCCTCCCAAAGTGCTGGGGTTACAGACGTGAGCCACTGCTCCCAGCCGAATTTCAAATATTTAAAAATAATTTTGAAAGTAGCAAGAGAATGCATGGTGGTTTATGTTGAGGAAACCAGCCCCACACCACCCAGCGGGTACCCCGAGTCCCGGGGCGACAAAGGAGTTAGAAAGAGACAGAATAAGCATTTAAAAGGCGGGTCCAGAGGACCGGAGCATCGGAGGCTTGCTCGCGGCCCAGAGCTCTCGGGCTCCCCACAATTTATTGGTTTACAAGCTGTTTGTTCTTCGGGCAGATGGGAGTTGGGAGGAAGGGATGAGGAAAAGGATGAATCAGTGGAGGAGAACTCGTGAGTCATTCTATAAGATGTACAGCAGTGGCGGCTTCTGTGAATTTCCTTGAGCAAAGGCGTGTGTCTAAACTACTTAAGATCTTTAACTTATCGGAACTGAAACAGGTGGGAGCAGGTTTCAGGAGGAGCCAAGGTGTTTGATTATACTCCACTGCTTCAAGGGAGTGTTATCTCCCTGAGCAACCTGTGGAATCCCGCTGAGCGATTATGCTCTCTGGGCATAAAGACATGAAGGCAATAAGGAGACTTTTCTCCTCAGAGGTCGCCATGGCTTCCCATGGGTGTCTCACACAGGGGAGACCAACTCAGCTGGCATCCCAGAAACTCTCTTTCCCACAGTTTACACTGACAAATGAGAAATTATACATAAGTGCTTAGAATAATACCTGACACAAACTAATGCTATATGTATGTATGTTTGGTGCTCCTTTCTTTCTCTTTCTTTCTTTCTTTCTTTTTCTTTCTTTCTTTCTGTCTTTCTTTCTTTCTTTCTTTCTTTCTTTCTTTCTTTCTTTCTTTCTTTCTTCTTTCTTTCTTTCCTTCTTTCTTTCTTTCTTTCTTTCTTTCTTTTCTTTCTTTCTCTCTCTCTCTCTCTCTCTATCCCTCTTTCTTTCTTTCTTTCTTTCTTTTTTTTTAAACAAGGGCTTGCTCTGTTGCTCTGGCTGGAGTGAATGGCATGATCTCCGCTCACTGCAAGCTTCACCTTCTGGGCTCAAGTGATCCTCCCACCTCAGCCTCCCAAGTAGCTACTTGTAGTACTACCAAGTACTACAGGCATGAACCATCATGCCCAGCTCCTTTATGTATTTTTTGTAGAGACAGGGTTTCACCATGTTGAGCAGGCTGGTGTCAAATTCCTGGGCTCAAGCCTTTTGCTTGCCTCGGGCTCCCAAAGGCAGGGATTATAGCTGTGAGCCACCATGCTCAGCCTTGATGTTTTATTCTTTTAAAAGAGAAACATCCATTCATAAATACCTTCTTAATATAAAGCCATACAAGTACAGTAGGATAATGTGTTAACCTGTTTTGTATTGCTATAAAGGAATACGGGAGGCTCAGTAATTTAGTAAGAGATTTATTTGGCTCATGGTTCTGCATGGTGCCAGCATCTGCTAAGCATCTGATGAAGTCTCAGGAAGCTTTTACTCATGGTGGAAGGTGAAAGGGGAGCAGGCAAGTCACATGGCAAGAGAGGGAGCAAGATAGAGGGAAGAGGTGTCAGTCTCTGAACAATCAGTTCTCCTGTGAATGAATATAGTAACAACACACTCATTACCATGGGGAGGGCACGAAGCCATGTATGAGCGATATGCTGCCATGACCCAAACACCTCCCACTAAGTTCCACCTCCAACATTGGAGATCACATTTCATCATGAGATTTTGAGGAGACAAATATCCCAACCATATTAGATAGATAGGTAAGTAGGTAGTTAGGTAGGTAGGTAGGTAGATAAACATGTACATAGATGGATAGGTGGATAGATAGGTAGAAAGGTGGATAAATAGATTTAAAATAAGATATTAAACATAGCTAATGTTACATTATTGTTGTTATTTTTGTCATTATTGTTATGATCTGGATTTCATTGTATAAACAGTGGCTCACCTTTATTCCTCTTTTTATTTTTCTGCACTAAAATTGTGATTTCTGATTCTCATAAGGGTCATGAAGCTACATATTTCAAGAAATGCAGACTTAAGTACAAAAATGTAACTGTGTTCATGGTTTATTGAAAGCATCATTGATGGAAGAGATAACTTTTATTATTCAAAGGAAAACAAACACAGATATTATTTTTGTATACTATGTGCAGGATGGAATTTCAAACACTTTAGACAGCGTTGATACACAGAACTACCTTTCTATTATTATCCCACTTCACAAAGGAGGAAATTGAAGTACAGAAAAGTTAACATGCTAGAGGTTTCACAGCTATTAAGTAGCAAGACCAGGATTGAAACCAAGGTAGTCCAATTCCAGAGCAGAATCTGTCAATGACCAAGTTACCTAATCTTTCAGAAAGCCAGAAACAGTCAGATAAATAATCCACCTTGGTTCATCTCTCTTAGTATTTTATTTTCATTTTTGGGGACACAATCCTAAAACTACTTAAAATAGACTGATTATTCCTTTATAAGTTATGTGGGAAAGCAATAACTTAAGTTTACTCATTTTTTTTTAAAACAAGTATTTAATGAGCACCTACTAAGTGCCAGAAACTTTTCTGGGCATGGGGCTAAGCAGTGAAAGAAATCGATGACTTCATGGAACTTATGTTCTAGAGAAGTGGATATAGATAATAAACTAAATAAGTATAAATATTATAAAGAAAAATAGAGAAGAAGTTTGAGCAGACAGGAAAGGCCTCACCAAGCAAGTTGTTCATTTGCTTAGGAAATCATGGAGAAGGGGAAAGAAATATTGTGTTCACAATTTCCCATTTACTTTTAGTGTCTTTTCTACTAAGACAATTCTTTACTGGGAGCTAGGTCACCAGAGGGACCTGCTTGCCATGATTTTTAGAAATTCACACTTCAATGGATGCAAAGCCAGAAGGTTGCAGGCCCTTTCTATGCAATGCTACCCTGTGCTAGGATGCACCCACAAGTCTGCAGTTCATGAAAGATTCTTCCAAGCCAGAGCAGCTTCTATACTTGAACTCATCATTCAAATAATGTGGGAGATTTAAACTTAGCCAAACTCCTTGAGCAGTTCAGTATCCTTTCACACAGGACATTTGGCTTGTCAAAAGAAAAGTTGGATTGCCTGAGGCTTGATCTTAAACATGTCTGAAGTTGGAGACACTGCATGAGACTTTTGCTTCTCTTTCTATCTTGCATACATGTTTGTTTGTGCTAAAAAGGCAACATTGTCAAAACACCTACAGAGATATCACAATAGAAGTGCAAAATCACACTATGAAATGCTGATAAAGAATGTGTTTTCCCCGATGGGACATATCTCAAAATAATAACAGCTATTTATGACAAACCCACAGCCAATATCATACTGAATGGGCAAAAACTGGAAGCATTCCCTTTGAACACTGACACAAGACAGGGATGACTCTCTCACCACTCCTATTCAACATAGTATTGGAAGTTATGTCCAGGGCAATCAGGAAAGAGAAAGAAATAAAGGGTATTCAATTAGGAAAAGAGGAAGTCAAATTGTCCCTGTTTGCAGATGACATGATTGTATATTTAGAAAACCCCATCGTCTCAGCCCAAAATCTCCTTAAGCTGATAAGCAACTTCAGCAAAGTCTCAGGATACAAAATCAACGTGCAAAAATCACAAGCATTCCTATACACCAATAGGAAACAAACAGAGCCAAATCATGAGTGAACTCCTATTCACAATTGCTTAGAAGAGAATAAAATACCTAGGAATACAACTTACAAGGGATGTGAAGGACCTCTTCAAGGAGAACTACAAACCACTACTCAATAAAATAAAAGATGACACAAACAAATGGAAGAACATTCCATGCTCATGGGTAGGAAGAATCAATATTGTGAAAATGGCCATACTGCCCAAGGTAATTTATAGATTCAATGCCATCCTCATCAAGCTACCAATGATTTTCTTCACAGAATTGGAAAAAACTACTTTAAAGTTCATATGGAACCAAAAAAGAGCCCACATTGCCAAGTAAATCCTAAGCCAAAAGAACAAAGCTGGAGGCATCATGCTACCTGACTTCAAACTATACTATAAAGCTACAGTAACCAAAACAGCATGGTACTGGTACCAAAACAGAGATATAGACCAAAGGAACAGAACAGAGCCCTCAGAAATAATAGCACACATCTACAACTATGTGATCTTTGACAAACCTGACAAAAACAAGCAATGGGGAAAGGATACCCTATTTAATAAATGGTGCTGGGAAAACTGGCTAGCCATATGTAGAAAGCTGAAATTGCATCCTTTCCTTACACCTTATACAAAAATCAATTCAAGATGGATTAAAGACTTAAACATTAGACCTAAAACCATAAAAACCCTAGAAGAAAACCTAGGCATAACCATTCAGGACATAGGCATGGGCAAGGACTTCATGTCTAAAACACCAAAAGCAATGGCAACAAAAGCCAAAATTGACAAATGGGATCTAATTAAACTAAAGAGCTTCTGCACAGCAAAAGAAACTACCATTGGAGTGAACAGGCAACCTACAAAATGGGAGAAAATTTTCACAATCTACTCATCTGACAAAGGGCTAATATCCAGAATCTACAATGAACTGAAACAAATTTACAAGAAAAAACAAACAACCCCATCAAAAATTGGGTGAAGGACATGAACAGACACTTCTCAAAAGAAGACATTTATGCAGCCAAAAAACACATGAAAAAATGCTCACCATCACTGGCCATCAGAGAAATGCAAATCAAAACTACAGTGAGATACCATCTCACACCAGTTACAATGGCAATCATTAAAAAGTCAGGAAACAACAGGTGCTGGAGAGGATGTGGAGAAATAGGAACACTTTTACACTGTTGGGAATGTAAACTAGTTCAACCATTGTGGAAGTCAGTGTGGCGATTCCTCAGGGATCTAGAACTCGAAATACCATTTGACCCAGCCATCCCATTACTGTGTATATACCCAAAGGACTATAAATCATGCTGCTATAAAGACACATGCACACGTATGTTTATTGTGGCATTATTCACAACAGCAAAGACTTGGAACCAACCCAAATGTCCAACAATGATAGACTGGATTAAGAAAATGTGGCACATATACACCATGGAGTACTATGCAGCCATAAAAAATGATGAGTTCATGTCCTTTGTAGGGACATGGATGAAATTGGAAATCATCATTCTCAGCAAACTATCGCAAGAACAAAAAACCAAACACCGCATGTTCTCACTTATAGGTGGAAATTGAACAATGAGACCACATGGACACAGGAAGGGGAACATCACACTCTGGGGACTGTGGTGGGGTGGGGGGAGGGCGGAGGGATAGCATTGGGAGATATACCTAATGCTAGATGACGAGTTAGTGGGTGCAGTGCACCAGCATGGCACATGTATACATATGTAACTAACCTGCACATTGTGCACATGTACCCTAAAACTTAAAATATAATAATAATAAATTAAAAAAAAAGAAAAAGAAAATGTGGCACATATACACCATGGAATACTATGCAGCCATAAAAAAGGATGAGTTCATGTCCTTTGTAGGGACATGGATGAAGCTGGAAACCATCATTCTGAGCAAACTATCGCAAGGACAGAAAACCAAACACTGCATGTTCTCACTGATAGGTGGGAATTGAACAATGAGAACACTTGGACACAGGGTGGGGAACATCACACACTGGGGCCTGTCGTGGGGTTGGGGGAGGGAGGAGGGATAGCATTAGGAGATATACCTAATGTAAATGATGAGTTACAGGTGTAGCACACCAACATGGCACATGTATACATATGTAACAAACTTGCACGTTGTGCACATGTACTCTAGAACTGAAAGTATAAAAAAAAAAGAATGTGTTTTCCCATGAATTTTCGTAAATGATCTAGCCTAAACATTCTAGTAAACAACCCCCAAAACAGGATAAATAAAATTTGAGTAAAATCCCAAGCATGAAGATAATATATTTTAATTTAACAAATAGTTTATTTCTACTGTTTAAAAAATGATTGTCTTAAATGATCATCATATACTTCAGTTTTCTCACTGCCTTTTCAGGAAGGCCATTTCCTCATTCATTAGACATAATCACAACCAGCTTCTCCGACTTTGAATATCATGGAAAACAAAAGCTACAGACCCAATATATCAGGTGATGCTATGATTTCAGGGCAATTTTGTGCAACCAGTTCTCATAATCAGTGCAGATCTCAGTCTGTGCAAACAAGGATCCCAGTGCAAGAAATGTTAACAAAGAAATGCCTTCTTTAGGAGTACCCTCTCCACCTCTTTCCTCTCCACCTATTTCTTCCTCATCCCAAACTAGGTAGCAATTATCACTGTTGCTCTATTACTGTCCCCTCTTATCTTCTAAGGTTTTCCTTTCTTGGTTTTTCAGTTGTTTTCAAACTTTAGAAGAAATAAGGATCACCAAGGAACTCGTTAGACATATATATATATACACACCCACATATATATAAACACTATATGTCATTAGACATATAAATATATATTATTATATATTTAATATGTATATTTAAATTGACAAGTAATAATTGTATATGTTTATGGGATACAATGTGATTTTTCCATAACATGTACACATTGTGAAATGATCAAATCAGACTACCATATCTATCAAGTAATTATCATTTATTTGTAGTGAGAACATTTAAAATCCATTATTTTAACTATTTTGAAATATACAATATATTATTAACCATAATCACTAGACCACCAGAACCGATTTCTCCTGTCTAACTAAAATTTTGTATCCTTTGTCTTAGTCTGTTTTGTGTGCTATAAAGAAATATCTGAGGCTGGGCAATTTAGAAAGAAAAATAGTTTATTTGGCTCACAATTCTCATGGCCAGAAAGTACAACATTGGGCATCTGCACCTGATAAGAGCCTCAAGCTACTTCTGCTCATGGGAGATGGCAAAGGAGAGCAGTATGTAGAGATCACATGGTGAGAGAGAAAGCAAGTGGTCAGGCAGAAGCCAGGCTCTTTTTTTTTTTAATTTTTAATTTTGTGGGTACATAGTAGGTGTGTATATTTATGGGGTACATCAGATATTTTGATACAGGGATACAATGCATAATAATCATATCAGGATATACGGAATATCCATCACCTCAAGCATTTATCCTTTTTTTGTGTTACAAAAATCTACACTCTTTTGGTTAATTAATTAATTAATTAATTTTGAGACAAAGTCTCGCTCTGTCACCCAGGCTGGAGTGCAGTGGCACGATCTTGACTCACTGCAATCTCCACCTTCTGGGTTCAAGTGATTCTCCTGCTTCAGCCTCCTGAGTAGCTGGGATTATAGGTGCATGCCACCAAGCCTGGCTAATTTGTATTTTTAGTAGAGATGGGGTTTCACCATGTTGGCCAGGATGATCTCGAACTCCTGACCTCAGGTGATCCGCCTGCCTCATCCTCCCAAAGCGCTGGCATTACAGATGTGGGCCACCATTCCTGGCTTCTTTTGTTATTTTAAAATGTACAATACATTACTGGTGGCTGTAGACACCTTCTTGTGCTATCGAATACTAGCTCTTAGTCATTCTACCTAACTATATTTTTGTACCATTAACCATGCCCCCTTTCTCTTCACTACCCTTTCCAGCCTCAGTAATCATTGTTCTACTCTCTATCTCCATGAGTTTAATTGCTTTAATTTTTAGCTCCCACAAAGACATGAGAACATGTGAAATTTGTCTTTCTGTGCCTGGCTTATTTTACTTAACATAATGATCTCCAATTCTATCCATGTTGCTACAAATGACTGGATCTCATTCTTTTTTATGGCTGAGTAGTACTCAATTGTGTATATGTACCACATTTTCTCTATCCATTCATCTGCTGATGAACACTTAATGTTGCTTCCAAATCTTGCCTATTGTGAATAGTGCTGCAATAAAAATGGGAGTGCAGGTATCTCTTCTATATACTGATTTCCTTTCTTTCGGTTATATACCTAGCAGTGGCATTGCTGGATCATATGGTAGCTTTATTTTTAGTTTTTTGGGAAATCTCAAACTGTTCTCCATAGCAGTTGTACTAATTTACATTCCCACCAACAGTGTATGAGGGTTTCCTTTTTTGCACATCTTTGCCAGTATTGTTATAACTTGTATTTTGGATAAAAGCCCTTTTAACTGGAGTGAGATGATATCTTCTTGTAGTTTTGATTTGCATTTCTCAGAATATTAATGATGTTGAGCACCTTTTCATACATCTGTTTTCCATTTGTATGTCTTATTTTGAGAAATGTCTATTCAGATATTTTGCCACTTGTTTAATTGGATTATTAGATTTTTTTTCTATTGAGTTTTTCGAGCTCTTTATATATTCTGGTTATTAATCCCTTGTCAGATGGATAGTTTGCAAAGATTATCTCCCATTCTGTGAGTTGTCTTTTCACTTTGTTGATTGTTTCTTTTGCTTTGCAGAAGCTTTTTAACTTGATGTGATACCATGTGTACATGTTAGCTTTGGTTGCTTATGTGTGTGTGGTATTATTCAAGAAATATTCGCTGTGACCAATGTCCTAGAGGATGTTTTCTTTGAGTAGTTTTATAGTTTGAAGTCTTAGTTTTAAGTTTTTAATTCACCTTGATTTGATTTTTGTATATTGTGAGAGATAGGGTCTAGTTTCATTCTCCAGTATATGGACATCCAATTTTTCTCAGACCATTTATTGAAAGGACTGTTCTTTCCCCAGTGTGTGTTCTTGGAACTTTGTTGGAAATAAGTTTCTCAGATTTCTATTCTGTTCCAATGATCTACATGTCTGTTTTTATACCAGTACCATGCTGTTTTGTTTACTGTAGCTTTGTAGTATAATTTGAATTTTTTTCATGACATGAGACAGATATATATATATCTATATATCTATATATATCTATATATATCTATATATTTATATATATCTATATATATCTATATATATATCTATATATATCTATATATATCTATATATATCTATATATATATCTATATATATCTATATATATATCTATATATATATCTATATATATCTATATATATATCTATATATATATCTATATATATCTATATATATATCTATATATATATCTATATATATCTATATATATCTATATATATCTATATATATCTATATATATTTGAGGTTGCATATTTCACTTTATTTAGCAAATGGTCACACTTGGCCCCACCACTGCCCCTGCAGCCTTGCTTGAACACCTGCCTCAGGAAGCAGCTCAGAGTGAACAGGAAGGCCTGGGTTTCCAAGCTTGGGCCTCACCTGCCTCCACACATGCCACACACTACAGAACAAAATTACTGCCCCATGTCCTCAGGAGCCCATCCCATGTGGTCCAGGCGGCCCTCCAGTGTTCAACAGCTGCCTGCAGGGGCTGCAGCCCAGCTCTAGGCACAGACCCCCTGTTCCTGAGACACCAGCCCCAGGAGAGCCTCTGTCTCCAGCTGTGAGGGTGCCAGACACTGAGCCCTGGCCCTGCCACCTGTCCTTGCTGGGCAATAAGCAAATGTATGAAAATACTTCAATGACTTCTTTGAAAGAGTTAAGCTTGGCAATAAATTTATCTTCTAGATTTTCCAAATTATTAATATATAGTTGCTCATAATAGCTTCTAATAATCCTTTGTAATGTGATTCTTCCAGTTTCATTCTTTTTGCTCAGGATAGCATTGGCTATTCTGGCTCTTTGTGGTTCCATACAAGTTTTAAGATTGTTTTTTCTCTTTCTGTGAAGAATGTCAGTGGTATTTGATAAGGATTGCATTGAATCTGTAAATTGCTTTGTGTAGTGTGGTAATTTTAACAATATTGACTCTTCCAATCCATGAACATGGAATATGTTTTCATTTTTTCTGATGTCCTCTTCAATTTCTTGCAGCAGTGATTTACAGTTTTCATTGTAGAGATCTTTCACTTCATTGGTTATGTTAATTCCTAGGTATTTTATTTTCTTTGTAGTTATTATAAATGGGATTACTTTCTTGATTTCTTTTTCACTTTGTTTGTCGTTGGCAAGTAGAAATGCTAGTAATTTTTTATGTTGACTTTGTATCCTGGCACTATGCTGAATTTGTTGATCAATTCTAATAGCTTTTTGGTAACATCTTTAGATTTTTCCAAATATAATACCATATCATTTGCACAGAAGAATAATTTGACTCTTCCTTTTTAATGTAGATGTGCTTTCTTTTTCTTGTCTGATTGCTCTAGGTAGGACTTACAGTATTATTTTGAATAACAGTGATGAAAGTTGGCATCCTTGTCATGCTCCAGATCTTAGAGAAAAGGCTTTTAATTTTTCCCATTCAGTAGTATACTAGCTGTGGGTCTGTCATATATGGCTTTTATTATGTTGAGGTATATTCCTTCTACATCCAGTTTTCTGAGGGTTTTTAACATGAAGTGATGTTGAATTTTATCAAATGCTCTTTTAGCATCAATTGAAATGATTATATGGTTGTTGTTCTTCATTATGTTGATATGATGTATCATATTGAATAATTTCTGTATGTTGAACAATTTTTGCATCACTGGGATAAATCCCATTTCATCATGGTGAATGATCTTTTAATGTATTGTTGAATTTGATTTGCAAGTATTTTGTTGAGGATTTTTACATCAATGTTCATCAGGGATATTAGCCTGTAGTTTCTTTTTTGATGTGTCTTTGTCTGGTTTTTGTATCAGGATAATACTGGCCTCATAGAATGAGTTTCTGAAGTATTCCCTCCTCCTTTATTTTTCAGAATAGTTTGAGAAGGATTGGTATTAAGTTCTTTTAATGTTTGATAGAATTCAGAAGTGAAGCCATTGGGTCCTGGACTTTTCTTCGCTGGGAGAATTTTTATTACATCTTCAATCTTGTTACTTGTTATTTTTCTGTTCAGGTTTTGGATTTCTTCATGATTCAATCTTGGTAGCTTGTATATGTCTAAGAAATTATCCATTTCTTCTAGATTTTCCAAATTATTGATATATAGTTGCTCATAATAGCTTCTAATTATCTTTTGAATTTCTATGGTATTGGTTGTAATGTCTCCTTTTTCAACTTTGATTTTATTGATTTGGGTCTTCTCTTTTTTTTCTTAGTCTGACTATAGGTTTGTTGATTTTTTTAAATCTCTTCAAAAAACCGACTTTTCATTTCTTTGATAGTTTGTATTATTTTCCTTGTTTCAATTTCATCTATTTCTGCTCTGATCTTTATTATTTCTTTCCTCCTACTAATTTTAGGTTTGGCTTGCTCTTACTTTTCTAGTTCCATAAGATGCATTCTTAGGTTGTTTATTTAAAGTTTTTCTATCTTTTCGATGTAGGCACTTATAGTACTGCTTTTGCTGTATCCTATAGGTTTCGATATGTTGTGTTTCCTTTATAATTTGTTTCAAGAAATTTTTAAATTTTCCTCTTAAGTTCTTCATTGACCTACTGGTCATTCAGGAGGATATTGTTTAATTTCCATGTGTTTGTATAGTTTCCAAAATTTCTCTTATTGTTGATTTCTAGTTTTATTATATTGTGGTCAGAGAAGATGCTTGATATAATTCCTTTTTTTCAAGAAAATGTTAAGACTTGTTTTGTGGCCTAACATATGGTCTATCCTTGAGAATGATCCATGTGCTGAGGAGAAGAATGTGTATTCTGCAGCCACTGGGTGAAATGTTCATTAAACATCTATTAGATCAATTTGGTCCATAGTGCGGATTTAGTCCAAAGCTCTTTGTTGATTTTCTGTCTGGATAATCTGGCCAATGCTGTAAGTGGGGTGTTGAAGTCTCCAGCTATTATTGTATTAGGGTCTATCTCTCTCTTTAGCTCTAATAATATTTGCTTTATATATCTGAGGGCTCCCTTGTTGGATGAATATATATTTAAAATTGTTATATTCTCTCTCTGAATTGATTTTTTATCATTATATAATGACCTTCTTTGTCTTTTTTTAAATAGATTTTTGTCTTGAAATGTATTTTGTCTGATAAAATATAGCTACGCCTGCTCTTTTTTGGTTTCCTTTTGCATGGAATATCTTTTTCCATCTCTTTGTTTTCAGTCTATGTATGTCTTTATATGTAAAGTATGTTCTCATAGCAAAGGATCATTGGGCCTTCTTTTTTAATCCATTTAGTCATTCTCTGTCTTTTGATTGGAAGATTTAGTCCATTTATATTCAACGTTACTATTGATAAGTAAAGACTTACTCCTGCCATTTTGTGATTTATTTTCTGATTGTTCTGTAGTCTTCTCCTTCTTTTCTCCTTCCTTTTAGTAAAAGTGATTTGCCCTCATGGTATGATTTAATTTCTTGCTTTTTATTTTTTGTGTATCTCTTGTATATTTTTTGATTTTAAGCTACCATGAGGCTTGCAAATGATATTTTATAACCCATTATTTTAAATAATGAAAACTTAATATTCATTGCATAAAAACAAATAAGCAAAGAGAAAACTAATAAAAATTCTACACTTTAACTTTGCCCCCTCTCCCTTTTTAAATTTTTGTTTGTTTGTTTGTTTTTGAGATGGAGTCTCCCTCTGTCAACCAGGCTGGAGTGCAGTGGCACAATCTCAGCTCACTGCAACTTCTGCCTCCTGGGTTCAAGTGATTATCCTACTTCAGCCTCCAGTATAGCTGGGATTATAGGCACCTGCCACCACATCTGGCTAATTTTTGTATTTTTAGTAGAGACGGGGTTTCACCATGTTGGCTAGGCTGGTCTTGAACTCCTGACCTCAGGTGATCAGCCCACTTTGGCCTCCCAAAGTGCTGGGAATACAGGCTTGAGCCAAAAGTTGTTGTAGTCATTATTTTTGATTGGTTCATCTTTTAGTCTTTTTACTCAAGATACGAGTGGTTCACACACCAAAATTACAGTGTTATACTATTCTGTGTTTTTCTGTGTACTTACTATTACCAGTGAGTTTTGCACCTTCACATGATTTCTTATTGCTTATTAATGTCCTTTTCTTTTGGATTGAAGAACCCCTTTAGCATTCCTTGCAGGTCAAGTCTGGTGTTGATGAAATGCCTCAACTTTTGTTTGTCTGGGAAAGTCTATTCTTCATATTTGAAGGATATTTTAGCTGGATAGATCATTCTAGGAGAAAAGGGTTTTTCCTCAGCATTCTTTCCTGTCATGCCACTCTCTCCTGGCCTGTAATGTTTCCACTGAAAAGTCTGCTGTCAGACATATTTGACCTCCATTTTATATTGTTTATTTCTTTTCTCTTGCTACTTTTAGGACCCTTTATCTTTATGGGAATTCAATTATATAAATACCTTGAGGTAGTCTTCTTTGGGTTAAATCTGCTTGGTGTTCTATAATCTTCTCGTACTTAAATATTGATATCTTTCACTAGTTCTGGGAAGTTCTCTGTTATTATCCCTTTGAATAAACTTCCTACCCCAATCTTTCTCTCTTCTCCTCTTTAAAGCCAATAACTCTTAGATTTGTCCTTTTGAGGCTATTTTCTAGACCTTATAGGCATGCTTTATTCTTTTATATTCTTTTCTTCTTTTGTCTTCTCTGTCTATTTTGAAATAGCCTGTCCTCAAGTTCATTAATTCTTTCTTCTGCTTGATCAATTCTGTTGTTAATAGACTGATGCATTCGTTAGTATGTCAATTGCATTTTTCAATGGCAGAATTCTTCTTGATTATTTTTAATTATTTCAATATGTTAAATTTATCTAATAGGATTCTAAATTCCTTCTCTCTGTTATCTTGAATTTTGTTGAGTTTCCTCAAAACAGTTATTTTCAATTTTCTGAAAAGTCACACATGTCTCCCTTCAGAATTGATCCATGGTGACTTATTTAGTTTGTTCGATGAGTTCATATTTTCGTGGATGGTCCTAACGCTTGTTAATGTTCATAGTCTCTGTGCATTGAAGAACTAAGTACTTATTGCAGTCTTTGCAGTCTCGGCTTATTTGTACCTGTCTTTGGGACTGCTTTGCAGGTATTTGAAGGGACCTGAATATTGTAATCTAAGCTTTTTGTCACTGCAGCCATATGTGCATTAGATACTTCCCAAGCCCAGTAATGGTACAGCTCTTGCAGTCTTGTAGAGTTATCACCTTTATGGTCTTGGATAAGATCTGGAAGAATTTCCTGGATTACCAGGAAGAGACTCTTATTCTCTTCCCTTACTTTCTTCTAAGCAAATGGAACCACTCTCTGAGCTGCCTGGAGCTGGGGGAAGGGTGACACAAGCACCCATGTGGCAACCACCACTAGGACTGTGCTGGGTCATACGTGAAATCAGCAAGGTACTGGGTTTTGCCCAAGGCCCACATTAACCACTTCCTGGCTACCACTATATTCACTATATACTATATTGGATATATTATACTCTATATTGGATACACTATATTGAATATACTATACACTATATTGGATATATACCCAGGAGTGGGATTTCTGAGTTATGTGATAATGCTATTTTTAGTTTTTTAAGGAATCTCCATACTGTTTTCTAAAATGTACTAATTTACAATGCTACAACAATGTACAAGGGTTCCCTTTTCTCCACATCCTCACCAATACTTGTTATCTTTCTTTTTTTTGTGATAGCCAATCTAATAAGTGTGAGGTAATAACTTATTGTGGTATTAATTTGCATTTCTCTGGAAAATGGTGGATAGGAGTCATGACTAACATTCAGCTCCTACTTGGATGGACGGAACAGCGTGTGGAGACTCACGCCATGAACTTTTGCTCCAAGAACCACCACAGGAACATGCCAGGAAGACTGAAAAAGTTCACGGGTCCTGCGGAAGAAGCAACTTACCACTGAAAACTCTGTGAGACAGCTGAAAAAGTGAGTTCCCAAAGCATGAGAGGGAAAAACCTGCCTCCAAACACACATCTCCAGTGGGGAACCTGAAAATTCACATAATAGGGGAAGGATATAATAGACTTAGGGAGCCAAGCAAAATATTAAAGTAGAAGAAGCAATAGAAAGAGCCTTGTAGGCACTCTCACTTCCCAGCTTGAGCCCAGGGAAGCCACCCCTGACTTTATCTCACAGGGCTCCTTAAGGAAGGCAGCCAGTGGAACTAGGGAGGGGTCACAGGGTGAAAGAAGCTTCCAACTGAACTTTGTAATAATTTCAACCAAGCTCAAATTTTCTTGAGCCGAATCCAAGGGTTAAACAGGAAATGCTGCAGATACAAGCACTGGAGCTGCAGCCAACAGTGTGTGCAGACAGGGAGAGGCAAGACCTGAAAGCGATGATAGCTTTCTTAGCTGGAAGGCTTCTTGCCTGGGGCAAGGTCTGAGCCCTGTGCATGGGCTACCTGAAAATAAATTGTTGGTGAGGCATGACAGGAGCAAGACCAGCCTTGATGGCTGTGTGGGAGCTGGGTGAGACCTGTCACTGTTGGCTTCCCCCAACTTCCCTGGTGACCTGTATGATGCAGCAGAGGCAGCCATAATCCCTTTAGAACATAACTCCATTGGCTTGAAAACCACGCCCCACTACCCCCCAGAGTGGCTGCTGCAAGCTGTGACCAAGGAGAGTCTGAGCTCAGACCCACCTAACCCCGCCCCTAGCTGACGGTATTTCTCTACCTCTTCTGGTAGCCAAAGACAAAAAACATAAACTCCTGGGAGCTTTATGGCCCCACCCATTGCCTGAGAAACCTGAATGCTTATCCTGGACAACTTAGGGCAAGCTTATGTCCCCCTTCTACTATCACAGCTGGTGCTCTCTTGAAAGTGCCACCTCCTGGATGGAGGTCAACCAACTCAAGCCATTACAGCAGCTCATAACAGAATAACCCTGCTCCAAGGAAAGAGAAAACTACAGTTAATTCCACTGCCTGCAACATCCTGACTAAACAGAGGTCATGAGTCTGTCTACATGACAACTTCACTGCTAGCATAACCAGTATTCAAGAAAAACAGCATATTAAACAAAACTACAATCAAGGACTCTCACAGAGTCTACTTCACTCCCCTGTCACCTCCACCAGAGCAGATGCTGGTATCCATGGCTGGGAGACCTGAAGATGGATCACATCACAGGACTCTGCAAAGATTCCCCAGCACCAGCCCAGAGCATGATAGCTCCGCTGGGTGGCTAGACCCAGAAGAGCAATAACAATTACTCCAGTTTGGCTCTCAGGAAGCCATTTCCCTAGGGGAAGGAGGAGAGCACCATATCAAGGGATCACCCCATGGGACAAAAGAATTTGAACAGCAGTCCTTGAGTTCAAGATCTTTCCACTGAATAGCCTACGCAAATAGAAGAAACCAGAAAAGTAATTCTGGAAATATGAGAAAACAAGGTTCTATAACACCCCCCAAAAGATTATACTAGCTCCCCTGCAGTGGATCCAAACCAAGAATAAATCCCTGAATTGCCAGATAAAGAATTCAGAAGGATGAGTATTAAGTTACTCAAGGAGATACCAGAGAAAAGTGAAAACCAACTTAAAGAAATTTAAAAAATAATATAGAATATGGATGAAAAATTTTCCAGAGAAATAGACATCATAAAGAAAAAACAATCACAACTTCTGGAAATGAAAGACACACTTAGAGAAATAAAAAATGCACTGGAAAGTATCAACAACAGACTAGAACAAGTAGAAGAAAGAACTTTTGGCTTGAAGACAAGGCTTTTGAATTAACCCAATCCAAGACAGACAAAGAAAAAAGAATTTAAAAAAATGAACAAAGCCTCCAAGAAATTTGGGATTATGTTAAATGTCCAAATTTAAGAATAATTGATGTTCCTGAGAAAGAAGAGAAATCTAAAAATTTGAAAAACATATTTGAGGGAATAAGTGAGGAAAACTTCCCTGGCCTTGCTAGAGAGCTAGACATCCAAATACAAGAAGCTCAAAGAACATCTGGGAAATTCATTGCAAAAAGATAATCACCTAGGCACATAGTCATCAGATTGTCTCAAGTTAAGATAAAGGAAAGAATCTTAAGAGCTTTTTAAGATAAAGAAAAACCTATCAGATTAATAGCAGATTTCTCAGCAGAAACCCTTCAAGCCAGATGGGATTGGGGTCCTATCTTTAGCCTCCTCAAAGAAAGTAATTATCAGCCAATAATTTTGTATCCAGCAAACCTCCTTAAACATAAATCTCATGCAAGGCCTATAAAACAATAGCACAATGATAAAAACAAACCAAGGTATTCAGTCAACAATGAGCATGATGAATCGAATGGTACCTCACATCTTAATACTAATGTTGAATGTCAATGGCCTAAATGCTCCACTTAAAAGATACAGAATGGCATAATGGATTAATAAAACCACCACCCAAGTATTTGCTGTCTTCAAGAGACTCACCTAACACATAAGGACTCACATAAACTTAAAGGGGTGGAAAAAGATAATCCATGCAAATAAAAACCAGAAATGAGCAGAAATGGCTATTCTTATATCAGACAAAACAGACATTAAAACAACAACAGTTAAAAAACATAAGAAGGAATATTATATAATGGTAAAAAGATAAGTCCAACAGGAAAATATCACAATCCTAAATATATATGCATCTAACACTGGAGCTCCCAAATTTATTAAACCATTACTACTAGACCTAATAAATGAGATAGACAGCAACACAATAATAGTGAGGGACTTCAATACTCCACTGACAACACTAGACAGGTCATCAAGACAGAAAGTCAACAAAAAAAAAAATGGATTTAAACTATACACTACAAGAATTGAACTTAGCAGATATTTATAGAACATTCTACCCAACAACTGCAGAATATACATTCTTTTCATCAGCACATGGAACATTCTGCAAGATAGATCATATGATAGGCTAGAAAATAAGTCTCAATAAATTTAAGAAAATTGAAGTTATATCAAGTACCCTCTCAGACCACAGTGGAATAAAATTAGAAATTAACTCCAAAAGGAACCCTGAAAACTATACAAATGCATGGAAATTAAACAATCTGCTCCTGAATGACCTTTGGGTCAATAATGATATCAAAATGAAAATTTAAAAATTCTTTGAACTGAATGATGATAGTGACACAACCTATCAAAACCTCTGGGGTACAGCAAAAGCAATGCTAAGAGGAAAGTTTATAGCATTAAATGCCTACATTAAAAAGTCTGAAAGAGCACAAATAGACAATTTAAAGTCACACCTCAAGGAACTAAAGAAACAAGAACAAACCAAACCCAGACACAGCAGAAGAAAAGAAATAACAAAGATCACAGCAGAAATTAAATGAAATTAATTGAAATTAAAACAAAAAATACAAAAGATAAGTGAAACAAAAAGCTGATTCTTTGAAAAGATAAACAAAATTGATAGACCTTTAGCAAGATTAACCAGGAAAGGAAGAGAGAAGATTTAAAAAGCTCAACTAGAAATGAAATAAGAGTTATTACAATTGATACTACAGACATACAAAAGATCATTCAAGGTTACTATGAACACCTTTATGTGCACAAACTAGAAAACCTCAAGGAAATAAATAAATTCCTGGAAATACACAACCTTCCTAGATTAAAACAGGAAGAAATAGAAACTCTGAACAGACCAATAACAAGTAGCAAGATTGAAACAGTAATTTTAAAATTGCCAACAACAACAATAACAAAAAAACCCAGGACCAGATGGATTCACAGCTAAAATCTTATTTATTTATTTATTTATTTATTTATTTCAGACAGAGTCTTGCTCTGTTGCCCAGGCTGGAGTCCAGTGGCATGATCTTAGCTCACTGCAACCTCCACCTCCTGGGTTCAAGTTATCCTCTTGCCTCAGCCTCCCGAGTAGCTGGGATTATAGGCACCCATCACCATGCCTGGCTAATTTTTGTATTTTTAGTAGAGACGAGGTTTCGCAATATTCAATAAGCTGGTCTCAAACTCCTGACCTCAAGTGATTCACCCTCCTTGGCCTCCCAAAGTGCTGGGATTACAGGTGTGAGCCAGCATGCCTGGCCTCACAGCTGAATTCTATCAAACATTCAAAGAAGAATTTGTGTCAATCTTACTTAAACTATTCAAAAATATAGAGAAAAAGGGAATCTCCTTAATTTGTACTATGAAGCCAGTATCACCCTAATACCAAAACCAGAAAAGGACATAACAAAAACAGAAAACTACACACCAATATCCCTGATGAACATAGATGCTAAAATCCTCAACAAAATACAAGCTAACTGAATCCAACAGCATATCAAAAAGATAATACACCATGATCAAGTGGCTTTCATACCAGGGATGCAGGGATGGTTTAACATACATGAGTCAACAAAAATGATACACCACAATACATGGAATTAAAAACAAAAATCATATGATCATCTCGGTAGATGCAGAAAAAGCATTTGACAACATCTAGTATCTGTTTATGATTAAAACTCAGCAAAATCGGCATAGAAGAGACATGTCTTAACATAATAAAAGCCATCTATGACTAACCCACAGCCAACATTACACCGAACAGGGAAAGGAAGAAAGCATTCCCCATGAGAATCAAAACAGACAAGGATGCCTACTTTCACCACTTCTATTCAGCGTAGTACTGGAAGTCCTAGCCAGAGCAAACAAATAAATAAAAAGGAAATAAAAGGCAACCAGATCAGTAAAGAGAAAGTTAAACCGTCACCAGTGATATGATCGTATACCTAGAAAACCCTAAAGATTCATTCAAAAAGCTTCTAGATCTGATAAATGAATTCCGTAAAGTTTCAGGATACAAAATCAATGCACACTAATCAGTAGTGCTACTATAAAACAACAACAACCAAGCTGAGAATCAAATCAAGAATTCAACCCTTTTTACAATAGCTGCAAAAAATAAAATAAAATAAAATACTTAGGAATGTAGCTAACCAAGGAGGAGAAAGGCCTCTACAAGGGAAACTACAAAGCACTATTGAAAGAAATCACAGGTGACACAAACAAATGGAAACACATCTCATACTCATGGACGGGTAGAATCAATAGTGTGAAAATGACCATACTGCCAAGGAACAAATCTAGAGGCATCACATTACCCAACTTCAAACTATACTACAAGGCTATAGTCACCAAACAGCATGGTACTTGTGTAAAAATAGGCACATAGACCAACGTGACAGAATAGAGAACCCAGAAATAAAGCCAAATACTTATAGCCAACTGATCTTCAACAAAGCAAACAGAAACATAAAGTGGAGAAAGGACACTCTATTCAACAAATGATGCTGGGATAATCGGCAAGCAACATGTAGAAGAATGAAACTGGATCCTCATCTCTCACCTTATACAAAAATTAACTCAAGAAGGATCAAAGACTTAAATCTATGACCTAAAATTGTAAAAATTCTAGAAGATAACATTGGAAAAACTCTTCTGGATATTGTCTTAGGCAAAGAGTTCATGACCAAGAACCCAAAAGCAAATGCATCAAAAACAAAGATAAATAGACTTAATTGAACTAAAAAGCTTCTGCACAGCAAAAGAAATAATCAGAAGAGTAAACAGACAATCCAGAGAATGGGAGAAAATATTCCCAAACTATGCATCAAACAAAGGACTAATATCAGAATCTACAAGGAGCTGAAACAAATCAGCAAGAAAAATATAAAATAATTCCATCAAAAAGTGGGCTAAGGACACGAATAGACAATTCTCAAAAATAGGTACACAAATGATCAACAAATATATTAAAAAATACTCAACATCACTAATAATCAGGGAAATGCAAATCAAACCTATTGCAATACCACTTTACTCCTGCAAGAATGGACATAATTTTAAAAATTGAAAAAATAATAAATGTTGATGCGGATGTGGCGAAAAGGGAACACTTTTACACTGCTGGTGGGAATGTAAACTAGTACAACCAGTATTGAAAACAATATGGAGACTCCTTAAAGAACTAAAAGTAGAACTACCGTTTGATCCAGCAATCCCACTCCTGGATATCTACCCAGAGGAAAATAAGTCATTATATGAAAAAGACACTTGCACACACATATTTATTGCAGCACAATTTGCAATTGCAAAAATATGAAACTAGCCTAAATGTTCATCAACCAATGAGTGGATAAAGAAAAAATATAAATATACACATACCATGGAATACTACACTAGCCATAAAAAAGTAACAAAATAATGGCATTTGCAGGAACCTGGATGGAATTTGGTATCATTATTCTATGTGAAGTAACTCAGGAATGGAAAACTAAACATTGTATGTTTTTACTTATAAGTGGGAGCCAAGCTATGAGGATGCAAAGGCATGAGTGACATAATGAACTCTGGGGAATTCTGGGGAAAGATGGGAAGTGGGTGAAGAATAAAAGACTACAAATTGGGTACAGTGCACACTGCTCAGGGGACAGGTGCCCCAAAATCTCAGAAATCACCATTACACCATTAAATAACTTATCCATGTGACCAAAAACCACCTGATCCCCTAAACTATTGAAATTTAAAAATTTAAAAATAAGATAAAATAAAATTTACTTTGTGAGATAGTTCTTAAAAATTGCATTTCTCTGATGATTAGCAATGTTGAACATTTAAAAATATATGTTGGCCACTTGTTTGTCTTCTTTTGAGAAATATTATATATATACATATATGTGTATATATATACACACACACACATATATACATATATTCTTGAATCCTCCCTCTCTTCATAAAGATTTTGGATCTTTATGCGTGGGCAGGTCCTAGAATCTGCATTTTTAATATAAATTCCAGGTGGTTCTGTTAAAAGGAAGTTTGAAGACCACAATTTGCAAAACAGTGTTAGTGGCAGCGAAATAATTTTTCAAGAGAGGATCTACATAAAATTTTAGGTATATTCAGTGTAGAATGAAGGTTAAACTTGAGAAATGTAGAAATGTAGCATTATGAAATGTTCAGGCAGGGAGGGAAGATCATTCTACCCTAATGCCTTCATTTCACACATGAGGAAATACAGGCTCTGAGAAGTGCCCAAAGGTTATATAATAAGTTTGTGGCAGAATCAGGGCTAAAAATAAGGTCTTAACTCCCAGTTCAAGCTCTTCTCCTCTTCATGTTACATTCTAAAATGAAATAGTATTCAAAGAATTAGACATGTTCTTGTAGCTGTTTAACGTTTTATAAGGCTCTAGCATTTCTCATTGTTTTTCAAACTACAGCTCCAGTCTATTTAAACATTTTGGGAGAATAACAAAGGAGTTGATCTCCACAAAAGTAGAAAAGAGCATGGAAAAAATACAGCTGATAGCAGACAAGGTTTTCTCTGTGAAAAGATTTTAAACAATTATTTTATGTTTTAAATACCTGTAATTAAACCCCTTTCTGTAACCACTCCAGTCTCCTTTTGGCTTTTCCAAAATAAAATCTTTTTTCTGCACAGGAAGGTCAGATTGTGTCTTGTTGATTCACACCTGATGAGCAAAGTGCATGTATCATGAATGCTAACACCCATTGTTATTATTTTCAAGAACCAGGTATTAAGTGCCTACGATGCCAACATGGAAAAACAACCCTTTGACAGATTTTTCTTCATTTTTGTTAAACTCTTCTGCATTTCTATAGGATAAAAATCTATTTCAAAGCTGTGCTGCTGGCAGTTTTACATGAAATGTATTTTAAACATGACAGTTGTTTTCATGTGGAAAAATACAAACATGGCTAACATATAAAATGATTATACAAATTGCGCAGGACTGATTGCTTAGAATATTCACTATTCCAAACGTTCTGTTTCTTAAAGGGAAATATTCATCAGAAAATAAATTGCATATTTAGAACTTGAAATCCGACTTTTTTTATAAAAAGAAATAAGTTTCTACTTCTTCACAAAGAAGACAGTGAACATATTGGAGTAGAAAAACACTAATGTTGCAACCAGGTGACAGAAGGTCTAGTGTAGCTGCTCTGAACAAATTTTAACTTCAGTTTGCTCAGGTGCAAAATGCAGGTGATATTCCAACCTATCTGACAGACTATTAAAAGACTTGTATGAGCTTATAATTGTGGGATGATTAATAAGAAATTATTATTTAGTAACTGATATGTTTATCTGCAGTGAAAATAGTATGAAGAATATTATAATGTGAAATAAGGAGGAAATGATTACAATACTTAACATAAAATATTACCTATTTCTGGTGAAAGAGCAGTACAACTTTTGCAAGCACAGCATTACATAAAGCATTTCAGTAATGTTATTCAGTTTGCTTCCCCAGGGTCTTGAAACCAGCTCATAGGTGCTGACTTGTTCCAACCTCAAAATCTTCATTCTAGGCAGAAATTAAACCAAGTCAAAGGAGACAGACATACTCAGAGAAGGGGAAAATATCTAGAGATAAACGATTATGATACTCTCTCTGATAGCCCATCAATTCCTTATATACAAATCTTAGGTGATTCTGATACCCAACTAGGTTTGGAACCAAAGTTGTAGATGGTCTAATACAGTAATTCTCAATCTCTGATGCATATTAAAATCAAGAGAAGAATTTATTTAAAAAATAGAAGCTTCACACACCCAGATATTTTATTGACTTGAGCATCAGAATTTGTTTTAAAAGTCTCCAGTTATTGTATTAATAATGTGCAGCCAGGATCGAGAACAACTGATCTAAGGTATTAAATAAGGAAGAGTTATTCCCTTCTGGAGGAGAGGGGCTCAGTTTCCTTAATTCTTTATTCATTGAGGAAACTGAGCTCCTTTCCTCCAGAAGGGAATAATTAAATTTCTGTAAGCATGCATAAATATGAATAGTCAATTCAATTCAACAAATCTTTATTGAGGACCTACATGTTTGTGGTATTCATGCCTATTAAAAGTGCCTTATTGATTCATAAGAATGAAAGCAATGAAAAATTATACAAGGCAGGCTGGGCATGGTGGCTCACACCTGTAATCCCAGCACTTTGGGAGACTGAGGCAGGCGGATCACTTGAGGTCAGGAGTTCAAGACCAGTCTGGCACATATGATGAAATCTCGTCTCCACCAAAAATACAAAAATTAGCCGGGCCTGGTGGCATGCACCTGTGGTCCCAGCTACTTGGGAGGCTGAGGTATGAGAGTCACTTGAACCCAGCAGGTGGAGGTTGCAGTGAGCTGAAATTGTGCCACTGCCCTCCAGCCTAAGCAATAGAGTGAGACTCTGTCTCAAAAAAAAAAAAAAAAGAAATTATTCAAGGCAGAATAAGGTAAATGCCACAGGAAGAAAAGCAAGGTGTTTTGGTACTTCCAAGAGCTGAGAGATAGCTTGAGGTCTTTATCAGGAATATAGTGTATAATCTGGTTTTAAAATCAGAAAATGTTGACTTCTGAATCTGTAGAACTGAAGATAATACTATGACATGATACTGCAATTCTACCTCATGCTTCAAAAGTTGCCCTGTGTACCAAAAAACTGTCAAGACTGCTCATGATGGACACTAAAACTATAAAAGTGTTTTGAAAGGAATATTGCAAAAAATAAGAGTAATCTTGGATTTCTTTTAACTTGTGTTTGTTTCAAATTACAGAATTGTACTCACTATTGCAAAAGTCCTGAAAAATTACTTGAGAATGCCTATTAGTGATGGTTATGGAATATGCAGTCTTTCCCGGATATCTTTTTAGTTACTTTTTTAACTACCAAAATATATTCTAATATGTCACTACTTCTCCAATTTCAGGGATACCCATTCACTTAAAGGCCTCAGCATCTACCATCTGAATTAGCTCAAAGTCTCCTTTCTGATTTTCTTTCCTGTAATCTCTTATCTCATGCAATTCATTATGCATATTATGAAATCAGTCATTCTGAAACACTATTGTGAAATGTTTTCAATGTCAAGTGTTATCAGTTTTGCTATGAATAATTTTATAGTATCCATTTATTTTTTTCCTTTTCAAAGTTTATCAAAGTACTACATGTAAATAATTTAAGAATAAAAAAAAATCACAAAGCTTACAGCTGTCTCTTAAATCATCTCTTCACATTCTTACTGCTTCCCAGAGGACATCTCTTTCAACTATTTTGGTTAGCTGTTTTCTCCTGGTATTATTTGAATTAATATGTTTATACCACTACTTCTAGATTTCTCAGTATTGGACATTGCCTATTGATTTCTACTCTAAAGGATTGGATGTTGCCTATTGCTTTTCTACTCTAAAGGATGAAGATTTTGCTCAGCTCTACAGTCTGCCTCTTCCTGCAATAAATGTTGTAGAGACTGGGGATATACCCGTGAACAGAACAAAGTCCCCAGTACTTATGAACTTACATTGCGGTTTGAGAAGGTAAAATAACTAAATAACATAAATAACTAAATAACTGAATTATATAATTCCAGAAAGTGAACCATAATATGAAAAAAAGGAAAGAAAAAAAGACAATGGGAAAGGACACAAGTCTCTTTCCTCCCTCTACCCAATATAGTTGTAATAAAACGTTTGATGTTTTCACCGATATGACTAGATAACTACTTGACACTGAAGCATATATCGTACTATAATTACCATTCATTTATTGTACAACTATTTCTTTTCTCTGAGACTGTAATTTTATTTGCATTTGATTTGTTTTCCATGTACTGAGAACTAATTCATTCCTATCATTCTGCCAAAACTATAAAACTTCTCTTGATGTGGTCAAACACAACAGTTAATTCTGTTTTTTTTTTCTCCTTCTCCTTTTCTTCCTCTCTCATCATTCCTCCCAGATACCTCTGTCCTCCTGCTCCAGCCTTTTCCAGTAACTTTCCAGGCCTGCAGCATAGCTGTCATGTGCAAGCCCCCCTTCATTATCTTCCTAGGATTTCCCTCTGCCTCTCCCCTGGGTGCATCACCTTTACCAGCTCCCACATCTTCCTCTTTCTTGATTTAGCCCTCCAGTGGCCTCTTGAAAAGGGGTGCACATGAAGTAAATTTATACAAACTTGAGTGACTGAAAATGTTTTTATTCTACTCTTATCCTTGATAGGTAGCCTGGGTATAGGATTCTAAGTTGGAAATAATTTTTTCTCAGAAATCAGAGACATTGCTTCATTGCCTTCTGGATTTCAGTATTGCTATTTGGAATTCTGATGTCATTCTTGTTCCCAGTCCTTGGAATGTGACCTAGTTTTTTTTTCACTGGAAGTCTTAGGGTTCTAAAATTTCAAAATAATTTAGCTTGCACAAGGCCTTTTTTTAATGGAGAGGCAGAAATGTGTGGTGATTACAAAAACAGATTCTAGAGCCAGAGTTCTAGGTTCATCACTTAAATAGCTCTATAATTTTGGATGGGTTACTCAATATCTCTGTGCTTCTGTTGGCTGCTAAAGGAGCCGACATCATAGGGTTTGGGGAAGGATAGCAGCAATATTTAAAAATGTCTAGAATAGTGCCTGGCACATAGCAAGCCCCCTGTAAACACTAGCTATTAATATTAGTTATTATTATTTATTATGTTGAGAATTTAGCAGACTTTCAATTTGGAAACTCAGATTTTCACAGCTCAGAAACCTACATGTGTTATTTCTTTAATAATTTTCTCCCCTTCATTTTTTTAATACTTTTTTTCTGGAATCATTATTAATTGAATTTCCTCAATGTTATGTTTCAATCTATCATATTTAAAATATCAATATCAGGCCAGGTGCGGTGGCTCACACCTGTAATCCCAGCAGTTTGGGAGGCTGACATGGGTGGATCACCTGAGGTCAGGTGTTCGAGACCAGCCTGGTCAACATAGCAAAACCACGGTCTCTACTAAAAATATAAAAATTAGCCAGGCATGGTGGTGGTAATCCCAGCTACTTGGGAAGCTGAGGCAGAAGAGTCACTTGAACCCGGGAGGTGGAAGTTGCACTGAGCCGGATCACACCACTGCACTCCAGCCTGGGAGACAGAGTAAGACTCTGTCTCAATAAATAAATAAATAGAATCAATATCAATATTTTTATTTTTTATGCGTGTATTTATAATACGTGTATATATATGCATATATACACACACTTATATATATATATTTATGTATTTATACACAAGTATAGATACAAACATTTTAAACTGGATGCATGTTTTTCTCTTTTCTTTCTGAGGATATTTATTATAGGTTTGTAAGTTTTGAAGTTTTCCTGTGTTTTTCCCTCTATTTTATTTTATTTTAATTTTTTGAGATGGAGTCTCACTCTGTCACCCAGGCTAGAATGCATTGGCGTGACCTCGGCTCACTGCAACCTCTGCCTCCCGGGTTCAAGCAGATCTTCTGCCTCACCCTCCCGAGTAGCTGGGATTACAGGTGCCTGCCAGCACGCCCAGCTAATTTTTGTATTTTTAGTAGAGATGGAGGTGTGGCGGGGTAGGTGGGAGGTGAGATAGGGAGAGGGGTTTCATCATGTTGGCCAGGCTGGCCTGGAACTCCTGACCTCAAGTGATCCACTCACCTTGGCCTCCAAAAGTGCTGGGATTACAGGCTTGAGCCACTGTGCCCGGACTTTCCCCCTATCTATTATGTTAGAGGCTTTTCTCTAGTGATTCTTACTGGTGATTCTTGGCAGTTTATTCATATATAAAAAGGAGGCTTTTAAGCTATGGGACTTCTCAACTGGTGAGACTTGCTTTAGGAAAGTTGAGTTGGGTTAAGGATTCCCTGAAGAGGCAGCTGGGCTTCCCTAAATATCAATTTCTGTGTATCTTTGATTTTGAGCTTGTCAGTTATTTCCAGTTTACTTCTTGCCTAGGGGTATTAAGTTTTGCTACCAGTGTTTTGTGAGCAGAATTAGGATAGAGGGTAACTGTTTTTCATGCAGACTCTCACCCAATCCCCTTGTGTTCAACATGGTGTCCCCTAGTCCCAGCTCTCCACTCTGTCTAGGGTGAATCCAGGTTTTGTGGGCCTAAAGCTTATAGTCTTTGGGGGGCCCTCTTCCAGACCAAAAAAAAATAAATAAACTATGAATGCAAAATTAAATACAGGAACTTGGAAGGGACCAGTGCAAGTGGAGGGCCTATGCTTCATTCGCTTCATGGTAAAACTGACTCTTCATCCTGATTCCTACCAGGGTCCCAGAGGAGTGGTATCTGACTTTGTTGGCTGAAGAGGAGATCTGGGAGTTCTATACTGCTGCTTACAGTCTTCTCATCAATTCTCTTCTTTTTAGTGCTATCCCATACCCTGGTTCTTCACGAGGAACCAGTGTCTTCAAGTCCCAAAGCTTTATGGCCCTTAAAGTTTAATGGGAGTGCTTCTGTTGGGGCATCTGACACTGCAGGCAGTTAGGCTTCAGTGATCTCTGCTGAGCTGTCTTTTATCACTCATTAATTATTTCCCACCATCTAAAATGTGTGGCTATCTCTTAGCTGCTGTTATTCCCCACCCTGTTCTCTTTGTTCTCACAGTGGTTTTATTCCTTTGCTGCCATTTAAGTGGGGGTTTTAGGAGAGCACAGAACTAAACAAACAGGTTCAGTTTGCCATGTTTAATCAGAAGTCTCATTCTATCTTTGAATATTTTTATGTTTGTCATTAAATCCAATATTTTATTGCCACTTAGATGAATTTATTATACAACTCAGCATTTGTTGTACTACATATTTAAGAAATATATACTGTACTTCAATATTCTCATAAACTGTTGTTTTTTGTTCTTTTGTTTTTAATATCAATAGCTTAAGGGGTACATGTGGTTTTAATTATATGGATGAATTGTATAGTGGTGAAGTCTGGGCTCTTAGTGTAGTCATCACCTGAGTAGTGTACATTGTACCCAGTAGGTAATTTTTCATCCCAGACTCCTTTCCCACCCTCCTTTCTTCTGAGTCTCCAATGTCCATTGTGGCACTCTGTATGCCTTTGTGTACCCATAGGTTAGCTCCCACTTACAAGTGCAAACATTCTGTTTTTCGTTTTACATTCCTAAGTTACTTCACTTAGGATAATCGCCTCCAGTTCTTCCAAGTTGCTGCAAAAGACTTTATTTCACTCTTTTTTATGGCTGAGTAGTATTCTATGGGGTGTGTGTGTGTGTGTGTCAATGGGCACTTAGGTTGATTTTTTAATCTTTGCAATTGTGAATTGTGTTGCAAGAAACATATGAGTTGCAAGCGTCTTTTTGATATAATGACTTCTTTTCCTTTAAGTAGACACCCAATAGTGAGATTGCTGGATTGAATGGTAGGTCTGCTTTTAGTTCTTTGAGAAATCTCTCTACTGTTTTCCATAGTGGTTGTACTAATTTACATCCCCACCAATAGTAGAAAAGCATTCCCTTTTCACTGCACCCACATTGATATCTATTGTTTTTTGTCTTCTTAGTAATGGCCATTCTGACTGGGGTAAAGTAGTATCTCATTGTGGCTTTAATTTGCATTTTCCTGATGACTAGTGTTGTTGAGCATTTGTTCATGTTTCTTGGCCATTTCTATATCTTCTTTCGAGAAATGTCTACACATGTCATTTATCCACTTTTTAAAGGATTTTTTTTCTTGTTAATTTGTTTCAGTTCCTTATAGATTCTAGAATTAGTTCTTTGTCAGATATATATAGTTTCTCAATATTTTCTCTCTGTAGGTTGTCTATATACTCTGTTGATAATATGGTGTTTCTTTTTAGGCAATAAACCAACACTTACTAGATCAACAATCTAGTGTGTTCTCATATTAATCATATTTTAGAAAGAAGAATATTCAAGAAAATGTCTATATTTTTTAAAAACAAAATTACAAAATAATGCATGTTAGTAAAGGAGCTTGTAAAAAAAATTCCCTATGTTTTGTGGAAAAAAATTTTGCCTAGTTTATTCTTCTAGATAATGTTTGATAATGTTTGTTAAATATATAAATGTGCCAAGAAATAGTCCTATTTCATCCACTATGCTTCTTGGAACCGCAGATTTGCAAGAAAACTTCAATAAGTACAGTGTAAAAAAGAGATATGTAGTCAAGTAAGTTTTCTAAACTCTGAGTTCAATGAAATCAAACAGTTTTTTTTACATCAAGACTTCTTAGAGCCTTAACTACAATATTCACAGTGAGTCTTTAAAGAGGGAATAATTATTAGTATTTTCCAAATTTATTGTACTACCAGTCCTATTTAAGCAGCACACTATTAACTCCTTACAAAACAAATTACATCAAGATATAGTTTGAAAATTTTTTTAATCAACAGCATGTTTTCTAATTCTGTTGAAAGACCTAATTTTCATCCTATGAAAGACCTAATTTTAATCCTGAAGGGTAATTGTAGTTCTTCCATTATCAATTCCATTCTAGATCCTGATCTCTTATGCTTACTCTCACTTGAAACCCTTAGGAATATCAGTTTGACCATCTTCCTTGAGGATGTAAATAATACAGGAGGAAATGAAAAGCTCATGTCAGAGAAATTTTAATATTAGAGTTATTGGGGAGAAGCAGGGATGAATAAAGGATAACAGTGGGATGGTGAGGCAAAAGCTAGGTCACCCCAAATAGTCCTGAGCTGAAGAGCTTGCTTATACCTTAGGATCAGGGTTAATTTTAAGGCAGAATCAGATAGATAAAGAGGTAACACCAAAGATAGTCATTAAGTCTCTCTCCTCCCTCTGTTCTCTCTCTAATCTTTAGTGTTTGCCAAACTTTCTCTCTGCACATATTAAACATTCAGATTTTGTGGCCAAGGCCTCAGACTGATGGAAGCAGAGTATGCGGAAAAGATGATTCTTAGGACTGGCAGGGTTAGAAAATACTGCCCACTAAGACACCACTGTGTGTGTGACTTGCCTTGCTATTTCTGATCCTGGCCCTCACATCCATAATTATTCTGCTGGAGAATTTGAACTCAACTTCTGTCATATGTGTTTGCTTAGCTTTGGATTCTGGTCACACAGTTTCTGAGCCCATTATCTCATCTTGGTTCTGGTTTTTCTCTCTCTACTTAATATTTCAGATTGGCATTAAACCGAGTGAATTCCCTTTCTGATTAATCTTGCCAGAGCAGCCCAGAAAAAAATGATCTCAATACCTTCTCCTAATATTTGAGGGAATTGGATGTTAAATAGATTCACAGTAACTGAAGAATAGTTGTGGAAGGGAATTTTTAAAAATAGTTAACACAGAATTCAAAAAGTACAAAAAAAGCAATAACTAAGAAGTATAATTCTTCTCTCCTGTTTCTGCCAGCTACAAAGTTCTCCTGCATGAAGGCCACTGGCATTTTATGAATTGTTCTGGAGATACTCTAATGAGTTTACAAACATTTGTGTAATATTTGTGTGTATATTTCTTTTACACAAACGTATCATGCCATCTACTCTGCTCTGCATGTTGTTGTTGTTTTACATAATTTATCTTAGAGATTGTTATAGATTGAATTGTATCCCCCCAAAAAGTATCTTGGAGTCCTAACCTCTAATACCTCAGAAAGTGACCTTATTGGAAATAAGTTTGTTGCAAATGTAATTAGTTAAGATGAGGTCATACTGGAGTAGGACGGGCCTTCAGTCCAATGTGACTAGTGTCCTTATAAGAAGAGACAGAGACATAGAGGAGGAATGCCATGTAACAACAGAGGTGGAGATTGGAGTCATGCAACTGCAGGCCAAGGAACCCCAAGGCTTGCTGGCAAATTACCAGAAGCTAGGAAGAGGCAAGGAAGGATTCTCACCTACAGGTTTCAGAGGGAGCATGGCACTACCAACACCGTGATTTGGGACTTCTGTTACAGTAGGTAGCTAGTCAGGCATGAGAAGGGCAGGAAAGGGCCCCCCACCACCATGAATGTCAGACAACCATCAGGTGATGATCAGGCAGTTGTTAACTGTCTCTCTAAAATAATAATTGGTTACAGCCAGTGCCAGGGAAAGGCAGTCTCCTTATGCATAGAAAAAACCTGAAACTGGTGATCAGCAGCTTCCTGGTATGTATCAGGAGTCGGGCAAGTAGGTTCAAGCATGCACATTAAGAGGCAAAATGGCGAAGTTTAACTGGTATATGACCTTCCAGGGACATGCCACCAGTAAGGGAAGAATGCCTCAAATGAGCATGTTCACCTCCCGACTGCTAGCAGACCACTGTGCATGAGGACAGCCCATCCCAAAGGAGGAATCAGGGAAGAAGGGACACAAAACTCCAGAAGCATGCCAATTTATAAAACCCCAAGTCAAAAGGTCAAAACACACACTTGTCTTTCAAGTCGCCCACTTGGCCCTCTTCCAAGTGTACTCTCTCTTTTGTTCCTGCTCTAAAGCTCTTTAATAAACTTTCACTCCTGCTCTAAAATGTGTCTTGGTCTCTCCTTCTGCCTTATGCCCCTCAGTCGAATTCTTTCTTCTGAGGAGGCAAAAATTGAGGTTGCAGCAGACCCATATGGATTCGCCACCAGTATCACTTCTAGCCTTCAGAACTGTAATACAATAAACTTCTATTATCTTAACCCACACAGTTTGTGGGATTTTGTTTCAGCAGCCTTAGGAAGTGAATACAGAGATCTTTCCATATTAATAGAGAAGTGTTTCATTCTATTTGACAGCTGCACAGTACTCTATTGTATGGTTGGGCCATAACTTATCTACTGGATAAAATAAGTTATGGACATTTATGTGATTTTTAAACTTTTGTCATTAAAAACAATGCAGAAAGTGAGCAAATTTGTACATGTGTCAATTCACATGAGTGAGACTATCTTGAGCTAAATACCTAGGGGTAGTGAATAATCAAATTGAAATAAGATGCTTTGCATGTGAACAAGTGAAGAATTATTGAGACTTGAGTAACCCTAAGTTTCCACAGAGGGTATAGTAAAATTGTGTGCCAGCCAATAATTATGCTAAGTAGGATGACTTTGTCTTGTCTCCTCTCCCATCCCTCCCCAAAATTGTTTGCCGGCTATGTAACCTTTTAGATAAGCCTCTGTTCTCTCCGGATCTCTGCTGCAGTTGAATTTCTAATGTTCTATTACCTAACATCTTAGGGTGGTTATAAGGATCAAATTTTTAAAAAGTTTGTGAAAGCAATTTCCCTACATAAAGACAGGGATTTGCTATTGTCTTTGGTGTAAAGCAATGTTTGATAACTTTATTATGCCTTTCATCCACATCCTATCCACAAACACTTGTTCTGGGTTATAGACCTGCTTCTCATATTTATGTTTACTATGTTTCACTACATAGTAATTTATTAGTCTTCTCCTTTATATTTGCCCACAACAGTATAGTATCTTTCCTACAAATGATACAACCTAATAAATATTTATTCAGTGTTGTTTTAGACTAAATGTTTCATCAGTGAAATTTTTTTATTTCCTAAAATGGCCTGAGCATTTACTTTAGAGTACAGTTTCCATGAACCACTTTTTCCCTCTTTCTTCTCTTTTCAGATTAGAATAACTGTTGGGAATACATTTTTAACCAATGGATTGAAAAAAATCAGTACAAGATCTATTTAATTGTCACAGCAAGTCCATGATGAGGGCTGCACAAAAGAAGGAGGTAATTTGTTTTCTTGGGTCATGAAGACTTTTCTTTTCTAGGCAGGGTTTAGAATTGGGACCCTGGTCACATGATTATTATTCTTAGTATCCTCAGCCCTCTAGCCTGCCAAGAATTGTCAGAGTTAAGAATATGCTGTTGTTTATATGATAAAATTGGTGAAGTGCTAGGAAGAGTTCTAAGTCTTCATACATCTCTCCTAGATCATTCCTAGGTACTTAAAATTCCTACCTTCAGAGTCAGTGCTTTTGTGAATTCTCTCCCACAAATGTAAATAGCCTGAAGGGATTTCATAATCAACCATTTTCAGTCATCAGCAACTCTGTGTGAATTGGCCCATTAGATTCTTTTCCTGCTGACAACGGATGGCCAGGAAGAAAGTGTGAATTCAACAGAGAAGTTTCACAGAAATGAGCTGTGCTCAGCCTTTGCCATAAGAGGGCAAAGTAAGTCCAGTGACATGCATTTCACTCAGTCTTCTTCTCTTTCTACTGACTGAGCCCGGAGCCTTTGAGGGAGGAAGTCCAGGGATTGGAGGGGTATAGAGATTGAGCTAAAAGGACCTTCTTCATTGGCCTGCAGGCTCAACTCTTAGGCAAAATCGTGAAGAAGTAGCTGTTACATTTTTCTAAACTTTCAGTTTGACAAGCATAAGGATTAATTTGGCAAAGCTCAAAATGATATCTGGCAGTCAAAATGGTTCATCACACCTCTTTAAAACATAATGTTGGGAGTGGCTGTTTTCTGAACCAAGTTACTTACTGAAAGTATTCTGTACTTTCCAGCCATTTTCCCTTTTTCTCATTTCTGTGGCCATTGTGGGGCTGCTGATCTCCATGTACTCTGGTAGGGGCTACTTTTTTTTAAAAGGAATCTTTCTTTTTTTTTTTTTATTGAGATAAAATATACATACACAATTTACTATTTTTACTTTTCTTTCTTTCTTTTTTTTTTTTTTTTAGACAGAGTTTCGCTCTTGTCGCCCTGGCTGGAGTGTGCAGTGGCGGGATCTCGGCTCACTGCAACCTCCGCCTCCCAGGTTCAAGTGATTCTCCTACCTCAGCTTCCCAAGTAGCTGGGATTGCAGGCACACACCACCACATGCAACTAATTTTTGTGTTTTTGGTAGAGATGGGGTTTCACCACGTTGGCCAGGATGGTCTCAATCTCTTGAAGTCGTGATCCGCCCACCTCGGCCTCCCAAAGTGCTGGGATTACAGGCGTGAGCCACCGCACCCGGCTTATCTTTACCATTTTTAAGTCTATAGTTCAGTGGTAATAAATACGTTTATATTCTTTTTCCCCCTTCTCCCTTCTTCTTCTCTATCCCCTCCCCTTTCCAGTCTCTGGTAACTGCCAGTCTACTTCCTATCTTCAGGAAATCCACTTTTTAAGCTTCCGCCTGTGAGTGAGAATGTGCTATATTTGTCTTTCTGTGCTTGGCTTATTTCACTTAACATAATGGCCTCCAGTTCTATTCATGTTGCTACAAATGACAAAATTTCATTCTTTCTTATGGCTGAATAATATTCCATGGTGTATACATACCACATTTTCTTTATCCATTCATCGTTGATGGGCACTTAAGTTGATTCCATATTTTGGCCATTGTGAATAGTGCTGCAATAAACATGAGGATGCAGATCTCCTTTGATATATTGATTTCCTTTCTTTTGGATATATACGCAGTAGTGACATTGCTGGATCATATGGTAATTCTATTTTTATTTTTTTGAGGAACCTCCATACTGTTCTCTATAAGTGGCTGTCCTAATTTGCATTCCAATCAGCAGTGGATTAGGATTCCCCTTTCTCCACATCCTCAGCAGCATCTATTATTACCTGTCTTTTTGATATAAGCTATTTTAATTGCAGGAAAAGGATATTTAACTTTGCTGAATATTTTAAGGCCAACAGGAATCAGTGTTTTCCATTGTACCCTACTGGTAGCTTGAGATTTGTCTGAAAGATTGACTGCCTGCCTTGTTCTCTCTCTCTCCCCACAAACCCCTCACCCCTCCACTGCCACACACACACATGCCTTTCTGATTCTCACATGACTAGAAAAACTGTTAGAAAGAGCTGATATCCCATCTAGGTAAACCTGCCTGGACTCTTGGCTACATTTTTCAAGAATTAGCTTTCATTTCACAAGCAATAAAAAATTATAAATTGAAAGCACCTCATGGAAGAAGCATTCACTTTTCTTGAGAACAGCCAACAAAGTGTAGGTGTTTTCATAAATTAGATTCACTCAAAGATGTTTCAATCCAAATATTACTCTGTTATTGATTTATTGAACTTGTCATATTATCTCGTTGTGAAATTTTTCCTTTACGAAAAAATTTTCTCTAAATAAAGAAGCCTCCTTTTTCAATAACAGTATTATTTTTATTAAGTTACTGACTCCTTCTTCTCTGCCTAAAAAACATGTTCAAGCCTCTCTCTACCACATATATATCTTTCCTTGGACACTGTTTTCTACTCAAGTGAATGCTTTATGTCTTTGCTTCCTTTCCTCATAGACTCCACGTCCTAACCTATCATTTTCTCATCAATCAACTATAATAATACCATTATATGTAATAGGCCATATTTGTTGAGTGAATAATGTGTACCAGGCACTGTGCAGCTTACATTTTTTCCAGGAATCAAATAAAGTAGGTATCATTAGTAGCTTTGTTTATACAGATGAAAACGCTGAGGCTTAAACAGTATGAGTAGTTTGCTCAGCAAGTCAGTGAGTAGGTGGCAACCACAGAAACTCCAGTTTTGTCCTATAGGTGACATCTAAGTCATTGCCATTATCCACAATGTATCTACCAACTTACTGTAACTCAATCACTGAATCTTGAAATACAAGGATCTATCTCTACTCTTCATCATATTCAATCTCCCAGCTTCAGTCACAATTGGGCATCTGGGACCTTCTTCCAGCTTTTATTTCCACAATATTATACTCTTTTGGTGTCTCTACATTTCTAACTATTCTTTCTGGCTTTGTTGAGTTAGCCTCTTAAATTGTCTCTTAAATGTTGGTATGATCTAAATTTCTTTTGCCCTCTGAATGTCTTCTCTGAGTGATTTCAGTGACTCCTATGGCCTCTACAATGATCTCAACTCTAATTCCAGGATCCCTTTCTCCTGAGCTCCAGATTTATCTCTACTTTTATAGGTACCACAACCTAGAAATATCCAAATCAACCTCATTATCTTTCATTCGAAGTCTATTTCTCTGCATTTCCTCCCTCATTCTACAATATATTTTATATAAACATACAAGCTAATAGATGGAGTAAGAGACGTTTTTTATGTCCCTTTTCCTTTCATTTCCACATTTAATCAGTCATCATGTCTTACGTTTTCTTTTCTTTTTTTTTTTTTTGAGACAGAGTTTCGCTTTTGTAGCCCAGGCTGGAGTGCAGTAGTGTGATCTTGGCTCACTGCAACCTCTGCCTCCCAGGTTCAAGCAATTCTCCTGCCTCAGCTTCAGAAGTAGCTGGGACTACAGGCATGTGCCACCACATATGGCTAGTTTTGTATTTTTAGTAGAAACGGGGTTTTGTCATGTTGGCCAGGCTGGTCTCGAACTCCTGACCTCAGGTGATACACCCACCTTGGCCTCCCAAAGTGCTGGGATTAAGTTGTGAGCCACCGTGCCCACCTGTGTTTTCTAATTTATAAATTTATCCATGCATCTTCATTATCACTTCTGCTGCTTTAGCTCAGACTCTCATCTTACCTCTTCCCTTCTGGGATCTAGTATTATGTACTGCATTTTATTGTACTCCCTATAACACCTAACACAATTTTGTATACAGAAACAGACCATCAGACATTTGTCAATTCAATAGATGAATATCTATATAACAGTTATGTTTTGTGAAGATCCTCTATCTTCTAATACTTACATGGTGTTTGCTATTTATGAGACATTATTCTAAATGCTTTAGCTATATTACCTAATTTAATCGTCACAATCTTCCAAAGTAGATGAAGTTATTATTCAGATTTTATAAATGGGGAGACAGTCATACAGAAGTGACCTTACTTGCCCAAATTTATGCTGCTAATAAATGGCAGTGCCAGCAGTGCTAGAATTAGACTGCAGGCAGTTTGACTTTAAATCCATGCTCTTAACCACTGCACTTCCTTGTGTTTCCTTTTGATCTACTTCTATGTATTACACTCAAGTTCTAATTAGTTTTTCCATTATAGCTATAAAAATATAGTAGATAACTAAATTCACAAACTTATAGATGTGAATCTGGAACTAAGTTCATTTCTCTGCCTCATCCAACCCCTCATCTAATTCTAGAGCACTTCAGAATCAAAATTAACTTAGAGTTTGAGGAGAAACTGAAGAGTTAATTGTCTACTGATCCAGTGGTATGTGAGATGCAACCAGCATGGCTCCTATAGCTTGAAGCCAAATAGGCTTCTGGAGTAGGATCTGGACCACTTGGAGAATATTAGCCCTGTCATTTTGGACCATGAGCAGTATTGAGTTGAAAAGATAAGGCTGTAAGGCAGGACAAAACATAATTTGGAGCTGCCATATAGGACAAGGCGAGTAGATGGTCAAAGAGACGTCCACATGGAGGAATTAAAGTCAGCAAACATAAAGGGGTCAAGCATGCAGAGACACTGAGAGTCAATGTGGGTCATGAGAGCAGACAAGCAGAGAATGTGTGCCAAAGACAAATGTGCCCTCCAAATCATGATAAACACAATGTCAGATGTCTTACACTCTGTGGTAGAGTGGAGGTTTTTAAAATGGGTGTCAGAAAACCTGCATTATAACTTAGTTCTACCATCAATCAGAAGTGTGATCTTGGACAAGCTATTTAAACTATCTGGAGCTCACTTTTCTCATCTTTAAAATTAGGGATTTCAATGTGGTGACCTCTGATAGAGAGTTACAAAGCCTATTATTCTTCACACAATGGTCCTAAAGATTTTTAATCATAGACTTATTAGTGGAGAAACCTTTGCAAGTACCTCCATTTGGTAAGGCTCTGCATGGCAAATTTATAAATTATTCACAAATGTATAAATTAGTAGATGTACCACTTTACTAATATATTACATCATGAAACGCAGAAATATAAAAAGAATGAAATAAAGATGAAGCAAATACTATAGTTTAAGTTTTTGTCAATTGTGATGGTATCATATTATCATTAACTAGCATCTCAAGGCACAAACTCAAGGTAGGTTAAGGTTTATCATTATAAATGTAAATGCCTATTTCAAATAGTCCTTGACAATTTTTATTTTCTTGCCCATTTCTTGTCATATCTGATTAGATAGTCATTATTTTTGTATTGTAATTTGGCTGACAAGGAGCTCTTACTTGGATTCAGAGAAGTGTCAGCGATGTCATTTTCTTGTTCACTCACTCTTACATTATCAACATAATCTTCAATATAAAGTTTCTTTGCTCAAATCTTTTTGAAATATGTATACATTATGTGAGTTTAGTTAACCACATAACATAGTACACAAATACACTTAACCTGACTTCCTGGGTTTCCTCAATAGTAGACCCTGAATCAAGGTCTTGGGTGTAGGTAATTTTCCTTTTCTTTTTCTTTTCTTTTATTTTCTTTTCTTATTAAAACTTTTATTTTAGGATTGGGGGTACATTTGAAGGTTTGTTATGTAGGTAAACTCAGGTCATGGGTGTTTGTTGTACAGATTATTTCATCATCCAGGTGAATGTTTATTACAGCACTAGTCACAATAACAAAGACATGCCCATCATTGGTAGATTGGATAAAGAAAGTGGGGTACATATACAGGTCATTTTATTAGGAAGTGAGATAAAGTGTATGTTAATGAGCATGTTGCTTTTGTGGGCCTAATCCCAACAGCAACCCTCTGAGAAGCTGTGTGGAGCATCCCTCAAGTCATCCTTTCTTGGATGATGGGGAGGCTGGGGCATTTATCCACTTACCTTCCTTCCCCATTGGTTGATGGGTGTCCCTGGTGGCATGAACCCCTCTCACTTCAGGGTTGCATTTGTTTTTGACAGAGCAAACCCCATGGTGTTGGAGAATCAGGAGAAGAAGAGAGAGGCTGGTCTAGAGGTGCAGAGCTTTCAGCAAACTGCTTACCACACCTAAAGTGAATTCAGGTGGGCCCCGCAGGTATGGGGTGTGGTGTTGACAGGGTCTGCTACACTTGGCAAGGGTTAAGATTAGAATTAGAGTCAGGATTAGTAAACTCTGATAGGTTGAAGTAAACAAAGAAAAAAGAGCATCAGCATCAACCTCTCCCACTCTTTCCTCAGGATATATTGAGAACCACATTTTGGCAAAGTGTGTATAAACTATTAATAAAGTATCATTTATTTCATAGTTTTTGATAAAATATGTAAATTGAAACTCTAATATTTTCTTTCCACACCTGGAAGGTCATTTTGAATATCTCTTGGGAGCCTGCATCTCTTCCTTATGATCAGTTTCCTAGCACAGCGACTCAAGGGCCTGATGCGTCAGGCTGCTGAGATATCTATCTGTTCCGACAAAGGCTGCCTCAGTGCCATGAAAACACATCACGTGCTGCAAGTCCTGGCAACATTTATGTCTCCAATGCAAAATTGTGGATTTCTGCCAAGAATTTACCTGCCTATTCTCCAAGGACAAGTATCAGAATATCCTGAAAGCCTCTGGAGGGTGCTAAAACATGAAGCAGCTCACTTACAGGAAGTACTTCAGTGAGCTGCTGATTAAGAAAATAAAAGAGAGGGAGAAAGAAAGGCCATGACATGTGTCTGCAAGTTGATCTATAGAGCAAGATCAATTATTGCATCATAGATGTTTGTAATTGTGGTGAAGCCAAAATTTTCTCTAAACACATTTTTGGCATCATCCACAATCCTATATTTTAATTTAGGTAAATGAATTTCAGTAATTTGATATTGAAAGGACATTGATTAGGTAACTCCTATATGCTAAGCCACTGTAAAAAGTGGTATGGCTTATTTCAAAATAAGTAAAACTTGGTCTCTTACTTACAATCTAGCAGGAGAAATGCATGCTGCATATAAGTAACTGTAAAACAAGGTAGTCAGAACTAAGATCTGTAAGAAAAATACCATAGACTGTGAAAATTCTAAGAAATTATTTCTGCAACAAGTAATTTATTATTTCATATGGTACTAGATAAACTTAACCCAAATTCCATGGCCTAGCAATTTCCTTAAACCTAGTCTATTTGGGAGTCTACCAAGCTGACATTTAGTAATAAGCAGATTTGGGTTTAGAAAAGACAAAGAGATCTGAGATAGGCCTTTACCTCAGTGTCAACTATACTGGGCCCTAAAAAGGTCTTTGAGAGACAAAACCAAGTACTTCTTTAATGTCCTGTGGCCTAGTTTTAAGCCATAAATTTTTTCTTTTTTTTTTTGAGATGGAGTCTTGCACTGTCACCCAGGCTGGAGTGCAGTGGCATGATCTCAGCTCACTGCAACCTCCACCTCCTGAGTTCAAGCAATTCTCCTGTCTCAGCCTCCCCGGAAGCTGGGACTATAGGTGCGCACCACCATGCCCGGCTAATTTTGATATTTTTAGTAGAGACAAGATTTCTCCGTGTTGGCTGGGCTGGTCTCGAACTCCTGACCTCAGGTGATCCACCTTCCTTGGCCTACCAAAGTTCTGGGATTACAGGCATGAGCCACTGTGCCTGGCCTTAAGCCATAAACTTTTTAAAATACAAAAGCAAACACTGAAACAAAAATTATGCAATATTTGTAATGACAATGTATCGCAGTTTTCTTGAGCATGCAAATATTTTCTCAATAAAGACTTAATCATAAAATAGAACCTATGTGTTGCATCTTTTGTTTCTTTGTTTCTTTTCTTTCTTTCTTTTTTTTTTTTTGACAGAGTCTTGCTCTGTTGTTGCCCAGGCTGGAGTGCAATGGGGCAATCTTGGCTCACTGCAAACTCTGCCTCCCAGGTTCAAGCGATTCTCATGCCTCAGCCTCCTGAGTAGCTGGGATTACAGGTGTGTACAACCACGCCCAGCTAAGTTTTGTATTTTTAGTGGAGATGGGGTTTTGCCATGTTGGCCAGGCTGGTCTTGAACTCCTGACCTCAGGTGATTCACCTGCCTCGGCCTCCCAAAGTGCTGGGATTACAGGCATGAACCACCGCCCCCAGCCTGCATCTTTTGTTTCTTAACCAAAAATCAATTTATAATGAGATTACACAAATGGAAGAATTTACAACAGAAATTATTATAGAAAATCAAGCTCAGCAAAGCTATTGAGAATTATACTCAATAATGCTTCATGTTCAAATAACATGGCGTTCTGTACTTTTAATATTAGGTGCAACCCATAATCTAATAAGTACACCTTTTCATTTTGTCCAGAGACAAAAATATTTTATAGTGAATTATGATAAAATCTATTTGTCACATTGACCTACCACTTCATACATTTAGAACATATATTACACAACTCTTAAAAACATATTTCTGTTGCAACCTCCAACTTAGTATTTATATATTTTTCTTTGTGTGAACTTTGCTAAGCTTCCTTTTAATTTCAGAACTTCCCATAACAGCAAACTGCTGAATTATTAAGCTAAATTCCATTGCCTGATATCCCAATTTTGAATCTACATCACAAAAAGTATATTATTATTTTTTCTCTTTTCTTTTGCAGACAGTGTGTGTTGCAGCCCTAAAACTACATATTTTCCTGCTACTTCAAAATCTCCATAAAAGGGCTGTGAGTTTCCAATTTAGTCAACCAGGTGCACCAATGTGATAAGGTCAGTCCCTGCTGGAGGTTCTCCTTCCTACTTCCTTTCCTGACTGTGACCTAGTGACATTCAAACACACCAATGAAATTCCCTCACTCCTTTTCTTGTGTGTCCCACCCTGAACCTCAATAAATGTACTTGCTCACAGGTTCTCTCTCTCTCTCTGCTTCCCATCTGCTTGGGTGATCCTGATCCCTTCGTGCTCATTCCCATGTGATTCCCCTCTCAGCATGCAGTGATCCTGTCTCTCTGGGACCCATGAGCATCATAAACTGTTTTTTCCTGAGCCTCTCCTGTTTCTTCTCATGGCCACACCTGACTTACCATCTCATGAAAGAATGCAAAACAGTGATTATACTTTTTTTTTTCCTTTAGGAAGGAGAGTAACAGAAGGATCAGTTTCCATTGAAAGTGCTATGATACAATTTCCAAACTTTAAGTTCAAAAACTATTCTAAAATCCTTGTATTTGTCCATCCTCACATTGCTATAGAAAGCTAAATCATTAGAAACCACTCCCATGATCCAATCACCTCCCACCAGGCCCCACCTCCAATTTTCAGGATCACAATTCAATATGAGATTTGGATGGGGATGCAGAGCCAAACCATATCATTCCACTCCTGGCCCTGCCCAAATCTCATGCCCTTCTCACATACCAAAACACATTTATTTCTTCTCAACAGTCCCCCAAGTCAACTCATTCTGGCATTAACTTAAAAGTCCAAGTTCAAAGTCTCATCTGAGACAAGGCAAGTCCCTTCCACCTATAAGCCATAAAAAAAAAAAAAAAAGTTAGTTACTTCCAAGATACAATGGGCATACAGGCATTGGGTAAATGTTGCCATTCCAAAAAGGAGAAAATGGTCAAAACAAAGAGGTTATATGCTCCATGCAAGTCCTAAACCCAGCAGGGCAGTCATTAAATCTTAAAGCTCCAAATTAATCTCCTTTTACTCTATGTCTCACATCCAGGCCACACTGACACAAGGGGTGGACTCCCAAGCTCTTGGACATCTCTGGCCCTGTGGCTCTGCAGGGTATAGTCCCCACAGCTGCTTTTACAGGGTGGCATTGAGTGCCTGTGGTTTTTCCAGGTGCACATTCCAAGCTGTCCATGGATTTACCATCTGGGGTCTGGAGGATGGTGGCCCTCTTCTTACAGCTCCACTAGGCAATACCCCAGTGGGGACTCTGTGTGGGGGCTCCAAACCCACACTTCCCCTCCACACTGTCCTAGTAGAAGTTCTCCACAAGGGCTCCACCCCTGCAGCAAACTTCTGCCTAGACATCCAGGCATTTCCATACATCCTGTGAAATCTAAGCAGAGGCTCCCAAGCCTCAACTCTTGCCCTCTGTACACCCACAGGCCCAATACCATGTGGAAGCCACCAAGGCTTGGGGCTTACACCCTCTGAAGCAATGGCCCAAGCTGTACCTTGGCTCGTTTTAGCCACAGCTGGTGCTGGAGCAGCTGTGATGCAGGGCTCCATGTCCCAAGGCTGTACAGAGCAGCGGAGCCCTGGACCTGGCCCATGAAACCATTTCTCCCTTCTAGGCCTCCAGGCCTGTGATGGGAGGGGCTGCCACAAAGGTCTCCAACATGCTTGGGGGGCAGTTCTTCTATTTTCTTCATTATTAACATTGGCTCCTTTTTATTTATGCAATTTTCTTCAGCTAACATGAATTCTTTCCCTGAAAATGGGTTTTTCTTTTCTACCACATGACCAGGCTGCAAATTTTCCAAACTTTTACACTCTGCTTCCCTTTTAAATACAAGTTACAGTTTGAGATTATTTCTTTGTTTATGCCAATGAGTGTAGGATTTTAGAAGCTGCCAGGCACACCTTGAACGCTTTGCTGCTTAGAAATTTCTTCTGCCAGATACCCTAAATCACCAGCCTCATGTTCAAAGTTCCATAGATCTCTAGAACAGGGGCACAATGCTGCCAATCTCTTTGCGAAAGCATAGCAAGAGTGACATTTACTCCAGTTCCCAATAAGTTCCTCATCTCCATCTGAGAGCTCATCATCCTGGACTTCACTATCTATATCACTATCAGTATTTGGTCAAAACCATCCAGCAAGTCTCTAGGAAGTTTCAAACTTTCCCTCTTCTTTTTGTCTTCTTCTGAGCCCAGATCTCATAAGAACTCTATCATGAGACAGCACTATAGTGATGGTGCTAAACCATCAGAAACCACCCTCATGATCCAATCACTTTTCACCTCCAAAACCTGGGCTTACAATTCACCATGAGATTTGGATGGAGATACAGAGTCAAACCATATCAATCCTATTAGGAAGACATCAGATTAATTATTTAGATATTTCAAATTACACTTAGATTAAAGCAGATGATGGAGACCTTGTAATTAGTTTGTAATTCATGCAACCATCCCTGTAGTTATTCAATCAGTGCTTTTCCTAGCACTAAAGATACAGAGAAGAAAGGATTACAGTCTGATATAGAAGTCAGCCATGTAAACAAATAATTAGCATACACAAAGTAAGTTCAGTAACAGAGGTTTGTACTTCATAACTTGCATGGGTAAGGCAGAAGATGAAGTGGTGCACTCTGAGGTCAACAGGTTTCAAGAAGACAGCAATGTTAAGCTGAGTATTATAGCATGAATATGATTTTAGCAGGCAGACAAATAAAATATGTGCCCAGGAGGTTTTCTGAGGAAAGTGTTGAATGTACTGAACACAGGAAGAAAAAAAGAATATGACATGCATAGGAACCATGAACAGTTTAGCATTGTGGAAACAAGGGATATAAGGAGTGGTTTGAGGCAAGTGGTTTGAGGGGCTCTGAATGTTAATTAAGGGGTCTGGACCTTATTCCGGAGGGGATGAGATGCCTTTAGTGCTTTAAGGTGCGAGTAAATTGCTCAAAATTTTGCTTTCAGAAAGAGCTCTCCAGTGCCAGTGTGGAGGATGAATTAGAAACATGAGAGCCTGGAAGTACTGGGTTTTGCACATATACTTCTATTCTCCATATGGAATGTTTTCTTTTCTTCCATATCAGCCCATTTCATGGAAAGCTTTTATTTTTATTTTTTTCAGAGACAGATTCTTGCTTGGTTGCCCATGCTGGAGTACCATGGCATGATCATAACTCACTGCAGCCTTGAACTTCTGGGCTCAAGTAATCCTCTGGCCTCAGCCTCCTGAGTAGCCAGGACTGCAGGCAGACACCACCATGTCCAACCAATTGTGACTTTTTTTTTTTATAGATGAAGATCTCACTATGTTGCCCACACTGGTCTTAATCTCCTGAACCCAAGCAATCCTCCCACCTTGACCTCCCAAAAGGCTGAGGCATGAGGCACTGGCATCAGGCATGAGGCACTGAGCCCAGCCATATCCAATTCCTTAATCTGTGAGATTTAACATTTAACATAGGGGTGTCCAATCTTTTAGCTTTCCTGGGCCACACTGAAAGAATATTTATTTTGGGCCACACACAACATACACTAACATTAACAACAGCTGATGAGCTAAAAGAAAAAAAATCACAAAAATAGCTCATAATGTTTAAGAAAGTTTACGAATTGTGTTGGGCCACATTCAAAGCCATCCTGCAAAGCCCATGGGCCGTAGGCTGCACAAGCTTGGAACAGTTCCAGACAGCAATCCCAGGATTCTCTGAATTGTAGTTACTATGCCTCAAGTTAGCCCTTAAAACTCACTTGTACAATGGTGCTTTTTAATCCCAATTTTTTCTTTGTTTTAGTAGTTTTAATGGTTATATTGAAATATAATTTACATACCATATAATTCATTCATTTAAAGTGTGCAATTCGATGATTTTGTAGTATATTCAGAGTTATGCAACCACCACCATAATCAATTTTAGAACATTTTTATCTGCCCAAAAAGAAACCCATACCCATTAGCAGACATTCCCCATTTCCAACACCACCAGTTCCAGCTCTAGGCAACCATGAATCTACTCTCTGTCTCTGTAGATTGCCTATTCTTGATAATTCATATAAACACAATCATACAATGTATGGCCTTTTTTGACTTACTTCTTTCATGTAACATGATGTTTTCAAGATTTATTCATGTTACAGCATGTATTAGTACTTCATTCCTTTTTGTTGCCAAATCATATACCATTTCATAAATATACCATATTTCTTTATCCATTCATCTTTTGATGAACATTTGGGTTGTTTCTAGTTTTTGGCTAATGTGAATATGCTGCTATGAACATTTATTTACAAGTTTTGTGTGGACATATGTTTTCTTTTCTCTTGTGTATACACCTAGAAGTGGAGTTGCTGGGTCGTAGTATAGCTTTATGTTTAATTTTTTTTTATTGATATGGTGTATTCGTTGATTTTTAGATTTTAAACCACCTTGCATTCTTGGATGTAAATCCCACCTGGTCATGGTGTATACCTTTTTTATATATTGCTGGATTTTATTTCCTAGGTTTTTTAAAAAGAATTTTTACATCTATATTCTTAAGAGATATTGGTCTATAGTTTCCTTGTGATACCTTTGTCAGCTTTTGGTATCAAGGTAATAATTGATATCACTAAATGAGTAGGAGAATATTCCCTTTTCTTTCTTTATTTTTGGAAAAGTTTGAGAATTGGAATTAATTCTTCTTTAAAGGGAAAACTCGCTAGTGAAGTAATTTGGTCCTTGGCTTTTCTCTATGGGAAGTTTTATGGTTACTAATTCAGTCTCTTTACTTATTATAGGTCCATTTAGCTTTTCTATTTCTTTTTAAGTCAGTTTCAGTAGCTTTTGTCTTTCTAGGAATTTGTCCATTGCATCTAAGTTATCTAACTTGTTGGTACTACTGTCCATAGTATTCTTTTTTTATTCTTTGTATTTCTGTAAGGTTGGTGGTAACTTTTTCTGTTTTATTCCTGATTTAAGTAATTTGAGCCTTGAAGTCCAAGAAATTCTTATCAAATTGGTTAGCCTTTTTGAATAACCAACTTTCAGTTTTGATAATGTTCTCTATTACTTTCTTTTATTTATTTCACTAATTTTTGTTCTAATATTTATTATTTTCTTCCTTTTACTTGCTTTGGGTTTAATTTGCTTTTCTTTTTTTAGTGTTTTATGTTGATTTTTTTCAGTGTTTGAGATCTTTCTTCCTGTTTTTTAATATAGGAATTTATAGCTATAAACTTTCCTCTAAGTACTGCCTTAGCTGCATTCCATAAGTTTTGGTATGTTGTGTCTTCATTTTCATTCATCCTAAAATATTTTCTAATTTTGCTTTTGATTTTTTTTGATGTATTGGTCATTTATAGAATATTGTTTAATTTTCACATATTTGTGAATATCCAAAATTTCTTTTAGTTATTAAATTCTAATCCTAATTCCATCCATTGTGGTCAGAGAAATACTTTCTACAATTTCAATCTCTTTGAATTTATTGAGGCTTGTTTCATAGCCTAGAATGTGGTCTATCTTAAAGAGTACCCCATGTGCTCTAGTGAATGTATATTCTGCTGTTGTTAGGTGGGTTATTTTATATATGCCTGTAAGGTCTATTTTGTATATATTGTTCAAATTTTCTATTTCCTTGTTAACATTTGCTTAGATGTTCTATCCATTATTGAAGGGGAGATACTGAAATCAACTATTATTGTTGAATTGTCTATTTTTCCCTTGAGTTGTGTTGGTTTTTGCTTTACATATTTTGAAGCTCTGTTGATGGGTACATATATGTTTATAATTGTTATAACATCCTGATAGATTGACCCTTATCATAAAATAACCTCTCTGTCTCTAATAACACCTTTTTCCATTTTAAGGTTGATTGTGTCTAATATTATAGCAATTCCAGCTTTCCTATGCTTGCTGTTTACATGATATACCTTTTTCAATTATTTTATTTTATTAATTTTTTCTGTTTTTGCAAGACGGAGTCACTCTGTTGCCCAGGCTGGAGTGCAGTGGTGCAATCTCAGCTCACTACAACCCCTGCCTCCCAGGTTCAAGCAATTCTCCTGCCTCAGCCTCCCGAGTAGCTGGAACTACAGGCACATGCCATCACACCTGCCTAGTTTTTGTATTTTTAGTAGAGATGGGGTTTCACCATATTGGTCAGGCTGGTCTCAAACTCCTGACCTCAGATGATCCACCTGCCTCAGCCTCCCAAAGAGGTGGCATTACAGATGTAAGCCACTGTGCCCAGCCAATTCTTTTACTTTATTTATTTATTTATTTTTGAGACCGAGTCTTGCTCTGTTGCCCAGGCTGGAGTGCAGTGGTGTGATCTCGGCTCACTGCAGACTCCGCCTCCCAGGTTCAAGCAATTGTCCTGCCTCAGCCTCCTGAGTAGCTGGAACTACAGATGTGAGCCACCACACCCAGCTAATTTTTGTATTTTTAGTAGAGACGGGGTTTCACCATGTTGGCCAGGCTGGTCTTGAACTCCTGACCTCATGATATGCTCGCCTTGGCCTTCCAAAGTGCTGGGATTACAGGTGTGAGCCATCCCACCTGGTCTAACTCTTTTACTTTCAATCTATTTGTATCTTTGAATCTAAAGTGTTTCTCCTGTTGACAGCATGTAGTTACATCATGTTTTCTTATCTAGTATGACAATCCCTGTCTTTTGATTGGATTATCTAATCAATTCACATTTAACACTAGTATCTATATAGTTAATGTTTGCAGTTTTAATTTTTGTTTTCTATTTGTTTAATATCTTTTTTGTTCCTCTATTACCCCTATTGTGTTCTTTTGCATTAAGTGAATATTTTTAGAGTAATATTTTAATTACTGTAATTACTTTTTAAACTATTTTTAAAGTTTTTTCTCAGTGGTTGCTCTAGGGTTTGCCATACATGTCTTATCAGAGTCTATTCCAAATTTATACAAACTTAATTAAAGTGAGGTACAGAAACATTATTCCTATATAGTTCTATTCCCTCTTTCTCCTTTTTGTGCCATTATTATTATACATATTACATCTATAAATGTTACTAACCCAATAATATATTGCTGTAACTATTACTTTGTAAATTTTATGTCTATCAAAGAAGCTGAGAAAAGGAAGAACAAGTATACGCAGTCATGTGCCACATAATCGCATTCAGTCAACCATGGACCACATGTATAACATATATGATGGCCGTCCCATAAAATTATACTTTTAAAGAAGGTATTTTTACGGTACATTTTCTGTGTTTAGATACACAAATACTTTCCATTGTGTTATGATTGCCTGCAGTATTAAGTAGAGTAACATGCTGTACAAGTCTGTAGCCTAGGAGCAATAGGCTATGCCATATTGCCTAAGTGTGTAGTAGACTATACCATCTAGGTGTGTGTAAGTATACTCCATGATGTTTGCCCATCAACAAAATTACCTAAAAATGCATTTCTCGGAATATACCCCGGTCATTAAGCACAGGCCTGTACACATAGAGTTTGTTATGTTAACCTTATTATTTACCATTTTTGGTTTTCTACATATGTTCCATCGATTCAAGTCATTATCTGGTGTCATTTCCTTAGCCAAATTCAACTTGCTCCCACACTCCTTTATGCTGTTATTAGCAAATATATTACATTTCTATATGTTCTGGCCCAACAATATATTTATAAACATAGTATTTCACACAACTTCATTTTAAATCAGTTGAGAGATGAAATAAGAAACATGTTTTTATACTTTATAACTAAAATTAATTGTTATTTTTATTAATAAATTAAAATAAATTAACAATTAAATTCAGACTGGGGTACTTTTGAGGCCAGTCTCCCAGATTTTTTCTGAGCTAAGGAGGACTCTTCTTAGCTCTCTCTTTCACTGATTATGTCTGTGAATAGCTGGCCTGTGGTTCAGCTTGTTGTTCTTAATAAGGGAGCCCTATTGTTTTTGAGAGTATCTTTATACTTGAGCTTCTCCACACTCCTTTTCAAATAAAGTCAGTTCAGAAACGGGTCCAGAGCTCTCTTTTCTTACGGATGTCTCTCCCTCAGAACAAAATTTCTGAGCCACTATTCCCGGTACTGCAGAGGGTGGGGTGCATAGTCTCTGATCTTTCCAGCCTACCTTTCCTGGTATGAGACTTTTGTGTTATGAGTGTTAGGATGAGGGCAATTCAGACCCCAACATTCTTGACCTGCTGTGCTTGGGGCAGAGCCTCTGTGTGGATGGGGGCTATGTGGAGGAGGAGAGCACTTGACTTTTCTACAACACTCACCAGGAATTTAGCCTATTTATCTTGGATTAAAGGGGATAAGAAACATTGACAGTCTGCCCCTTCTGGTGAGATGTGTTAACACTTGATTGGGAGCTAAGGAGGGAATCCATCTTCTTGGCCACACCCACTTGGAGTAGAGCTTCTTTCACTAGTGTCCTTTTAAACGTTACGGTTCTGGCTAGGCAGAGACACAGACTGGGCCTTCGCTAGGTGGAGACAAATTCAACCTTTGCTGTAAAGGGCCTAGATTTGGAATGGTAGTTGTGGAGAGTCTGTTTTCTGAGAAGCCGGTAATAATTAACGATCTTATTTAATCCCCATTTACGGATGAAGTGAAAGTATCCTAATTCACATAAATAGGAATGACAAAACGGGAGTCAAAGTCAGGTGAGTCTAACCTTGAAGGCCTAAATCATATTCTACTACTCACTGAAGGAACAATTTCTTCCTCCATTAAAACTAGAGAATTCCCAAAAATTATAAGGGAGGAGAAATAAATAAGGGGTTAGAAGGAAAGAATAAAAAAAATTCAACAGAATTGGTCTGGATTTCCCAGGAACTACCTCATAACTGGGGGACTTTTTTATTCAAAATGTGCTTATGACATATGAAAATACTACCAGCATCTGGCCTTATGTTTTCCCTTTTTTTTTGAGATGGAATTTTGCTCTTGTCGCCGAGGCTGGAGTGCAATGGCGCCATCTTGGCTCACTGCAACCTTCTTCTCCCGGGTTCAAGAGATTCTCCTGCCTCAGCCTCTCAAGTAGCTGGGATTACAGGTTCCTGCCACCATGCCCGGCTAATTTTTGTAGTTTTACTAGAGACAGGGTTTCACTACGTTGGCCAGGCTGGTCCCCAACTCCTGACCTCAGGTGATCTGCCCCCCTCGGCCTCCCAAAGTGCTGGGATTACAGGCATGAGCCACTATGCCCAGCCTGGCCTTATGTTTTCGTATTAGCTACATTGCAAGACTCTTAATGTCTCCTATTTATATTATATTTAACAATCACCTCATCCCATTTACAAATTATTCACAAACCACTCTTTAAAGCTGACACGCTTCTAATGTGATGAAGTAATTCATGACAACCCTAATCTTCACTTCTATTTTCCTAAAGTTTTAATTGGCGGAGCATTTTTAAAAACACCCTTTTAACATTTGTTAAGTTAGTTGTATGATTTTTCCTCTCTCATGTATAAATATTATGAATAAAACTAAAATTTCCAATGTTAAGTACTATTTGAATTTCTGGGAAAATGCTACTTGTCTTCCTGGGAAAATCTTCCTTTTGTACACTACTGAGTTTCATTTACTAGTATATCTGCAACTAAATGTATGTGTTATTTAGCTATAATTTTTTTGTTTGGTACTGACGTCAAATTTTGTGATTAGAGTGTTGGGCAAAGCAATCAGAACACAGCACTAGTGGCATCTGCTGCAGATATGAAATAGGGTTTATTAGAGGTGGAGAGAATTCACAAGTAGAGAAGTAGTAGAATGCATAAAATCTTCTAATTTCTCATCCCATAGTTTAGGCCAGAAGGCATGCCCTATGGCCATTGTTGCTGTGGGGAAGGGTCCTGTCCCATTAGGTTGAACATATTTATCAGCACAGGAGCGGGTACTATGCAACATTGGAGCTCTCTAATCTAGGAAGTGGCCTTGTTAGAAAGATGGGGGTGGGATTTTCAGAGCTCACAAGCTGTTATGGTCTGTTTTCTCTTCAACTGACTGTGACCTGCTAAGCCAATTCTGCTAAGCCATCAAATAGAGGAGGAAATTAGCCTCAGAGGCCATCCAAGTTTGTCTCTTCTCACAGGATTTGCTTGTCTTTTATAGAAAATTAGAATGCTTTTCTTCTTTTTCAATGTTATGAACTACCTTAAGTAGTAAAAAGGTAATCTGTTCTTTGAAGTTTGATAGAAGTCATCAATAAAACTGTAAGGGCTTGGCACCATTTTGGGGATAGCTATTTGAAAGCTTTTTCACATTTTTTCCATTATTTTCCTACTTTTTCTTCTGCTAGTTTTCCTAATTTAAGTATTTCTAGAAATTGTTAATATTTATGTTTCCAAAGTTATGGCATGGTACTTTCTTATAATTTGAAATTTTTATTTCATTTCTTAGGTTATATCCCTTTTCTTTTGCTTAATGTATTTTTGCTCTATTATCTTGTAAGATAATAGAGCTTTCGTCTTAAGAAAGATTTGTATATATTTACCCATCATCTTTTGGATTTATTTGTTAATGATATCATTGTTTAAAATTTTTTAATGTTTGCTTTTTAATTTATCAAATCTCTGATTTTCCTTAGATTTTCTTGTTGTTTACCTAATTTGAGAGTTTGGTGTTTAGGTAACTTATTTTCATTATTTTATGACAAAACCAGTTAAAAATGAGTTTTGACCAGGTGTGGTGGCTCACACCTGTAATCCCAGCACTTTGGGAGGGATTGCTTAAACCCAGGAGTCCGACCAGCCTGGGTAACACGGTAAGACCCCGTTTCTACAAAAAAATAAAAATATTAGCCAGGGGTAGCACACACCTGTAGTCCCAGCTTCCTGGGAGGCTGAGGTGGGAGGATCATTTGAGTCTGGGAGGTTGAAGCTGCAGTGAGCTGTAATCATGCCACTGAACTCCAGCCTGGGCAACAGAGTGAGATGCTGTCTCAAAAAAAAAAGAGTTTTTTCCTAGTAATAATGGATAGCATTTATAAAGTTCTCACAATGAGTCAGAGAGTCTTCAAAACAGACCTATAATGTTTCTACTATTCTATTCCCATTTTCATATAAGGGCACAGAGCACTTAAAATGTCTACCCAAGCTTCAAAGCAGTATAACCAGGATATAAATCAAACTTTTTTGGCTCTAGAACTTGCTCTTAAACGCTACATAATGTTGCTCTGGCTAAGTTTCAGAATTCTTTTTTTTTTTTTTTCTGAGACAGAGTATTGCTCTGCTGCCAGGCTGGAGTGCAGTGGTGCCATCTCAGCTCACTGCAACCTCCACCTTACGGGGTTCAAGTGATTCTCCTGCCTCAGCCTCCCGAGTAGCTGGGATTACAGGTGCACACCACCATGCCCAGCTAATTTTTTGTATTTTTTGTAGAGATGGGGTTTCGTCATATTGGCCAGGCTGGTCTCGAACTCCTGGCCTCAAGTGATCTGTCCACTTCGGCCTTCAACAGTGCTGGGATTGCAAGAGTGAGCCACCGCACTCAGCCCACAATTCTTGAAAGACATTTTTCTCATATTTCCAACTTGTCTGTAATTCTAAAATTTCCTATTTTTATTGAAAATTTCATTTTTTATTTCCAAAGGGTAAATCTTTTATTATTGATTCTGATTTTATTTTATTGTGGTAAGAAAATGTGACCTATTTCATTTCTGCATTTTGAAATTTAAGTTCAGTATTGCCTAATAGAGAGTCATATTTTGAATTTATTCAATGAGCACTAGAAAATGAGAGTATGATGTATACATACACAATGTAATTATAACCTGAATTACATTATGATTCTTCATTATCTTATTCTTTATTTGCATAATCTATCAAAGATTCTATCAAAGAGCATCTAAAAGTCTCTACTACAAATGTTCTCTTCACAATTCCTGTATTTTTTCTTTACATATTTTTGTTATTCACTGCATAAAACTTTATGAATATTTTCTTCATTGTGAATTATATTATCATTTTCTTAACAAAAGTACCCTCTTTTTGTTTCTTTCCCTTATGTCTGATATTAATAATTTGCTCCCTACATTTTTTTGTTGTTTGCACTATTTGATGCATTTTTACCAGGGCTTTTTCATCTGGTTTTTAATCTGTCAATCATTTTTATAAACAGTATACAGTTTGTTTTATGACTCAGTCTATGAGTCTATTATTGATAGAGAGTTTACGCTGTTTTACTTAATACCATAACTGATAGGGTTCGTTCTGTTTCTGAATCTTTAAAACCCTTTTGGTTTGGTTCTCCTTTTGCTATATCTTTTTAATTAATTTATTTATTTTTACCCTTTGTTATGCAATGGTTCTTTTTTTTAACAGTAATTTTGAATATATGCACCCTTTGCTAATATCTAATAAACTTTACTCTATTTATCTTTTTTTGTGCCATACATTTATCCCCTCACAACTCCAGAGAAAATTCCCATTTGAAAATAATGGTAGTAAGTCTGCTTTCTCCCTTTTCTTTCACCAAAAATCATCAAAAAGAACAAGAAAAATAAGAAACAAAAAGTGCAAACTCATTTTTAGTGGAACAATGACAGTTAAATCCCCAAATAACACAATAGGGGAAATGGCTCCTACAAGCAGTGGGATCGAGCATGAAAGAAGAAAGAAGACACTGTAGATGTAGATTTCAAAAAAAGTGTCAGAAAGTACATTTTTGGAAAGTGAAGTATATACTTTGAGGTGGAAAAGATCAATCTTGTATTTAGCACAGGATGCAAGGACTACTGGCAGATGCTTCCCTAAGACTGGGTTGGTTCTGTGAATCAGAGGAGTCAAGGCTAAATCAGGACTCTCACAGATCAGTCATATTTGCAAGAAGTAGTCAGTCTTTGTGGCAGAAGAGAGGAAGAGAAGCTTCGCATTGTGAAAACTTCCACACTTCATTATTTCCTTCTGTTGGGGAAGCATAGAGGTTAAAGTGGCTCATACACAACATCCTGGATTCTAAGGAAAATTCTAGTTTCTTGGAACATCCCCAAGATTACCTTCACTTTGTGAACCTTCGACAGATTGCTGGTCAAGGAAAAATCTTACCTGTCTGAAAGATAAGTAAGAAATAGAAAGCAAGACAAGAATGGGAAAAGCAAATGCCAGACCAAAAAACCCACCAAAAAATGTTGCATTAAAGCAGATGAAAATAGTAATCATGTATTCTGGCCTAAACTTTTTTTAAAAATAATATTTATAGCAAAAATCTCTATAAAACAAGAAGAAAAAGAAGAGATACTAGAGTTCAACAGGTGCTGAAAAAATACATCCAGATGATTAAAAAATGTAAAAAATGAAATGTTATAATTTTGAAGTGAAGGCCTTCCTATGACACAAAACCCAGAAGCCATAAAAGAATGATAAATTAGACTCTATTAAAATGAAAAACCAAGATGAAAAACTTCCAGGACCAAAGGCATTAAACAAATGAAGAAATATTTGTAACTAATTTAATAAGGTACTAATTTCCCTAGAATATACAAATCTATTGGGAAAAGAAAGAAAAAAAAAACAACCCACTAAGCTAGACACAGCGGCATGTGCCTGTAGCACCAGCTACTCTGGAGGCTGAGGCAGAAGGATCACTTCAGCTCAGGAGTTCGGGGCTGTTGTGTGCTATGATCACACCTGTGAATGGCCACTGCATTCCAGCCTGGGCAACATAGTGAGACTCCCATCTCTTTAAAAAAAAAAAAAAAAAAAAAACAGAAGAGAAAAAAGGCAAAAAAAAAAAAAAACCTTCACTGAAACAAAATGAGCAAAAGATCTGAACAGATGGATTCAAAAAAGGAAATGTAAATGGCTTTTAAACATAAAAAGATTGTCAATCTTATTTTTAACAAGAAAAATACAAATCAGAGCCATACAAAGATTACATTTCACATGTAAGACTGGAAAAAAAATTTTTAATGATAACATAGTCCCAACATTGTTGGTGGAAATATAATTGTTACAATCAATTATGTCTGAACAGTGCTTTGGCAACACCTATCAAAATTACAAAAACCTATATCCTTTAACCAAGAATTTCACTTCTAAAGATTTATCCTACAGATATACTGGCCTGTGTGGAAGATGACAATGTACTCAGTCATTGCTGTATTGTTTGTAATAGCACAAGACTGAAAACATCCTCGTGGGCGGTGTTTAAAGAAATGGTGGTATGTCAGTTCATGGTAGATGGCATCAATAGCCCCATTTCTTCAGACCTTCCTTTACACAAGCCTTTTGCCATGCCACTTTGTAGGGCCCTTTCACTTTGTTTGGGATGTAATTCCATGCACCTTGGCTTTAGTATGTGATTTGCTTTGGTTTATAGCATATTGGCAGATGTTAGGCAAGCAGTATCTTAAAAAGGATTTACATGATTTACGTTTGCTTGCTCTTGTGCTTAACCTGTTGCCATAAGAATAGCATGTTTAGGCTATTTCACTGGTCTTAGGAGGAAGGTCAGAGCCATTTGGAACAGAGTTGTTTTATATCCATACTATGGAATGCTACTTATAAAAAAATAAAAAGGAATGAATTATCGATACTTACAATAACACGGATGAATCTCACATTAGTTATGCACAGTGAAAGAAGCCAAATTAAAAGAGCACCAACTTTATGATTCTATTTATATGAAATCTAGAAAATTTAAATTAGTCTGTAGTGACAGAAATTAAATTAATGGTTGCCTGAGGATGGGATGGTTTAAGGGCGGCATGTGAATAGAGGGATTACAAAAGGACATGAGAAAACTTTTGAGAATAATGAATACGTTCATTTTCTTGATAGTAATGATGGTTTCAAGGATGTATACATAATTATCCAATGGTACACTTCAATTATATGCAAAAGAACATTAAAAAAGAAATGTAATGTTAGGATTTGTAAGGCTGAGTAATAGGTGCACAGGTTTTTATGCTGTTCTGTATTGTTGAGTGTGTTTGCTGTATTTAAAAATAAAATATTTAAATTCACTTAAAAAAGAAATCTAGATTTTCACATCAGAGTTAGTTGATTTAACAAAGTAGTGGGAACAACAAATTTCATGAAAATAGAGCCCATGTCTGTCTTCTTCACCATTGCTTCCTCAGTTCTCAGAACAGTGCCTAGAAGCACTCATCACATACTCCAAAAATATTTATGTAATAAATAATGAATAAACTCAGTTTATCCATAGCTACTAGTAATTTCCCTATTTTAAAGAAGCTTCCAATTCCTTATGATGAAACTTGGAAGTTATCGAACAATTTTTGAGTGATGGCACATACTTTGGAGGGTGGTTGTGGAGATTATCAGAAACCTTGAAGTGTCTTTAGTTTTCTTATGAAGATGCAGGGCTTGTATTCAGGCAGTCTGCAACAACAAAGCTCTATTAGTTGTTTACAGGTGGCAGCCTCTGATTATTGAACACTGTTTGATCAGTTTTTGTGCCATACTGGTTGCAAACCGTTTTGAATCTCACCCCTTTGTAAATGTCACCCACATCAATATTTTGGGGGTGAAAGTACCGCCTGATGTCACACATTTCTCTACCGGGTTTCTATTGAAGTTCAGTATGGGCATCCTTTGGTGTGTGCCCCGCACCCAACTCCTTTATCCTATCGCTACCCACACTGTTCAGGCCATATGGTTTGACACTGGCTTGACTTTATCTCCCTAGTTAAGCTCCTTAACTTCCTTTTTTTCACTCCAAGGTAATATGATAAATTTCTATTTCAAAGTACATAACATCTCTAGTACTCTCTTCCTTAGCTTTCATATGGGGATCTAAATTTGATACTCAATTTTGTATTTGAACATTTCAAACAGTGCTAAGAACCATCCTATTGACCTCTGTATTTTAACTCACTGGGTAGGACTTATAATAAAATAGAGAAGCCTGGGTCATGTACCCAAACTTTGGCCTAACGCTATCTGCTGAACCTCTGCCATGGATATGCAATAGATTGCCTGTCAATGTGCCAGTATTGTAAATTTTTTTAAGGGAAATTGCTGGCTTTGGAGGTAGCCCTGTTTGGAAGACAAAGTGAGTACTACAGAAAAGCACATTAATAAACATTTATTGAACTGTGTTAAATTTAATTGAAATTAATTGAGTTTGGATGGTGGCTACAATTGCAACTGCTCCCATTTCTTGACTGAATTCCAGTCTTGGTTTAGAACCCATCTTGGGTAAGAACATTTTGACAAGAATCCCTGCAAACATCTTCCGTGTCACCTCCGAAGTGGAAATAATGTACATTAAAAAAGGATATTAGGTAACATTGCTAATTTAAATATTTACCATAACTTCCTTTTAAAAGACAATAATTTCAATCAAATAAGATAGGTTCTTGAAACAGATAAGTGTCTTATCCTATTCTTTCTCTAGGTATTTTTTCACTTCATCATAATCAAACTTGACTCTTTAATAAAGAATTATTAGAATTTCTCTTGGTCATTACTTAAAATATAGAGGCTGACTAAATACCATGTATCTGAAATATTAAATTCAAAAGAGAAAAAAATTTTAAATAAGTTTTCTGTGATGTTATGCTACTTAGAATTATGTCTGTATTCTTACCTTCACAGTGAATAAATCACCAAGACTTGTAGATTCTCTTAAAAATTTATACAGGTTGTTTTCAAACTTTCAAAAAATCAATGTTTCTTCTTCACAATATTTTATAAAGCCTTTTTTATTTTACAAAATGCATCTTGATAAATAATTTAAAAAGTACATACTATATTAACTAGAATATTAAAGGATAAATAAAAGAAGAATATTAGTTAATATGTAGCACTACATATAAATACTTGGGCATAACTACGATAGAAACTCAATGAAGTGGTGATATTCTTCTGCCTACTTATAAACAAGCTAGGATTTAAGAGAAGTTAGACCAATATTCAAATGAATGTTGAAATAATTTTTAAAAATATTAGACATTTTGAAATAAGAATCACTGCAAATGTAACAACTACAAATGCAAACTGATACTATATTGATGATCTGAGTAGAATGAGTGGCATGGTTATCAGAGATAAAATTTTGGTAAAGTTCCAAACAAAACAATATATATTGTTTCCTTACAGTGTTAACTGTTCCTGGAAAATTCAACGTATAATAAAACCATACTATAAGTATTTGGAGCTTAAATGTAAAATGAAGTTGTTTCTAGGCTGAGAACTTCAGGTTTTTATCTAGTCACACTGGGGATAAATTAAAATTTCTCTTGGTCATTATTTAAAATATAGAAGTTATCTGTAATCTTATATTTAGAATTATAAATGTATGTATTGTTACCTTCAAAGTGAATAAATCACCAAGATTTGTAGATTATCTTAAAAATTTTTATAGGTTGTTTTCAAACTTTCTAAAAGCCAATATTTTCTTTTCAAAAAATATTTTAGTGGCACTGGGTGCAGTGCCACTCTGTTGGGAACCACTGTTCCATGTAATCTTATGGTCTATATAATAACCAGTGGTCTATATAATCTATTGTTGCCTTGCCAATCTTTTCCTTCTACTTTAGTTTGGCTCTTTGTCATCCCTCACTTGAACCACCCAACTTTTCTCTCTGTTTTGTCTTCTTTGTCTATAATTTACCTTTTAAACAGATAGCAAATGTGATCTTTCTAAAATGCACTTGTGATCATGTCATCCCTCTGCTGAAAACTTCCATTGGCCCCCCATCACTCAGGATAATACAAACCTTTTATTTTTATTTATTTATTTTTTTGAGATGGAGTTTCACTCCTGTTGCCAAGGCTGGAGTGCAATGGCATGATCTCAGCTCACTGCAACCTCCACCTTCTGGGTTCAAGTGATTCTCCTGCCTCAGCCTCCCAAGTAGCTGGGATTACAGATGCCTGCCACCAGGCCTGGCTAATTTTTGTATTTTTAGTAGAGATGGGGTTTCACCATGTTGGCCACGCTGGTCTCGAACTCCTGACCTCAGCTGATCCACCTACCTCGGCCTTCCAAAGTACTGGGATTACAGGTGTGAGCCACCATGCCAGGCTGGAATAATACAAACCTTTTAGACTGGAGGTCAGTAATCTGATCCCACTAAATTTCAAATCTCACCTTGTACCACTCCCTCCAATGTATCAATGTGTGCTGTGCTCTGCTTTGTGTAGTCTCTAGAACTGAATAAATTCTCAGGTTTTTCACCAACTTGCCGATCTTTTGTCTGTCAAGTTCTTACTAACATAGTCTTCCTTCAGTATGCATGGGGATTGGTTTCAAGAGCCCTGTGGATACCAAACCCCACAGATGCTAAAGTTTCTGATATAAAATGACATAGTATTTTTTTATAACCTACATGCATCCTCCCACAGACTTTAAATCATCTCTAGATTATCATACCCAATATAATGTAAATGCTATGCAAATAGTTGTTTTACTGTATTTTTCATTTGTATTATTTTTTACTGTTGTAGCATTATTTTTTCCTGTTTCTTTTTTCTGTATATTTTCAATCCCCAGCTGATTGAATACACGGGGCAGAAGCTGAGTATACAGGCCGATTGTGCTTCAAAATGCAACTCAGGCATTTCCACCCTAGTAAAACCTTCTGACAGTCTCCCCACTCCATCCCATGTTTGCACTTACCGTATGTTTTGTAACTATTTGCTTTCCCATTAGACTGTGAGTTATCTGAGGGCAGGGATTTTTATCCTATCTACCCTTGTATTTCAAGTGCATCAAATAGGTGGACAGTATATAGCGGGGTCTTAAAAAAGCATTTATTGAATTAATGTTGAGTGATCCTGCTGTAATGGTGACTATTTGGAGAGTTTGGATATTACTATATACAATCATCCCTTGTTATCCTCAGGGAGTTGCTTCCAGGATCCTTGCGGATACCAAAATCCAGGGATGCTCAAGTTCCTTAAGTTAAATGGCATAGTATTTGCATATAACCTATGGACATCCTCCTATATACTTTAATTCATCTCTAGGTTGCTCATAATACCTAATACAATGTAAATGTTATGTAAATAGTTTTTATGCTGTATTTTTTTGTGGTTTTTTTTATTAACATTTTATGTTTATTTATCTCATTTTTATATAAGGGCTTGTTTGAACTGCAATAACATTGGTTTTGGCTGTAAGAGAAATTACATATCATTAGATAACTTTATTTCATTAGGGGAAGAGGTTTTTCTCCTTAATTTCTCAAGTGAAAGTTCAGTGGAATTCTGACATATGTTTATTCTGCCCTGAAAACCTCAGTGTCTTCCAAAGAAACAACTACTGAATCTGAAATAGTGAATGGGTCCAGGGATAGCCTGCCATATTGGAAATAAAGTAGGAGAACAGAGTTTAAACCACAGGCTGGCCACTTACTAGGTAATCTGGACCAAGTGGTTCTCTAAGTCTCAGTGTTATTATGTGTAAAATAGAGGTAATGGAGAGTTGAGAAGGAAAATGAAATCATGCATATGAAAATATGTAAATGGTTAAAGCACTATACAAATAGAAACTCTTAATAACCATTATTAATGGTGGAGGAAGGCTGGACCACCACATTCTGGACCATCAACCCTGCCCCTCAGAAAGGAGTGTTAATTCACCAAAAGGTTTGTTTTGTTTTTGAGGTGGAGTCTTGCTCTGTCATCCAGTCTGGAGTGTAGTGGCATGATCTCAGCTCACTGCAATCTCTGCCTCCCAGGTTCAAGTGATTCTCTTGCCTCAGCCTCCCCAGTAGCTGGGATTACAGGTGTGCACCACCACACTTGGCTAACTTTTGTATTTTTAGTAGAGACAGGGTTTCACCATGTTGGCTAGGCTGGTCTCAAACTCCTGATCTCAAGTGATTTGCCCACCTCGGCCTCCCACAGTGCTGGGATTACAGGCATGAGCCACCGCGCCCTGCTGTATTGCTTAGGAAATAATGATAATTTTTTAAAAAGTCTGTACATGTTTGGTTCAGATGTAACCACCCATTTATTTTCTTTTGATTATTTTCTATCTGTGGTTTGGTTGAATCCAGGGATATAGAACCCACAGATATAGAGGGCTATATTTTTCTTTTACTAGCCGCAGCACTTATTGTACTGACTGATGAGACAAATACATTCCTTTTGACCCATTCCTTAATTTACATTTTACTTTAGTTTACACATCTCAGAAGTTTACACACTTCAAGTACTTAAAGTGACTTGAAGTTTTCTTTTTAATCACTGACAATTTTAAAAAATTATTTCTTCATGAATATACACATATACATGTACAATTTCTGGTGGGTTTTTTTTTTTTTTTTTTGTCAAATTGACCCTCAAGTTGATGGTTTTAGTTTTAAGTGTTGGTTCATGGTTTTTTGACATATGTGCTTGTTGTTCACCAACACTTGACTTTGTTTTAGTTACTTTTCAGATCTGACAGTTTTCACGTGTATTCAATTCCTTTGCTAATTTGAGACAGAGATCAAAATGAACTAGTCTTAAATAATCTTGGTGTTTGTCCATGCTGGACCACGCGGCTTCTCTCTGCTAGTTACCATAAGGGTGGTCATAACCACTCATCATTCTTTTTATACCTATTTATTCCTTGCCTAATCAGGATTTAGAAGCAATATTTCAATAATTTACTACTGACTTTCCTTTGGGTCATTAGAAGAAAAATGGTCCCTGTAGAAACAATCTTGTAAATAAATGATAGTGTAGAAACGTTTCCTGCAGGCTACAAAGTGACCTCTTGAAATACACTAAATTGGTTCTTATCTGTCGGGACATTCAGATCCTTCCTTTATTTCACTTTGGAATAGAAGAATAAATTGGGAAAAATGTGCTCTGCAATCCTCTGCCCTGCCTTAGAGTATGTAAATAGCATCATGCACAAAAAATTTTCAAGCTGTCAGGAGTAAAGTAAGTATGATAATTTGGGATAATTAAATGCTTAAGACAATCAAAATAGAACTGATCCTAGTAAGCTTTTCTCACTTGGAGGAAACTTCTTTAAAAAGTATTTACTGATCTAAATGTCTTTCAATAAGGCTGTTAAATAAATTGTGGTACAACAATCTACAGTTTGAAATATTTCAGTCTTTAAAAAAGGAGAAGCATACCTATATGTATGCACACAGAAAAATAGATGGTTGTTTTTAAAAAAGAAAAAATGCGAATAATTCATATACTATGATCCCATTCACATAAAAAATAGCAGAAACAATTGAAATATTTATAAAGAGAGAGGGCATTGACTGGAAAGATACACACACCAAACCGTACTCAATTCTGCATTGAGAGCTTTTGCTTCCGTGTCTATGTCTTTCGTTTACCAGATTATCAACTGCTGTATTGCCAGATCAAATACAGGATACTCAATTAAAGTTGAATTTCAACTATAAGCAACAAAATTTTGGGTGCATTTCCCAAATATTGCATGGGACACACTTAAAAGGTATTCATTGTTTTGTTCATTAAAAGGTATTCATTGTTTTGCCAGATTTGTTAAATCTGGCAACTCTACCTTAAAGAGACTTTAAATTATTTATCCTTGTATTCCTATTACTAACATAGTTACAGAGATATAGTGGATTACAATAAATAACATGAGGGGGGTAATTTAGGAGAGAACTATCAAAACAGATGATTTTGCTAAGTATGTGACATATTTATCTCAATTTTCATGGAAATATCTTCAAATTTCATTAGTGGTCCTATTATAGAAGACACACAGCAGGCAAGTGTCAGAGCTAGAAATGACCCTAAATTTCTGGGTCCCTATTCAGCAGCCATAAGCAATTGCCAGCTGCAGGAAGGTGGAGGCAGAAGAAGTAAAAAGGGAACAAGAGGTGAGGTTTACGTTCTGCCTAAGTGGAACAGAGTAGAACTTTGCACAAACTCCTTAATCTTGCCTAGAGGCAGAATGTGGGATGTACTATATGGGAGGCAGGCAAATCTGGGCCTGGTTCCCACCTCCATCACTCATTTGAACAAGTTATGTAATTTATTTTTGCGTCAATTTTCTTGTCTGTAAAACTGGAGTGAGAGGACCTAACTTGAGTACCGAAGTGAAGAGTCAATGAGATAATATCTGTGATCAGCACAGTGCTTGGCAAGTGGAAGACACTCAGTCAAGCTAACTTAAAGCCCCAGTTTTTTCATTTGTACAACAGAACAACAACAATAATAGCAACAAGCAATAATACTAACAATATTTATCTTGCCTCTGAGTTGTCTTGAAAATCAGATGAGTATATATATTATGTTTCTAAATTCTAAAGTGTATCTCACTCTCCTAACAAAGCAGTTGGTCTTCAGATCAGGACCAGAGTTAATACCATGCCAGAGCATTATTACAGGTTTTTTCCAATGAGTAATTAATTTTATTTTTAAACTTATCATACAGTAAAATTGACTCTTTTGGTTTACAAAGTTCTATGAGTTATAACACGTTGTATAGGTTTATGTAACCACCACCACAATCCGGATACAGAACATGACTACAGCTTTAGAGATTCTTTTTCAAAGTGTTTTACATTCATGTTGCAAAACACTTTTAAAAATAAGAAAAGAGATGTAGATAAACGTGCTGAAGATGCAAATTAATGAAACCAGCTTTTGTGCACAAATCTCTGCAGTTTCCAGTGTTTTCAGCTTTTGTCTGAGCCATTTTTGCTGTCGGCTTTGCAGACTATCTCTTTCTATAAAAGTAATCAGGCGTCCGTTGGAGAGTTGGGGTCTTTCTTCACACTAAAGGCACATGTCCCAGGCACAAGCCTCAGGATCCTTATTTGATCTTTTTTAATACGACCAGGTCTTAAATTTCCGAACCATGTTTTCCCTAATTGCCATTTTCTCTCTAAAATGAAGAAGCCTGGAAGAACCTTCTTATCCCTTCGGGGAAATTATTTAATTGGGACAAAGGGGATGTGGAGTTACAGAGAGCAACGATAGGGCTTTCAGAACCCAAAACCTGTCTGGTATAATAACAGATCCTTCCGGTAACCAACCATTCAATTTGTCCCTCTCCCCAACCCCATCCTCTCCATCACCATCTGCCAGATGCCCCCTGGGACAATCGACTTTGAAACCAAACTTCTCTCCCAGGTCAGCTCCTGCAATCCCCACTCCTCATCCTTGGAGCTTTCTCCACAGAAGTGACTTGACACACCGCGCTACATCTGGGGAGGGGGGCGGGTCCGCTTTCCGGGAGACTCAAGTCTTTGCTATTTGCCTTTTGTTTCTGGGATGCCTTTGGCTGCCTTTCTCTTCCATCTGCTTTTAATTTTGGTAAGAGAAAAGCTAATGAATCAGGAATGAATCTCCTCTCCACTAATCTTTTTTTTTTCTTTCTCTCTCTCTCTCTCTTAAAGTTGGCGCGCTCTCTTCACAAGTTCCATCACTACCCAAGAAGTGAGGGGGCGGGGGGGACAGGCGGGAAGGCATTAATTACACCTAAATCTGAAGTTTGCGGCCTCAAGTACCACTTTGATGGGGAGAGCTTCTGAAGCTTCCATACAACCTGCCGTGCCTTTGCTGCTGCCGCAGTAGATTTTCAGCTCATTTCTTTCTGCTGCTGCTTCGCGCTGCTCTGTCATGCCTAAATCTATCTCGTCACTGCCAAAGGTGCCTGAATCAGGGTGAATTCCACGAGATTCACCAGCGGTTTTGCTCCAGTCCAAGGTAAATACAGTATGCAAAATGAGGAACCACCCAAGGATGTCGGGGAGGGGGGAGAGAAAGGGATTCCCTCACCTTTTCCGGCACATTCCTCGTTAATTTCCACCAGGAGGAGGCGCGCAGCCCAGCTCCCCTAGTCTCTCTTCTTAAATCCCCCTACCTACGGCTGCCGAGGTTGGCCGCGCGTCGGGAATCTCCCCGACAGTCCTGGCCCTCCCCCGCCCCCCGGGTTGGTTTTTCCCAGCTGCGGAGGTTGGGAGGTTGGGCCAGGGGCTGGGGTGCGAAGAGAGTCGGCGCCCGCAACGCGGAGCCGGGAAGTCGTCGCTACTCTGGTGGAACTCAGAGTTGGTTCTGGAGGCGGCGGACGCGGAGGTGAGCAGTGGGAGCCCGCGGCCTGGGAGAGACCCGGGAGGCGTCGTTGGGGCCCCTCCCCATCCTCGGGTGGAGAGTAGGGTTGGTTCGGGTTGCCACTGTACCCCGAGTCCCACTGCTGCTTTGTTCCCAGACTCTCCCCTCCTCTTTGGAGATGACTTGAACCCCTTTGAGATCCGAGGGGCTGGCGGGGCGCGGGCTGGGGGGCGACAGTTGTAGCTCCACTTCCTGCTAATGCGAGAAGGTACAAAAAGAGATCAAAAAGTCCTGTAACCTGAAACTTCCCTCGCATCCTAACCGGGACCTGGTGGAGAGGTCTGGGCGGGGGCGGAGACACCCGGAGGCCGACCTTCCGCCGAGGCGGTGCAGGAAGGAACGGGAGAGGGAGAAGTTTGGTAGGGAAGGAATTGGGGATTAAGCGGTAAGTTAGACGCGGGAGACGAGTCTCCTCGGGAAAGGCGGAGGGCGGGAGGCCGGTCGGGTTTATTTAGTGTGGGCCAGGGAAGAAGGAAGACTTTGCGGTCTGGGTGTCGGATGCGCGTCCCCCTCCGGAGTAAAAGTGACCGGAGGGGTTGGGGAGGCGAGGCCGGGGCGGGCTTTTGGAAGGAGGTCTCTGGGACAGACTGGAGACGACTAGACTCGAAAAGGCCGGTTTTTGCACTCCGGAAGCCGCGGCAGCCACCGCTGTTCACGCCTCTCTCCTGCTTGTCCCAGGTCCCTCAGAGGATCCAGCGAGGGGCGCCAACAAGAGGCGAAGAGGTGGCACCAGGGCGGCGGCAGGAAGAGGAGCGGGAGCAGGAGCGCGGAGCGGAGCGTCCCGACCCGCCGTGCGTACTTTCTGGAGGGAAGGGGCGGGGGAATCGGCCCCTGAGGGAAGCGCCCGGTGGCGAGGGGGTTAGCCAAGTTCCGGCTGCGGCGCCACTCCCTCGGTTCCACGAGAGGAAAGTTTTTTTTTTCCAGACGCTTCCGCCGGCTCGCGCCCTCCGGGCCCAGCCTCCCGAGCCTTCGGAGCGGGCGCCGTCCCAGCCCAGCTCCGGGGAAACGCGAGCCGCGATGCCTGGGGGGTGCTCCCGGGGCCCCGCCGCCGGGGACGGGCGTCTGCGGCTGGCGCGACTAGCGCTGGTACTCCTGGGCTGGGTCTCCTCGTCTTCTCCCACCTCCTCGGCATCCTCCTTCTCCTCCTCGGCGCCGTTCCTGGCTTCCGCCGTGTCCGCCCAGCCCCCGCTGCCGGACCAGTGCCCCGCGCTGTGCGAGTGCTCCGAGGCAGCGCGCACAGTCAAGTGCGTTAACCGCAATCTGACCGAGGTGCCCACGGACCTGCCCGCCTACGTGCGCAACCTCTTCCTTACCGGCAACCAGCTGGCCGTGCTCCCTGCCGGCGCCTTCGCCCGCCGGCCGCCGCTGGCGGAGCTGGCCGCGCTCAACCTCAGCGGCAGCCGCCTGGACGAGGTGCGCGCGGGCGCCTTCGAGCATCTGCCCAGCCTGCGCCAGCTCGACCTCAGCCACAACCCACTGGCCGACCTCAGTCCCTTCGCTTTCTCGGGCAGCAATGCCAGCGTCTCGGCCCCCAGTCCCCTTGTGGAACTGATCCTGAACCACATCGTGCCCCCTGAAGATGAGCGGCAGAACCGGAGCTTCGAGGGCATGGTGGTGGCGGCCCTGCTGGCGGGCCGTGCACTGCAGGGGCTCCGCCGCTTGGAGCTGGCCAGCAACCACTTCCTTTACCTGCCGCGGGATGTGCTGGCCCAACTGCCCAGCCTCAGGCACCTGGACTTAAGTAATAATTCGCTGGTGAGCCTGACCTACGTGTCCTTCCGCAACCTGACACATCTAGAAAGCCTCCACCTGGAGGACAATGCCCTCAAGGTCCTTCACAATGGCACCCTGGCTGAGTTGCAAGGTCTACCCCACATTAGGGTTTTCCTGGACAACAATCCCTGGGTCTGCGACTGCCACATGGCAGACATGGTGACCTGGCTCAAGGAAACAGAGGTAGTGCAGGGCAAAGACCGGCTCACCTGTGCATATCCGGAAAAAATGAGGAATCGGGTCCTCTTGGAACTCAACAGTGCTGACCTGGACTGTGACCCGATTCTTCCCCCATCCCTGCAAACCTCTTATGTCTTCCTGGGTATTGTTTTAGCCCTGATAGGCGCTATTTTCCTCCTGGTTTTGTATTTGAACCGCAAGGGGATAAAAAAGTGGATGCATAACATCAGAGATGCCTGCAGGGATCACATGGAAGGGTATCATTACAGATATGAAATCAATGCGGACCCCAGATTAACGAACCTCAGTTCTAACTCGGATGTCTGAGAAATATTAGAGGACAGACCAAGGACAACTCTGCATGAGATGTAGACTTAAGCTTTATCCCTACTAGGCTTGCTCCACTTTCATCCTCCACTATAGATACAACGGACTTTGACTAAAAGCAGTGAAGGGGATTTGCTTCCTTGTTATGTAAAGTTTCTCGGTGTGTTCTGTTAATGTAAGACGATGAACAGTTGTGTATAGTGTTTTACCCTCTTCTTTTTCTTGGAACTCCTCAACACGTATGGAGGGATTTTTCAGGTTTCAGCATGAACATGGGCTTCTTGCTGTCTGTCTCTCTCTCAGTACAGTTCAAGGTGTAGCAAGTGTACCCACACAGATAGCATTCAACAAAAGCTGCCTCAACTTTTTCGAGAAAAATACTTTATTCATAAATATCAGTTTTATTCTCATGTACCTAAGTTGTGGAGAAAATAATTGCATCCTATAAACTGCCTGCAGACGTTAGCAGGCTCTTCAAAATAACTCCATGGTGCACAGGAGCACCTGCATCCAAGAGCATGCTTACATTTTACTGTTCTGCATATTACAAAAAATAACTTGCAACTTCATAACTTCTTTGACAAAGTAAATTACTTTTTTGATTGCAGTTTATATGAAAATGTACTGATTTTTTTTTAATAAACTGCATCGAGATCCAACCGACTGAATTGTTAAAAAAAAAAAAAATAAAGATTCTTAAAAGAATTACAGTGTGTGCAAGTTTGCTTTGAAAAAAGGATGAAGGGCAGGAGTATTCAATGGTCTTGGTTCCGATGATAATTATTACTTAACATAGCTGAGAATCAAACTGTAGCAATGTCTAATATAAATAGACTTGGGAGATCGTTTTGAAATGGTGGATCCTTTTAGTATTTAAATGGAGAGTTTGAGTATTCATGTGACTGTATGGTCCCAAAGTTAATGCTATTTATGAAACAGTTTTGTAAGAACATAATGAAGTTGGTAAAAGCTAAGCGTTCTGCACAATAAACAGTTCCCAGTTTGGGGCTTTTTCAAGGCTAATGAAGTTATTGTTGGTCTAGAAAAATAGTATTTACTTAATAAAACTCTGTTTGAAATTGTTCTGTGGATTTTTAGAGCAGAATTTGAAACAAATGTAATGCAAATAAATATAAAGATAAAGTGTCTTAAAGACAATATTCTGAAATAAAAGATATAAAATATAATTTAAAAAATATTTCTCAATGTCTTAATGTAAATTGAAACTTAGATTTTCTTGAGGATATTTTCAAAAAAACATTTAAAGTGGAACATAAATGTTCTTTAGTTTATCAGAGACCCAGCTAATATGTTTAAAAAGTTGACTTGACATGGTTGAATATGAACTTGAGGAAATAACCACAGATAAATGTCTACATCTGTAAACACGTGTCTCAAGTATTTATAGGTTCTTATCTTCAGTTCAGTGTTTAAGAATTTGAGGATATTTTGATTTTAGCTAAGCTGTTCATAATGTAAGTATATACACCTTTGTGAAGAATAAATCACATTTAGGTGTAAATACAGGCAATCATTAATTGATACATCCATAATATACAAGGCTTTTATTATTTTTTCAGTTTATTATCTGTCATTTAATCTGAAAAGTAAATTCCATTAATCAGTCTTCAGGCTCTTTTATCAAGTGATTTAAATGTAGCCATTATTGCTTAACTGAAAGTATTAGGTAAACTTGCATCAGTAAGTCTTAGGGCTTGCTTTTCCTTTGAACTGGTTATGTCCTTCAGTGCTTTATGTTTGAAATAAAATCTACATTTTCATATTTTTATAAATAAAATAGGATCAGATAGTATTTTAGGTTCTAGAAATCTTTGCTGATTCCTTCTTTGAATTAAATTCAGAAATTTTCAAAGTAGGGCTAAAAATAAGTAAATCTTCCTTTTTATAGGTTAGAATATATAGTCAGAATACAAAGCTGTAATTCCTTAAATTCCATCAGGCTTGTTTTGTGAAATATAGTATTTATTATTTAAGGGTTATATTTCAGATCCTATAATTACCTCAGAAAAAGCTAAATATTTGGCACTTAAAATTCCATCAAACAGTTTAAGTGTTCATCAGAAATTCCTAAACTGTCTGGTTGCCATTATTTGGTAAGAACAATGAGATACTAATCTGTCAAAAATAGTGACCACTATCTTAGTAAACTGTTGATGGACTTAGTAAGTCTTCTGATATTGTAGGAAACAAATTATAATATTGATAGAGCCTCTATTGAGAAGAATTGTTTCTTCATCACATGATAATCTAACAGTTTAAAGTGGAGCTTTATCTAAGAACCAGGGAAGCAGTAGATTCATTAGTCTAGCTTTTCTCATCAACTCTTTGAAGCAATGATGAATCTGATAAAGTGAAGCCAAGTTTTCCCTGTTAGGTAGATGGCTTCTTTGAAGTTATAATTTATTGCTTCTTTTTCATCCCCCTACTTATTCTCTTGTTTGGACTTTCCAATTGCTACTGCTTTGTTTTCCATCACATCACTCCTTCCTGTTCTCCAAAATATGGAAATAAAAAAGTCAATTAAAAGAACACCTTATTCTTAAGATAAAAAATTGTTATTATTTGACAACTAATTAATGTTTTGCAGCCCTAATATTCTTAAGTCTATAAGCTTATAAAACATTCTAAGTTCCTTGGAAGATAGAGGCTATATAAATTCAATAAGTATAAGGGAATATGGGAAAAATAAAAGTATCACTTTATTTAAAAATAAGACAAGTCTGTTTGTTTTAAATACTGTTCTTACTATTAATGCATTGTTGACTCTAGAAACCTGCAAGTATCCATTTTTAAAATTTTATTTTAGTTGGTAATACTCTTTATTACTGAACGTAAAATTTTCAACATAAAACACCCTTCATTTATCCTTTACAAGTTTCATTTGAAGAAAGTTAGAAAAAATACTTAGAAATTCAAGGACTTGATATATCCCTTAATTTAGAAAGCTATTCAACTATCCCATAAATTTCTATTTAAAGTAGCAAAAATTTTAGGATAATACAGCTATTTGGCCCTGAATTATAACTGCCCCCTTTGATTGTAACCATTCAGTTTGCAGCATTCGTTTTTGTAATAGCAGTTTGGCTGCTATGGGTGTGATTCAATGGTAACCTACAAGGCAAATTTGTACAGGAGCTGACAGATTTTTCTAACAAAATAAGGAGACTTTGAAGCACATTGAATAGGAGTTTTTAAATGAATAGGATTTTTTAAAGGAAAAAGAGTAGGAGCTTGGGGGGGAAGGCTGGTTGAAATAAATGAGCAAATCACAAATAATAAATCCTTTAGAAATACCTTGATTGGCAGTAAGTGTGGATTATGCTCATCTCAGTATTTAATTAGAAATAACTTACCTTTGTCTTTTGTCTTTTTAATTAAAGTGGCTGTAAAAAAGAAGGTCCAGATGAACTGAGATTGTTTGCTTAGGAATTCTGTTTTACTCTTTTCCTTTTACCTGATGTTCTAAAACAGGGCTTACCTTGTTGAGGACCTTAGAGGCTTTGCAATTCTAGATTGTGATTCTTTCATATCATTTTAGTTTTTCTCCCAAGACTACACTAAAGGAGACATCACGAGATTTGCAAGGTTAAAAACAATTCTGCACGTGCTTCCTCCTGCTCCCAAATCCGGTCATCCACCTTTCAGAGCAGCACCGTAAAGTGAAGACAGACATTTATTAGATGAAATTCTGGTTTCACTTTTACACTTGTGCAAGCATTTTTAACAGTAAAGGAGAGGAAAGGGAGGAATTTATATTTCTAGATAATATATGAAAATTACCTTGATATTGTATTTTTAAGATCTTTCACCAATACTGCAGTGCTGCACTAGAAATAATTAGTTTAAGAAAATACATTCAACATTGTCCAGGTGATCCTGTCACCTTTTAGATGACGAAAAACATCTTGAGGATGTTTTGTACAGTTATTTTCCCATTGTTACTCTTAGAGACTTTTGTTTCAAAAAGGCAGGCTCATTTTATTTTGTTTTATCTTAGAACATTTTAGCAGCTCTTTGTCATGGGTTAAAAAAATCTAGAATTAAAAAAATGTTTAATATATGATTTATATAATTTTGACAAGAATACAAATTCTTAGTCGTTCAAAATTGGAAGCGCTCTTAGAAGTGTCAAGCTCAGCTTTCCATTCCACAAATGAAGTAACTGGTAACTGTGACTTATTATGTTATACAGTGACAGTTATTATGTTATACAGTGTCAGTTATACAGTGACAACCAGGACAAAATCCTAGGGTTCTAGATTCCCCTTCTGGTGCTCTTTTTACCAGATGATGGCATTACTAATTGCCTACCTTGAGGCCTTTGAAATCACCATGTCTGATAAAAACATGCAATTGCTTTGGTGAATTTGTTTGTTTTATTGTTGTTGCTTTGAGTGAATGCTTCAGTTTGCTCTAGATTTTACTTTGTTAAAAATTACCATGTTTTAACCCCCGAAAACATTTAATGTTTTTGAAATGATTTTTTCATAACAATCTTATGAGTCTATTATATAATAGGAAGTATTTTGGAAATTTAATGGTGATATTTCTTTGGAAAAGAAAAATAAAAACTCTGGAATGCAGTGCTGGTTTGTATAATTCAACCTTAAATGTGAGTTAAGCTCAGCTGGTGAGAAAACTAAACAAATGAGACCAAGTTCGTGACCATTAAGTCAATCAGTCACCAGGTGAGACAGTCAGCTTTGCATTCTCTGCTGTGTTCTCCTAGCTCACGCCCACTCCAGGTGCATGCTGCCATCCTCTAAGGGCCTGGACCAAACAGGGAAGTTAGTTAAATCAATGCAAATCCATTATCACCCTGGAAAACCAGGGGACTGACCAGCCGAACACTGCCAGCTTGGCTGCTGAAGTGCCAGTTTACTGTCTTTACATATGCAGGACACACACTACATCTCAATTTTCTCACATCATATGTAGTATTTATGCTGCAGATTGCAAAAGGCTTATAATTTATGTGAATTTTGGGAAGCTAGCATGAGTACCTTTCAGGGTATTGCATGGGAAATTAATTAGGTTTACTTTATTATTTTAAAAAAGTGTGGGTTAAGATTAAGCAACATGATTACTATATCATACACTTACACGTAAATGTTTATAAAAACAAATACAGTTTATATTTAGCTGACATTTTATGATAGGACTTACTTGTGGTTCACAATTTAACTTGGTTAATGTAAGGAAACATTTGGTCTAAGGAAGCAGAAGCTTAAGATAATGACCCTCTATAATACTTTTTGTGAAAAGTAAATATTAAAAATATGTTTTAAAGAACCGGGGATGTTATCGAGATAGGCTTAAAAAAAAAAAAAACGGAAGTTTATACATTTATTTTCCCCTTCCCCTTACAGTTCTTTTTTTTTTTTTTTTTTTTTTTAAGACACAGTCTTGCTCTGTTGCCCAGGCTGGAGTGTGGTGGCATGATCTCAGCTCACTGCAACCTCTGCCTCCTGGGTTCAAGTAATTATCCTGCCTCAGCCTCCCGAGTACCTGTGATTACAGGCGTGCACCACCATGCCCAGCTGATTTTTGTATTTTTAGTAGAGATGGGGTTTCACCATGTTGGCCAGGCTGGTCTTGAACTCCTGACCTCAAGTGATTCGCCCACCTTGGCCTCCCAAACTGCTGGGATTACAGGTATGAGCCACCGTGCCCAGCCATCAGTTCTGTTTCTATTACTTTTTACTTTCTTCCTCCCAAGAGAGCCATGACACACAACATTTCAAGGTGATCTTACCCAGGGGAATTGGACTGACTGGAACATTAGGTGGGTCAGTTTACAAATACAAGTGACTCTATGTCAGTTTCTCTCAATTTTACAATACAGTATTACATTGTATTCAAGGAGGACTTTAATTTTCAATGGTACACATTCTGTGGTGATTCTTATAGACCATTTCAACACTGGCTATAAAACACTTAAAAAACATTTTTAAATTAACTCATGTTTTGTAGAATATTTTGAAGTACAGGAAGGGAAAAGTACCATGAGTAACACTATGACTAAGGAAAAAAGAAGTGCTAATATTGGGATAAATGGCCTTCTCTTTATTTCACATGTATCCTGCCTTTTCAGTTACACTTTTTTGAGCATTCTCCACCACTATGAAAACTATTTTAACATCTGGTTCTAATGTACTGCAGACAATCATATGTTTTATACATACAGGATGTTGCTTGCAGTTTTAACTTATGTTGCAATAAGCATTTTTGTACCCCCCTGTATTTCTACCTTTTGCATTTTTCCCTTAAGGTAGATCCTTGAGGGAGAATTACTAGATCCAAGGGTATAATCTCTTTTGTTCTAACTTCAAAAAATATTTTTGATGCCTATTTAAATTAGGATGATGAAATATAGATCATAGCTCACTATATGTTTTAAGAGTTTCACATCAAACTTTACATAGTAACGAAATGTCTGTGGACAGGATTTTGAACAGAAGTAAATATGGACCGAGTTGTCAACTAACTTGTCACTGTTTTAAATCCATAAATTTCTATTCTTTGTTAAAATAACAAATTTAGAAGATAGCTAAGCCCATAGCCCAGTTATGAGTGAGTGTGTGTGTGTGTGTGTGTGTGTGTGTGAGTCAGGGTGGGGAAAGACAATGTGGGGTATGGAGGAACATCTGGGAAATAAATTTAGCTAGTTATGAGTTAGGAAGCAGTTATTAAGACAAACCTATATCTTTGCCGAATTCTACTCTTTTATTTATTTTTTTAGATGCCTTGTATGGGTATACTTAGAATTAAGTGAGATTTCATACAAGTGAATTAATTGTACTCATCTTCTTGTTAATTTGCTTTAAAATTTTAGTAAGTTCCCATGAATCATTTTTTCAGATCTTGCATTGGATTTTTAAAAATGAGTTTCTGAGATAAACTTGCTTCTAATCTAGTTGTGAGGACAAGTGATGATAATAACTAACATTTCATGGAGTGCAGCTTTTCACATATAAGATTTATTCTCATTTGAAGAGGAAATTGAGGCTTACAGAGGATAGATGACCTGCCCAAGAACAACTTGGTAGTAAGAATCAGATATGGGATTTGAACTGTTGTTTTTTTCTGGGGAGGATGTTGGGGGAGCCTTCAGGATCCAAGCTCTTAACTCCTGCTCTAGAGGAGATGTGAATGACGATCATGTCTGTGCTTTTTCTAGCATAGAACATGATAAACCCCACCAGAGATTCAAACAAGGTGATATCAGGTTCAAAGTAAGGAGAGATCTTGTCTGGTCAGGAGAATCCAAAAAGGGTTCATGGAAGAGTTAGCTTTTAAGATGATTTTGAAGAAGAGGCAAAGAGAGATGATGGGTAGAAAAGAAAACTCAGGACAGAGAGAATAGCATAAGCAAAGAGAATGGAGGCAATTGAAGACCAAGTGTTTTCTGGGAACAGTAACATTTGAAATGTAATGTTTACAAAGGAGAATAATGGAGTATAAGACTAGAAAGATAAATTTATCTTTCTAGATGGAAGCTATCATAAATAGTTTCTATACAATTTAGTGGACAGTGGGGGAGCTCTTGGAAGTCTACGAGCAAAGGAGTTATATGCATAGCTGTGGCTGTACCCAACAAAGATGAGATCAACACCCTTCCCAAATTGGTTTGGATATCAAGACTGATGAGACCACACACACACCAAGAGAGTATGCACAGGTTTATTACTTGCATAATGTGACTTTTTGGGGAGAGCAGGACTTGGCTTTGTTTTTCATTGTGATCAGGGTTGGAGCCACGTGGAGGCTTCAGGTTTGTCTGGTCTTCACATTCCAGCAGATGCCAAGGGATGAAGTTCATGGGCCCTATTATAGGCTTGCTCAGATATGGGACAAAAAGTGGGAGGAGGAGGAATGGATCTTAAAAACTATGAGTACTCAGACATCACAAATGGAGTCAGACTCTATTACAATTCACCACTGATGTTTGATTGATGACTGAAATGTGCCAGGGCTGATTTAATTGATTTTGAACTTGTTTAAATAAACCATTATTGTACTCTATGAGACTTGCAGCATGAGGTCAGTAAGAGAGGTGAGAGTTCCATTGCATGTCTTCTTCAAAAGTCCATGGTGTGTATTTTAAGAAGTGAAATGCAGGCCTTGGTCATCATCAATAATTTCTGGAACTCTGAAGGGGATAAGAAGTGTCTTGGTGAGGCCTTTTCGTTTAGTTTTAGTGTGGGCTGATGTGTGACATTTGTTTATATTTTGGCTATCTGTAAGGCAAAAAATTCCCAGAGATTTTGTTTTTAGCCCAAAGTGGGGTGACCTTGGATAAGGAATTGCTATTATTGCTACAGATCAGACTAACTGACTAGATAATTAGTAATGCCCCAATAATGTATACAAATAGACATACTGGACCAGTTGTTGGTTAAACATCATGTAGTGCTAAGATGACTGCATGAAGTTTGGTTGGTTGTGCTGGCTCTTGAGTCCCATCCTTGATCAGGGATGTCCTGGTTAGGGAATGAATAGCAGCAGCTCACTAGAGGGCATCATTACATTTTATGGTGACCTTGCATATGAAATCCCTTTTCTGATTACTCAGTTGATCCCAAGAGACTCTCCAGGTGGCCAGTGGGCCTGGAAGAAGGGTGGCCTACAGCACCATTACCTTTGGCAAGGGGCTGAGGACAGGAGAAACCACTTCCTCCTGTAGGTTGGATATGCCAGGAGGCCTAAGTTTGCTTCTGGTCTATAAGTACTATTTCCATTTTTGTCCAGAGGCCTCTATAACTAACTGTGCTGATTGTGCAGAGTGCTGTGTCAATGATCCAAGGCATAAGAGGCAGCTGGGTACATAGGATCACAGGCTTAGGGGCCATGAGGGTATTTGTCTCCAGAAAGGCCCAATGTGCAACCAGCAGTTGATGTTCAAATGGTGTGTGGCATGGGACTGAGGAGGGCAGCTTCCTGTATCAAAAGCCTGTGGGCAACTTACAGGTGATCCAGAGACCCCAGGAGGCATGAGAGGAGGTTGCTAAAACCTCTACAGTGAGGGAATCTCTGGGGTATATTAAGGAGAGTGCTTATTGTGTGTAATTTGAACAGATTCTAGAGCATTTAGTTAAAGGAGACCTCATTCAAGGTGGGCTATATTAGCCCATTCTCATATTGCTAATAAAGACGTACCCGAGACTGGGTAATTTATAAAGGAAAGAGGTTTAATTGACTCACAGTTCAGCATGACTGGGGAGGCCTCAGGAAACTTAGAATCATGGCGAAAGGGGATGCAAAAACGTCCTTCTTCACATGGCAGCAACCAGGAGAAGAGCTGAGTTAAAGGGGGAAAAGCCTCTTATAAAACCATCAGATTCCAGCCTGGCCAGTATGGTGAAACCCCATCTCTACTAAAAATACAAAAATTAGCCAGGTGTGGTGGCACATGCCTGTAGTCCAAGCTACTTAGGAGGCTGAAGCAGAAGAATTGCTTGAACCCGGGAGGTGGATATTGCAGTGGGCTGATATTGTGCCACTGCACTCTAGCCTGGGCAACAGAGTGAGACTCTGTCTCAAAAACCAACCAACCAACCAACCATCAGATCTCATGAGACCTCACTCACTATCACAAGAACACGTCCCTCCCACAACATGTGGGAATTATGGGAACTACAATTCAAGATGAGATCTGAGTGGGGACACAGCCAAACCATATCATTCTGCCTCAGCCACTCCCAAATCTCATGTCCTTACATTTCAAAACACAACCATGCCTTCCCAACAGTCCCCAGAGTCTTAACTCATTCCAACATCAACCCAAAAGTCCAAGTCCAAAGTCTCATCTGAGATAAGGCAAGTCCCTTCTGCCTATGAGCCTATGAAATCAAAAGCAAGCCAGATACAATTGGGGTACACGCATTGGGTAATTCCAAATGGGAGAAATTGGCCAAAACGAAGGGGCTACAGGCCCCATGCAAGTCCAAAATCCAGTAGGGCAGTCATTAAACCTTAGAGTTCTAAAATGATCTCCTTTGACTCCATGTCTCACATCCAGGTCATGCTGATGCAAGAGGTGGGCTCCCACGGTCCCGGGCAGCTCCACCCCTGTGGCTTTTCAGGGTATAGCACCCTCCCTTGCTGCTTTTTTGGCTGGTGTTGAGTATCTGTGGCTTTTCCAGGCACATGATGCAAGCTGTTGGTGGATCTACCATTCCAGGGTTTCAAGGATGGTGGCCCTCTTCTCACAGCTTCACTAGGCAGTGCCCAGTGGTGAATCTGTGTGGAGGCTCCAACCCCACATTTCCTTTCTGCACTGCCCTAGCAGAGGTTCTCCATAAGGGCTCCACCCCTGCAGCACACCTCTGCCTAGATATCCAGGCATTTCCCTACATCCTCTGAAATCTAGGTGGAGGTTCCCAAACCTCAATTCTATGCACCCTCAGGACCAACACCACATGGAAGCTGCCAAGGCTTAGGGCTTGCAACCTCCAAAGCCACAACCTGAACTGTACCTTGGCCACTTTTAGCCACAGCTGGAGCAGCTGGGACACAGGGCACCAAGTCTGAGGCTGCACACAGCAGGGGGGCCTTGGACCTGGCCCAGGAAACCATTTTTCCCTCCTCTGCCTCTGGGCCTGTGATGGGAGGGGCTGCTGGGAAGGTCTCTGACATCCCCTGGAGACATTTTCCCCTTTGTCTTGGTGAATAGCATTTGTCTCCTCATTACTTATGCAAGTTTCTGCAGCAGACTTGAATTTCTTCCCAGAAAATGGGTTTTTCTTTTCAATTTCATTGTCAAACTGCAAATTCTTCTAACTTTTATGCTCTGCTTCCTCTTGAATGCTTTGCTGCTTAGAAATTTCTTCTACCAGATACCCTAAATCATCTCTCTCAAGTTCAAAGTTCCACAGATCTGTAGGGCAGGGGAAAAAATGCCACCCGTCTCTTTGCATAGCAAGAGTGGCCTTTCATAGCAAGAGTGGCCTTTACTCCAATTCCCAACAAGTTCCTCATCTCCATCTGAGACCACCTCAGCCTGGACTTTATTGTTCATATCACTATCAGCATTTTGGTCAAAGCCATTCAACAAGTCTCTAGGAGGTTCCAGACTTTCTCAGATGTCCCTGTCTTCTGAGCCCTCTAAGTCTCTGGAAAGAGACACATTTTCCTGTCTTCTTCTGAGCCCTCCAAATTGTTCCAACCTCTGCCTGTTACCCAGTTCCAAAGTCACTTCCACATTTGTGGGTATCTTTACAGTAGCACTGCACTACCTGGTACAAATTTACTGTATTAGTCTGTTCTCACACTGCTAATAAAGACATACCCAAGACTGGGTAATTTACAAAGGAAAGAGGTTTAATTGACTCACAGTTCAGCATGGCTGGGAAGGCCTCAGGAAACTTATAATCATGGCAGAAGGAGAAGCAAAAACATCCTCTAAACGTGGCGGCAGCAAGGAGACGTGCCGAACAAAAGAGAGAAAAACCCCTTATAAAACCATCAGATCTCATGAGAACTCACTTACTATCATGAGAACAGCTGCATGGGGGTCACCACCCCCATGATTCGATGATCTCCCACCAGGTCCCTCCCACAACACGTGGGAATTATGGGAACTACAATTCAAGATGAGATTTGGGTGAGGACAGAGCCAAACTATATCATGGGCCAGTTTGCAAGTAGCAGCATAAGTGAACTTAAGTAAAATTTGTAAGTAAGGAATATTTGCCTTCAGAAGCCTAAAAAGTCCTAAAAGATTGTTTGCTTATCTTAACATTGCAGGTGTTAAGAGAGGGCCACTAATTGTTTTCTGATAGTATCAGAGCTGGAGTAGTCCTTGACTGACAAAATAATTCCCAGTAATTTAACTGATATGGCAGGGCCTTGTACTTTTTGTTGGGCAATGCCCATTTCTTTTTGTGAGTATTTGTATTTTTTGAATGAGTATGTCAAATGAATCTTTGAAGAGGAGGATGCCATCAACGTAATATCATATCTGTGTTCCTGGAAGAAGGTGGATGTGATGAAGATCATGGCAGCAGAGATTGTGTAGGAGGGCAGGGTTATTGAGATACCTCATGGACAGTCAGGTAAAGTTGTATTGTGTCCCTTTGAAGGTGAAGGCAAATTGGAACTGAGAGGCTGTTGAAATAGAAACTTAATAGAACATATTTGCCACATGTATAATAGGAAAGCATTTTTCAGTTACTGATTGGATAGAGTCAATAATTTCAATAATATCAGGTATGAGAGCCTTAATTGAGGCACCGTGCCATTAAGGTTGTGATAATCTGCTGTTAGATGCCATTCATTGTTATCAAGTTTGAGCGTTGGCCAAACTGGGCAATTAAAAGGGAAAATAGCAGGAATGATGGCGCCTTCCTTTTGGAAGTCTTAGATGGTGGGTTTTAATTCCTGTAGGTCTTGGTTTAATCTATATTGGACTTTTTAACTATTTTAGCTGTGAGAGAAGGTCCATGGTCTTGGTTTAATCTATGTTGGACTATACTAACTAATTTAGCTGTGAGGAAAGGTCCATGGAGTCCCATTTTGGTAAGCCAATTTTAAGTGCCAAAAACTTAATTTTATTTGGGAGACCGAGGTGGGCAGATCACGAGTTCAGGAGATCGAGACCATCTTGGCTAACACGGTGAAACCCCATCACCACTAAAAATACAAAAAATTAGCTGGGCCTGGTGGCGGGTGCCTGTAGTCCCAGCTTCTTGGGAGGCTGAGGCAGGAGAATGGCGTGAACCCGGGAGGCGGAGCTTGCAGTCAGCCGAGATTGCGCCACCACACTCCAGCCTGGGTGACAGAGTGAGACTCCATCTCAAAAAAAAAAAATTAATTTTATTTCGATTTATTACTTGTGAGGTCAAAGAATTCATGTGCACTATGGGATATTTTAGGTCAATGGGCACTGTAACTATGGGAAATTTAGTTAAGGCAATAGTATCAGTGGTAAAGGAGAGACATGAATAATTGTCATCAAAGATAGTGAGCAAGCTAAGAGCAAGAAAAGAAAGACTCCTAGGTGGTGGTGGTCCTCAACTAGACAATGCAGTTGAGTCTACCAGTTGCTTTTTGGTTGCCCTGTGGATGGCAGGATCATCATCTACTCATGACTCCCACCAAAGTGGTTTGAATTTTAAGTTTGAGAATGATACACACACACACACCAAGAGGGTATGAAAGGATTTATTACCCGTATAATGGGACTTTTTGGAGAGAGCAGGGCAGACATCCAAGCTAGTATAGAAGGGCTTAAGCAAAGAGAGGAGAGTGGCTCTGATTTTTATTGTGGGTAGACAGTCAGGCCAGGATAAGGGTTCCTAGGTTTGCTTGGTTTGAATTCCCTCCTGCTTCTCCTCTACCCGCCATTCATGCCAAGGTAGGAGGGGGTTGTGAAGGAGTAAGAAGTAGGGAATGGGAATAACTGTGGATTTATTAGTTTGCCCAGATGTGGGGTGAGAGAATAAAAGGGAGGGGTAGTATATATACATAACTTGTTTCTCTTCTGCATGTATGGTATATGGGATTATGGGCTAAGTGACCCAAATAATTCAAAGTTTTTATTTTTTTATTTTTTGATGTTAAACTATAAACAATCACTACATTTTGATGGCATTTAACATATGTGAAGAATGATAATAAAATAATAGAAAATCCTGGTTAAGATATTGTATATGGAAAAGAGGACCATAGGAATGCCATTTACAAGTCTAAAATGGAAAAAAAAATAGCTCAAAAATGAAGCACTTCCCTTAAAAGAATAGTAACACTATTTTACTTTGACTATCCAGATGTGCTCATAGATTTTCTTTGTGACATTAAATGATCCGTTTTTATGCTATTGGCTGCATCCATTTTTGCAAAAATGCTTTCCAGAAACTGAAACTTAGTTTTGAATATTGGTGTAACACCATTGTAGATAAGTAAGACATTTCAAGCCTTGTTTTGAATGTGTTGACCTTAATTATCAGATCTGAGGTCTGCATTTATCATATGAATCAAATGGTTATGAAGTTCTCCTTTTAAAGTTAAGAAAACTTTGTCATGTCTTTTCAGCTTAATCTTGGTTGGACAGTTGTCCTCTCGGTAGAAAAGCTGAGAACAAGCATTCCTGCCCTTCTCATGTGTCTGCCAGAGTGCTAATCCCTATGTCCTCACCAAGGCCCAGCTTTAAGGGCTCCTCTGCTGCTTATGTAAACTGACCTGATGTACACTGCAATCGAGGTATTTTTCAAATAACCTGCAGCTTCACATACAAATCAGCTGCTTCTTATTTTAAGTGGCTTTATTGGTCATAAAACCAAAATTACCATTCAGTCCAAAGAAACAACTTTTTTCAATTAATTTTAGAATAATATAGAAACTGTATTTTTAGATTGACTTTTCCTACACTTGACTGTTTTGCATGTGCGGGTTGCCATAGTGTTAGTCTTTGGTAAGAGATGTAACAATACAAATCAAAAACAAAGAACCACTGAGCTGGATTTTTCTCTGTGTGTCATCTACCCCTTGATTGGAGGTAATTGCTTTGGCATTGAGAAAACCTGACTCAATTCTTTGACTTCGTGTTAGGAAAAAAATGGCATTTAACTAAACACAACCAGCAATGTTGATGTTTAGGATATTTGACAATTTGTTACTGTCCTTGTTTTGCTTGAGAAACTCAATTTGCAGCCAGCATTTTGCTAACAGAACCGAGTGCAGAAAGCCGATGGTACTTGACTGGATGGGACTAGTTTTGGCCAATCCATGAGTTGAGCAGCGTTCCAAGCCAGATTGAGGCTTGACTCAAGTGGACTTTCTTACTGGCAATGGCTTCTGGAGATTCTGGCAGTGCCGTAGTCTCCACGGGAGACTGAATGCATGAATTTGGATTAAGTACAACCGTGAGTGGCAGAAGTTGAGGTACATGTTTTTTTCTTTCATGTTAAGAGAGGAGGTTTGAATCAAGAAGCGATATGGCAACTTTGTTCCACAAATTTCTCGGGAGATTTCTAGCCTTATTGCTCCTCTATGCCTAGTAGTTAGCCCTAATCCTTTTGGTATGAATTGGCTTGAGTCTAGAATCCTGTGAGGATAAGCCCTTGGGAGGCTCCACTTTGTCCTCCAGTAACAAGTGGACTAGTCTTTACAGGATGCCTTTTATGTCTGTGCGTGTGTGTGTGTGTCAGGAGAGAGGATAAACTCAGCTTCTCTACATATATTTTTTCTGACTCTTAACCATGTAGTTTGCATATTGAAAAACAGAGTATCTATTAATTGCAACTGTGGTGAAAGCCCTACATTTCCTTTTGGGCTATGTGGGGTTTTGTTTTTGTTTTTCCTTCTGTAGCTGAAATGAACTATCTCACTGTGATTCACATTAGTGAGGTTTCAAGAATACTTATTCAAGACTTTCTAAGGGTCAAGGCCATAGGGGCATATGGGGAACAAAAGATGAATAAGAATAGAATTGGTACATTCTTATAATATAAATGGGGCAAATACACAGGTAACTATAATACAAAGCAAAATGTGAATAGAAAGGTACATAGGGTTGTGAAAACCCAAAGGAAAGATTATTTTTATTTGGATGAGTCAGAGAAGACTCCATGGAGTCAATGTTACTGGATTTGGGCTTTGGAGGACTAGAGACTAGAGGCAACCATTGACTGCCTGCATAACAGCTATTCCCACCCCACCCCCATCCTCCTTCTGGATAGTATAGAGGCTATTCATTTTATAGGCTACAATGCTTGCATTTCCTGCCTCCTCAGAAGCTAGAGAATGGGCATGGATGGTTTCTTTCAATTGGCACCTAACAAAGGTCTACTGAAGGCATGCTGGAAAACATTTTCCTTCTCTTTTAAAAAAGATGTATGAGAAGAACTTCTCTCCCCTCCCCCCTCTTTTTTTTTTGAGACAGAGTTTCACTCTTGTCACCTAGGCTGGAGTGCAATGGCACAATCTCGGCTCACTGCAAGCTCTGCCTCCTAGGTTCAAGCCATTTTCCTCCCTCTGCCTCCTGAGTAGCTGGGATTACAGGCATGCACCACCATGCCCAGCTAATTTTGTATTTTTAGTAGACATGGGGTTTCACCATGTTGGCCAGACTGGTCTCGAACTCCTGACCTCAGGTGAGCCACCCGTCTTACCCAAAGTGCTGGGATTACAGGCATGAACCACTGCACCCAGCGTCTCCTTCCCTTTTGATATAGATATGTGAGGATATGATGCCTGGAGCAGTGGCAGCTACCGTGTGACTATAAGGAAAGAAGCCCAGAGACAATGGTCAACATCCCAAAGATAGCAAAACAGAATGATGGAAATCACATGCTTCTTCTAGCTCAGACTTATTGCTATGTAAGGTAATAAATGTTTACATCATTTAAGGCACAGTTAGTTGAGTATTCTGTTACAAGAAGCTTATAAGCATTCTAACTGACAGAGTAGGATTTTTCTAGGTAGTTTGGGGTCATAATGGGGAGTATGGCAGGGTGAGGTTGTATTGGAGAGAGTATCCCAATCCATATAAACAATGTGAGCAGAAGTGTGTAATGGAAAAACTCAGGTTGCATTAGGGAAGTAGCAAATGGTTTGATTTGGTTAGAATAAAGAGAGGATGGCAAGTAGGAGGTAACTGGTAAGATTTGGGACAAGGTCATGAAAAACTTTGGAGCCATGCTTAAAAGCTTAGAATTTATTCAATCAGAAACAGTAAGCTGTGGAAGGTTTTTGAGTAGAAAGAACTAGAATCAAAACTATGCTTTCTTTTTTGAAGAACATCTTCTCTTCTTACATATACTGTATACTTTCTTGTGGTTACACTTTTTTTCCTGTTGAATTTTCTGTCCTGTCAACAAGAACATATAATTTACAAAGTAAAAATTAGAAGTACAGCATATTATGCATTTCATATTGCTGCTCTTTAAACTTTGGGTAACTGCTTAACAATTTTGATTGCATAAGGTAGTTTTCCTCTGATTGACTCTCATTTAAGCATCTCTAGGATCAAATGATTTTATTTTATGGGCAATATGGAGACAAGAAGACCTCCTATTAGTGATTCTCATTCTATTTTTAATATACAATTATTTTGTACTTTTACCAAGGGGTAAACAATTTTTGGTTGTTTTTTAAAAAATGAAGCCTTTTTACAAATTACAAAAAAATTCTTCATTGTTAACTATTTCGGAAATTTTTTGAAAAATGGAAACAAATAAATCAACATAGTTTTTTTACCTTCAGACCCCTATTTCTTTTTAGTTTTTTTTCCTGAAACTAATTTATTGTTAAAAGATTGAAGATGATGCATGAAAATATTTAAATTTAAGTAGAAAATATGTCATTGGCGTAAATAAATCTGATTTCGTGATTTGACAGTAAAATGTTACATTATCATTTAGATAATGTGTTCTTCAGGACACCAGCATATTATTCATTAGGAGTCTTAGTTTAGTTCAAAAAATGAACACAGATTATCTCCAAGTAAACAAAGCAGTTGCTCTTTCTCTGTAAAAACAGAGAAGATTCTCAGTTTTGTTCTGGATTTTCAAAAGACAATCACAATCCAGCAGAGGTTACTCTTGTTCTGAACAAAGCTTTTTATAATTTTGTCAGAGGATTTGCAGCATAATTCCATTATCACAAATTCCGAAAATACTACATACAAGATACAAAATATTTGATAAACGAGGGCAGAATAATAAACGTGGCCTATTTGTAATATTACATCAGACAAAACTAGTTGTTACTATTATATTTGGCATCAAGAATTATCCTTTTGTTTGTAACTTGTAACTTGTTTATTGCATATTGGGACTATTATAACAAACCTCCAACAAAATGGAGGGGGATTTCTAGAAAAATTTAGAGCCATGTTAAAAATCCTTTACATTCATTATGTGAATTGTTTTAAATAGGAAAAGTTTTCGAATTAAAAAAAATTGACTTTATTAGTTCTGAAAATTAAAAAACCCATCTCTCTTTTACAAGAAACCTGTGTAGTTGTGTTTTATAACAGTGCTTCTCAAACTAGTGTGTGGAGGAATTATTCAGAGTGTTTGTTAAAGTGTAGTGTCTGTTTGAGAAGGTCTGGTGTGGAGCCTGAGATTCTACATTTCTAACAAACTCAGTTCAGAAGCCATTGGTCCGGAGGCTACACTTTGAATAACAAGATTTTAGAGGAAGGTAAAAAAGAAAATGTGTTTGGAAAACTGTCTGATAGATAAATTTAACTACACGTAAATTGCTCATGAAATGCTGGCATCAGGAAAGGCTATCATTCAATACTAAACAATTCACAACTGCAATAAGGTATGAGATTTTAACTCAGTTACATTTTCCAAAATATTTTTCTTTTGTGCACTTACTAACTCCATAGCTCTGTCACTCTGACACAACAAGTTTAATCTAGAGTTGACTGCAGACATCAAACATAAAATACGAGTTCATATTTTGGATTTGTGTTTGTAAGGAAACTTGAAATGAGTCTTTTCCAAGTCTTTGAAGATATTTAAATGTAGTCATTTTCATTAATTACTCTTAACAAGTAATTAATACTGTGTTTGGAATTTCACAGGAGCTTATGTCTTTCAAATGCTAAATTTGTGTTTGATACCCTTTTGCAGACATTCAGGCTAATTACTTACTGGCCTTTCATAAACACTCAAGAGTGAGAAAGGGAGAAACCTAAGTAGAGCGAATCCTGTAACTAATAACAGATGAGATGTTCATTATGTAGAGAGTGTTTTTTTATCCTGTAACTAATAACAGATGAGATGTTCATTATGTAGAGAGTGTTTTTGTTTGTTTGTTTATTTCTTTTCATTTCAAAATGTTGAACTTTGGGCATTTAACAGAAATTTAACAGATATTTCTACAAAGCAGATTTTTTCCTCATCTGCTGAGTAAAACCATCTAACATAAGTAAAGGTTAAAGGAAGTAAATATTTATCTCAGTGGTTACAAACTGCATTTTAACAAGTTAGGAGCCGACTCCTCTGGCTCACTGTGTTGGCTCCAGATAGATGGTCCAGGGTCCCCAGGCATGGGAGCAGGGCTCACCCGGCAGGGCTCCTTCGGGTGAGTGTGAACAGGGCCCTGGAGGCAGCTCCTGAGGGTGAGAGCCAGATGCAAATTAGTTTTTTTGAGAACTGGCAGTTTTCTCTGCCTTACCTGTGGATGTCAGCAAACTAGTTGTTAAATGTATTTCTGTCAAGGTTCATTTGTCATATTTCAAATTCTTTAAAGACCAAGTCTGAGGTCAGCAGTGAGGACCACAAATCTTAACTGGAAATTATACCTTTATCATATACTACAAGGGTGTCAAACCCTGGTAAGTCAGTTACTAGCCTGAAGAGATTTTCATTTCACTTTAAATTATCAGATTTTCATTGTCTCCTCATTAGCATGTCAATCTCAGTTTCTATGGTAGGAAAAACTCCCTAATTACAAAATAAAAGTAATTAAAAATAAACCTCCATGAAAGAACAGACAGGTTGAGTCACACAGCTTTAACAGAGGTGTTATGATCTAGGTTATGTGGTATCAGAGACACAGCTGAGTGCTCATTAAATAATAACAGGACATTTCATAATACGTTAGTTCTCAGCATTTTAACCCCTGCTCTCCACCTCTTTTCCTCGTTTTCTCCCCATAGCAAATTGATTTAACCTCAGTTGAGCATTTAATGAGTGTCCACTTTAAGCCAGGCATTATCCAAAACAGCACTGTACTAAGCTTTCATTCTGGCCTCTGCTCTAGCACAGAACCCTCCTCTCACCCTCACATTTATACTTTGTGGCTTTGTACCCTGGGAAGTCTTGAGGAAGCCTTTGGTGACCGAAGCTGTACAGATATGAAGGGATGGTCTCCAGCCAGAGGACTTCAGTCATCTGCATCCATTAAAATGTGTGTCCTGATTGCGCTTCATAACAAATATTCTCAGAATGCCAGAGGCTAAATGGAACTGTGCCAAGTGCTCCATTACACCTGTGCAGCTGGCTAAGCTGCAGAACTGCTCAGGTAACACTTTTTATTTGTTCAAAATTGTTTCCTTTTATAAAACTGCTGTCAAGATAAAAGTACAAAACTTAAAACATTAATTAAGAGGGTTAAAACAGTAGTAATCATTAGAATGACAGCACCAAAACCTTCTAAAGTAAACCAGAGTAAAAGAAAAGCAATTAGTGCTGTTGCAATTTGAATATGTTTTATTTGTCAGAGTTTGAACTTCTTTTATTAAGATATGGGGTTTTGCCTAGATTTAATTTTAAATTAATTTGGCTTTCAATCTGTATGGTATTGATCAAGGGATCAAGATTGTATTGAGTATGGTACTGACTTCTGTCTACTGATTTTCTGAGCCTTTAATACCTCTAATAATGGCCCATACTACTGGTTCCTGCCCAGGTGACTATACAGCATTTACAGGTGCAATCCAGTGGATGCTGTCTAAAAACAAAATGAAGTCTTGGGACTATTATTAACCTCATTTTGAGATGGAATAATAATAATAATAATAATAATAGACTCAAAAGGGTTAAGAGGCATGCACTTTTGGCAGGAATGGGCAAGTGAACCTCAGATGTAGCTGCAATGGGCTTCCAACACTGGACTTTTTCCAGGAAAGGCATTGGCCTCTCTGCTTCTCTTTTGAACACAGCTGATTTAGCCACATTTTGATGTGGCATGGTGTCTGTTAAAGCAATTCCAAACATGAGGGGAATCTCCTTGATGTTATGTTCTATGTATATGTGTCCATGTGCACATGAATGTGTGTGTGTGTGTGCGCGTGTGAGCATGGGTGTGTGTATTTTCACCTCTAACTCTCCTACTCCTGAACCACCAAGCAGTGCTGGGGCTGTGAGATTTTCTGCCTGGATAGTTCCCTCTTGTGCCATCAGATTCTGTCAACATTTCTCTTTATCTTGGATAACTCTTTCAGGAGTCACTTAAAACTAAATGGAAGGTTATAGAACTAATTTAACATTAACAAATTCATTTTTGGTGGTGTTTTTGATGAAAGCAAATAAAAGCGAATGTTTTATTTTCTTTGGTTGTCAGTTGCAGGTTGAGGTAGAATTGAGTAGCAGAAATTAGAATAATGGAAAACAACTTCTGTATCTTTTAAAGCAGCTTTTCAGTTGGAAGATGCCAAGTACAAACTTTAGTACATCTTTTTTTGGCAAATGAATAAGATACTTACAGACAAGGCAGCAGGAGACTTAATACATTTGTGCATTCTCAATATCCTTGATATATCACTACTGTTAACTTACAATAAAGGAGGAAAAACAGCTGGCAGGCTGGAAAATAGTTCTTTCTGAAACCTCGTTTTATGTAGAGTGAAACTTTATATGATGTATTTTTTTATATTCCAGTGATTTTGCAAAATAATAGAATAAATACAAATTGAATACAGCAGTTTTTTTTTCTAGGAAGAACAATTGTTGGGCATTTTTGTGTTACTACTTAGAATTGGGAAAATTGTACCTCCTGGGGATAAAGTGTTAATAATAATGGTAACTGTCTACTTTTAGTAAAAGGTTTATTTACATTACACAAAAATCCTCATTTGGATGAAGCTTTTACATAAGGTGGTTATTTCTGAATAATTTGGTTTCTTTCCTGGTGTTTATGTAGCTCTCCATTTTGTACTCTTCTAGGACTTTCAAAAATGAGTTGAACCCACTGTAACACTTATTGTTTATAATATATCATTAAGAAAAAATACATGTTTCAGAAAGCTAAACCACCCTGTTCTAGGAGGCTCAAACATTTAAATATAATACATTTTTGGAAAAAAATATTGTTTTTTCCTAACTGAAAGCCATAGCAGTTTATATTATTATAAGTTTAAAAAATTTTCTAGCCATGTTTTGTAAACATAAATATGCATTCTTCCTTTAAGAAAATCAATATTAAAAATGACCACTGTATATCATTCTTCCCTATATTTAGAGTATATGTGTTTTAATTTTTCTAAAAATTAATCTAATTTATATATTTCCCTTAAAAATAACTGTTATGAGCCAGGCACAGTGGCTTATGCCTATCATCCCAGCACTTTGGGAGGCTGAGGTGGGAGGATCACTTGAGCCCATGAGTTTGAGACCAACCTGAGCAATATAGTGAGACCTTGTCTCTACAGAAAAAATTTTTTTAAATAAAATAAAATTAGCCCAGTGTGGTGGTGCATGCCTGTAGTCCCAGCTACTCGTGAGGCTGAGGTGGGAGGATCACTTGAGCCCAGGAGCAGAGGTGTGGAGGTTGAGATTACATCATTGCACTTCAGCCTGGATGATAGATCAAGACTCTAGCTCAAACAAATAAACAAACTGTTATGGAAAATTACCAAAATTAAAATATTTAGTTAGATTCAAAATGTACTAAGTACTAATGAAGTCGGCAAGTAGCTTATTTATTTTACTTATTTCACACAGATTATTCCTAATCTGGAGGCGTCTGTCATTTTTCTGGACCACTATAATAGTTTTTACATGAAAGAGGTGAAAAAATATCTAATATAATTCTATTGATTAAAAAACTTCCAAATAATGCATGGTTACATATTTTTCTTGGCATGATAAACAAATATTTGCTTAAATGTTCTGTTTAAAACTTTGATGAATTGATACATTTGGACATTGAAATGTTATCCAAAGGGAACTGAAACATTATCCAAAGAATATGCATTTTTTTATCAGACCACAAAGCTAACAAAGCAAGAAATACGTTTCCATATGTCTCACCTACTAGCTCATATGATGGGATTCTTCTAAATTTATTTTCATTTGGATGACAAAACTGCATGCATTTCAGCCAGAAGTTTTGAATGGAATAAGATTTCAGAAATTGTGTGTTGATTTCAACTACAATAGATTCCATTTATATTTTGAGATAGCACTTTATGTAGTATTTCAAAGTGTTAGATTGTATGAATAGGGAGCTGGAGTTTGGGGAGGCATTCACAGAGTAGCATGACTAAGACCTTGGGCTATAGAATCAAACAGGACTATGTTCAAATCTTGGTCTTTCTCACTTCCCATGTGCATGAACTTAAGCAAGGTACATGGCTTATGTGAGTCCCAATTTTCCCATTTATTTATTTATTTATTTATTTATTTTCAGGTAATTTTTTAATTAGAAATTCCAAATTTTAAATACCACAATATGTTATATCACAGATGCCTCTTTTTTTTTCTTTTTTTTAATTTTTTTTTTATTATACTTTAAGTTTTACGGTACATGTGCACATTGTGCAGGTTAGTTACATATGTATACATGTGCCATGCTGGTGCGCTGCACCCACTAACTCGTCATCTAGCATTAGGTATATCTCCCAATGCTATCCCTCCCCCCTCCCCCCACCCCACCACAGTCCCCAGAGTGTGATATTCCCCTTCCTGTGTCCATGTGATCTCATTGTTCAATTCCAACCTATGAGTGAGAATATGCAGTGTTTGGTTTTTTGTTCTTGCGATAGTTTACTGAGAATGATGATTTCCAATTTCATCCATGTCCCTACAAAGGACATGAACTCATCATTTTTTATGGCTGCATAGTATTCCATGGTGTACATGTGCCACATTTTCTTAATCCAGTCTATCATTGTTGGACATTTGGGTTGGTTCCAAGTCTTTGCTATTGTGAATAATGCCACAATAAACATATGTGTGCATGTGTCCTTATAGCAGCAAGATTTATAGTCCTTTGGGTATATACCCAGTAATGGGATGGCTGGGTCAAATGGTATTTCTAGTTCTAGATCCCTGAGGAATCGCCACACTGACTTCCACAATGGTTGAACTAGTTTACAGTCCCACCAACAGTGTAAAAGTGTTCCTATTTCTCCACATCCTCTCCAGCACCTGTTGTTTCCTGATTTTTTAATGATTGCCATTCTAACTGGTGTGAGATGGTATCTCATTGTGGTTTTGATTTGCATTTCTCTGATGGCCAGTGATGATGAGCATTTTTTCATGTGTTTTTTGGCTGCATAAATGTCTACTTTTGAGAAGTGTCTGTTCATGTCCTTTGCCCACTTTTTGATGGGGTGGTTTGTTTTTTTCTTGTAAATTTGTTTGAGTTCATTGTAGATTCTGGATATTAGCCCTTTGTCAGATGAGTAGGTTGCGAAAATTTTCTCCCATTTTGTAGGTTGCCTGTTCACTCTGATGGTAGTTTCTTTTGCTGTGCAGTAGCTCTTTAGTTTAATGAGATCCCATTTGTCAATTTTGGCTTTTGTTGCCATTGCTTTTGGTGTTTTAGACATGAAGTCCTTGCCCATGCCTATGTCCTGAATGGTAATGCCTAGGTTTTCTTCTAGGGTTTTTATGGTTTTAGGTCTAACATTTAAGTCTTTAATCCATCTTGAATTGATTTTTGTATAAGGTGTAAGAAAGGGATCCAGTTTCAGCTTTCTACATATGGCTAGCCAGTTTTCCCAGCACCATTTATTAAATAGGGAATCCTTTCCCTATTGCTTGTTTTTCTCAGGTTTATCAAAGATCAGATAGTTGTAGATATGCGGCATTATTTCTGAGGGCTCTGTTCTGTTCCATTGATCTATATCTCTGTTTTGGTACCAGTACCATGCTGTTTTGGTTACTGTAGCCTTGTAGTATAGTTTGCAGTCAGGTACTGTGATGCCTCCAGCTTTGTTCTTTTGGCTTAGGATTGACTTGGCAATGGGGGCTCTTTTTTGGTTCCATATGAACTTTAAAGTAGTTTTTTCCAATTCTGTGAAGAAAGTCATTGGTAGCTTGATGGGGATGGCATTGAATCTATAAATTACTTTGGGCAGTATGGCCATTTTCACGATATTGATTCTTCCTACCCATGAGCATGGAATGTTCTTCCATTTGTTTGTATCCTCTTTTATTTCCTTGAGCAGTGGTTTGTAGTTCTCCTTGAAGAGGTCCTTCACATCCCTTGTAAGTTGGATTCCTAGGTATTTTCTTCTCTTTGAAGCAATTATGAATGGGAGTTCACTCATGATTTGGCTCTCTGTTTGTTATTGGTGTATAAGAATGCTTGTGATTTTTGTACGTTGATTTTGTATCCTGAGACTTTGCTGAAGTTGCTTATCAGCTTAAGGAGGTTTTGGGCTGAGACAATGGGGTTTTCTAGATATACAATCATGTTGTCTGCAAACAGGGACAATTTGACTTCCTCTTTTCCTAATTGAATACCCTTTATTTCCTTGTCCTGCCTAATTGCCCTGGCCAGAACTTCCAACACTATGTTGAATAGGAGTGGTGAGAGAGGGCATCCCTGTCTTGTGCCAGTTTTCAAAGGGAATGCTTCCAGTTTTTGCCCATTCAGTATGATATTGGCTGTGGGTTTGTCATAGATAGCCCTTATTATTTTGAAATACGTCCCATCAATACCTAATTTATTGAGAGTTTTTAGCATGAAGCGTTGTTGAATTTTGTCAAAGGCTTTTTCTGCATCTATTGAGATAATCATGTGGTTTTTGTCCTTGGCTCTGTTTATATGCTGGATTACATTTGTTGATTTGTGTATATTGAACCAGCCTTGCATCCCAGGGATGAAGCCCACTTGATCATGGTGGATAAGCTTTTTGATGTGCTGCTGGATTCAGTTTGCCAGTATTTTATTGAGGATTTTTGCATCAATGTTCATCAAGGATATTGGTCTAAAATTCTCTTTTTTGGTTGTGTCTCTGCCCGGCTTTGGTATCAGAATGATGCTGGCCTCATAAAATGAGTTAGGGAGGATTCCCTCTTTTTCTATTGATTGGAATAGTTTCAGAAGGAATGGTACCAGTTCCTCCTCATACCTCTGATAGAATTCGGCTGTGAATCCATCTGGTCCTGGACTCTTTTTGGTTGGTAAGCTATTGATTATTGCCACAATTTCAGATCCTGTTATTGGTCTATTCAGAGATTCAACTTCTTCCCGGTTTAGTCTTGGGAGAGTGTATGTGTCGAGAAATTTATCCATTTCTTCTAGATTTTCTAGTTTATTTGCATAGAGGTGTTTGTAGTATTCTCTGATGGTAGTTTGTATTTCTGTGGGATCGGTGGTGATATCCCCTTTATCATTTTTTATTGTGTCTATTTGATTCTTCTCTCTTTTTTTCTTTATTAGTCTTGCTAGTGGTCTATCAATTTTGTTGATCCTTTCAAAAAACCAGCTCCTGGATTCATTAATTTTTTGAAGGGTTTTTTGTGTCTCTAATTCCTTCAGTTCTGCTCTGATTTTAGTTATTTCTTGCCTTCTGCTAGCTTTTGAATGTGTTTGCTCTTGCTTTTCTAGTTCTTTTAATTGTGATGTTAGGGTGTCAATTTTGGATCTTTCCTGCTTTCTCTTGTGGGCATTTAGTGCTATAAATTTCCCTCTACACACTGCTTTGAATGCATCCCAGAGATTCTGGTATGTTGTGTCTTTGTTCTCGTTGGTTTCAAAGAACATCTTTATTTCTGCCTTCATTTCGTTATGTATCCAGTAGTCATTCAGGAGCAGGTTGTTCAGTTTCCATGTAGTTGAGTGGTTTTGAGTGAGATTCTTAATCCTGAGTTCTAGTTTGATTGCACTGTGGTCTGAGAGATAGTTTGTTATAATTTCTGTTCTTTTACATTTGCTGAGGAGAGCTTTACTTCCCAGTATGTGGTCAATTTTGGAATAGGTGTGGTGTGGTGCTGAAAAAAATGTATATTCTGTTGATTTGGGGTGGAGAATTCTGTAGATGTCTATTAGGTCCGCTTGGTGCAGAGCTGAGTTCAATTCCTGGGTATCCTTGTTAACTTTCTGTCTCGTTGATCTGTCTAATGTTGACAGTGGGGTGTTAAAGTCTCCCATTATTTATGTGTGGGAGTCTAAGTCTCTTTGTAGGTCACTCAGGACTTGCTTTATGAATCTGGGTGCTCCTGTATTGGGTGCATATATATTTAGGATAGTTAGCTCTTCTTGTTGAATTGATCCCTTTACCATTATGTAATAGCCTTCTTTGTCTCTTTTGATCTTTGTTGGTTTAAAGTCTGTTTTATCAGAGACTAGGATTGCAACCCCTGCCTTTTTTTGTTTTCCATTTGCTTGGTAGATCTTCCTCCATCCTTTTATTTTGACCCTATGTGTGTCTCTGCACGTGAGATGGTTTTCCTGAATACAGCACACTGATGGGTCTTGACTCTTTATCCAGTTTGCCAGTCTGTGTCTTTTAATTGGAGCATTTAGTCCATTTACATTTAAAGTTAATACTGTTATGTCTGAATTTGCTCCTGTCATTATGATGTTAGCTGGTTATTTTGCTCATTAGTTGATGCAGTTTCTTCCTAGTCTTGATGGTCTTTACATTTTGGCATGATTTTGCAGCAGCTGGTACCGGTTGTTCCTTTCCATGTTTAGCGCTTCCTTCAGGAGCTCTTTTAGGGCAGGCTTGCTGGTGACAAAATCTCTCAGCATTTGCTTGTCTGTAAAGTATTTTATTTCTCCTTCGCTTATGAAGCTTAGTTTGGCTGGATATGAAATTGTGGGTTGAAAATTCTTTTCTTTAAGAATGTTGAATATTGGCCCCCACTCTCTTTTGGCTTGTAGGGTTTCTGCCGAGAGATCCGCTGTTAGTCTGATGGGCTTCCCTTTGAGGGTAACCCAACCTTTCTCTCTGGCTGCCCTTAACATTTTTTCCTTCATTTCAACTTTGGTGAATATGACAATTATGTGTCTTGGAGTTGCTCTTCTCAAGGAGTATCTTTGTGGCGTTCTCTGTATTTCCTGAATCTGAATGTTGGCCTGCCTTGCTAGATTGGGGAAGTTCTCCTGGATAATATCCTGCAGAGTGTTTTCCAACTTGGTTCCATTCTCCCCATCACTTTCAGGTACACCAATCAGACGTAGATTTGGTCTTTTCACATAGTCCCATATTTCTTGGAGGCTTTGCTCATTTCTTTTTATTCTTTTTTCTCTAAACTTCCCTTCTCGCTTCATTTCATTCATTTCATCTTCCATCGCTGATATCCTTTCTTCCAGTTGATCGCATCGGCTCCTGAGGCTTCTGCATTCTTCACGTAGTTCTCGAGCCTTGGTTTTCAGCTCCATCAGCTCCTTTAAGCACTTCTCTGTATTGGTTATTCTAGTTATACATTCTTCTAAATTTTTTTCAAAGTTTTCAACTTCTTTGCCTTTGGTTTGAATGTCCTCCCGTAGCTCAGAGTAATTTGATCGTCTGAAGCCTTCTTCTCTCAGCTCGTCAAAGTCATTCTCCATCCAGCTTTTTTCCGTTGCTGGTGAGGAACTGCGTTCCTTTGGAGGAGGAGAGGCGCTCTGCGTTTTAGAGTTTCCAGTTTTTCTGTTCTGTTTTTTCCCCATCTTTGTGGTTTTATCTACTTTTGGTCTTTGATGATGGTGATGTACAGATGGGTTTTTGGTGTGGATGTCCTTTCTGTTTGTTAGTTTTCCTTCTAACAGACAGGACCCTCAGCTGCAGGTCTGTTGGAATACCCTGCCGTGTGAGGTGTCATTGTGCCCCTGCTGGGGGGTGCCTCCCAGTTAGGCTGCTCGGGGATCAGGGGTCAGGGACCCACTTGAGGAGGCAGTCTGCCCATTCTCAGATCTCGAGCTGCATGCTGGGAGAACCACTGCTCTCTTCAAAGCTGTCAGACAGGGACATTTAAGTCTGCAGAGGTTACTGCTGTCTTTTTGTTGTCTGTGCCCTGCCCCCAGAGGTGGAGCCTACAGAGGCAGGCAGGCCTCCTTGAGCTGTGGTGGGCTCCACCCAGTTCGAGCTTCCCGGCTGCTATGTTTACCTAAGCAAGCCTGGGCAATGGCGGGCGCCCCTCCCCCAGCCTTGCTGCCACCTTGCAGTTTGATCTCAGACTGCTGTGCTAGCAATCAGCGAGACTCCGAGCCAGGTGTGGGATATAATCTCGTGGTGCGCCGTTTTTTAAGCCGGTCGGAAAAGCGCAATATTCGGGTGGGAGTGACCCGATTTTCCAGGTGCGTCCGTCACCCCTTTCTTTGACTCGGAAAGGGAACTCCCTGATGCCTTGCACTTCCCAAGTGAGGCAATGCCTCACCCTGCTTCGGCTCGCGCACGGTGCGCGCACCCACTGACCTGCGCCCACTGTCTGGCACTCCCTAGTGAGATGAACCTGGTACCTCAGATGGAAATGCAGAAATCACCCATCTTCTGCGTCGCTCACGCTGGGAGCTGTAGACCGGAGCTGTTCCTATTCGGCCATCTTGGCTCCTCCCCCGCAATTTTCCCATTTATAAAGTAGATCTTATAGTAGTATTTACCTCAGACTGTAATGACAGTTGAGTGAAATAGTGCATATAAAGTGCTTGGCATTAGAATGTGGTCAGTAAATATCTGTGTATCAGTTTCGTCCCCTGCCCACCTGATAAGCTCAATGATGACTTAAATTATATACTTACACCTCATCTATTTGGAAAATTATGTTGTTTTTAAAATTGTAATAATTAAAAATTTACAAGAGTATTAATATTTTTATGTAATACCTTTATTACATAAAAATATTTTATTTGTGCTCAGTTTAGCCCAACCCTATAGAATGTGATGAAGAGGTGGAACTACATTATGATCCTTATTTTTCAGTTGGGAAACCAAAGCAATGAAAAATTAATGAAATTGGCCAGAGTTGCACAAGACATAGCCTAATAGGAGTTAAGTATTTAAGTTAAGATTCCACAGATCTAGAACTTCATTTGAATGGGAGAAAAATTATATCATGAAGTGGTTGATACAGTTGATTCTATAAACAGGGCATTAAACACGTTGATTTGGAAAGCACTGAGTTTTCCTTCGCAGTTGTTTTTTATACTAATAATAGTAGAAAATTTTCCATATACCTTAAGTGCTTTCAAATTTATTTCTAGAATACTGACAGAAAAAAAAAAACACCTTACTTTTAAGTGATGGAGAGGTCTTTCAAAATATCATGCCACAGGGAAATAATATTTTTTCTTGGCACTTAATTCCAAGTAAATGCTTAGCTTAGCTTATGATACACATGTGGTGTTTCTCGAGGACTTTAACACTGTCGTTGTTGTCATGCATTTTCTCACACAGACATTGCACTCTATATTTTGTATAAAATTCTATTCTTAGCCATATATAAATTGCTACTTTGCTATTCACAATTTTGTTATATACAATTACTCAATTTTGGTTTCACCAAAATACATATTATTTGCCATTTTGTTGAAATATGCCCTGCAAGACAAAATATGCTTGCAGTTAGTAAGTATCTGACAGATTAAAACAATTTAAAAAAATCAATATGGTGGCCTAATTCCCTGGTCTGTTATTTAAATATCTTTTCACCTGATTAACCATTCTACATCTGCAGACCTATGGGAAGAATTCCTAATTTTATTCCATCTTCATTTACAGTAGGGACATAAATGTCTGTTGATCTTATCAAATTATTTTTAAGAATTTAGGGATTTTGTCAGAATCATTAATTCAGCCAACCTGGTTAGTCCATTTATACCATAGCCTCAGGTTTCCTATATCCACATATGCCATTCAGAATTACTAAGGCATGGAAAGCGTCTCACAAAAGAAAAACTTTTACATTATTTAAACAGTGTCGTATCCACAAAATAAACGATATGCTGTTCTTGGTTCACCAAGCAAGCACTTTGCCATCTCTGGGTCCCCAGTGAACAGCTACTCATTAAACCCAGATACATTTGGACATCAGACCCCCTCTCTAACAAGGAAAGGGGTCACCACAGGGAGGAATGCAGGCCTGCCAGTCAGAGTCATCTCCCACCAGAAACCTGCTTTAATGAGCATTTTCTTGCTTCTCAGGGCAATCCTCATGCTCTCACTGTGCTCTCAGCAAGAACACCTGGGATTCTTCAGCCTTGCCATGTGTGGAGAACAGCCCAAAAATAGGCCTGCTAAGACTTCCAAGATGGATTGCTAGACTTTGTGAGTCACCTCTGAAACCAAAAGCTCTGTGCTTTGTGATTTTTGTTTGCATCATTAGGATGAGGAATTTCAGCAAACCTAACCACAATTACCTGTGACTAATCTTAGCAGATATAAAAGCAAGTGTTTCCTCTTTCAAACCCACATAAATATACAAAAGGCAAATAAAACCTTGAATTGGATAACCCATTCCCAGCTATTCTTCAATAAAATATTCATAAAACAAAAACTTTGCAGTATAAATATGGTATTCTACTAAAAATGCAAAATATATTTCCCAACTTGGTGCAGCTTTGTAAATATACATTAACATTCAGTGAGAGTAAAGAATAATTACATTTCATGCATTAAACAGATTTCACTTTGTGTCTTCATAACAGAGAGATAGGTCATCTCCGGAAGGATTCATGGGTAGGCTGGGATTCTCATGAGACTAAAGCATAAACCAAACTGGACTTTGCAGAATACATAGAATGAGATTTATCATGCAAGAGCTATGCTTTGCCAGAGTGAACTCCTGTGCCCATATTCTGTGTCCTGTCCCATGTTTTATGATTAAAGAGACATATCAATGTTAGAAGGCTGTGTGTTGCTTGTATGCACTCATAACAAGGTAAGAGCCAGAACCTGGAAATAATCTGGAAACAGAAAAAGGATGATCTAATACAATGTCCTGATAAATATGGATTCATTGATTGAGTTAGAAAGGAAGAGCACAGAAAGGAAAGACCTGGAAATGGTGGCATTGGTACCATAGAGTATCTATTCCAGAGTCAAAGGAAACAAAAAAAAGAAAACATGCCTGAATAAGCTATCACCTCTCAGTTACTTATGGCATAGGGAGAAAGGGAGAATATGGTTAAAGAAAATGCAGATAAAAATTGAAACGCTAATTTCACCTGGTAGTTTCAATTTGCCTTAACCATCTAAGTACATTTTTCAAAGCTTAAAGTGATTTTGTCAGGTTCATGGAATTGCAATCTTTAATGACTCACATTCATGTCTAGATGATAAATGATGACCTACATTTCCAACACCCCATTAGCCAATGTTCTTAAATCACTTGAGCAATATTAGCCCTCACAAACTTTAAGAATACCAAGTATTATTACCCTCCTTAGTTTGTAGAGGAGAGAAAAATGGAGATTTATATAAATAAGGGAAATCAGTTGTCCAAGAATAACTGTGTATATTAGGGCTAACTTAAAATATATATCCCCTGATTCTGCTCAGTTATGTGATCTTATACCCATTTTACTTTCTACCCCAAAGTTACTGGTTCCTGAACTAGGAAGTGCTGTAATTTTAGAAGCTTCTAAAGGAATGCAAATTCTTTTTGGCCAAATGTGACTCACAATACAAACACAGGAACAATTGTTTACTTCTGTAAATTCTAAGATGGTGCAGGTTTGGTCAGAAATGTAATTACCTTAGGGCCAGACTAGAATAACAGTTAAATAAAAACTGGAAGAGAAGATGTTTTTATAGAAATTAAGTTATGGGAGAGTAAGATACATATCCAGAAAGCAGGTTTCTGCCTTTCAGAGGAGAATATTTTCTTAAAGTTTGTGAAAGGGTGCAAGGGGCAAGGGTTGGATTGGTTCTCAGACCACTGAGGGGATTGGCAGGAGACTAAAGTATGGAACCACTGGGGTGCTGGAACTCACCCACATGGGCTTGGGAGAGCCAATTATTATACTGGGATTACAGGTGTGAGCTAGACTGCCTGACCTAAAATTTTGTTTTTTACAAAGTAATAAATACTCAAAATTTATCACTCCCTAATTATTTAACTACATTTTTACTATTATCTGTGCCATTGAGGTTATTTATGTCTATTTGTATTAATGGTAGGAATGCTAAAAATGGCATGCAACTATGCATTTCTTTCTAACTCTACTTTCGGTAACTTCGTGTTGAAACTTAAATTTGATAATGGTGGGAGTATTTACATGAGGGAAATTGGCAAGCAGCACAGCTTGATTTATTGTTTTGTTGATTATCTAAATCAGGATTCAGTAAAAGAGGGCATGCTTGCTATGTGTTGTTATAAATAAAGTTTCCCTGGAACACAGCCATGTCCATTTACTTATGTACTGTTTGTGACTAGTTTTATGCTACCATGGCAGAGTAGTTTTAACAGAGATGTTAGACCCACAAAGCCTAAAATATTCACTGTTTGGCCCATTATAGAAAATGTTTCTATACCCTTCATCTAGACTTTAAAAAGTGATGAGTAAATGTTAAAAATGCAAATTAAACTTAAAAGCATGTTTTTTTAGTAGCTATTACATTGTGATTAGCACACAAAACTGAGGAAATACTTTTTTCAATATTGGAAAACTGTTATCTGATTCAGTAATCACAGTATTGACTATTATGTTTGAACTTAAGTGTGCTGAACCAAAAAAAGGTTTTAATTTAATGAATATAATCTGTATGATGGTGGAAGATAGCTTAATAGTAGATCACATGTCAGACTTAATGACAAAAATAAAAAAATTAGCCAGGCCTGGTGGTGCGTGCCTGTAGTCCCAGCTATTCGTGGGAGGGGGGAAGTTGGGGGGTGAGAGAGGAGGATTGCTTGATTCCAGGAGGTGGAGGCTGCAGTGAGCCATGACTGTGCCACTGCACTCCAGCCTGGGTGACAGAGTGAGACCCTATCTCAAAAAAAAAAAAAACAAAAAAAAAAAACAGGCAGAAAATAGGTGTTGCCAAGGATGTGAGGACATGGAAAAGTTGGAACCCTTGTGCCCTGCTGGTGGGAATGGGAAATGGTGTAGCTACTATGGAAACAGTATGGTGATTCCTCAGAAAATTAAAAATACAACTACTGTATGATCCAGCAATCCCTCTTTTGGGTATATATCCAAAGAATTGAAAACAGAGTCTTGGAGAGATATTTGTGTACCCATGTTCATACCAGCATTATTCATGATAGCCAAGAGGTAGAAGCAAACCAAGTATCTTTTGACAGATGAATGGATAAACAAATGCGGTATATGTATATACCATGGAATATTATCCAGCCTTAAAAAGGAAGGAAGTCTTGTGATGTGCTACAACCTGGATGATCTTGAGGACATTATGCTAAAAATGTCGCAAAAAGACAAATACTCTTTTTCACTTATATGAAGTATCTAGAGTAGTCAGATTCATAGAAACAGAAAGTAAAGTGATGATTGCCAGGGGCTGAGGGGAGAAGAGAGTAAATTGTCATTTAATGGGTATAGAGTTTAGTTTTGTAAGATGAAAAATTCTAGAGATTGGGTGCACAGCAGTGTGAATACACTTAATACTACTACTGAACTATACATTTAAGAGTTGTTAAGATGGCAGATTTTATATTATGCCTTTTTTTTTTTTTTTTGAGTCAAGAGTGTCACTCTGTCACCCAGGCTGGAGTGCAGTGGTGTGATCTCGGCTCACTGCAACCTCTGCCGCCTGGGTTCAAACGATTCTCCTGCCTCAGCCTTCTGAGCAACTGGGATTACAGGTGCCTGCCACTGCGCCCAGCTAATTTTTGTATTTTTAGTAGAGATGGGGGTTTCACCATGTTGGCCAGGCTGGTCTTGAACTCCTGACCTCGTGATCCACCCATGTCAGCCTCCCAAAATGTTGGGATTACAGGCATGAGCCACCGCACCCAGCCTGTTATGCCTATTTTACCACAATTTTTAAAAAAGAGTTAGTGGATTGAGATACAACTCTGTTTGTCAAATTATAGTTAATTGCAATCATAGGTTGGCTATGGATATAGGAATTGAGCAAAAATCAACTAAAGCATTCTGTGAGAATCAGTTGGAATTTATAATAAAGTATATTGTATATTTTATTATCATTAGTAAACTGTGTGCTATATGTCCTTTATATTAGTAAAGTTTAGAATAAACTTACATACATATGTAACATATATAATATCGTATATTCTATATATAATATATATACACACACATACACACATATTCCCAACACAGAGCTGGTTGTTAATATTTACCAGCACACCACTGTCAAGATTGGGCTTTCTCTTATCCAGGAACTGAGATCCGCTCTGGTGGAAGGATCCCAGGTGGCCTGGGTTCGGGTTCCCAGGTTCTATGTCTGACTCCTCCACTTAACTATCTGTACGACTCTGGGCAACTTGCTTAGTTAGACTCTCAAGTGTTAGTTTCCTCTTCTGTTAAATGAGAGCTAGATTGAGTAATCTGTAAGATTTTCTGCTATTAAAAGCTATCACCAGCCAGGCGCATTGGCTCACTCCTGTAATCCCAGCACTTTGGGAGGACGAGGCAGGCAGATCACAAGGTCAGGAGTTTGAGACCAGCTTGAACAACATGGTGAAACCCCATATCTACTAAAAATACAAAAATTAGCTGGGTGTGTGCCTGTAATCCCAGCTACCCAGGAGGCTGAGGCAGGAGGATTGCTTGAACCTGGGAGGTGGAGGTTGCAGTGAGCTGAGATTGCACTACTGCACTCCAGCCTGGGTGACAGAGATAGACTCCGTCTCCAAAAAAAAAAAAAAAAAAAAAAAAAAAAAAAAAAAAAAAATGACTATAGCATTGTAAATTCCGTGAAATGAGGGGCTGTTTTTTATCTTTGCATTTACATAAGCACGTAACATAGTTCTTTGCACACTCAATTAATGTCTGTCAAATTAAGTTGAATAGCGTTTTTCTCAAAATGTTGTGGATTCTTAAATATAATAATAGCTAATATTTCCTGCCTTACTATGCACCAGCTGCTTTATCTCATGTAATTCTTTTAATTCTATGTGGTAGCTACAGTTACCGATTCCGCTTATACAAAGTAATTGAGATTTCCTGAGATGTCACATCTAATAAATGGCAAACTGAGATTCCAACTTGGATCTATCTCACTTCACAGAAACCCTCTTAACTACTATGCTACACTACTTTTTATCCAGAACTAAGATCTTCCCTGAAATGCTAATCATGGAGAATCCTTCTGCATGCCAGAAAGTGAAATGACAAATAAATCTTTACATTTATTCATTGCAACCCTGGAGGTGCTATCATCTGTGTCTCAAATTTAGTTTGCAGCAGGATCATCTGCAGTTCTGAAATGCATATTCCTGAGCCCCGCCCCCCGACCTATTCAATCAGAATCTCTAGGGGTGGTGCCACAAAGCCACATTTTTATTTTTTATTTTATTTTTATTTTTATTTTTTGAGTCGGAATCTCACTCTGTGGCCCAGGCTGGAGTGCAGTGGCGTGATCTCGGCTCATTGCAACCTCCATCTCCTGGGTTCAAGCAATTCTCCTGCCTCAGCCTCCCAGGTAGCTGGGATTACAGGTGTGCACCACCACACCAGGCTAATTTTTTTGTATTTTTAGCAGAGATGGGGTTTCACCATGTTGGCCAGGCTGGCCAACAACTGACTCCTGAGGTGCCCTCGGCCTCCCAAAGTGCTGGGATTACAGGTGTGAGCCACCATACCCAGCCAAGAAGCTACATTTTTATCTGAACTATCATTTTGATATGGGGAACCCTGGACCACATTTAAGAGAAGCACCAGCCAAGAGCAGGGACTTTCAAACACTTTTAACCACAACCTAGAGTTAAGAAAACATTTTATATTGTGACCCACCATTCATATACATGTGCCCACAAAAATGTGAACATTCTGATATTTTCCAACTCTATTCCATTCCATTGTACTTTTTAAAACTAATGGTCAAGTTTCATAAATTGATTTTATTTCCCATTAGTGGGTCACAATTTGCAGTTTATAAAATACTGACTTAGAAAGGTTATATTTGTACCATGTGCCTTCTTTTTTCCTGATTTAAGAGTTTGCACATTAGCGAGACAGAAAGTCCAGCTGTCATTCCTGTATACCTCAGTTAGCTCACCTGATTATTCCAGGCAGGGCTGGATTTACTCCTTATCCTCTGTTCCCAGAAAGAAAAGGATGAAGTTTTTTCCCTTGAAAGGGTTTTTGAAAGTGTCATTTAACTAGCGATTTCCGTTAGTCCCACCACTCCACCAATACGAGTTATGGCAGCTCTGTGTCCCATTAGTGAGCTCTTTCCCCTTCAGCTCTGTGGGACAGGCTGCAGGGCCCAGATCTCTCTGAGCATCTCCTACCTGGCACAGCACAGGATTTATTTAGCATTTGGCCTAGGGTTTGTCCCACTGTTTCAGAGTTTGCTACCATTACTGTAGTAGGTATGAATAATTTTTCAAGTGTAAGCTTGTGACTTCTTTTTTTGCTCCTGAAATTATTGATCAAGGGGATTTCTGAATGATTTTGTGTTGGATTTAGCTAAAAAGAGTTTTATTTTCCTCCTGCTGCTGAAATGATCTCACATACCTTCATCTTAGCAAGTCCTTTAGATTTCATTTGGGAATTAAGATATGAAAGCTCTTTCCAGGGTTATTTTTATGGGATGAGTATGTAAGCTGAAAATAGGAAATATAGTTTGGTTAAGGGGAGCTACATTTGGGATGATCAAGCACAAATTCCTAATTTATTTTATGTTAGCAACAGAAGGCTGTCTTTGTTTTTCTTCCTTTCCTCTCCTTTTATTCTTTTTTTTTTTCATTTATTCAGCTACCTATTTGACACATATTTATTGGAGCCTACAGTGTACCAGGCACTGGTGTAAAAATGCAATACCAATATGTCCTGATACTCAGGAGACTACAATCTAATGGTGAGGGAGACTCTAGTTAATCAATGATTATAATATTTTAATGAAAGAGGTATCTGAGTCAGGGCAGTCAGGTAAAGCTGTTCCAAGGGGGTGACACTGAGCTAAATTTCAAAGGGTGAGTACAAGGATGAAGAAGCCAAAGAAGGAGGTAATAGAGACTTTGTCTTAGTTTGGGTTTCCCTGAATTCAGAGCCTGCAATAAGGACTTAGAGGCAGGTAGTTAATTTACAGCATGAGCCCCAGAAACTGGAGTGAGAGAGTGTGAGACAGAGAAAGAAAAACAAAGTCAAAGTAGATTGAGCTCATTGCCAACTATGGACAACTGGGACTTAATTCCACTGGGGACCTCTGGAGGAATGTAGGTACTATAGAATTATCTCTCCTCCCAAGGACAAGTGGTGGGGGTTCTGTCCGTTGTCTCCTATCTTTATTGGGATACAGGATGTGTGTGTGTGAAGGCTGGGGTGGAGGAAACATGAAGAACTGACTGGTTTTTCTCATTCTTTGTGGCTAGTGACAAATGGGGTGCAGTTGAGGGGGTTTTTAAAATCTTGTATTATTTTCTAAATGTTCTTCATTTCATGTGAGTTGAGGCTTACTTAAATTTTCCTCAATCCAGCTCATGATTCCTTGCAATTTGAATAGATTATTTCCATAGTCTGATCTCAGTGTTAAGTGATGTGAATGTTCATTTGTTTCCATGTTCTGTGTTTTAGTGAAAAGTTAATAGTCTCGAGAAGGACTGTTCTCTTGATGGCATTTGGAACCTCTGTATAAGTTTACCATACCATACTTTCTCATATGAAAAGAAGTATAATATCATCTTAAATAGGAACATCCTTGGAAATCAACTTTTGCTTGATGAAAACCTTTCTAGAACTGCTTCTTGGGTTTTGTTATTCCTTATTTTTGTGAGTGCAAGAAAGTAATCAGAAGAATTATATTAATTTATTCATGATCAGTAAGCAATAGAGACCATACCCAGTCTCATAATTATAATGTTAAAAAGGACACTGTGCACTAATACACGAAAAAATGTGGATCGAAAAATAGTTTAATAATTTAAAAGCAAAATATAAAATTTAGGAGTACAATTTATCAATAAAATATTATTTTCTCATATCCTCTGAAATCATATAATCAAGTTAGAATAGATTTCCTCATAATAAAGTAATTTGTAATAGAGACTATTCTCTTGCATAAGTAAAAATTTTAGTATGAGATAAAATCATTGCTAGAAATATTAATCAAATGTTAACCTGCTTTTTATTCTTTATATTTTCCAGATTCTATTTTTGAAATGACTTATAGTACTTCCTCTAAACATTACAATTTATGATTTTTTATTATTTTAAAGTTGGCATCCTGAGATTACTTGTTTTTTAGCAGATTCAACCTTATGTTAACTTCAAGATGAAAAAGGGCTTAGTTGTAAACAGCTACTTCAAAGTAGAGGTTTATGAGATTTAAGAGCTTTCTTAGCACTAATAAGAAAGAATACTGCAAATAATGACACTCCATCACTAGCATGTATTTTATAGTCCATATTTAGTTCTTTTTTCCCTTGGAACTTTGGAGTAAACAACCCATTCTTTGTGGGTAACATGGTCTTAAATAATTAAAAAATATTTTTAGGGTAAAAACCTTTTACTTCATTTGAGAATTTATGTCTTATGGAATTAGGTTTTAAGGCTGTGGGTGCTCAGATACAATTATTTATCAATAAGGCACCTTATAAATGCACATTATGACACCATAAAGAATAGACATGCAAGTATTGTCATGTCTGCTCTAAAAGTAGAGCTAGTGAATTACAGATTATAATTAGAATGAGAGACTAAATGATATTTAGGGCCATGTGCAGGGCTTACTTCTTGAAATACATGGCTGCCAAATGCTTATGGTCACATTTTAAATATTTATTTAAATCCAAGGGGCCAATCACTTTTTATACCCAGTCTTCAGGACCACCTGTCCCAAGCTACAGTTAGCATGCTATTAACTACTGTTGTTTCCATGATCACTAATAGCATCCATTTCTCTTATTGCACAGTATTTCAACATGATTATAGGAACATTCGAATTTTAAACTTGGAAAGAACTTCTAAAATTATATGTATGGAGTGCTTTTCCATTTCAAAATCAGTTAGGTATATGGAACACTCACATAAATGTTTAGTAACTGGTTCTCTAGGGGAAAAAGCCCTGATTTAAAACTTTTGACAGTCTTTGTGGTGTAAATATTCCCACCATTTCAAGCTTCCAACGTTACTTCACGGAATGTGCCATTGTTTTTGTAGTATTTCTACCACACAGATACATGTAAATAAACTTGACAGCCTAAATAATAGAAATATGTAGTAAAATAATTAGGAAGTAATGAATTTTGAATATTTGTAGCCGTTGTTTTTAATATAATTTACTTAATTGTAGGTTTATATAATTTAATTTTTTTGAAAAAGGCTTGCCAAGTTCCTAAAATTTAACAGTTAGCTCCCATGAGCTGGTACAAGACAGCTTCAGTATGCTACTTGGCTGTAGAGATATTATAGCAGATTTACAGATGAGGAAACTGGAGCTCAAAAGGAAGAAAGGAAATTAACATGTATTGACCACTTATTTGAAGCCATGCAGGATATTGGACAATGTCATAACTCATATAAGCCTCAAAAAACTTAGTGAAATAAGAAGTATTATTCCAGTTTTACAGATGTAAAAACAGAATTTTCCAAGAGTCATAATGCTATTAAGTGACAAAATCAAAATTAGAACCCAGATTCCTGGTTCACGGGATTCTTACTTTTGTTTGCACTAATATATCTTGCCCTCTAATTTCCATATAAGTCATGTTAGAACACCAGAGATGATCATGTCACACATGGCGAGATACAGCCATGGGCCCTGTGCCTTTTAAGACACTATTTTTTTAGACGTGAATATGGCTATGGATTTTTAAAATTGCAATATATAAACAGTGGGTAATTATAACTGTGTTAATCTGATTTCAGAGATAAACTGGCTTTAGATTTTTAGTAATTAGAAAGCTTAGCTAAAAATAAGCATGAACAGGAAAAATAGTAGTATATATAGATATATATACTACATATTATGTAGGCTTTTCAAGTAGGGTTGATATTATCAGCATTCTCAATGTAGTATAGAAGTTATCATATTGAGTAGTAAAATACAGTGATGGGTGAAGAACATAAAACAACAAAAATTATAATTACTTTTCGAGAACTCAATACTGTTAGGACCAATGGCTCAATACAGAGATGAGATAGAAGAGAGAGATGTTCAATAAACAATGTCTAAGGCAAATCTTTTATTCAGAGTGAATAACTTGGTACCTTTGTTATAGTATGATGCTTTTAGTCAGATATCAACAACAAATAGAAATCAACATAGAACAAGCTAATCTTCATCATGAAGTTCTTTGCAATCACTTTGAAGATTAATGTAATGTGATATTATTATACACTATTATACAAAAAAGACAAGTGCAAATGTTGTAAGAGAAAAAGATATTAAATAGCCATAAAAGATTCTAATTATAATTAAGGCACCTTGTAAGGACAATAAAAATGGATTTAAAAGTGAAAGATCTATCTTTTCGGAAGTCTCATTTTAAGTATATTGTTAATTCAAGTTAATTTTTAAAAATGTTTTTCAAGCCGCATAAGGTTTGTGAGAATTTCTGTTCCAATATTATGGTAGTCACAAATAAATATTGGAGATTTTATATATATATATGTGTATGTATATATATTATATATATATGTGTATGTATATATATTATATATATGTGTATGTATATATATTGTGTGTGTGTGTGTGTGTGTGTGTGTATATATATATATATTTAAAACAGGTACTGTGCATCTTACTTAGTATGATTAAAATAAAAGAGTTCAGAACCATTTGGTCCAGAACCAAATCTGTCTCTTTGTTTGGTCAATAGGAACTGCACTTATTTCAAGACTGAAAAGTACTTTAAATTTGGAATGTTGGAGGTACCTTGGTAATGTAAATTTTTGCATTTCTTTTATGCTCTCCTGTCTTCTAAGTGTTTTAACTTCCATCACAATGAAATTTCTTCCTTCAAAATTATATCACCAAAAATGACATTTGGAACAAACATCAAATTTAAACAGATTTCCTTGCTTCTTGTCCATGTTCTTCTTGGAAGCCACAGAGAGGATGGCCTTTGGGTGATCCACTAGTTGTTTCTAAATGGGAAGCTCCCTGCTTTTCCCCAAGGCACTGGCAGCTCTTTCACACATTGCCACTAGCAATGAACAGTCTCAGAAGTTCTTGAAAGATGGTTTTGTCACTTGTCTTACCTCTCTGCCTGCTGACTTGAAGCCTGACAAACAATGATAAGTGAGAGTGACAAATGGCCATTACTTACTATCCTAGAGATCTCCCATAAGGAAAAGGCCTGAATATGGAGCTGGACATGCCTCCATTACACTCCCAACTTGAAGAAAGCAAAACCCAATACAACTAAAATTGTCTAATTAAATTATTTGCAAGTAAATAAGTTAGTAAAGGAAGGCACTCATACCCAAAAGAATGTGAAAACAAGAACATAGAGTTAGAGTTTACCCATCAACTTATCTTAATGTGTTTCTAGTATCTTTATACAGGCATTTTTGTTTCAGTAATAATGTATGCTAACAGTATCTAATATGTAAACAACTTAGCTTATTGTTCTAACAGTGCTTCTAATTGTTCTATACTGTGGAATTATTATAAGGCAGACTCATTGCGTATCTTATCCAAGGACAGTTATTATTGGAAGTGCAGGAAAACCTAATTAAAACACTTTAATAATTCAACACAGTCGTCCATTACCAATCTGTGACACTGTGTGGATTAGATGTATATCGCATGCTTTACACAGTAGTGTCCCCTTATCCACTGGGAATACATTCCAAGACCCCCAGTGGATGCCTGAAACCTCAGATAGTACCAAACCCTGTATATAATATGTTTTTTTTCCTATATATGCATACCTATGATAATGTTTATTAATTAGGCACTGTAATAGAGTAACAGCAATAACTAATCATAAAATAGAACAATTATTACAAAATGCCAGCATCACTACTCTTGCATGTTTGGGCCATTATTAAGTAAAATAAGGCTAACTTGAACACAAGCACGTAAGCACTACCATACCACAAAAGTGGATCTGATAACTGACATGACTGTTAAGTGACTAATGGACAGGTAGTGTATACAATGTAAATATACTGGAAAAAAGGATGATTCACGGGATGGAGCAAGATGGCACAAGATTTCATCAGGCTACTCAGAATAACATGCAATTTAAAACTTATGAATTTTTTATTTTTGGAATTTTCCATTTAATATTTTCAGACCAAGGCTGACCATGGGTAACTGAGCAGAAAATGAAACTGAAGATAAGAGGGGACTACTGTACTGTTGCACCTCAGTGTTAACCATTACTTCTCTTTTTGCTCCAAGATTTAGAAATCTAGGCAGGCCAGGATAGTCAAGATCTGATTTGTTGTCTGGTGATTCAGCCAAAAATCATCAAAGAAGCTTCCTCCCCAAATTCCTTGCCTTGCTTCATTATCTGTCCTCTGCATTTTTCTTAACACTATGAAAATATAATAGAGACCAGGAGAAAATTTATCTCTCTCTTGCTAACCATGTCTCATATATTTGTCTGAGTGTATAAGCATTATAATTATAGACACTTCCAAAGAACATAGAGATAAAAGGAGACATCTAAATCAATGTCCAGAATGTCAGAACTGTTATTACTTAATATGAGACAGAGAAGCAGTTTATAGTTTTGAACATTTGTCTTAGGATTAAGAAAATGGAAGAGAAGCCTCTTGGGTTTGGTGTATAAGAAGAGATAGCAGCAAATTGTTTTGTGAAAGAGACATATATGAGAGTACACGGAGAGGCTGATCGCGGGACCTGGAATCATACTACACTGGGTTCAAGTCCCTGCTCCACCTCTTTCTAGTGTGTCTGTATCACCGTGGGTGAGCTACTTAACTCTCTGTGTCTTAGTTTCCTCGCCTTTAAATGACATGGATCCACCATTGTGTATCATACAGAATACCTGCACTGTCCTAAAAATCCTCTGAGTTCTGCCTGTAAATTCCTTCTCCCAACTGGTGCAACCACTTATCTTTTGACTATTTTTACTTTAGATTTAAGATAATTTATTCATCATTTGTTTGGATTTTTAAAAGATTTTGACTTCTTTCTTTTTGCCTCAGGAAAAATCAGCATGGTTTGTTGTAACAGAATACCTGAGACTGGGTAATTTATAAAGAAAAAAGATTTCTTTAGTTCACAGTTCTGCAGGCTGAGAAGTTCAAGAGTATGGCCCTGACATCTGGTGAGGGCTTTCCTGATGCGTCACAACATGGTGAAGGTCACAGGGGAAACCGACACATTTGAAGAGACAAAACCCAAGGGGCATCCTGGCTTCCTAACAGCTCAGTCTTACAGGAACTAATCTAGTCCCATGAGACCTAATCCAGTCTTGCCAGAGCAAGAACTCACTCACTACTGCAAGAACAGCACCAAGCTATTTATGAGAGACCCACCCCCAAGACTAAAACACTTCCCCTAGGCCCCACCTCCCGACACTGCCACATTGGGGATCAAATTTCAATGTGAGTTTTGATGGGAACAAACACAGCATATCTAAACCACAGCAATAACAATAACAGCACACCTAACATTTACTGAGTGATTGCAATATGCCAGGGACTGTCCTGAGAAGCTTACATATATTGACACATTTCATTGTCAGAGCAATTATGCAACTAGACACTAAAGTTAGCTCCATATTATAGATGAAAACGTAGAGAGAAATTCGATGACTTACTCAAGTTCACACAAGCAAGTGCTAAAGCCAAGTTTTGAACCCAGATAGTCTGTCTTCAACCATCATTATCTGATGAAATCAAAGCTTTTAAGCTTCATAAATCATATATGAATTATTTACGTAGTATAGAGCTAGCATTCCCGTTCAATGAATGATTATTCAAATATTACTTTAAAAACAATTTTTCCTTGAGGAAGTATAATCACAAATAACAATGTTCCTGAGAATTCAGAAAAAAAAGTATATTCTTTGGTTCTTATGTCAGTCATGGAGACAGAAGCCCCTCTAGGTATTTTAAACAGAAGTTACTTAATATGGCAAATTGGTTACAAAATGTCGGAAAGGCTGGAGATGCAAAAAAGAAGGTGGTGCAGTTACCCAGAGATTGATGACAATATGAAGTCACTAGCACATAAGCCTGGAAGTAAAGGGGAGAATGCTGTTACTCAGAGTCCACACTCACTGTAACTAGGGTTACTGGAGTATCCACCCATGCTGTGGGCCCATTGGAACCACAACAGCTACTACCTTGCGGAAAGCCAGGAGTCAAGAAACTCAAGAGTTACCTGCGCCCACCACAGCTGTTGTTGGAATGAGATCCAAGGCTGCCAGAGTGTGCACTGCTTCCGTCACCTCTGAAACCATGCTTCTAGAGCAAGAAGCCTGGACCTCACACATACCTACTGCTGTTGTTACCGCCTAGGACAAGGTCAGAAACAGAGAAGGAAAAGAAAAGTGGCTTATCCCTTTATGCCACCTTACATCTCCTGCCATTGCCTCCCATTGACAAGACTACTCTGCAGACACCTGACAAGGGAATCTGAGCAATAGAGGTGGCAGAACTCCAGTCCCCAGTAATGCAGAGAACATCCGAGCCAACAGGCAACTTTCTGTTGTAGCACTTTGTTTGTTTTAGAAACAACAGGAACCATTTAAAAATAAACATATATTGATGAACTTATTACTCAAAAGAACAACCAGGGTTATTAGTTGCCAACACTAGGTCCCACCATATTTAGTTTAAGCAGGAAAGTCAGTCATTAAAGGATATTCTGGATAGTCCACAGAGATCACAGAGTCTCTGGGGGGTTGGGCTATGAGGGTACCCAGCCAGATAAAATGCCTGGACTGTACCCCAGGGCTGCTTCAGCAAAAGCACCATTGCCATCTCTGGGCACAGACACCATGCTGTGTATGGCTAACACTGGGCATTAACCACCAGAACCTCCACTGTCTATTCTCATCAAAAAATGGATTCTACACAATGCCTGCATCTACACTTTGCTCTCTTTAGAATCAAAGTCTTGCACTGTGTCTTTATCACATGCCTATCTGCAAGAGAGGTGAGGCAAAGCAAGTCTCTGGCATCTACCTTAGGAATGTGGTACTCATAATGTCATTCAATCCTGGAGATAAACCATTGTTTGCAAATTACCTGACATAATGACCATGTGGCCAGTAATGTTTGTTTGATATACATGCTACACGCCAGCTACAATTCTAATCATTTTACAGATATTCATAGTGCTCTATGAGGTAGCTACTATTATCATTTCTGTTTTGCAAATGAGGAAGCAGAGCACAAAGGGATCTTTTTAATGAGCTCATGGTCCCATAGCTACAAACTGCCAGACCAGGATCTGAACTTAGGTTTCCTGGCTTCTAAGTTAGCTCTTAGCCACTCACCTGTACTGTACATGACAAATGTCCCGTAAACAGTAGCTACTTCCGTTCATCTTTTTTTCCTGGCACTTATGACATAAAGAGGGGAGAGGTCAGAGGATGGTGGAGAGGTCCTCAGAGGCCAGGTCATTAAGGAGCTTGGAATCATATTGAGGAGTAAGGATTTTATTCTAAGGGTGACCAGTTCCCAATCCAACAGTATATTCACACCCCCCTGAGCTGGAGCATTGGCAGTGGAAGTCAGATCTGTGACCAAGTGACAGTTAAGAGTACAAAGAGGGAGAGGAGAAGGGGACCAAATGTAGAATTCTTCTTGTTGTTGGTATTGTTTGGTTTTAAAACATTTTTTTTTAACATGGGTAGGAAGAAGAGTCCAGGAAGCAGGCTCAAAAAGACTGATCAGAGAGGTAAGAGAAACAAAGGAGGCTGTTATTCTAGACTCCAGGAGAGATCATTTGAAGAGGGTGAGAGTGGTCAGGAGCCTCAGCTACTGCAGGGAGGTCAAGGAAGAGAATGAGAAACTGGTCTTTAAATTGAGAAACTTGGAGATTATTGAAATTATCTTAGCAATAGTAATTTCAATAGTATAGTTAAAGTAGATGCAAACTGCAAAAGACTGAGGGATTAATAGCAGGATGTGGAGATAGAAAGCACAAACAACTTTTACTTGATTGAGACGAGAAAGAGTAAGAATATATCAAGGGTAGCTTCTTTTTTATGGGAGAAACTTGAAAATGAAGGAAGCTGAGGGGAGGATCCAGTTGAGAGAAAATTGATGATGTAAGCAAGAGAAGAGATAATGACAATGGAGAGACCTTGAGTAATTGGGAGAAGAATAGATGGAGGGACCAGTCTTAGGTAATAGTTTCTTTCTGCAGGACATGAGGAAAAAATGGAGCAGTTATAGACACATCTGTCTGTGTGGGGAAAGGAGTGTGAGAAAGTCCTCTCCTAAAAGACACCATTTTTTTCCCTATGAAATATGAGAAATATCATCTGCTGAGGGAGAAGAGTTTCAGGATGGGATATGGTGTCTAGGGAGAGTGTTGGAGGTTAGGAACAGCCACTGAAGGGAATGGGAAAGACAGCTCATCAACCAAAAGGTGGCTCGGTGGCTCGGTGGCTCAGTGGCCCAGGGAGCTTGGCTGAGGTGAGAGGCAGTATATTTTTAGCATGAATTTCTGCATTAGTTTGCGAGAGTCTGGCCATAGGGGCATAGATCTGAGAAAGGTCCTCAATTAGCAGGGCTTGAGCAGAGGCATTGATTCTGAGAAGAAATGTGCTGAAACAATGTGCCACCAAGTCTAGGCTGGATCAGAAGAAACTGGGAGAGAGAGGGGTCCCAGGCTGGTGCAGGGGAATGGAGGATGACCTGTGATCACAGCACATTGGCAACTTTCATGAGTTCAAAGATAAAATATGTCAGGAGCAATGGAGTGAGATTTTTGGAAGGATAAGGACTGTGATCATAGTAGGATATTGAAGCTGTTTCAGGTGATGATGCCTTAGGGTACGAACCTGGGAGTGGATCAAGGCAAAGGCTGCTGGAGAAAAGCTCAGAGTTGAGATGTTTCAAGAATATTTAGAGCTGTAACCTAAGAAACAAAAATTACTTTTTAAGTGAAATTTTTTATTTATCTAGAATCAGGAGGGTTTTTTTCCTGCCCACAACTCAGCTGAAATGATGATGCAATTACTTTAGTGAATATCTCAATTATCAACTTAGACCTGTTAGTTGTTCTTTAATCAATGTTGCTATGCAGAAATGTTCATGATTGTCCTACATAAGGCAGGCTAACTCATAAAACAAATAAACCCAAAAATGTATCACGGCCTAAGCATGATAGAAGAAATGGTATAGACTATGCTTCAGCCTAAGAACCAGGCAGATAGTTGATTGAATCTATAAAAAAATTTTTTTAAAGAGGATGGGATTAAATAAGATATGGATATATAATACTTGGCTGCTTTTCCTTTGCTTTTTATTATTATTATTATTTTTAGTTTCAGTTACTGGCAAAGCATCGCCAAAAGGGTATCCATACTTAGAAATGCATGCAGGATCACTCAGTGATGTGCTAAACACTCATCAAAAGCAGAGATAAGGGATTTTGGCCAAGGACAGATAACAGAGGATGGATGGCCTAAAGAGGAGAGAAAAGGACACTTACTGACTGCCTGAAACAGGAGTGGCTGCTGGCCCCAAGATCAACAGCACCAAAGTGGAACACATTGTCTTCCTCTCAGAACAAACGCCTCTGCCTTCCAACTTCTTTATTTCTGTTAATGCCCCCACCCCATCCCCCAGCCCAGTCTTCTAGTTTGCTGGACGTGGACACTGGAAGTCACTGTGTGTTTCTCACATTCTTCTAAGTCCTACAGACATCTCATAAGTCATCAAAAGCCTCTCGATTAATCCTTCATCACATCTCCAGCAGCCTGAAGAATGCTTTGTCAGGCTCATGACACTCTGCTGCTGGAGGAGCAGCAGTGGGAGGGGTTGTGGGGCCATTCTTCCTTAGCCGTCCTACCTGGTGGGTGACTCTGTGGGTTTTCTGGCAGGTGGTTGGGATTGCCCTAGAAGTGCTTCTGTGGATTGGGTGATGAGACTCTACTCTTCCAAGACTCTGCACCCCTCCAACCCTGGGATAAGATTCTGTTAAGTGCACTGCAACCTACATGCCATTTTTAAAAGGCAAAGCAGAAATATAGGGCATTGCTTTATAGATTAAAAGCTTTCCAGGAACTGTATGGCACTGGTTTTTAAAAACCACGCACACACATGCACACACGCAAATATGCACATTTACATACACAAACTTTTTTGAAAATTCTCACGTGTGAGTGTATTTAATTCTGCTTTATAGTCAAATCACAACACCAAAGAGGCACCCCTTAATTAGCAATATTCTTATACAGAGATGTTCATGGCTATGCTAGCTAGGGTAGGCTAATTGGTGAAACATATAAACCCCCAAATGTATAATGAAACAAAAAAGAGGGCAATTTCTTGCTTGTATAAGGTCTAAAATGGGTTTTTCTCATTGACGGCTGGCTCTCTTTTCAGCAGGAATTCAGATCCTTTTCATCTGTGACTCTGTCATTTTCAACATGTGGCTTCAAAAGTCTGCTTCAAGCCAGTGAAAAGAAAACAAATATGAAGAATAGACTTTTCCAGGCCTGGAAGTGGCACTTATGACTTTCACTCACATCCCAACAGCCAGAACTCAGTTATATGGGAAATGTAATCTAACTATGTGTCCATGAAGAACAGGACATCCGGGAAGCAATTAGCAGTTTTTTCTACAATGGTATAGCAACTGGATCAGTGTGGAGAATTTACAGGGCATCAAAGAAGAACCACTCTTCTTTACCCAACATGGTGGTGTAGGTACACTAGAAACTCTTGGTGGAGGAATAGGTCAGACCTATAAGTGAACAGGAAGCCAGTGGTTACATTTAGGGGGAAATATTTGAAATTCTAATAAAGTTTTTTCATTGTCTAAAATATACTGAAAGGAATTTTCTTAAATGAACACATTCTTCAATAATACAAAGTTGGCAAATTGGCAGGTTGGGAAGTAGGCAGTAGCAATGTGAACCAGTTGGAACTAGACAAGAAGCCCAGACTAGAAAAACAAAGCCCAGGCAAAAATCCAAGAATGCCAGGGCAATACCAGCATGAGAAATCAGATAAGTGAATAGAAACCAGGAAGCCATAGAAATTTTGGAGCAGAGTAAAATTAAAGTTACAAAACCTGGATGGGAGAGCTGGTCCTACTATTTACAGATGGACACAGGAGAACCCGCTTAACTTCTCTGAGTTTGTTTATTCATGTGTAGACTTGGGGTAATCATATCTACCTCATAATAACTGGAGAATCAAGTGAGATGATGCAATGAAAACTCATGTACCCTGGCAAAAGGAGAAAATGGGCTAATTTTAAGTGTTTTTGTTTTTATAAGCTTAGGGTTAAGGAGGGAACAGTGCTATTTAGGAAGAAGAGGAGTTGAAACCTCTTTTTTTGACAAATAAATCCCTGGTCCTGAACTGGCAGAAAAGGTTGAGAAGAACTACTTTGTGTAAACTCTATCTTCGTGGGGAAAACTTGCAGATTCAGTTTCCTTTATAAAAGTCCATTCTTCCTGCCGTCCTGCATGCCTTTCTCCCTCACTCCTTTCTCTCTGCTTTTACTTCCTCTTTTTACTTTTCTCCTTTATTTTTCCTCTATTTTTTTTCTCCATCTAGTTTCTTTGTTAGGTGAGCCTGGACAGTGAGGAGAGTGTAACCAATTTCCTGTATAAGGATTCTAGACAGGAGCTTGCTAAGGTTGGGTTTTAAGGGTTCAATCAATAATAGAAACAAAAAGGATGTGCTCCTGGCAAATGTGTTGTTTGATGTAACTCTTTAGGGGAAAAACTGGCAATATACACTCTTAAGTTGATCATTCTCTTTGACCTGCAAGAATTTTTCATGGTATCCAGTATAGGAAATAATCAGAAAAAATAGAAGCCTTATGAATAAAGATGTTCATCGTAGTTTTACTTATAGCAATAAAAAGTTTGAAACAGGCTGAACGCTCAAAGGAAGACAAATGGTAAATTCAACTACGTTATATTAACACAATAAAATATGTAATTAATCATGTTTTGAAGCACCTTGGTAAAATGGAGAGTATCATGGTAAAATAGCAAATGAAATTAGCAGATTGCCAAATGATCACAACCAGGCCAAAGGCGCAGGGAGAAAAAACATAGAAGGAAATGGATCATAATGACATCAGTTGCTGTTCATGAGTGGATAAATACACTTTTTTATTATTTCTACTTTTCCATATTTCCTATATTTTATAATGTACCTATATTATTCTTGTATTTGAAAACATAAAGCCAGTTTTAGTTTCTGGGAAAGTTGTTGATACTAATTTTTCTCATCTTAGCCTTGTGCTGGTGTAACTAATAGCAAAATGAGTTCACTTGCTGCACCATAATGTAAAGTAGTCTTTTTAAAAGTGAATAGAAATATCTATATAGATCTATAGGTACCAGATACGTATATGTGTATAAGTTTTAGCATTAGAAATTCCACACTCATAAATCACAGTTTTGCTTTATAGGATTTAATTGGCAAGAAGGAAAGAAATATAAATTGTTGGTGCAGAATTTTCAGTCTGTCATTAGAATAGCATAGATTCCATGGCCTGACTTAAAGCATTTGCATGTATCACAAGGATTCTGTTGGAATCAGCGTTGGAGTGAACTTTTCTTTGAGATGATTTGATGATTCTTTTTAACTCTGTCCTCTATATCCATGGAAGCTGTGCCTCCTTGTAAAAATATGGTGATGGAGACCACAAGTAATGAAAATATTTAGATAATCACTTATAAGCATTGACAAACAGTATCAAAGGCCATTACTGTATAGACGTTCTTGAGAGTGGCTGGGTCTGTTGCAACTCACAATGGGAGATAAAAGAACTTAATGTATGTAGCCTTGTTCAAAAGTCCATCTAATTTGAAAAACGTTGATTTAGATCACTCGAAAGTTCCAAGGAAGACTTAAATGCATTGAGTAGTCACTGTGAGTTGAGAAGAAGTAAATAGATTATCAGGCAAACAGGTAATCAAAAGCTAGTCCAGAAATTCGAAAAGGACTCCTGACAATGTCCTGGAAGAATCACGTGGTATTATAAGATACCGCTCAAAGGATAGGGAAAGATGGCCAAAGTACATCAAAATATTATTTTCTTTATTAAACAAAAATAAAATTGTATGAACCATAAAACGGATATGGAGAGTTCCAATTTTAATATGTACAGCTTTATTTGGATTAATTGAAAGGTGTACTACCTCCTACAACCTGGTAAAATTGCATTCCATATTAAAATTACAGTACAGTAAACCATAAAGTTTACCTATAAGACTGAAAATGACAGATCTAGAATGAATAAGGAAAATATACCACAGCTGACAGAGAGAATATATGACTTGAATGTGAATTTCCTGCCTACGCAAAAGAAGGTTTACTCTGAGTCCAGGAAGCATCATGGTCTATTTATGATAATAGAAATTTGTAGGCATCTGGCTTCAGGTGAACCTCTCTGATATTTGACATCAATATTAGTCCAGGCACAAAGCTGTATTTTATTTTCTTGCAGGGCCTTCATGATGAAATGGAAAATATTGATTTGTGATCACCCCACTATAGATCAATCCAAACACATGGATTTTGTGCTTTGTTTTATTTAAAGGGCCCAATCAAAGATTTCTGTTTTGCTTTATATTCAAAGCTTCAGGTCAGTGTTTCCCAGATTTCAATGTACATAAGAATTCCTTGGAGTGTTTATTAAAAATGCAAATTCAAGAGCAAGCAAAACTAATATTTCACGAAGAAAATCAGAATAGTGATTATGACTGGGAGGGGCATGAAGGAACTTTCTGAAATATGTAAAATGCAACACTTTGCTACATGTGTTTTATTTCATAGTTACAATTTTTAACAAAAACAAACACATTTTTAAAATGCAAATTATTGGGCTATGCCATAGGGGAAAAAAATTGCCACAAGGATTGGGCCTGTTTTAATAAGGTTGGGCCTGTTGTTGGCTGGAATAAACTTATCTATCAAATATCAGCCATGAATAACAGAAAAAGGGCAACAGATTTTAACTTGCTTCTAATCTTTTTGAAAGCCCCCACTCAAGCCTATTTTTATAGCAAGCAAGATCTCTGCTGGTTCTTTCTACAGTGATCTCAGAAACTGTTACCTTATGAAGGCATCCAAATTAGTCAAATCTTGAAGGTTTTGTCTTTGTATAGCCAATAGACCAATAATTGGGTTGAGTTTTAGTTCTCAGAAGTGCATAGTTACTGTGCTCGGGAACTGGCTTTTTAAGATTTCCTTTTATCTCTTGTCCATTTACTTTTTTAAGGTCTGCTGCAAAACCGAAACAGCTCTTGTTCACATTCTAACTGAGAGAACCTATCAGTTCAGACTTAACCTCAGCAGAATGGAAGTATTTTCACACCAACTGTTATTTCACTCAGATCTCCTCATGTGGTTCACTCTTTGGTGGGCCCAGTCACTCCAGGATTTTATTTCTTGCAGACATGAGCTTATGTTCAGTCCCCGGAGGATATAGTTTGGGTAATTCTTGCTGGCAACACTCTCCTAAAGCCTGTCATGAATCTCATTGCCCCATCTGCAGAATACACTTCCAGAGGAAAGCCACTAAAGTATTGCAGATGACAAATGGGACATTCTCCTAAGCTAAGTAGAAAAACTACCCATCACCTCCCTCCCTCCACTGCTGAGTTATACACAGTGGAAATCATGTACAATGTCAAATCCACCTTGATAAATTCCACTTGTTAACCAAGCAGAGCACCTCCAGCAATGAAAAAGGAAGGTAAAGGAGAAAAAGTGACCTCAGAACTTTTTTATGTCTCTCAGATATGAACTCTTTTGCTTTCAGATGTTAAAGTTATTAATTTCTTTCCATCTTTAACTTGGTTTGGCTCCTAGTCCTAAAATGAAGAGATGTCATTTGAGGTTTTATGCTGGTAGATTAAAAAAATCCCTCTGCACACAACAAGCACACACATTTTTGAGCAAACTACAACCAGACTCAGATGCCTACGAAATAGGATAGGCTGAATTGAGTCACAAAGTAATGAGTTTTCAGTTGTCTAGCCAAGCTCATGTTTGTCTCCTTGTTTGCTTACTCCCTGCCAAAACAGAAACATCAAAGGAGACACTTTAAAGGAGACACTTTCTTTAAAAGGAGACACTATCTTTAGTTTGCTCATTTATTCAACATATATTTATGGGATGCCTACCATATGCCAGACATTGTTCTAGGCACTGAGGATACAACAGTCATCAAGAGACCTAAAAAATCCCTGTTTTCATACTATATGAAATGTTTTATGATTCATAATATGAAAATAATAGTAATGATGATGAGGTGGGTGATATGATACATAGTAGAATAAATATGTCTTTTTTCTTTTTTTTTTTTTTTTTTTAAGACGGAGTCTCACTCTGTCACCCGGGTGGGAGTACAGTGGCAGGATCTCGGTTCACTGCAAGCTCCACTCTGATGGGTTCAAGTGATTCTCCTGCCTTAGCCTCCCAAATAGCTGGGATTACAAGTGCATGCCACTACGCCCACCTAATTTTTTGTATTTTTAGTAGAGACAGGATTCACTATGCTGGCCAGGCTGGTTTCGAACTCCTGACCTCAAGTAATCCACCTGCTTGGCCTCCCAAAGTGCTGGGATTACAGGCATGAGCCACCTCGCCCGGCCAAGTTTCTTTCTTTTTAAGGCTGAATAGTATTCTCTTTTTAAGGCTGAACAGTATTCTATTGATGTATATATCACATTTTGCTTATCCATTTATCTGCCAGTGGACACCTGGGTTGCTTCCACATTTTAACTTTTATGAATAATGCTGCTATGAACATGGAAGTACAAATATATCTTCAAGAACCTGTTTTGAATTCTTTGGGTTATATATCCAGAAGTGGAATTGCTGGATCATATGGTAATTCTATTTTTAATTTTTTGAGGAACCACCATATATTTTCCACAGAGGCCATACCATTTTACATTCCTACCAGTAGTACACTAGTGTTCTAATTTTTCCACATCCTTGGCAACACTTGTTATTTTTGGGGTATTTTGATAGTAGCCATCCTAATGGGTAGTAAGTGATATCTCATTGTAGTCAAACTGTGTTTTTATATTACTGTAAATGTTATACTCAGAAGAAAATAGAGATGACTTGTTTTAGTTTAATTTAATTTAGGAGACTGGGTCTTGCTCTGTCACCCAGGCTGGAGTGCAGTGGCATGAGCATAGCTCATTGCAGCCTCGAACTCCTGGGCTTGAGGGATCTTCCTGCCTCAGCCTCCTGAGTAGCTGGGATTACAGGTACAAGCCATCACATCTGGCCTGGAGGTGTCTTCTAAACACATGAGGCTAAATGAATATGGATGTAGATCTATGGTATGTAATCACCTGTAGCTTTCCCCAGTCCTTCACCAGGAGTGCCTATTGAACTTTCTCAAACCCTTCAGGTAAGCTAATCAAAAATTAGAAATCTAGAGTCCCTTCCCTTCATGATACCTGCCATACCAGCTCAGGGTCCAGACAAAATCCTTTTCTTGTTCTTGTCACCCACAACAACAGACACAATATTTTACTGTCTAGAGCACAATTTTCTCCATACATAAGATTATTATTGAAGAGAACAATAGGAATGCAATCTGTAAAATGGGAATTTTAGGCCCAAGTAGTTAACTCACTACTTAGCTTCCAGGCTCTGAGTGGGTGATAGAATAGGCAATTTTCAGCCTCCCGAACTCCCCACAATAAATCAAACTTTTTATATGTCAACAACTTCTTACCTTGAACTGTGTAATTATCACATCAAGTCCATTTCACTTCTTACTGTCACTATTGTTCACTTGTCTTTAGGAAATACTCAAGGTACCCATCATGAATTACCCCGTGGCCATCAATGAACTCCTATTGATACAAAGATAAATGACAATAATTTTCTAAAATAAGGCCTGTTGGCAAATGTAAATTGCTTTTCCTTAGGACCAACTATCTTTTTACAATAGTATTTACTGTACAAGCATGCATATGAACAATGACTTCGTAAGGCTTTTAAATTAATCAAATTAGAATAAAATTTAAAATTCAATTCCTCAGTCACACCATATTTCAACTGTTCAACATCCACATGTAGCTATTGGTTGCCATAGGTATGGAAATGTTTCCATCGTCACAGAAATTTCTATTTGACAGCACTGTTCTAGGGCATTCATCTTTTTATAATTTACTCATTTTTAGAAAAATTGGAATTGTCTATTTAAATTACATATTTTAAGGTCAATTTGATGGTATCCAACAAAGTTAGTGCCAAGACATTTCTGGGGCAGCTTTTGGGGGATTTGCAGTGCCAATAGAAAGAAGAGGTAAAGTAAATCCTAAAAGGCCTTCTTAATGCATGATATTTTGCTATCAATAAACTATAACAGTTAATGCACAGTTGTGGGCATCTTTGGATAACACCTGATCAAGTCCACCTGGGACTATTCTCTAGTTTCTTAGTAGCTGAGGCAAAGAGGTGGACATAGGGCCTGAGAGGGTGGTAGCTACAAAAGTATATATCTGAATCAAAAAATAAATAAAAGAGCTACATGATCCCATAACAATGGGATGGTGTACAAGGAAATGAAATTGTTTATTGATGATGTGTTATTGTCATTGATTCTTATTCTGAATGGTAGGACCAGGGACATTTAATAAATTTAAACAGAAACTTATGTTGATTTCTTGACAAATGATTTGGTACATAATATTTTTCCTTTTATAAACTTTTCTGTTAGTAACCTGAATATAGCTAAAAAATTCAAATAGCATCAAAATCCTTATAATGACAAAATAATAATCTCAGGTTCCACGCCCTCTGACTCTCCAGCCCAGTTTCCTAGAGACAACTATCTAGAGCTTTTTAATTTGCTGCTTTTGGCAGCTATTCCCAAATCCCCAAATAAAATGCTATCTGGCCATTCTTTTATTTATCAGTTTTAGACATCATTCATTAACTTTCTTATTATGTTAGATGATTTAGTTATATGTAGGCAATAACTACTCTTATATCTCAAAGGATGCTAATGTTTGTGTTTTCTCTTTTGAAATTCCTTTTCTGTTCTGTGAACTGTCTCTATTTTTTCCTGGGCCTTTTTAGTCTCTTTTTTGGATTTTTCTTTTATTTGTTTGTTTTCCCCACTGTTTGTTTATGTTAGAGGCTTTTCTCAAATGTCTGAGTTTGGGTTGATTCCTCATATTTACAAGTGATCACCAAAACCTATGTAGCTTGTTGACAGTCAGCTTTTGCTTTAGGTGGATCAGACAGAGAGCCAGCTCTTGCATTAGGGGCTGCTGGAATGTCTTGTCTCCAGAGCCACTCAGCTGCTCCAAGGAAAATACATTCAGTCTTCTGCTTGGGAGTGCAATTCCTGATTACAGGTGCTCTCTATATCAGAAGGGTTTGTCCAGTTGTTCCAAATACACAATCAACCCATTATATCAAGTTCTAGGCTTCACTTCCATGTTTCCACTCTCATTCCTGCTCCACTCTTGAACCTCTCCCAAGTTCTAGGAGGCAAATGTGCTCCTTCTTAGTCATTCTTTTCTACATTTAATAAGGTTTCAACTTTCTCCTACTTCATCAGCTATCATTATTCCTTCTCCTTTTGTTCTCCAGAAACAAAAAGAATAGAAGTTCTTTCTATTATTGTAGATTTCTAGAGACTTTTTTCGTTACTAGTATTCCACCCCACGCCCTACTGCTTTTGTTTGTTTGTTTGAGGCAGAGTCTCTGCTGCTCAGGCTGGAGTGCAGTGGTGTGATCATAGCTCACCGCAGCTTTAAACTCCTGAGCTTAAAGGAATCCTGTCTTAGCCTTCTGAGTAGCTGAGACTACAGGCATGCACCACCACACCTGGCTAATTTTTAAATTTTTTTGTAGAGATGAGTCTTGCTATGTTGCACAGGCTGGCCTCAAACTCCTGTCCTCAAATGATTCTCCCACCTTGGCCTCCCAAAGTCCCAGGGTTACAGGCAAGAACCACCATGTCCAGCCTCTTAATTAATATTTAAACATAGTCTCTGGAAAGAGAGGATACAAGTATTTGTGGTCAGCCCACCATCTTTAAAAATAAGTCATGGTAATGTTTTCCAGTGGTAACCATCATACTATGTTAAAGTTTGTCTATTTTAAATTTTTTCCCCATATTTTAGATTAGAGTTTTCTTTTAGCTAGACATGTTGGAACTACCATGGATTTTAAAGTCAAACAGACTAGTATTATAATCCTGGTTTTACTACTTATTAGCCATATACTATTGGAAAAGTTATCTAGTCTCTCTAAACCTCCTTCTTATAATAGGAATAATAATATTTATCTTGAAGATGTTTCATGAGAATTAAATGAAACAAAACCTGTGAAGTATATAAAACAGTTCCTGGCACATAGTAGGAACTCATTATCTTTATTAAGTTTGTGAGTTATTTGTTATTACAAACAAATTGCTTTTAACTCAGATATCAAATAATCAGACTCTGTAGCTTAGATACCACTTTTTCCAGGAAGCCTTCCTGATTTAAGATTTGGATAGAGATGCCGTATTTGTGCTCCTGCAGCACTCGTCATTGACTATTATAACACCTCTCAGTCAGACTGTCATGGAATTGCTTGCTTAATTCTCTGGTCTTTCCTATTAGATTGTAAATTCCATGTGAATTGGGACCTAGTCTATATTGTTCATTTTTGTCTCCCATGCCTGTCACTATGCTTGGCACAGAGTTGTACTCAATAAATACTTGTCGAATGAACAAATAATACCATTCTACTTTTATAAAACTGGCTATATTAGATTTTTTTGATGTAAAGTGTATTCTGTGCTTTAAGTTTCTTCTGCAAGATGAAATTTCTTATGGTACTATTTAGGAAGATAGTAGAATAATCGTCAAACAACCAAAATACACAAACTTGGAGGAACATAAAAATTGAGTATCAAAATGACCCTGTATGAAAGGCAAATTCAGTTAAAGCAATCAACCCCTCTTTCCCCCTCCCCTCCGTGACTGAGCACTGAGGCTTTGTAGCTAAAGGAAATGCAACAATTCATTCAGAAATCAGTATCCATTTTGCTTTTGTTACTGCTTCAAAGTCAAGTTTCCACTTAATTGCTCTGAAATGTAAATAATTCCTCAGTCAAAAAACAAACAACAGCAACAACAAAAAGCCCACCACAGTCTCTGGATGGTTTCAATTTGGTGGCAATGCCTGAGGCTATAAATAGACTGCTTCTAACCCAACAAATGAGTTTCCATTTCTCTTTTTGGAATGCTTTCTTCCTTAACCCCTTAACCCCACCATTTGGATAGACCTGCCATCATCAACTAAAGGAATAGTTAGGAGAAATGGGATCCCTTTGTGGTTCTTGTCTCTGAAGGAGGAGGGATTCTGCTGGTCTTGAATTAACTCCTAAAATACCTAGAAGAATTAAAATCTTGGCCGTTCAATCTATTTCAGCTTATTAATAATCATAGAGCTACTGAATGTGGTTGCAGTAAGACTGAAGCCCAGTCTTTATACATCCCACCACTGTGTTTGGTAGAATCATTGAGATTGGGGCTTTGTTGTTGATGCTATTGTTATTACCTTTGTTCTTTTCGATTGAAAATAATCTTAGTGATCATCATTCTAAACATTTCATTTTAACAGATGAAAAAGCTGAGGCCCAAAGACCTTAAGACTTATTAAAGGTCAATTTCAAATCTATATAATAATAACAACAATAAGAAATCTCACTAAACAAGCCAGGCACGGTGGCTCACACCTGTGGTCCCAGCACTTTGGGAGGCTGAGGCAGGTGGACTACTTGAGGTCAGGAGCTCGAGACCAGCCTGGCCAACATGGCGAAACCCTGTCTTTACTGAAAATATGAAAATTAGCCAGGCATGGTGGTGCACACCCATAATCCCAGCTACTCAGGAGGCTGAGGCAGAAGCCTCAGCACTCCAGCTTGGGCAGCAGCAAGAGTCTGTCTCAAAAAAAAAAAAAAAAAGAAATCTTACTAAACAGAAATAAGTTCTTATAAACAGATAAAACTTAATTGTATTTGAAATATTACCTTTAAGTTATTTATATATATTTAAATGTATATGATTCAAGTACCAAAATTTGATGCATTAGTTTAGACCACAGTAAAATATCAGTTGGTTTATGCATACTATGGGAATTATTTACATTCAGAAATTCTTGCTTATATATGCAGTTTAAGATGTATTTTTTTTTTCATATAGAGAAACTATAATGAATAAAGAGTAGGAGGTGAATGGCTTTTCTTCAGAGGATGTCTCTATTCTTATATCTCTATGCTTCAAGATACAGAGGCAGCAGTGGTACACACAGCAAGTCCATTTCTGAGTTGATAAAGTTGGGGGGTGCAAGGTGTGATATGAATTTTGTTTTTCTTATAGTTGCATCATTCAAAGCCTGTAGAGATATTTTGAATAGACAATGGCCTAGTGACCCTCCCAATTAATCGTATGACCTGGCAGGCCATCAAAACACTATTTGCAATGTATTCACTGATAGAGTCATTGTTTTCACTCCTTTTATAAGCTAAAAGATGGTTTTGGATTAAACTTAGATTTTCTTAATTTATTAGAATCATTTCTGCTTTACCAATAGAGTGAGCTTGAATATCACTTGGGTGATTTGTACATTTCTCAATTTTTTTTTTTTCGAGATGAAGTCTCACTATGTCGCTCAGGCTGGAGTGTAGTGGCACAATCTCAGCTCACTGCAACCTCTGCCTCCCGAGTTCAAGTGATTCTCCTGCCTCAGCCTCCTGAGTAGCTGGGATTACAGGCACACACCACCACTCCCAGCTAATTTTTGTAGTTTTAGTAGAGATGGGGTTTCACTATGTTGGCCAGGCTGGTCTCCTCAAACTCCTGACCTCAGGTGATCCGCCCACCTTGGTCTCCCAAAGTGCTGGGATTACAGTCGTGAGCCACTGTGCCTGGCCCATTTATTGAATTTTTAATCAAGGGCCTGCCTATCCATGATCAAAATTTTAATATAATGATAGTTTTCAGGAAAACAGTAATTCTTACTTAACCTAATGAGTGGCTCTCTTTGTAAGAAAGCTAAACATTGTGTGCAAGGGCATGAGTTTGTGAATAGCTGTTGCAGAATATTATCCCAAAGGTGGCAGAAAATCAATCACTTCATAAGTACACCAATTTGTACAGTGATTAGGCTACTGAGATGGACCTAAGCATTCATTTTTCAGTGGGATTGAAGTGCTAATGCTGAGCAATAAAGCCTCCTACTGGGTAGACTCTCATTATCTTAGAGATGATCTTTTTAGTTTTTCAGGAAGCTGGACCTAGTTAAAATCCTCTTGTAATTTTTATTTTCGAAGGTTCATAAATAATTTCTGTATCCTTTGTATTTGATTGTTCAAAAATGAATGTACAGAAATATTTTGTCTTTTCCTAGTTAAAATTTGTCGATGATATTCAGTCCCAACATTCTCCATTCCTAACTATTAATACATATTCTGAATGGATTGTTTCAGTGAGGATACTATGTGTCGCAAATAACAAAATCCGATAATAGGGGCTTAAATAATCGAGCAATTTATTTACATAGAAACAGAAAAGTCCAGAGGGTGGGTGAACTTCAGGCAGTCCAGAAGGACTCCGGGCCCTATTTTTTTGCAAGTTTTTACAGATCTGCCCTGCTCTATTGGCATTCTGTGACTGGCTACCTGCATGGTTTTATTACAGCTTCCAACACCAATGTCTTTTATACTTTCTCATCCATATCAGCTGTGGGTTTTCTCATCCATATCAGCTGTGGGTTGCAGAGAAAGGGGCAGAGAAACTGGAAAAGTAAGAATCTTTTTGCCACAAGCAATTAGACAAGAGTCCTGACCTTTGGTTTAACTGAATGATCCTTAATCAATCACACTAGCCAGAGCTTGTCATTCCCTGATTGATTAAGGTTACCAAAGCCCATGTTTGCAAGGGTGGGTGGAGAGATCAATCCCATCTAAACTCATCTTGACCACAAAATTGGGGACAGGTAGAGTGGATGTTGTTGAGACAACCTTAATTTTCTCCACATTGAGCAAGTAGGAAATGAATTCATTTTATATTATTTGCATTCTAAAATCTGAGAGATGTAAGGGTAAAATTAACATTTAATATGATGGTCCCAACACTCATTTTGCTACAGTAAATTAAGAGAAGGCATTATCATTCATCTTCTTGGTAGGTTTATATAAAATTCTTTCTTTTGCTGCAACTCCATCTCTTTTTTCACTATGGAGAGAATGTTGAAACACTGAGTTGTAGAAAAAAACTAAAATCTGTTTCATTTTATTGTCATCATACTTTTCTTGCGTCCAATTTAACTGGCTACAATGTAGCAGAAGTCATGACGTGGTTGAGAACCTTTATATTTTAGGTATAGTAGCAACTACTGGTTGTAGATGGTATGAATGATTGCTGTATCAGACATAGACTAGACCAAAAGAGAAATATGAAGTACTGTTTTTTTTTTAATGTTTTCTAAGCTTGGCATAGGGTAGTAAAAAGAGTGCAAGATTTGAAGCAGCATGCCCGCTTAAGGACATGGGCAAAGACTGGGCGAGTCATTTTACTTCTCTGAGTTTCAGAGACATAAAAATACTTAACGTACCTACTGTGCAAGAGGTTGTCGAAAGTTTAAAAGAGATCATTTATATGAATATGTTTTTTAAACTGTGAAGTGCTATACAGATTTCAGTATGAATTAGAAGTTAAATATTACTATTGGAGACTGAGATCGCCTGGCGGGTAGTACTGATTGTTTATCTACCTTCCTTTAGTGTCCAGCAGTATCCTACCAGTATTTGTCTAGCAACAACTCTTTGTCAAATAAATAATAACATGAAAATAATAACAATAAGGTTGACAATGGTAATTAGGGAAAATATTGTATGTATTGGAGAAAGTGAATTAAATAGAAGGAAGAAAGTATATTGGATAAAAGGTTTAAAATACTCAAAAAACTGAGTCTCAGAATTGGAGTTAATAATCTATCAACAAAACAGTGAATGCATCCCAAATTCCATTATGCCACTGGGCTATCCACTGTTTTACTAAAAGTTTGCAGCTTAGATTGTTAGAAGATTTTGCGCCTTTGGGAAATCATCTCTAACTTTTAAAGGATATCAAAGAGAAATGAGATTAGCTTTTAAGCTGAATTTGCTGGAAGACACCTATACCATTTAGCAAAAATATACCTGTATTTTCATACTCTGGATGCAGCTAGAGAATTTACACTATGGATGAAGTTCTTATAAATCTCTAAAAAAGAAAGAAAAATCTTTGCTATTTCAAGTATGCTCTGTAGTTCTATAAAAATTAATGATACTCTTCATAGAAAACATGATGCTTTAGGCACATGTGTTTTTACTCTAAAACTTCTTTCTGTAACTAAATGCAATTAGTTGTCACATGCCCCTGATTTACTCCCATCTACAAGCACCACAAATTGTGCTAGGATGTACATAGAATGCACAATTAGCTATAATTCCTGCTGAATTGGGGTAGGGGAGGAGTTTCTCCCCACAAAATTTCCAGCAAAGCATCTTCTGAGAACTGCAATAGATAACTGACAAATTCCAGCTACAAATCTTGGAAACTGTACTATTAGGAAGCAGCACTTTAACTGATGGTCTGGTATTTCCAAAAGATAATGTCACCATGACATTTTCAGTCTTTTAATATCCTTTTATTGAGTCCCTTTCGTCTCATCTTAAAGCTGGAGCCACTTGAGCTAGAAGAGCTGAAATGCATTTTTGTTGTTCACTCTGTTCTTGTTTTGCCTAACTGACTGGGCCTTCACGGGCTCATCCCCCGGGTTCTTAGTGGGAGGCATCTTGCTGTCTCTGTCACTGCAACAAAGATATTGCTTGTTGCAAAATAAGAAAATGTTCCCTCTGCCATGGCTCTGTCTGGAGTAGAGAAATACCTATCACTAGTCCTCCTGGGTTGAACTCCCAAGCTCATTCCAAGTCACCCTAGAAGTAATGGAGGGCAGCAAAGCTTCCAAGTGTTTATCTCCCTTATAGATTCAAATGGGTATTCTTGGCCAAGATTATTACATGTGTGTGGCATTTGCCATATATACATACACACACATATATATATACACACACGTATTTATATATCTCTCTCTATATATACACACACGCACACATATACACACATCACCCAGACATATATATGTAATATTATATATTTATGTGTGTGTGTGTGTGTGTGTGTGTGTAAGGTGTCTAACTAATTTACCATATAGGAGGGCTATGCTAAAAACTAAAAATCATCTCTATTCAGAAAAGAACATAGTCAAACTAAGATAAACATTTTAATTGTTTATTTTCTTTCCTACTTTATTACATGAGTTGTTCCCATGGTTGGTGATCCATAATCTCAATGTCACAATCATCCCTTTGTCATAGTTCTCTCAATTGCTCATTTCTCTCTCTTCTAGATAAATTTATTTTATTAACAAGGGTTCCAGAAAAATAGAACCAATAGAATGTGTGTGAGTGTGTGTGTGTGTGTGTGTGTGTGTGTGTGTGTGTGTGTGTGTGGAGAGAGACAGAGAGATTGATTTGTTATAAGGATTTGGTTCATGCAGTTATACAGGCTAGCAAATCCAAATCCAAGGCTGGAGACCCAGGAGAAACTATGTAGCAGATAAAGTCCAAAGCAGTCTTCTGCAGAATTCCCTCTTGTTCAAGGAAGCTGATCTTTTTATTCTACTAAAAGCCTTCAGCTGATTGGATGAGGCCCACCCACATTATGGAAGACAATCTGCTTTACCCAAAGTTCACCAATTTAAATGTTAATTTTATCCAAAACAACCTCAAGTTGTCACAGAATTAACCATCACAGATATAGACAGACCTATATCTATATCTATAGATATAGATATTTATCTTTTGCACTCTCTCTTTTTATCTTGCTTGGGTCAAACAGACCTGAATCCAAATTCCTGCCCCAACAATTAAGTATTACTCGTGTCATGTTATGGAACCTCCACAAGGGTCAGTCTCCTCCTTTTTACAATGGAGGTACCATAGCTATTTCTTAAGATTATTTTAAGGGTAATTGAGGTTATACATATAAAGCACCTGGTACCATGTCTGACACATAGTAAATACTAAACAAATGGAAACATTTTCATTCATTCAAGCAAATGTTTATGTAACTTGATTCTTTCCACTTCCCTATCTCTACTGCTGTCACCCTGGTCAGGTTATCCTGATCCATCTCCTCAGTGCTTCTTCAGTAGCCTCCTAAATTATCTCCTCACCTGGCCCTAGGGTGATGAAAGAAAGCCTGACTGATAAATTAAGATTTAAGTGAAGTATGGATATACCTGGAAAAAGTGTTTTGGTGGGAAGTGGAAGGGGCAGAGAGGAGAAAAGAAATATCAAACAGCCAGAGTGTTCAGATGGAAATCCAGTTCTGTGAGTTTTAAAAAGTGGTATTCTTTTTATTTTGCTCAACAATGTGAAAACACTCTTGATAAGAATTCTTGACACAGTGAAAGTGAAATGTGTTATTTCTTTCTTCTTTGTTGCCTGCCAAAAACAAAACTTATGGATTGACCTATGAGAGGAAAGCATGTCAGTTGCAAGCAGAGCACACCCCAGAGAGAAGGCGCACCAGGCTCCAGGCCACTCTACTATCAAAATCAAATGTTGACTTTTTAAATATTAAAGATGAAGGTTGCTATTGAATCAATATTAAAGCAGGTGGGACACCAGGATGAGGTCTCTTCCATCAAGCACTTACTTTTTATAGTTTAGTCTAAATAGTATTTGATCCTTCTGCAAAAACCTTTAGACTCCTTTGTGAATGAAACAGGTATACCATGGCTTAGTTACCCCAAATCTGGCATTTTAACATTTTGATGTAAAATGACAACAGGGGTGAGTCAAATAGAGGCCTTTAACTCAAATCTACAAAAAAGAAAAGAAAAGAAAGAAAGAAAACCATTACGATGCCTGCCTGTGAATTATGAAGGGAAATGCTGAATTTATAACCTGCAAATGCCGAATTCATAACCTGCATGTTTGCCTGCGCAAAACCAATCAGTTTATGTACATTTTCCAGTGATATGTCTATTTTTTCCTAAGTAATATGTTGGCTTGGGTCTTCCATAGGCTTAAACTCTGACAAAACACACAACATAGATTTTTGCTACGTAGGCAGGATATTAACAAGCTGCTTTAATACGGCAATTAGCTATTTTGTTTTTCCCCTCTATCTTGACTGTTCTGGAAGGGCTTAAAGTTTAAACTGTCTTTGCCCTCTATGAAAAGGAGAACTGGCTTCTGATTAATTAAAGCTCTGGGTTTGATGGTAAGAAGGATTTCTTTTTTTCACAAGAGACTTAAAAGAACAGAAATTTGTATCTCCGTTCAAAATGCAGGCAGAAAAGAGGAGGATTTGTCCCAGGCTAGAAAATATTCCCTCAGGCTGAGGTGGAGCGTGGGGAAGAAGTAGAGAGCTGCAACACTCTATAGAAGAAAGGACTGTGAAAATGTATAGGTAGAAGGCCTCATGGGTGACCTTGCCAGGACTCCTGCACCTCACATATGGCATGAAAGCCACCAAGGACACCATGAGGGGCAGTGTTCAAATGTTCACAAATGGGAAGGGAGCTGAGCACCATCCTTCATTCCTGCAAGCGTGGCCATCATTGGCCTTGCAAGCCCTGACCTGGCTGTCTACAGCCTTGCCAGCATGGGTCATGCTTCTTACATGCATGGGCAATCTACACCCAGGGATCTTGTTTGTTGCTCCTTTCATTGATATGTCATCAGCAAGCACCTCTGCAGAGGCCAGGTACCAGGACGGTTGCTTATCTGTGCCCCTAGGCTTTATGAGACCTTCTCTGAGTGGGTAGCTTTCCTCAACATTTCAGAACACCCACAGAACAACAACAAAAAACATTTAGGTGAAGCAACTTCAAATCCTTTGAGCTAGGATAAAGATTAACGATGACTCCATTATACAACTTAATTAAGAATTTATATTGGTCCCTTATAAATACACATACATTGTTTAGCAAACCTTATTTGGCGACACTGCAAAAACTGGAAACTTCTTTATTATACTTTCCTCACAGGAGAGATTTCAATAATTATTCTCACTGAACCCCTAAATAGAACATTGGAATGTTTAATACCCAGAGTCTTGAAAAGAATGAACCTCTTATTATGCCTTAAGAAATGCATTTTGTTATAGGAAACCCAGGTTCTACCTTCAACCCCCAAGTTCTCCCTTTTCAGTTAGCAAGAAATGCCAACTATGGGATGTGGAGCTCCTGAACTGTTAAATATTATAAATCAGTGTCATTATTTTGATGATTTCCAAGAGAGATGACTAAGGGAAACTGCATCAAGATACAGGAAAAGAGATACCTACTGACTGCATGAACTTATTTCCAACACATTCTCTTGCCATAATCTCCCCTCCAACCAGTTCCTAATGGTAATGCAGCACTGGGCCCTCCTTTTCATCAATGGATTACCCAGAGACAGAGTCATAGTGACCCAACTCTCTAACTCAGTTGGAGATATTTTCAGGTAATATGGCAGATTCGGCTGTGTATCCCCATCTCTTTTGGGAATACAATACATTTCCATTGCTTTGGAAATGCCATATTATCAGCATTCTCACTGGACACAAAAGAGCTAGCCAGTATCTATACTTACCCTCTCTGTGTCTTCACTGCCTACCTATGCCATCCCTTACACATACATACACCACCACTCTTTTATAAAAACCACGACAAAGTTAGGATTTTCCCATTTCCTGATAAATGATAAATTCAAAGTAAATAGTCCCATAAAGCTTTTCTTCATTCAAATTATTTGAATCTTACAGATAGGTAGAAAAAAAATCACTGTATCTGAAATAGGTTTGCTATCCCTTAGAGTTTAAACAAATAATGCAGGTATTATAAATTTCCTTCAACTCTCAAGGCAAATGTCTCCAAATATCCAGAGTCCTGACACCATCATCTTTTCATTTTCAGTGAAGAGCATGTGCAGTTTTCCCACCCCTGACGCTATAACTGGCTGGCACATAAAACCCACAGGTACCTGCAGGCAACTGATTATAAAGACACCTCCTTTCCCTAATGTATTGATTCCCACTGCAATCTGCCTGCATCTACTGTACTTCTTGGAAATTGCTCTTGCAAAGATTGCTCATGACCTTGCAGAATCAATCCAGTGAACACATTTTGGTCCTACTTTACTTGGCATCTCCCTTATGCTCTTCTTCCTCTTCTCATTTGACACACTCCCTGGGCAATCTCAGCCATACTCTGGGCTTCAGCTGTCACAAACAGAGTTAGGATTTCTTAACCTGTATTTCTAGCTCCAGCAGCCTCCTAAATATTTCTACCTGGGTGTCCCACAGGCATTTCTCACTCAACATATCCTAACCCTGTTTGAATATTTTTCATTCTCCTCTCCTTATAAACTTGCTCTTCTTGAACTCCCCACCTGGTACTGTTCATATGTCCCTTCACTGGTGGGAATAGCATGATTGGAAGAGAAAGAATGATCCCACAGGGCCAGGCATGAGCCTGGAAGAGAAGTCTATGGGGTGCAAGGTAGACACCTAAATCAGGTGCATGTGCAAAGCTAGTAATAAAATGGTAAATGAGCTCTGAATCAGAGGAACATGCACTGACTGGATGCCAGACCCAAGGGGACCCAAAGGCAGGAGTCTGAGGGCCTGGAGAATGACAGTAAGACAGGACACCTGGGAAAACTGCTTGGAAAAGGCACAGTGAACTGAAACAGGCCACTATGTACTAAAATAAAGTGCAGGAAGGGAAGGGACAGTCAGTGCTTTACAAAATACTTTCATATTTTAATTTCATCTGAGAAATAAAACTCTGTTATAGAGATAAAGACTTGAGTAAAATAATCCCATGTCACAGAGTTGGAAAGCAAGGGAGTCTGATCTCAAACCCAGGCTCCTGACTTCAGGTCCTAAGTCATTTCTGCACCTGTACTCTAGCCACATTTAGGGCAATCCAAATAAAGGTGACAATAATGGTAATCCTGAAAATGACATTAATATTTCACCTTCAGCTGTACCCTTGTTGTAATGTTCTCATTTTCTGCTCTCTCCCACCTCTACCTTTGAAGGTGTCTTTGAAGCCAAAAGAAGACAAACATTTTACTTCAGTAGGCTCTTGCTATTTGCCAGTAACACTTTTTTGCATGAAAAGCACCCAAAAAGGAATAGAAAGGAGAAGCTGATATACTACTTATGGGGCCAAAACTGATTTATTTTGCCCTGGGCTCACTACTTTTATGACTCAGGTTTTTTGGTCTAAAAATCCCTGATCAAAAATATAAAGTGTTCAGCACCAAAGCCAATCATCACAAAAGAAGAGAGAATTTTTCTTTTTTCTTTTAATGTGAGTCTTAAAAGTGGTCAACTTTGTTATGAGGTGCTATGGCCTGAATGTTTATGTTCCTTCAAAATTCATATGTTGAAATCCCACCCCCAACACCGACCCAGTAATAATATTAGGAGGTAAGCCCTTTTGGGGGGTGGTTAGGTCATGAGGACTCTGCCCTTGAAAATGGGACTACTGCCTTATAAAAGAGACCCCAGATAGCTGCCTTGCTCCTTCCACCATGTGAGGACACAGGGAGAAGACGCCATCTATGAACCAGGAAACGGGTCCTCACCAGACACTGAATCTGCTGGTTCTCTGCTCTTGGACTCTCTGGCCTCCAGAACTGTGAGAAATGAATTTTGTTGTTTATAAGCCACCATGCAGTTTGTGGTATTTTGTTATAGCAGCCTGAACAGACTAAAACCGAGGTGTATTTCTTGGCAATTCAATTTGTTTTAGAACATGATGGGCTGTGATTCTAGAATAAAATATTTGCAAAGTGGTAGTTAACAAAACAGAACAAAAAACAAACGTTGAACAAAGCGCCAGTTTAAACAATCAAATTACAAATTGAATACAAACTAATTACCAATATTCTTCCTGATGGATGTTTGGGAAGGCAAACATAGTTTCACTGTTCTACTGCATTTCATAAATTACAATAATTTATGATTTACAATGTGCTTATGAAGGCAGTGATCTTTAGAAGAGCTGGCTGTTATATTGCCTAGATTGTTTAAAACTGCAGGAGTGTAGGGCGAGTCTATGTAATGAACAGTTCTAACCGGATATTTTTTCTTGTTTTTAGAGAAAAATTGGGCTGCTAAACAGATGTCTAAAGTTAAATTATATTTCTCTCATACATAAAATACATTTTTGCTTTACTTTTTAAAAATTGTAGACAGTTACATTACAGAAAGCATTACAACACATAGCAATAGAAACAATAGAAAGCAGAGACAACAACAAAATAAATCACATACTCTAATTTAGCAACTATCACTTCCAGTCATTTTTCATATGCATATATTTTACATGGTGATAACATACAATTCCATTGAGTAGATACATCATAGCTTATTAAATTGTTCTCTTCTTTTGCATTAAGATTCCTTCTGATTATAATTTTATCTTAATAACATCAGATTTTAAAAATGCATGATGTTGGCCAGGCTCAGTGGCTCATGCCTGTAATCCCAGCACTTTGGAAGGCCAAGGCGGGCAGATTACCTGAGGTCAAGAGTTCGAGACCAGCCTGGCCAACATGGTGAAACCTCGTCTCTACTAAAAATACAAAAAAAAAAAAAAAAAAAAAATAGGCTGAGGCAGGAGAATCTCTTAAACCTAGGAGGCGGAGGTTGCAGTGGGCCAAGATGGCACCACCACACTCCAGCCTGGGTGACAGAGGGAGACTCCATCTCAAAAAAAAAAAAAAAAAAATGCATGATGTCATTGTTTTCTTCAGGGGGGAAATGTGTTACCCTTATATATCCTATACAAATATAAGGCCAAATTCACTTATTGACAATTTTTTGGATGTATACACTGATCTCCTCTGTCCTACAATGTGGTTAAAGACATGTTTACCCCACTAAGTGTCATTAATCCTGAAATGGCTCTGCTCCAAAAGATCTGGAATCCTTTGTGTTAAGTGTTGCACAGAAAAAATGGCAAATACCTGCAACTGTAATATAATACGCCCTACACCCCACCTACTTATTCTACTAATTGCTTGATGAAAGGAAAATCATATTTCTAAAACCCAAATGTTTATCTCAGTGTTGCTTGGTGGGTTTGGAAGTCAAGCAGACCTAGGTTCAAGCTCTGATTTTACTCCTTGCTTCTATGGACAGGGCAGCTACTTTGTTCAACTCTAGGAACACATTCACATCAGAATCTATATGAATGGCACCCTCTGGATTAGGGACCAACACTACTTTATGTAAGTGAAAGTGTAGAGCCACTTTCCTAGACCTCAGTTGGAACACACTCCTGAGGTTGTCCAAGGCAGCTGGTGAGGCTGTGGGTAAATTACTTAATCTCTGAGCCTCACCTTTTAAATATGTAGAACTGGAGAGTGATAATATAGTACCTAATTTATTGGGCTGTTTTGAGAATTACAGGGGAGAACGTTGTAGTAAAGCATTTAGTATAGTGCCTTAACGTAGTAAGTCTTCAATATGCATTAACTCCTATTATAATTTTCCCAAAATGTATACTTCTCAGAAGAAGAATTAAAAAGATTGATTCTTTTGCATACTTTTCCATCATATGGTTGATTTCTGTTCTTGGTTACTACATCAGTCTAATCAATTCAGAATGGAAGAACAGCATGAAAATAAATAGAATAGAATAACCATCTGCTGTGATTCTCCATCCCTGAGCCTGAATGCTGGATCTAATTTTATCTTAAACCCAAATCACAAAATATGCATGAACTAAGCTGCTTGCAATTCAAAGCCTTGTGAGAAATCAGCTTCAGGGATCTCTTTTAGCTTGGATGGGACTCAGTGAAGCCATAGCTACAGCAGGGACTCCTTAGCTAAGGAAACAGGAGCAGTCAGGACTAGAGACTGGGTAGAGCTGGAAGCCATGCAGATCAAGTTCAGAATGCTGTGAAAGGAATCTGAAAGGCAACCATGTTCAGGAGTGGTCAGAGAAGAAGGTGAGCACAGTCACAAGGGCCTGTAGAAAAATCATTTGAAAATCTAATAAACACTACTGAGTGTCTGCTATGTGCTAATTCTTGGGAATAAAGATGAGAATTCACATGAGCAATAATACCATCATTTATTCTCATGAAGTTTCCCTACTTTTGTTTGTATCTTTGGCATGCGATGGAGGTAGATTTAGTCCAAGGGAAGAGTTATCACTCAGATACAGAACTAAGGTTCCAGTCAAATCACAAGTATTAGAGCCAGCTCAGATGCTTCCTAAAGCAATTATAGATGTCTGGGGTTATCTAGCTTAATCCCTTATAGGTCAGGAGGGAATGAAAACTACCATGGGGTCAACTAATGTGTCTTCCCTTGCTACTTCTTACATCCAACCCCAAAGGGATTGGGAACAGATCCAGCTATTTGAAGACTGAACAGAGGAAGTGAGGTGATAGAGGGGCATGAAAAAGAGATGTCCAGTTAGGTCCACCCTAACCCATACTGGACTCCCTCAAGGAACCAGTCTGTAATGAGTCAAACTGGGCTTTCAGACCTACAAATTCAGAGAAGGATGTTTAAGAGGAGATAAAAGAATCTGAAAGCGGACAATATGCTGCAAATTAAAAGATATTTTGGACGTGAACTCTTCTTCATGGGATGACAGTTTAATCACACTGAATCCTCAGCATAAAATGTAGTTTTGTCAGATAGATTTTAACTATAATTTACTTTACCCACCCTGCTGCAGTTCTGAGACAGAAGACAGCCAGTTCTGTCAGAGCAAACTCAATTTGTCCTTTACATCATCCAAATGTTCTTGTCTCAAGTGAGAAGCCCCAATAACCATGCACAGATTTCTTTATAAATTACTTATCTTTTAGATGCTGTATATTTACCACTTCATCATGTTTCCTTTTAGGTTTAAGTTTGTAGGACATGGCTCATGTCATATTTCTAGAAGGCCAAAGCCAAGTGAATGTTCTTCAATATAGTAACATTCAAGGTTGCAATTAATCTTACAAGCTTCATTTAAGGAAGGTATAAACTAGGCCAATAACTCACTCTAAAGTCATCAGTTTAGGCCATCAAAGTGATTTCTCATTACAATAATAAAAAGGATTGTTTTCTGGGAAGAAATAAAAGTATATACATAATACTTCTAATACTGATATATTCAACTCTCCTATGGAGATCTTTATACAAGTGGAAAGTTCTTGCTTCTAGGTCAGGTAGAATGCTTTCACAAGTGAATTAATATTTCCACACAATGGCGGAGAGATGACATGATGTGTAAAAGAAAGCTTGATGGTCCGCAGCTGAGGAGAGTTGACATTCCAGAAGAAGAGGACAAGAAGTGAAGGACAAGAACTGGCAGAGGAGAACTGGGGGGCGGAGGACGGGAGGATGAGAACTGGAGCGGGAGAACTGGGGAATGAGAACTGGGAGATGAGAACTGCAGGAAGAAAATGAGGAGGATAACTGGAGTACAGCTCATTTCAAGATAAGGAGCCTATTCACAGCCAGTTATCGACACAGGCATATAAAGAGGTTCCAGATTGTTTTATTTGAGGATTATTTGGTTACAAGAGGCAGAAACTTGCTGAGCTTAAGATGAACTGGGGATGGAGGGGGTGCCTAAAGACTCAAATGCAAGGAGAACAGTCTGATCTCACAAAAGAATGGAACCACCTCCGGAAAATCTTTGTCTCTCCGGACCACATAGTCTCTCATCTTTGTTTGTTTCAAGGTTCCCACTCATTTTACTCTCTATAGACTGGCTTTTTCATATTTTGAAATGCACAGGGCAAACATGGCTACCAGCCCCAGCTTTGCATCATTTCCAATTCTAAGGCTGCTATAGACTCACTGAGTCTCTGCATGGCCATGCCTCTGAGTCCCAAATCCAAATCCTTCTAAGAGAGAATCTGACTAGTTCCATTTGGGTTAGGTATCCACTGGGCTGACTCCTAAGGCTGGCTGCCCATTTAGCAAGAGTTTTTAGGGCAGAATCTCTGAGAAGGAGTATTGGGGTAGGAGGAATGATTGGCAAAGGAAATGATTTAAGAAACACAATGGCAATTTCTTAGCAAATTTTCTTTGCCTCTGTCTGTTATATAATTACATGTACATTTTAGTTCCTTGAAACAGACAAGAAAATACTGTAAAAAGATGCAAAAATCACCTCAGAGATGTGAATACATTAATCCACTAGCACCTATTTTAAGATTCTATTACCAAAGAATCAGGTTAATCAGTCAATAACCTATCCAGCCAGTAACCATAGCCTACCAAGTCCCTGAAGAGAAACTGTGAAGGACAAATAAAGCATAATTGTAGTTAAGGAGGAGAATGTGTGACAGATGAAGGTTACTGGGTGCCCACAAGCCTGACCTGTTTTCACTCATTATACATCCAAACCCCCTCCCATGCTGTGTCTTTGTACATGGACATATTTATCCTCTTCTTTGCCATGCTAACTCCTATTCTCTCTACAGTACTCGTGGGTTTAATTGTATCCCCCCAAAAGATATGCTGAAGGCTGCTCTGCCTATGGAGTAGCCATTCTTTTGTTTCTTTACTTCTCTGATAAACTTGCTTTCACTTAAAAAAAAAAAAGATATGTTGAAATCCTAACCCCAGGTACCTATGAATATAACCTTATTTGGAAATATTTTCAGATGTGATCAAAAATTGATCAAGTTAAGATGAAGTCATACAGGATTATGGCAGGCTCTAAATCCAATGACTGGTGTCTTTACAAGGAGGCTGAGATTTGGTGACCAGAAACACACAGGGAAGAAGTCTATGTGACAATGGGGGCAGAGATGAGAGTGATGCAGCTACAAGGCAAAGGACACAAAGGATTGCCAGTAGCTACCAGAGGTGAGGAAGAGGCAGGGGAGGATTTCTTCCTAGAGCCTTCAGTGGAGATTGGCCCTGCTAACATTTTGACTTCAGACTTTTAAGCTCCAGAACTGTGAGAGAATATATTTCTGTTATTTTAAGCCACTCAGTTTGTGGTACTTTGTTATGACAGCCACAGGAAGCTAATACAAGTGCCATGTGTGCTCAAGTGTTGTCATCTCAGATCTGCTTCCCAGATAGTATTCAAAGACTGCATTGGTGCCCTTTCTCTGTAATACCATGCTGTGCTTCTCGCTGCCATAGCTACCATCTCTACCACAATAGAGATGACACTGGTCTATAATTGTGTAGTTTTCTCTCAATTCTCAAGATTTTGAGGTGCCAGAAACTGTCCTTATTTTTATGTCTAGCATATAGTAGGAAATGCTTTATATGCCTAGCATATAGTAGGAAATTCACTAAGTGCTTATTAAAATAAGATATTTTTTTCCAAATGTATAAATCTATAATGCTCTTGTGTAAAACATTTACATCTCAAGAATTTAAGACATGCACATATGGAACAAATTAAACTCACATTGTTGAATGTCCGCATTTATATATGCTACAGGAAGAAATTAGGAAGTCATATAATTGAATAACTGAGTGTACCAACTTCCATTTGGTTGCCGCCCAGCCCTGGCTAAAATAAAGAGAAACTTTTTTGAATTTAAAAGTATGTATACTGCTTTGAGGAAGTAAAAAGAGGCCTCAGGTTGGTTTTATGAATTTAACTCTCCACAGAATCCCTTTCCAGTTAAATAAATCATAATTCATGAATTCAGAAATTTAGTGCAAATGCAGATGAGGATAAATAGCACATGAGCCATTTGAGGCAGGCAGATTCACTGGGGAAATTAGAAACTGTCGTCAGGAGAGTTAATGGAAAGTCCACTAATCCTAATTTTTAGACAGGATAGATGGAGTTGTGTGTTTCCTATCTGATTTACTCTCACATTAGGTCTACTTCTCTGGAGAAGATGGGGGGCTGGTTTCATTTCCTCCTGCCAAGTGTGTAATAGCTGCTACAGTGTCACTTTGAGATATCTGCTATAAATTTGGGACATTTTTATTTTTCTAAATAAATAGCTAGGAGATTCTCTGTATTATGTTGGGATATTAGTTCTCTGTAGTGTGAATAATCACTACTTAATGTTAGACCATTCTTCAGATAAGTGGCAGAAATTGTCTGCTAGGCTCGGGAGGTGCTGGCAGACAGTCTCATCAACACATTAAATGGCATAATTACACATTCTACAATGCATGTTGCTATGGTACTTTGATAGGAAGAGTCTATTTTTATCTTTTTTTATTACACTCGAAAGAGCTTCAACTTCTAGATTACAAACACAGTCTCTAGAATAAGATTACACGTATAGACGCTGAGATTCATTCTTCCATTTTATGTGTAAGTGTGTTAGTGCTCACTTAACCAAGCTTCTGAAACTTGTTGCTCACGTTCAGTTCATAGACCACACACAAGGTTGTGGTAAACATTGGGCTGCTTTCCCAACTGTCATTCCGTTTTTAACGACTACCCTTATCCAGGTCAGGGACTGGTGTAGAAATGACTGTGAAACCCAATTCTGTCCAATGAGATGTGAGAGAAGTTTGCTGGAGTCAGGGATGCTGGGAGGGGGGAATCTTCTAAGAAACTTGTCTTTATTCCTAACAGAGAGCCATAGGAAGAGGTAGTGTCTCATCTGCCTCTGGACATTGTCTGGTCTGGATGTGAGATGTAAAACTGCTGCAGCCACCATGCCACTTGAGGAAGAAAGACTCCCCAAGATGGCAGAGCAGAGAAATGGAAGAACTCAGGCCCTTGATGACATCTTTAAGCCAATGAATCAAACTATTTTGAAGCCTGCTCTACTTGGAGACTTAATAATAAGTAATAAATTTCCTTATTATTTAGGCCAGACGTTATGTTAGTTTCATCTCGAGGCATTCAAAGTGCCACACCCTGCTTAAATTCCACTGTAGAAATGGCAGACCTATGATGAAATTAAAAATCTAGTAATAGCTGTGTCACTGCCTATAGTGGACATGTACTTTTCTGTCTAAAGTTTCTTTGACATACCTTCCTTTCCAATTTTTATTCCATGTAGTTTTCGGGCAAACCCCTACCTCTGCCTTCTCTGGTGTCTGCGACCCAGGATCTGACCACTGACGTTACCCCTGCAGCCTGGCTGCAGAGACTCAAAGTGGACCAACGATCAACGTCACCAGAAATTTTACTCTACCTGTTGGGAAAGGGGGATCTTTTTCTGCTAGAGTTTCTAAGTTGGTAGGTTATCATCTTAGAACTGCCAGTGGCCATTTTTGCCATCACATGAAAAGAACCTGAAAGAGAATGAAGCCAACTAAGAGGAAAGAAACTGAGAAAGTTCAAGAAGGAGGGGAAGCATGTGTGCCATGATGTTGTCCACAACTCTGCCAGAAGCTCAGATCTACACTTGGACCTTTCAGAGACATAAGCCCAGAAGTTTGAGCTGGTTTCTTTATTGCAATAAAAAGAATCCCAATTAATTCAGAATTACATTGATAGCTACCATTTTCAGAACACCAGTTATATTTTGGGCACATTATTTTCATTATCTCTGGGCTCACAAGGACTCTGGAATGTAATATGTATCTACAGATGAAAAAGCTTAATCTCAGAGGTTTCAAGTGATATGCCCAGGTCACACCCTACTGACAAGCAGAATGAAGATAAAAATCCAAGGTGTGCTAGGCTCCAAAAGCAGTGCTCTATGCCTTCTCATCATTGGCATTAGTAATGCTCACATTCATTTCAGAGAGCCCATCCTTCCTTTTGAAATGTGTTTATTTTGCAAATAATAATTTATCTTTTAGTTAAAGAAAGTGATGGATTCAAAATTTCATTAGCATGTCTTCCCTTGTTTCCCAGTATTTTTTGTACACAGATAAAGCCGCTTGATAGAACAGTTGCAATTTCCCATCTCTTAACTCTTGCTTTCTCTTCTGCAATTTCCTCCTGTTTCTACAAGATCAAATCCTAAGCATCCTTGATGATCTAGCTCAAATGTCACTCTCTTCACCCGGCCTTCTCCAATATCTCAAGGAGAAAACTACCTCTCCTTTTAACTCTTCCTTTACTGCATTTGTGCCTTTCCAATGACAATCTCGTTTTGCCTGTTAATAAAGTTATTTAGTAGTCTTTTATCCCTTAATAGAATGCAAACTCCTTAAATAATGTGTATCTGACCCTACTTTGCATCCTCGTTACTTAGCATAGTAGGGTTCTATAAATGCTGAGTGAATGAATGAATGAATGAAAGGCATTTAAAGACCCATCCTCACAGCTCTAGGATTGTATCAGGGTCTTTGAACCTCATATGGCAACGAATTTGAACGAGGTAAGCATCCAATAATAAAATGACTTGAATTAACTTTAACACTTAAACCCTCAAAGAGTGAAAACAGCTCTATTATGTGCAATACTCAATATCTTGTTTTCCATTAGTGGCATGCATTTGTTGAGTTGTAGCCACGTTTGTATTTATATTTTTCTTATTTACTTGCATCAAACAGCTATTATAGTAAAACGTGTCTTTGAGTTATTTCATGTCTTATGTGAATCTGTTCCCCCTCAATGACTTTATGTCATGCCATTGTTTCCCTCTTCCCAGAAAACCTAAATGCTTTAGTCTAAGAATACACTTTCTACTAACATTAGGTGTTCTAAATCAAAATCAGTTCCATTCTTGATTGATGCTGGCCTATGCCTAAACTGTTTCTGTAAAAACAACGACTTACTGTTACTTTTCTAAAGTTTCTCTTCTGTTATTACACAATTTGAACTCATATTAATCTCTCTATCCATTTTTAATAGGCTTATTGATTAGTTTTCTCATACATTTTCACTTCTAAACCACCTTTAAAAATTTATGTTTAAAAATGCCCCTACTAGCTAGATTCTAAAAGTGAGGGGGGGCACTTCATTTGTCCAAATGCAATCTTTGGAAGACAATTCCATATCAGATATGTTCTGTGATAAAAGTAAATTTAAAATATGCAATACTGTGTTTAAATATTTTAGTATCAAAATTACATTATAATTATTGTGTTGAGATATTTTAAAAAATTAATTGTAAAGGCTCAGATAAGCCGTGTTACATCAGTAATCTCATGTATTTTATAGTGTCATTTTTAGGTAACAATATTTGACTAACTTTTCCTAAAATGTTTGTATGTATGAGCCAGTTTATGGGAGATTACTTTAAATTGTGTGAAAATGGACAAAATAATTGGCATGGAATGATATACTAATTAGGAAAAAAAAATACCCAAAGCCAATGTTATATAACTAGTTTTTTGTAGTTTATATGTATGAGATTAACTTTTCCACAACACATGGATTAACACCACAGTGATACAGGATTGCAGTCTCTTACCTCCTTATCCTCAAAAGCAGAAGAATGAAAGTAAACTTGTAATTATCAATAATAGGCAAGCTTACAATAAGTTGCTTTGCCTGCAACTATTTCCTACTTTTTTAGTTTGGAATAACAGAGAATTTCTAACCAGCTACTAATAATCAAATTCCTCCTCTTTACTTATGTATGATCCTATGCTTAAAACATGTTTTTGTGTTTTTTGGTTTTAATAAAACCTGCTTTTTAAGGATCTCTCAAGATTACTGGCTACTTAATTTGAATATACTTTACTCTCTCCTTCTCCCCTCTTTTTCCTTTTTAAAAGAGCTTTTGACTTCTGCAGTGTGGCATTAACAAGGAAAGAAAACCTAAAGTCCACCTAAGTTTTTTATCCTTTTCCTCTCCCTATTTTTTACTGCCTGAAATCCAGGATTAATTTTCTTTTCTAACAACTCATATCACCACAGTTTAAACTTGGGGAAACTGAGGCTATGCAATAGTTAGCAGGATGGCGATATTCAAATATTAGGTAATGGGCCATTTGAAGCATTCTGGAGTGTTAAAGTAATTTCTTTTCATATGCAACATTAACAGAGAACCTCTTCTTAAAGTAAATCCTTGAATTGGCATCTTAGGATAGCTCAATTTCAGATACTGTAAGAGGAAACACACTAGTTCCTGGAAAGAAGAAATAATATTTTAATTCATGTCAGTAGGAAGCCAGAATCCAAAGCTCTACTTTCTCTTTTCCACACATAACTAGTTATGTAGATGCAGGCAAATGACTGCACATCTCCAGGTGTAAGGTTTTTTCACACCGATCTTGAAACTGGTAACACCAGGATTCCCATTCTAACTTAGGACTTCCCTAAGTCATTGACGTAATAAATTTCGACGCCCGCTTCAGGTGTCAGCAGTGATGGTTGGTTAAGTTTCTGCTTCAAGGAGCTTGTGATCTTGTTGGGCACCCTCATTTTCTGAAGAAAAGTAAAGCTACCACATCTGTTTATCTTACTGGCTATAAAATATTCATCTATCATTGCCTCTGAACAGTTGAACATCTCTGAATATCTCCAGAGGCAGAGTGATTGTATTGTATTTTCTTTATCAACATTATTTCAGAGAATTTAATATGTATAATTCAATATTTTTAAAAGTAAAATCACATTTCAACCAACATGTTTATAATATGCACATCAACAAATTGCACACCCACTATTTTATAAGTTGAATATGATGTCACTAAATATTATGATCTAATTGCCCTCAGATACATGTTCACAATTTGTTCTTTCCTTTATAGCTATAGTGGATGCCTCCAGTGTATGTCAATTTGTAGCAGGATGAGCCGCAGACAAAACTCCTCAGACACCGAGTTAAAGAAGGAAGGGGTTTATTCAGCTGGGGGCATTGGCAAGACTCCTGTCTCCAAGAGCCAAGCTCCCCGAGTGAGCAATTCCTGTCCCTTTTAAGGGCTCACAACTCTAAGGGGGTGCACGTGAGAGGGTCGTGATCTATTGAGTAAGCAGGGGGTACGTGACTGGGGGCTGCATGCACCCATAATTAGGTCGGAACAAAACAGGATAGGGATTTTCACAGTGCTTTTCTATACAATTTCTGTAATCTATAGATAACCATAACCGATTAGGTCAGGGGTCGATCTTTAACTACCAGGCCCAGGGTGTGGCGCCGGGCTGTCTGCTTGTGGATTTCATTTCTGCCTTTTAGTTTTTACTTTTTCTATCTTTGGAGGCAGAAATTGGGCATAAGACAATATGAGGGGTGGTCTCCTCCCTTAAATTTAGCTATAGGGCTAAGGCTTCTAGTAAACAAGAGTCCCCCAGTTACTGACTGCAACTCATCTGTCTGACCCACCACCTGGATTCTGATACACAGAGGCACATGTCTACACCAACACAGTCACATGCACCAGATGTGTGCAATACTGTTTGAAAATGCTTTACATGATGGAAGTCTTACTCTCTGTAATAAACTGGAGCACCATTACCTATTAGGAGAAAGGAGAAATGTACATCAATGTTCTTAATCAGCCACATTTACAAAATAATGCTTGAAATCCTTAAGGACAAAAAGTCTCTCAACATTTGAAGAAGATATTCCAGGATAGATATCTGATAAAGTTTCTGATAAAACTTGATCTCATGTAATCTACCCTTCAAAAATTCTCAATCCTCTGATTATCAAAGAAGCATTTTTCTGTCTACAGGTGTCCCTTGCTCATTTATTAAAAATCATAAATATAAATATTAATCATAAATATCATTGCATGACATTGAAAAACATTTAAAAATTATGGTTATTTATACTTTTCTACCTCATATATAAGTAATATACTAAAGCTTATTTTATGTTTATTTATGAAGTACAGTTTTTCTTTGGAAAAGACACATCGCCAATTATGAGTATTAATGTTATGATAATTAATGTTAATATGATGTTTTAGTAGACTATGCAAATTTCACCGGATAATTATCTCATTATGTTTATATATAAGCAAGAAAAAAAATACTACTAAGACTTCCAAGACTTTAATTTTTATAATTAAGTGCTTGCTGTTATTTTTATTCTCTTATGTACTACCAAAGCACTCCTATGCTCATCCTTATTATGACACTCATCAGCTGTGTTATAGTTGTGTGATTTTTTTTTTATGTCTCCCCACTATACTAGAAACATTTCACAGGTGAGGACATTATGGTACGTATTCATTGTTTTAATCTCTGTGCATTACTTGATAGAGATAGGGTTGTGTGTGTGTGTGTGTGTGTGTGTGACAGAGAGAGAGGTAGATATCAATTATGTTCCATGTCTTTACATTCAAAGTGAAATGCATAATGATAACTAAGTTCGATACTTTTGATAATCACAGTTAAATAATAATGTTTTCAAATAGAAAAACCAGAAGGCACCTGGGGAAAAGGTAACAAAATTCTCAAAATACTAAAATTGATTCCTGAAAGGATCCATTCAGATTCACATAATCTGTTTACAAAGTGTTTATAGAGCAAGTAAACTGGGTAAAAGTGGAACAGGGTGCTATTAGTAATTATGCCAGGACAATAGGCATACACCAGAACTGTTTTGGGCAAAGCAGGATGTTACGTTATTTCACCTCTAGCAAATACAGATAGCAAAAAATGCTCAATTGGCCGGGCGTGGTGGCTCACACTTGTAATCCTAGCACGTTGGGAGGCCGAGGCGGGAGGATTGCCTGAGCTCAGGAGTTTGAAACCAGCCTGAGCAACATGGCGAAACCCTGTCTCTACTAAAAATACAAAATACAAAAAATTAGCCGGGTGTGGTGGTGCGTGCCTGTGATCCCAGCTACTCAGGAGGCTGAGGCATGAGAATCGCTTGAACCTGGGAGGTGGAGGGAGGTTGCTGTGAGCCACTGCACTCCAGCCTGGGTGGCAGAGCAAGACTCTGTCTCAAATAAAATAAAGTAAAATAAAATAAAAGCTCAATTGATAAAACCATTAAGAAGCACTAAGAACAAGTCCAAATAAAAATCAATCTTTTAAAGTAAAATTAGTCTGATTGGGATAAAAATAAGTTACAGAGAATCAAATAGGTACCTAAATTCTAGGCTAGGAAGGACTAAAAGCTTTGACTACTTTGGGGTAGCTTATGACCTGGAGAGCTAGTTCATTTGGGCACAGCGAAAGGAGAAAGGCAGAGCATTGGGCTGGTTTAGGTAATTGACTATTCTAGATACCCAAGGTTTAGACAACTAAGAATCCTGATGCTCTTAGATTTGACTCTTTCCAAAGGTTATTTCTCTGGCAGATACTTTTCTCCTTTGAGATGGGCCTGGTTATAAGTAAGAAAGAGAAATTCCATCACCAACCCTGAAAGGACCTTTCTAGAGAAAGAAGTTGTTGATCTTGGTATTTAAATTATTTCATTAATTGGTTTCAATGACTTTTTTTTCTGTAAAATCAGTAGTGTTTTTCAGACAGTAACTATTAAAAAAAATGGAGACTTGCTTTAATACAGATGGTTGAGCTCTGGGTTAGTGTTGCAGACAAGTATTGAAATGCCAATGTAGTGGTTGTCGTGAGCATCAAAAAACTTTTTTTATAAGTACTTCACAAATGCACTAACTCACTAGCACTGTTTATGTTACAGGCTGTATTAGGCTGTTCTTGTACTGCTATAAAGAAATACCTGATACAGTAATTTATAAAGAAAAGAGGTTTAATTGGCTCACAGTTTTGCAGGCTTTACAGGAAGCATGGTGCTGGCATCTGCTTCTGGAGAGACCTCAGGGAGTTTTAAATCATGGTGGAAGGTGAAGGGGAAAGCCAGCATCTCACATGGCCAGAGAAGGAGCAAGAGAGGGAGAGGGGAGTTGCCACACACTTTTAAACAACCAGATCTCACAAGAACTCACTCATTATTACAAGGACAGCACCAAGGGGATGGTGCTAAACCAATCATGAGAAATCTACCCTGCCAGTCACCTTCCACCAAGCCCCATCTCCAACATTGGGGATTTCATTTCAACATGAGATTTAGGTGGGGACAAGTCCCTAGACTATATCACAGGCAAATGCTATAAAAATACTAGTGAGTAATAAATCCCTTTGGTACGGTTCAAGACAGGCTTAGCTAGCATTGAATTCTAGACTGACCAAAGCAACAACATCTTATTTTTTATATGTTTTAAGTTTCTTTTCCTGACTTCATTTTCTAAAAAGGTCTATGATCTGGGCATTACCACTTTAAAATGAGAAAACAGGTTCAGAGGCTTCTCTGAGGTCCAGGGCTAGGAGTAGAATTGTAGGGATTTGAAGCCAGTTCTGATCCTAAACTGGGCTATTTCCCTAAGCACCTCACTAAACCATCTTTATAAAAATATAGAGTCCTGGCTGGGCATGGTGGCTCACGCCTGTAATCCCAGCACTTTGGGAGGCCAAGGCAGGAGGATCACTTGAGGTCAGGAGTTCAAGACCAGCCTGGCCAACATGATGAAACCCTGTCTCTACTGAAAATACAAAAATTAGCTGGGTGTAGTGGCAGGTGCCTATAGTCCCAGCTACTCGGGAGGGTGAGTAGGGAGAATTGCTTGAACCGGGGAGGTGGAGGTTGCAGTGAGCCAAGATCACGCCACTGCACTCCAGCCTGGGTGACAGAGACTCCATCTCTCTCTCTCTCTTTATATGTATATATATATATATCCCCAACTGAAAACCTGATTTTAGTCTAAACCCTCATTATCAGCCAGTTATTTGGAATTTTGAAATTTTGAATGCCTTGTCCCCTAGAAATGCCATGTCACGAATGCTGTTTGGGTCCCTGCGCAAGCCCATCAAAAGCTGGTTGGCCTAAGAATGTACTTAATCGTAGTCATGACAGAATCAGCCTTAGTTCTAATAGTCTCAAAAATTAGGAGGAAACCAGGGCTAGAGAAAAGGAAGAAAAGCACCTCTGCCCTGTTCCTGGATGCAGCTTTGGTTCTGAGAAATGTTGGAAATAGGCCACGATGGGGTCAACTCCTCTTGCATGTCCCAGGGCTCCTCTTCCCAGACCTCTGTTACCTGAGCTAACGTGGGCTCTTGCCACCACCAGGTCTCACATATTATTCATTGGGATGGTTAATTTTATGTATCAACTTGGTTAGGCACAGTACCCAGATATTTGGTCCAGCATTTTTGGAGATGTTTCTGTGAAGGTATTTTTTAGATGAGGTTAACATTTAAACCAGTTGATCTTAAGAAAAGCAAGTTAGTCTCCATGATGTGAGTGAGCCTCATTCCATTGGTTGAAGGCCTTATGAGAAAAAGACTGACCTCCTCAAACGAAGAGGGAATTCCACCAGCAGACTGCCTTTGAACTTGAACTGCAACTCTTCCCTGTCTCTGATTTCTATTTCTCTGGGGACCCTTGATTAATATACTCACTTACTCACATAAACTCACCCCAACCTGCACATATGGGGAAGCTGATCTCAGTCCAGAGGTAGAACTAGCCTGTAATAATATATGCATGATTGATAGACATTTAACTTTTCAAAACTTCTTTTTTTTCCTGAAATAAGATTCCTCTTAATGAAAGAATATTTCAAATTCTAAAATTTCTGAGTTAGAAAGTTAATTAAACATCCGGACAATAGAGAGGAATTGGAAGGTGAAGTTAGCCATGGGAATCACTACGGCTGAAGGCTAATCCTGTCTGAACATCTGACCCTTGTGTTATACACTCAAACCCCCAACTTAAAAAATGGGTACTAGGCCGGGCGCGGTGGCTCACGCCTGTAATCCCAGCACTTTGGGAGGCCGAGGCGGGCGGATCACGAGGTCAGGAGATCGAGACCATCCCGGCTAAAACGGTGAAACCCCGTCTCTACTAAAAATACAAAAAATTAGCCGGGCGTAGTGGCGGGCGCCTGTAGTCCCAGCTACTTGGGAGGCTGAGGCAGGAGAATGGCGTGAACCCGGGAGGCAGAGCTTGCAGTGAGCCGAGATCCCGCCACTGCACTCCAGCCTGGGCGACAGAGCGAGACTCCGTCTCAAAAAAAAAAAAAAAAAAAAAAAATGGGTACTAATTTACAGTTAAAGCTATTAATGTTTACAGGTTTCTTCCTTCTTCCTGTGGGTCAATCTTGGGTGTTTTCTGGGTTGTAGAATGAAATAAGTTCTTGAAAGCATGAGTCTCTGGTGCAGGCTTTCTTGTTTCTTTGCACATCTTCCCTTTGTACTCCACACCCACATGACTTACACATCTGCTTCCGTATTTGGGCTCATTCTATCTTCCTAGTGCATAACTTCCACTGCTTCATCTCCAGCTATCAAATTCCTACCAATTCATCTGTGCCCAGGTAACTCCCGTCTTCTCCCTGAAGCTTCCTGGTCTACTCCAGCCCACAGGTATCACCCTTCCTTTGGAACTTCTGTAGCGCATACTGTCAGAAAACCTGGCATTTCAAACACTGCTTTTATTCTGAGTTAATATTTCATGAATCTCATATTTTCCTCGGTTAGGCAATATGTTCTTTGAAGATAAGGGCCATGTTTGATTTTTCTTTTTTTGCATTTCATAGTTTACATATGCATACACATCTTATAGTCATTTAAAATAAATATTTGTTTACCCATTATTTAAATAGGCTAAGGAAGATACAATTAGGAATAAAACTAAGTAATGAAATCTGAATTTAGATATAAAACAAATATTTCTGCTTCTGGAATTTAAGATTGCGTGTGTGTGTGTCACATAGAGAGGCAAAACTTTTATAACTTAAGTAATATAGCATGAACTCTAATGATTTAAGAAGTTATCCAAGATAGATTTACGAAAAGTGGTTTGGATAGGTAACTTTTCCAGGATTTTAATCTGAAGAAGATACATCTTCATCAATAATTATTGAAAAAGTAAAGGATTAATCAAGAAATGATTCCTATAGTTTGGGTAATGAACATCATATTCTTGCTTTATACTACACACTAAAATAAAGTTCAGATAGTTTTAACACTTAATTTTTTTAACCAGAATAGAGAAATAAAAAAATAAATATTTAACAAACCTCTGAGAAGAATACTTTCTAAATTTGAAACACTAGAAATTAGTAAGGGGAAAATTCTCCCAAATTTAATTCTATAAAAAATGTTAAATTATGTATATAAATTAAAAAAATAACAAAAATTTGAAAACCAATAATAAACTAGAATAAATATCTTTACTAAATATAACAGACAAACAATGGTCTATGACAATGGGTATTATGCATAGGAGAAAGGACATGAACTTTGGAGTTATAGACTGACATAGGATGAACGTTACTATTTGCATGCCTTTGGGTTAGTTACTTACCTGCTCTATGGCTCCTTTTTCTCATCAACAAATAAGAAATGGCAGTGCTCTCTCAGATTGCCTTTTCTTTTTTTTAAGAAATAACTGACTACATTTTATTTTATTTTTTTCTTCCAATTTTATTTTAGATTCAGTGGGTACATGTGCAGTTTTGTTACCTGGATGTATTGCATGATGCTGAGGTTCAGATTACGAATGATCTTATCACCCAGGTACTGAGCATGATATCCAATAGTTCATTTTTCTTTTTCTTTCTTTGAGACAGGGTCTCACTCTGTCACTCAGGTTGGAGTGCAGTAGCATGATCAGGGCTCACTGCCACCTCCACTTCCCAGGCTCAAGTGATCCTCCCACCTCAGTCTCCCAAGTAGCTGAGATGACAGGCATGTCCCACCACACCCAGCTAATTCCTGTATTTTTAGTAGAGATGGGTTTTTGGCATGTTGCCCAGGCTACTCTTGGACTCCTGGGCTCAAGCAATCCACCTGCCTCAGCCTCCCAAAGTGCTGGGATTGCAGGTGTGATCCACCGTGCCCAGCCAATAGTTTGTTTTTCAACCCTTGCCCCCTTCCTTCCTCCCCTTGTAGTAATCCCCAGTTTCTACTGTTGCCATCTTTATGTCCATGCATACCCATTGTTTAGCTTCCTTTTATGAGTGAAAACATGCAGTGTTTGATTTTCTGTTCCTGTGTTAATTTGGTTAAGAAGATGGCCTCCAGCTATATCCATGTTGCTGCAAAGTACATGATTTTGTTCTTTGTAATGGCTGTGTAGTATTCCATGGTATATAGGTACCACATTTTCTTTATCCAGTCCACTATTGATGGGCACCTACATTGATTCCATGTCTTTGCTATTGTAAGTAGTGCTGCGATTAACATGTGAGTCCATGTGTCTGTTTAGTTGAAGGAATTGTTTTCTTTTGGATATATACTGAGTAATGAGATTGCTGGGTCAAATGGTAATTCTGTCTTAAGTTCTTTGAGATATCTCAAAAGTGTTTTCCACAGTGGATCAACTAATTTACATTCCCACCAACAGTGTATAAGTGTTCCTTTTCTCTGCAGCTTCGCCAGCATCTGTTGTATTTTTGACTTTTTTTTTTTTGAGACGGAGTCTTGCTCTGTGGCCCAGGCTGGAGTGCAGTGACACCATCTCGGCTCACTGCAAGCTCCGCCTCCCGGGTTCACGCCATTCTCCTGCCTCAGCCTCCTCAGTAGCTGGGATTACAGGCGCCCGCCACCATGCCCGGCTAATGTTTTTGTATTTTTTAGTAGAGACGGGGTTTCACCGTGTTAGCCAGGATGGTCTCGATCTCCTGACCTCATGATCCGCCCGCCTCAGCCTCCCGAGGTGGCCATTCTGACTGCTGTGAGATAGTATCTCATTGTGGTTTTGATTTGTATTTATCTGATGGTTAGTGATGTGGAGCACTTGTTCATAGATTTGTTGGGTGCTTATATGTCTTCTTTTGAGACACGTCCGTGTCATTTGCTATTATTTAATGCGGTTGTTTTTTGCTTGTTCGTTTGTTTAAGTTCCTTAGAGATTCTGGATATCAGACCTTTATCAAATGCATAGTTTGCCAATATTTTCTCCCATTCTTTTTACTCTGTTGATAGTTTCTTTTGTATAGCAGAAACTCTTTAGTTTAATTAGATCCCACTTGTCCATTTTTGTTTTAGTTGCAACTGCTTTTGAGGACTTAATCATAAATTATTTTCCAAGGCTGATGTCCAAAATGGTGTTTCCTAGGTAATCTTCATGGATTCTTACAGTTTGAGATCTTACATTTAAATCTTTAATCTATCTTGAGTTGATTTTTGCATATGGTGAAAGGTAGGGATCCAATTTCATTCTTCTGCATATGGCTGCCAGTTATCCTAGCACCATTTATTGAATAGGGAGTCCTTTCCCCATTGATTATTTTTATTGGTTTTGTCAAACATCAGATGGCTGTAGGTGTGTGGCTTTATTTCTGGGCTCTCTATTCTGTTCTACTGGTCTATGTGTCCATTTTCGTACCAATATAATGCTGTTTTTATTTTTGTAACCTTACAGTATATTTTGAAGTTGGGTAATGTGATGCCTTTGGCTTTGTTATTTTTGCTTAGGATTGCTTTGGCTGTTTGGGGCTGTTTTTTGGTTCTATATGAATTTTAGAATAGATTTTCTAGTTCTGCAAAAACTGACATAGATGGCTCTTATTACTTTGAGGTATGATCCTTTGATGTGTAGTTTATTGAGGGTTTTTATCATAAAGAGATATTGGATTTTATCAAAAGTTTTTTCCACATCTATTGAGATGATCATATGTTTTTTAAAAATTCTGTTTATGTGAATCACATAAAACCTTTATCATGGTTTATTGATAAAGCTTTCAATTGTATTTTGAATTCTGTTTATGGTGAATCACATTTATTGATTTGCATATGTTGAACCAACCTTGCATGCCAGGAATGAACACTACTTGATCATGGTGAATTGATTTTTTGATGTGCTGTTGGATTCTATTTGCTAGTATTTTGCTGAGGATTCTTTCATCTACGTTCATCAGGAATATTGGAATATAGTTTTCCTTTTTCATTGTGTCTTTGCCAGATTTTGGTATTAGGGTGATGCTGTCTTTGTAGAATGAGCTAGGGAGGAGTCCCTCGTCCTCAATTTTTTTTGAATAGTTTCAGTAGAATTGGGACAAACTCTTCTTTGTATGTCTGGTAGAATTTGGCTGTGAATCCTTCTGGTCTGGGTTTTTTTTTTTTTTGGTTGGTAGGTTTTTTAAATTGCAATTCAACTTTGGAATTTGATATTGGTCTGTTCAGAGTTTCAGTTTCTTCCTGATTCAATCATGGGAGATAGTGTGTTTCCGAGAATTTATTTATTAACTCTAGATTTTCTAGATTATGTGCATAAAGGTGTTCCTAATAGTCTCTGAGGATATTTTATATTTCTGTGGGATCAGTTGTAATGTCACCTTTGTCATTTCTGATTGTGCTTATTTGGATCTTCTCTCTTTTTTTCTTTATTAATCTAGCTAGTGGTCTATCAATCTTGTTTATCCTTTCAAATGACCAATTTTTGGTTTTGTTGATTATTTTTATGGATTTTTGAGTTTCAATTTTGTTCAGGTCCACTTCGATTTTAGTCATTTCTTTTCTTCTGCTAGTGTTGGGGTTTGTTTCTGCTTTTCTAGTTCCTCTGGCAGTGATGTTAGATCATTAATTTGAGATCTAACTTTTTTTTTCTTTTTTTTTTTAAGACAGAGTCTCGCTCTGTTGCCCAGGCCAGAGTGCAGTGGCACAATCTTGGCTCACTGCAAGCTCTATCTCCTGGGTTCACGCCATTCTCCTGCCTCAGCCTCCTGAGTAGCTGGTACTACAGGTGCCTGCTACCATGCCTGGCTAATTTTTTGTATTTTTTTTTTTTTTTAGTAGAGATGGGGTTTCACCGTGTTAGCCAGGATGGTCTCGATCTCCTGACCTTGTGATCCGCCCACCTCAGCCTCCCAAAGTGCTGGGATTACAGGTGTGAGCCACCGCGCCTGGCCGAGATCTAATGTTTAGACATAGGCATTTAGTGGAATAAACTTTCCTCTTAACCCTGTTTTTACTGCATTCCAGAGATTTTGGTATGTTGTGTCTCTGTTTTCATTTATTTCAAAGAATTAATTTTCTTGTTTGCCCAAAAGTCATTCAGGAGCAAGTTAAGTGTATTTTTGTTGTAGCAGGTATCATTCTTTCATTTAATTTCCATCTAATTGTGTGGTTTTGAGAGACCTTCTTGGTATTGATTTCTATTTTTATTCCACTGTGTTCTGAGATTATCGTTGTTGTGTTTTCAATTTTTTAAATTTGTTGAAACTTGCTTTATGGCTGGGTATGTAGTCAATCTTAGAGTATTTTCCATGTGCAGATGAGAAGAATGTATATTGTATAGTTAATGGTGGAGTATTCTGTAGATGTCTGCTAGGCCTAGTTGGTCAAGTGTTGAGTTTTTAAGTCCAGAATGTCTTTGTTAGTTTTCTGCCTAAATGATCTGTCTAATGCTGTCAATGGGGTATGAAAGTCCCCTGCTATTACTGTGTGGCTATATAAGTCTTTCCATAAGTCTAGAGGTATTTGCTTTAGTAATCTGGATGCTCCATTGTTGGGTGCATATATATTTAGGATAGTTAAGATTTCTTGCTGAATTGAACCCTTTATCATTGTGTAATACCCTTCTTTGTTTTTTTCTACTGTTGTTGGTTTAAAGTCTGTCTTATCTGATGTAAGAATAGTCACCTCTGCTCCTTTTTGTTTTCTGTTTGCATAGTAGATCTTTCTCCAACTCTTTAAGCTCATGGGTTTTTTTTTTTTTTATGTGTGAGATAGGTTTCTTGAAGACACCAGATAGATAGTTCTTACATTTTGTTTTTAATCAAACTTGCCACTCTGTGCCTTTTAAGTGAGGTGTTTAAACCATTTACATTCAAAGTTAATACTGAAATGTGACATTTGATCCTATCATGAAGTTCCTAGCTGGTTGCTTTGTAGTTTATATTGTGTGGCTGCTTTATAGGGTCTGTGGGCTATGTATTCAAGTGTGTTTTCATGGTAGGAGGTATCATTCTTTCATTTCCATGTTTAGAATTCCCTAAAGGATCTCTTGTAAGGCCAGTCTAGTGGTAAATAATTCCCTTAGTGCTTGTTTGTCCAGAATATATTTTATTCCCCTTTGCTTATGAAGCTTAGTTTGGTGGGATATGAAATTCTTGACCAGAATTTCTTTTATTTAAGAATGCTGAAAATAGGTCCCCAGTCTCTCCTGGATCATCAGGTTTCTGCTGAGAAATCTGTTGTTAGCCTGATGGGGTTCCCTTTGTACATAATCTGACTTTTTTCTCTAGCTGCCTTTAAGATTGTTTCTTTAGCATTGACCTTGGACAGTCTTGTGGCTATATGCCATGGTGCTCTGAATGCCTGGAGATCTGTCTGGGCCTGAAGCAGGCAAGGCCTCTCTGCACTGGGATCTCTACACAGGAAGGGTGGGGTGAGTCAGGCTGCTGATTCAGGTGAGCAGGTGCTTCAGGTACCTGGAGATCTTTCTGGGCATGAGCAGAGAGAGCCCTATTGCACCATAATCTATGTCCAGGAAGGGTGGGGCAGCTCAGGCTGCTGAACCAGGCAAATGACTACTTTAAATGCCTGGAGAACTGCCTGAGTGTGGAGCAGAGAGGGCCCCCTGCACCAGATTCTCTGCACAGGAGAAGTGAGTCAGGTCAGGCTGCTGACCAGATGAACTGATGCTTTAAATGCCTGGAGATCTGCCTGGGGGTGGAGCAAAGAGGGCTCTGCTGCACCTCAATCTCAGGGGAACAGGCTGGAACACCCAACAATGGCACATGCAGACAGGTTCTGGGTTACCAAGTTGGCCCTGGCTGCAAATCTCCCTTCCTGGGAGAAACTGCAACTGTAGCAGCTCTCTTCCCACTCCAGGCTGTGATAAATGAGAGCCCAATTCCAGCATCTATTGCTGAGATGTTCTCCAGCAGTAAGTGCTGCTGGAAAGGCTGTGAAGGCCCCTACCTCACTCCAGAACAGGTGCTTCAGTCTCTGGCCGGAGACTAAAATGTCTGTGTTGCCACACTGCTGAGTCATCACAAAATGGCTGATTTTGCATGCACCCATATTTAAAAAGGTATCCTGCTCTTGGTCACAGGTCTGGGAAAATGTCTGCAGCATTTCCTGGTGTCTTTCCCTCACAACGTCTCCAAGCCTTCCCCTAAGTTAGCTTTAGGGGTTGGGAAAAACAAAGTACTGTCCCTTGGTCTGGGTTGCTTGGATCCCCAGTGGAAAAGTAAGTCACAGAGAGAGGCTAGAGGCTCTCTGCCTCTCTCATATACTGGGGCTTTACTCACTTCATCAGCCAGTTGCTATCATGAGGGCTGTTTGTTGGTATTCTCCTGCCCATGATCTGGAGTGTCCTTCACAATTCCCATGTATTCCTACTTTGCTTCTTGAATTAAAGCTCACAGAGTTGATGTTTATGCATTATCTTGCTATTTCTAAGTGGCTGAGGCATGCTAAAAGCCTCTTAATCTACATCCTCAGATTGCCTTTAAATGAGGTAAATGTACGTGTTTGGGACAATGCCAGGCACATAGTAGTCACTTAATAAATGGTAGTTTTAAATTAATTATGTAAGAACCACTCATAATAAATAAAATAAGACCTCCAGAATTCAAGCTTCCTGAGGGCAGGGGGTTTTGTCTGTTTTGTTCACTGCTATATCCTCAGTGCCTAGAACAATGTCTAGCACATATTATAATATGTATAATAAATATTTGTTGGATGCATTAATAGGCAGACCACTGAAAACCCCAGATTAATAAGATAACTGTGTAGTTATTAGTCAACAAACACCTGAAAAAGTATCCAATCTCATTGTATCAAATAAATTAATATTACAGCCAAATAGTATACCCACCTCCACCTTCTCACTGGCCTTCCACACAGTAATTATCTATGTTTACCAGACTGTAGTTAAATGAATACTTCATGCATAGCCTGTGGTAGTATAAATCAGTATAAACCTTTTGAAAAACATGTTAGAATGAATTAAGAGCCTTAAAAATGCTCATATCACATGGATTCTATAATATTCCTTCTCACATATATTATCAAATAATAATCCTGTGACTTTGGAGGCTGAGGCAGGGAGATGACTAGAGGTCAAGAGTTTGAGACCAGGCTGGGCAATATAGTGAGACCCTGTTTTTACAAAAAAAAAAAGTAAAAATTAGCTGGATGTGGTGGCATGTGCCTATAGTCTGAGCTACTTGGGAGGTGGGAGAATCACTTGAGCCCAAGAGTTGTAAGTGAGGCACGATTGCACCACTGCACTCCGGCAACATCCTGAATGAAAAAATAAAGAAATAAAAAGAATCCTAAATATGAAAAAGATTGCTCTACAAAGGTATATGCTATGGCATTATTTACAGTAGGAAAAAAAGCAAAAACTACCTAAGTGCAGGAACATGGTTATAAATTATGCTACATTTATTGGACACAATATTTTACAACTATTAAAGCTGTTTTTGGAAATATAATGATACTGGAAAAAAGGAAAATACAAAATTTGTATATATACAAATGTATACACATGTATGATATACATATTATTCTGTGCTGATAGTTATATAAAGAGTAAGATGAATAGAGAAGGTAATACACAAATTGTACAAGTGGTTTTGCTTGGGACCACAGGAAATTACTATTCTGTCTTTTGCTTACCTTCTGAATTTTACAGATTTTCTTTAATGAATACATACTAATTTTATTTTTATTTAATTTTGTTTTTTTTGAGACAGAGTCTCGCTCTGTCACTGAGACTGGAGTGCAGTGTCATGATCGTGGCTTACTGCAGCCTTGACCTCCCAGGCTCAAGCAATCCTCCCACCTTAGCCTCCCAAGTAGTTGGGACTACAGGCATGTGCCACCATGCCTGGCTAATGTTTTTTATTTTTTTGTAGAGACGGGGTCTTGCCATGTTGCCTAGACTCTTCTCAAACTCCTGGGCTCAAGCAAACCATCCACTTCAGCCTCCCAAAGTGCTGGGATTACAGGCATGAGCCACCGTGCTCGGGTCTATAAAGCAGTGATTTTTCAGAAAAGCTCCTTTTCTTTCTTTTTTTTGTTATTAAAGAGTATATGAAAGGTTTTTGACTTGGGATCTATACAAAAATAATATAAATAAGCCCACCTAAAATATTGAAGGAGATGTTATCATTGGTTAAAAAATTTAAAAGACTGGTTTGCCATCCCATTCTAAACTACCATATGTACAAAGAAATTTTTACAACCTCTGAACTTTAAATGTATATATTTTTGTTTTCCTGTTTTCTTAATCACACGAAAAATATGTTCCCTTCCAGGTGGTAAGCTGTTAAGTCAGGAGGTTTTTTTTGTTATTTTTAACTACATATACCGTAACATTTTTTCAATAAAAAATTGAAAATGAATACATTAGACTTCATATTTGTCTTCAGTGAGTTTCATAATACTTTTCTAAGTTTGTGAAACATAGTTATTTATTTTCTAAATAAATGTTAGAAGCACTCCAGGAGAAGGAGAAAGACTTGATTTAGGCATCTATTGCACAAGCATCTGTGACCATGAAAATTTTTTTAAATGTGGAAAAACATCACTTGAGAGTATTGTTGAAATGAATATGATAGAGTGTGAATTTCTGAAAATGGTCCAACTGTCCCATAGAACTGATGTTTATGTTTGCTTTGGAATAAACATAGAAATTGACCCTCCCAGTCTCAAAATGTGAGAAACTTACATTTGTCTTATCTGAGTCCCTTTCTCAGGAAATCAACAATTAGACCTCCCAGAGAGTATCAAGGAACTGAAACTTATCAGATTATATTTGAACAATGAGACACCAGACCCCTCACCCATCATGACCACCCACTAACCAACCACTTGCGTCCTGCTGACCAACTCCTATTCCTTACTCCTTCCTAATTTCTATTTTCCCACACACAGTTACATTTCTTCCCTGCTACATAAACTCCTAATTTTCATTGGTTGAGGAGATGGATTTGAGACTGATTTTGCTTCTCCTTGGCTGTAGCACTCAAATAAAGCCTTCTTCCCTGTCAATACTTGTTGTCTCAGTGATTTGCTTTCTGTGTGGTCAGGAGCAGGACCTAAACTGAATCCCTAGTGTTTTGGTAATGGATTTTGGTTTCCTGACTGGGAACATGTTGCTTGTTGCTCAGCTGCCATGGGCTGAGTTTAAGCAGTCCTCCTAAGCAGCTTCCTAACTCTTTTTTGTCTAGAGGTGGGTCTCAGTCTCCCTCTCTCTGGCCCCGCCACTGCTGGCCCAACCATACTCCTGATTGCTAACGAAAAACAGCCTTTGAAACTTGTCATGTGCATCTAGATGATCAATTGTCTTTTGTGGGCCCAGAGAGTGGGATCTTCTCCTCTCAGTTTGGGACATTCCAAAGGAATTTCAATTTGCAGACTGAACAAGCTCAACTGAGAGAGGAAAGTACGCTGACTGTTTCAGTTTGGACATCCATGGGGCTTGTTGATGCAGTAGTTGGATTGTGTTTTGGTGATTGCTTGCTAATATGCATGCATCCATATAGTTATGGGAAATCAGAAATTGATAAACTATTTTTTTTCATAATATTGTTTGGCCCCAATATACTTTGGAATCTGGAGAAGTTTGGCCTCTCCGTGGGCTTCATTTTGCTATTGAATGGGAAAACGAGATGGAATTCCATGTGCTTAGGCTTTATGCTGCTGTTCTAAACAGAGTTGAGTCTGGTTAGTACATGATATTCTTTAGCGCTGTTTGTCCCCAGTGTTCTTTGGAGTCTGGGGAAGTTTGGCCTTTAAAAATCAAACTGCCATGGAAACTGCCCCAAATTTTGGTTCACAAATTTGATTTTATTTGGGGCTTCGTTGAATTACCTACTGGGGCAAATAAAGTTTAGCTATGTAAACATGTTTGTAGACTGAGTTTGCATTTCTATCTTATTACTAAAGTTCCAAGCTATTGGATTTTTGTGTGCATGGGGTGTATACATGTTTAGATATGTTTATGTGTATGGACATTTATTATATTAGATGTCATGTCTACCAAATTTGGTTTATAAGTAAAAGAATACTCATAGGTTAGGTAAATAAGTCCAAGCAATTTTTAAGTTTACCTGACTTAAATAAATCTTTAATAAATAAGCTGGCTTTGAAATTATTGGTAAAATAAAAATAGAAATGTCTTTGGAATTGTCAGCATACATTTTTGTCTGGATTCATATTTGCCTGTGCTAGACATTTTGAAGTGTCAGAGTTTGTCACAGAAGGTTATAAAACTATTAACCCAGCCAAAACAAAATGATTTTTATGTGACTTTTTTGACAAATAAGACAAAATTAATGTTGTTTAATAAAAATAGCTGAATCTGCTATTGGCAAAAATACTCATGTATTTAAGTTTAAGTACTTACTTAGGTGAATACCTGATATTTGCAGACTGTTTAAAATTGGTTAACAAGGCTGGGCACGGTGGCTCACACCTGTAATCCCAGCACTTTGGGAGGCTGAGGCGGGCAGATCACCTGAGGTCGGGAATTCAAGACCAGCCTGGCCAACATGGTGATACCCCATCTCTACTAAAAATACAAAAAATTACTGGGGCACAGTGGTGTGTGCCTGTAGTCCCAGCTACTTAGGAGGCTGAGGCTAGAGAATCACTTGAACCTAGGAGGTGGAGGTTGCAGTGAGCCGAGATGGCACCACTGTACTCTAGCCTGGGCAACAGAGTGAGACTCTGTCTCAAAAAAAAAAAAAAAAAGGTTATGAAGGAACTAATTTGAAATTATGACTAGCTTTGTCAAATATGTCAGTTTTCAGAAGTAATCGAGATAAACTGTTTTTCAAAATGAAAAAAATGAGTAATGTAAATGAGATAAATGCTTGTAGGTAAACTTTTTGTGGAATTTAAAATGTTAAAATTACTTTTGTTGCTCATTGGATGCCTGGGTCATTTCCAATTAAGAAAGGGTTTGTATATGGGGAAATATGTTTTTTAAAATTGTGGAAAGTTCTCATGTAAAAAATACTAATATCTGATAGTTCAGAATTTCATGCTTCCTAGTCCAAGAATGTCATGTGTGGTCTGTGTAAGTCACATTTTGTCCTGTTTGTCTTTGTGTCTATCTTCATCCACAAACAGAGAAAATAGAAAGTTGGAAAAGTTTAGATAGTAAAATATTTTTTTAAATATGATAGAAAATTAGATAAATGTGGCTAATTAACGTTGCTCATAAAGCTCATAGTCTTCATGCTGGTAAAACGAGAAATATTGTAAAGAAATACATTGGCAGTTTGGTAATTGTTTTTTTAACATAGTTAAATATGAAGCCAGATTTAGCATGAAGCCAAATTTCACATAAATGCTTGCATTGCTTTGTTCCACACTGTATTAGCTATTCTGCATGGATAGGACTAGCACTAAAATATTTACTGGTCACATGCCTGAAGTAAATTTCTTAATTGTGCAAATTGTATGGTAGTGCTGGTGGATTTAAGTTTGTATATCAGGAATTTGTATATCAATAATAAAATATCCATCATGTGTTTTGTTTTTGGTTTTTTGTTTTGGAGTTTTTTAGGCTCTGGTAACACTGTAATCTCCAAGGTAAACTGAATGGGAGAAAAATTGGGGGTTGGTTTCCTATTTATTTGATTTTGCTCTTAATTTTTAGTTATTTGTTGTTTGTTCTACTTTGGGCTTTACTTGTACATACATATATAAAACCATTTTTTTTGTTTGTTTCTAATGGAAAGCTTGTATTTGGTTCTATGAATAGTCATTTTGTTTCCTATGCATTTCCAACAAGTCATCATTTGCTCTATTTATCTAAAATTCCTAAGCTAACTTTGTCAAGCTACCAGAAAATGACAGTGCACGCCAGCTATTTAAAATTGGATCAGTTTTGCTTACCTCTGATGATCTAGAGAGCCATCAGAGCTTTAAGGTTATGGCAAAAAAAAAAAAAAAAATAGAAGACTTATTTTTATAAGTTCTGAATAGAAATAGTACATAATTCATTTTGTTATTTTGAAAAGTAAGTGAGAATAGAAATGTTTAAATGGTGTTTATTTGTAAGGTAATTCAGTTCAATCAATAATTTGAGTTGGTTTCAGGTCTTTTCCTTTAGGTAATGAGGAAAACCTGTGGAAACTGTGATATGGATACAAAGTTCTAATGTTCAGGAAATATTGGCCTTGTCCTTAAGAAAATTACATTGAGGAGGATTTCTCTCGAATTACTTTAGTTGTGTTTATCATTATTAAAATTAAGTGAAATTCACTTGGATTAAGTAGTAATAAAAAAGTGGCACTTTCTAGTGATTTTTGATCCCATGCCTTTTATCACTGTTGAGCCTTCATGTGTGTACTTAAAAACAAAATATGTACAAGTGTTGCACTTGTTTGAAGATTCTAGTGTTGAAAATCACATAATCAGTAGTCAGTACTGTATCTAAAAACCAATCTTGGAAATGTATAATGATACTTTTTTTTTTTTTGAGGTGGAGTCTCACTCTGTCACCAGGCTGGAGTGCAGTGGCATGATCTCAGATGATTGCGACCCCTGCCTCCCAGGTTCAGGCAATTCTGCTGCCTCAGCCTCCTGAGTAGCTGGGACTACAGGCACACGCCACCACTCCTGGCTAATTTTTGTATTTTTAGTAGAGATGGGTTTTCACCATGTTGGCCAGGATGGTCTCGATCTTTTGACCTCGTGATTCGCCTGCCTCGGCATCCCAAAGTGCTGGGATTACAGGCCTGAGCCACTGCACCCGGCCAATGATACTCTTAAAACAGCTGAAAAGAAATGGTTGTGTGCTTGTTCTTACTTTGTTTTGTCGTATAGTATTTAAACAAAAGGAGATTATCCTCATTCTGAGTTTCCAAAACTGAATTTTTATTTACCATTTTTTGGATGAAGAAAAGCTAATTCCTTTATTTTGATAAGTTTGACATAAGACCTATCACATTTCTTATGCTTTTGGTCAGAGTTTTGTCACTAGAATACTAGCAATTAGACATGTGCAAGGAGTAACCTAACCACTTTAATACAGTGGTTTGAAGTGATGGAGGCAGTAACTAGTAGACACGAAATCACAGTGTTTTAACTTGTGATATGTTAGCATGATAGGACTTTCTGCAGTATAAATATCATATTAACTAATCCTTTTGCTAAGTTAAGGTTTTGACTGTTGGGTGTGAAAAAGGCACCAACTCCTGCTAACTCTTGAGCATTGACACTAGTCAAAGCCTCATCTTCTGACCCTGGAGAAGGTGACAATCAAAATGAATTGCTTTCATGAGACACAGGGCCAGAAATTTTTAAACTATTTAATCCCTCTAGGCCCAGAGACTATCATGGAAGAAGTGGGCAGTTGAGATTGTAAGGGCCAACTTTGAGATAAAATTAGGTAAGAGTTTTTCTATAAATTAAACATTAATATTGAAAGCACACTGATGCAAGGCCAGTATCTGGGCCCCTGTGTCAGAATAACAGAGTTTTCTTGGATCATTGATCTGTTCTTTAATAGAAAATTGTAAAAGATTATAAAAGTTTATGGAAATCATATGTTATGGTCAAACTGATTAAAATTAGATTTGTTTATAAGGTTTTATAGAAATTAGCTTTAACATTAATAATACACTATATAAAGGTAAAATTTGGTTTTCTCTTTTGAACAAAATTTCTGTGAAATATTAAGAGATGATAAAATATTTTTTGTTTACCTTTTGAGTAAACTGCAGGAAAAAATGAGGGGAGAGAGACAGATTTAGTTTGCCGCATGCTGTCTTTATTAAGTCTTATTGTTTGAGAAACTGAGTCTCTATCTATCAAAGAGGAAACATGTTTGTTTAATCATTTTGGCTAAATGACTATTTTATAGTGACCTGTGATCCTATTTTGTGATATCAAGTGTCTTAAATCTTTGATACTTGACAAATTTTCCAAAAGCAAAATTTCAAGTGCTAAATTCAGTCTTTTTTTTTTTTTTTTTACCTCAAACTAACTTTTTTTTGGATAGTGGGTCCTCTGAAGTCCAACAGAGACATATTAGGTTTATTTGGTATGTTAGAACTATACAGGAAACATTGTCAAATGTAAGGTGGTGTTTACCTTTGTTTGAGCTATAGATCTATCTATAGATGTACTGTTAATATGTGTTTCAGGATTGTATGAGATTCCTGAAATTCTGATATGCTTTAATATATGTTGTCAGTATGTCACAGAAATAACCAAATTTTCTGGTCAATTGTGTATTTAATTATGGCCTAAAACTTTTGTCATCCACAGTTGTTTTGCTTTGATTCTTCTCAAAAGCAGCTTGCAATCAGCCACAGACCAGAGCTTGCTTTTTTTGGGAGAGTTCATGAAAAGGACTCTTGAATGCAGGTTTCTAATAACTTTGGAGGTTGTGCCATTGAACTACAGAGAAAACTTCCAGGACTTCAAATTTAAAGGTGGATGTGTTCACAAAGATTGCTAACCCAATATGAAACAGAGCAGGTGTTTAGCATGGACTGAGCTAATAATGGAGGACTGAAATAAATTTTTATGGCTTTTTGTGTGTTTGTTTAAAACATTGCTGATTTATTTTGTTTCATTTTTCAGAGTATGGAGAACTTTTTTCCTTTTGAGCTACCCATAGCTTTTAACAATTGAGTAGACTAAGTCCTCTGAACAAAATTTGAGATTTCTCTCTCTCTGCCTGATTTCTCCAGAATTCAGCAACTATTTGTGAATATTCTTAATTCACAGCAATGTGGTTGCTTGCATAATTTCAATAAAAATCTGTTTTATTTTATAATAGGACACAGTTGGAGGAGCTGGTTATTTTCCCAGGGCTTTGAGTGGAATGGCATGTTTTCAGATATGAGCAGATTGATTTGAGAAACTGACTTTATAGAGCCAATGAGAATCCCTTAGCAGGACTGCCTCATACCTTGCCTATGCAGTTCCTTCACAGGGTTCCTGGCCTGTGGTAAGTAGAGTGTCACTTTCTTTTTTCTTTTTTTTTCTTTTTGAGATGGAGTCTCACTCTGTCATTCAGGTTGGGGTGCAGTGGTGTGATCTTGGCTCACTGCAACCTCTGCCTCCTGGGTTCAAGTGATTCTCCTACCTCAGCCTCCCGAGTAGCTGGGATTACAGGCATGTGCAACCACACCCAGCTATTTTTTTTTTTTTTTTTTTGGATTTTTGGTAGAGACAGGGTTTTACCCTGTTGGCCAGGCTGGTCTTAAACTCCTGACCTCAAGTGATCTGCCCGCCTCAGTCTCCCAAACTGCTGGGATTTCAGGTGTGAGCCACTGCGCTGGCCTAGAGTGCCACTTTCTGACAGGCCCATGAACTTCAAGTTGTTCTGAGGCCTCATGAAGAGAGGGATTTTCCAAATCCATGTAGGTATCTGCAAGTGCAGATGCATCTTTGGCTTGGCTCAAGAGGCTATTGGAGGTTAAGTCTGAGATTCTTTGTGAGAGGTTCCAGCAAAGCCACTTTAGGAGATCTTATATTGACAGTGATTCTTGCTGCACTTTGTGTGGGTAATCCGGTCAAGTATAGTGGGACTGAAGCTTATTTTGCAGGTAGGTTGGTCCTGCTGTGATTCATCTTTGGTGGAACTAGAGGACTAGAGAGAGAAAGATTGTGTTTCAAAAGAAAACTCTAGCATTAGATTAACCTTTGATTGTTGGGTGGCCATGTGTTCACCTATGATATAGAGCTGCCTATGATAACCCTCCTCAGCATGAAGCAGCCAGAGATATTGACAACCAGATTCCCCAGGATTGAGGAATTTACTAACATAAATATAAAAGAGGGACTGAAACCAGCCCAATTGTCCCACATAACTGATATTTATGATTTCTTTGGAATAAACATAGAAATTGACCCTCACAATTTTAAAACTTGAGAAACTTATATTTGTCTTAATCTGAGTTGCTTTCCCAGGAAACCAACTATCAGTTCTGCCACAGAGTATCAAGGAACTGAAACTTACCATATCACCACATTTGGATAATGAGACACCAGGCCCCTTGCCCATCATGACTGCCTAACCAACCACCTGCTTCCTGTTGACCAACTCCTCTACCTTACCCCTTCCTAATTCCTGTTTTCCCTACACAGTTACATTTCTTCCCTGCTACATCAACTCCTAATTTTAGTCAGTTGAGGAGATGGATATGAGACTGATCTCTCATTTCCTTGGCTGTAGCACCTGAATGAAGCCTTCTTCCCTGGCAGTACTCATTGTCATAGTGAATGGCTTTCTGTGTGGCAAGCAACAGGTCCTAGACCAAACTCCTGGTGTTTCATTAGCATTTCCAAAGATAGCTGAAAGAGATGTAAGGTGACTGTGGCAGTGCCTCAGAACCAGCAGAAACAGCAGCTTTGTGGATATTCACAAGTAGCCCATCAATCACCACGTAGAGCCAATAAGTACAAAACTGAAATCAAATTATTATTCCAACAAAGTTGCTATGTTTTCTATAGATCCTTTGATCCTTTTGGATATTTTTATGTTTACAGTTGTGTCATTTGCAAATAATCAGAGTTTTATTTCCTCCTTTCCAATCATTATAAAATTTGTTTGTTTTTTATGCCTTATTGACTGGCTAGGATCTTCAGAACAATGTTAAATAAAAGTGGTGGAGGGGTGGAGCCAAGATGGCCAAATAGGAACAGCTCCAGTCTACAGCTCCCAGTGTGAGCGACACAGAAGACAGGTGACTTCTGCATTTCCAACTGAGGTACCGGGTTCATCTCACTGGGGAGTGCCAGACAGTGGGTGCAGGACAGTGGGTGCAGGAGAGTGGGTGCAGCACACCATGCATGAGCCGAAGCAGGGCGAGGCATCCCCTCACCCGGGAAGTGCAAGGGGTCAGGAAATTCTCTTTCCTACTCAAAGAAAGGGGTGACAGACGGCACCTGGAAAATCGGGTCACTCCCATCCCAATACTGCGCTTTTCTAACAGGCTTAACAAACAGCACACCAGGAGATTATATCCCGCACTTGGCTCAGAGGGTCCTACGCCCATGGAGCCTTGCTCATTGCTAGCACAGCAGTCTGAGATCAAACTGCAAGGTGGCAGCAAGGCAGGGAGAGGGGTGCCTGCCATTGCCAAGGCTTGAGTAGGTAAACAAAGCAGCCGGGAAGCTCGAACTGGATGAAGCCCACCACAGCTCAAGGAGGCCTGCCCGCATCTATAGGCTCCACCTCTGGGGGCAGGGCACAGACAAACAAAAGGCAGCAGTAACCTCTGCAGACTTAAATGTCCCTGTCTGACAGCTTTGAAGAGAATAGTGGTTCTCCCAGCACGCAGCTTGAGATCTGAGAACGGGCAGACTGCCTCCTCAAGTGGGTCCCTGATCCCCAAGTAGCCTAACTGGGAGGAACCCCCGCATAGGGGTGGACTGACAACTCACATGGCCGGGTCCTCCTCTGAGACAAAACTTCCAGAGGAACAATCAGGCAGCAGGGTTTGCGGTTCACCAATATCCGCTGGTCTGCAGCCACCGCTGCTGACACCCAGGCAAATAGGGTCTGGAATGGACCTCCAGCAAACTCCAACAGACCTGCAGTTGAGGGTCCTGACTGTTAAAAGGAAAACTAACAAACAGAAAAGACATCCACAGCAAAAACCCATCTGTACGTCACCATCATCAAAGACCAAAGGTAGATAAAACCACAAAGATGGGGTAAAAACAGAGCAGAAACACCAGAAACTCTAAAAATCAGAGCGCCTCTCCTCCTCCAAAGGAATGCAGCTCCTCACCAGCAATGGAACAAAGCTGTACGGAGAATGACTTTGACGAGTTGAGAGAAGAAGGCTTCAGAACATCAAACTACCCCGAGCTAAAGGAGGAAGTTCGAACCAATGGCAAAGAAGTTAAAAACCTTTAAAAAAATTAGACAAATGGCTAACTAGAATAACCAAACAGAGAAGTCCTTAAAGGACCAGATGAAGCTGAAAACTATGGCACAAGAACTACGTGACGAATACAAAAGCCACAGTAGCCAATGCAATCAACTGGAATAAAGGGTATCAGTGATGGAAGACGAAATGAATGAAATGAAGCAAGAAGAGAAGTTTAGAGAAAAAAGAATAAAAAGAAATGAACAAAGCCTCCAAGAAATAGGGGACTATGTGAACAGACCAAATCTGCGTCTGACTGGGGTAACTGAAAGTGACGGGGAGAATGGAACTAAGTTGGAAAACACTCTGCAGGATATTATCCAGGAGAAATTCCCCAATCTAGCAAGGTAGGCCAACATTCAAATTCAGGAAATACAGAGAACACCACAAAGATACTCCTCGAGAAGAGCAACTCCAAGACACATAATTGTCAGATTCACCAAAGTTGAAATGAAGGAAAAAATGTTAAGGGCAGCCAGAGAGGAAGGTCGGGTTACCCACAAAGGGAAGCCCATCAGACTAACAGCTGATCTCTCGGCAGAAACTCTACAAGCCAGAAGAGAGTGGGGGCCAATATTCAACATTCTTAAAGAAAAGAATTTTCAACCCAGAATTTCATATCCAACCAAACTAAGCTTCATAAGTGAAGGAGAAATAAAATCCTTTACAGACAACAAATGCTGAGAGATGTTGTCACCACCAGGCCTGCCCTACAAGAGCTCCTGAAGGAAGCACTAAACATGGAAAGGAACAACCGGTACCAGCCACTGCAAAAACATGACAAACTAAAGAACATCAATGCTAGGAAGAAACTGCATCAATTAACGAGCAAAATAACCAGCTAACATCATAATGACAGGATCAAAATCACACATAACAATATTAACCTTAAATGTAAATGGGCTAAACGCTCCAATTAAAAGACACAGACTGGCGAATTGGATAAAGAGTCAGGATCCATCAGTGTGCAGTATTCAGGAAACCCATATCACGTGCAGAGGCACAAATAGGCTCAAAATAAAGGGATGGAGGAAGTTCTACCAAGCAAATGGAAAGCAAAAAAGGGCAGGGGTTGCAATCCCAGTCCCGGATAAAACAGACTTTAAACCAACAAAGATCAAAAGAGACAAGGCCATTACATAATGGTAAACGGAACAATTCAACAAGAAGAGCTAACTATCCTAAATATCTATGCACACAATACAGGAGCACGCAGATTCATAAAGCAAGTCCTTAGTGACCTACAGAGACTTAGACTCCCACACAATAATAATGGGAGACTTTAACACCCCACTGTCAACATTAGACAGATCAACGAGATAGAAAGTTAACAAGGATATCCAGGAATTGAACTCAGCTCTGCACCAAGCGGACCTAATAGACATCTACAGAACTCTCCATCCCAAATCAACAGAATATACATTCTTTTCACCACCACACCACAACTATTCCAAAATTGACCACATAGTTGGAAGTAAAGCACTCCTCAGCAAATGTAAAAAAACAGAAATTACAACAAACTGTCTCTCAGACCACAGTGCAATCAAACTAGAACTCAGGATTAAGAAACTCACTCAAAACTGCTCAACTACATGGAAACTGAACAACCTGCTCCTGAATGACTACCGGGTATAACGAAATGAAGGCAGAAATAAAGATGTTCTTTGAAACCAACGAGAACAAAGACACAACCTACCAGAATCTCTGGGACACATTCAAAGCTGTGTAGAGGGAAATTTATAGCACTAAATGCCCACAAGAGAAAGCAGGAAAGATGTAAAATTGACACCCTAACATCACAATTAAAAGAACTAGAGAAGCAAGAACAAACACATTCAAAAGCTAGCAGAAGGCAAGAAATAACTAAGATCAGAGCAGAACTGAAGGAATCAGAGACACAAAAAACCCTTCAAAAAATCAGTGAATCCAGGAGGTGGTTTTTTGAAAAGATCAACAAAATTTATAGACCCCTAGCAAGACTAATAAAGAAGAAAAGAGAGAAGAATCAAATAGACGCAATAAAAAATGACAAAGGGGATATCACCACTGATCCCACAGAAAGACAAACCACCATCAGAGAATACTATAAACACCTCTATGCAAATAAACTAGAAAATCTAGAAGAAATGGATAAATTCCTCGATATATACACCCTCCCAAGACTAAACCAGGAAGAAGTTGAATCTCTGAATAGACCAATAACAGGCTCTGAAATTGAGGCAATAATTAATAGCTTACCAACAAAAAAAGTCCAGGACCAGATGGATTCACAGCCCAATTCTACCAGAGGTACAAGGAGGAGCTGGTACCATTCCTTCTGAAACTATTCCAATCAATAGAAAAAGAGGGAATCCTCCCTAACTCATTTTATGAGGCCAGCCTCATCCTGATACCAAAGCCCGGCAGAGACACAACAAAAAAAGAGAATTTTAGACCAATATCCTTGATGAACATTGATGCAAAAATCCTCAATAAAATACTGGCAAACCGAATCCAGCAGCACATCAAAAAGCTTATCCACCATGATAAAGTGGGTTTCATCCCTGGGATGCAAGGCTTCTTCAACACATGCAAATCAATAAATGTAATCCATCATATAAACAGAACCAAAGACAAAAACCACATGATTATCTCAATAGATGCAGAAAAGGCCTTTGACAAAATTCAACAATCCTTCATGCTAAAAACTCTCAATAAATTAAGTATTGATGGGACGTATCTCAAAATCATAAGAGCTATCTATGACAAACCCACAGCCAATATCATACTGAATGGGCAAAAACTGGAAGCATTCCCTTTGAAAACTGGCACAAGACAGGGATGCCCTCTCTCACCGCTCCTATTCAACATAGTGTTGGAAGTTCTGGCCAGGGCAATCAGTCAGGAGAAGGAAATAAAGGGCATTCAATTAGGAGAAGAGGAAGTCAAATTGTCCCTGTTTGCAGATGACGTGATTGTGTATCTAGAAAACCCCATCATCTCAGCCCAAAATCTCCTTAAGCTGAGAAGCAACTTCAGCAAAGTCTCAGGATACAAAATCAATGTGCAAAAATCACAAGCATTCTTATACACCAATAACAGACAAACAGCGAAATTATGAGTGAACTCCCATTCACAATTGCTTCAAAGAGAAGAAAATACCTAGGAATCCAACTTACAAGGGATGTGAAGGACCTCTTCAAGGAGAACTACAAACCACTGCTCAATGAAATAAAAGAGGATACAAACAAATGGAAGAACATTCCATGCTCATGGGTAGGAAGAATCAATATCGTGAAAATGGCCATACTGCCCAAGGTAATTTATAGATTCAATGCCATCCCCATCAAGCTACCAATGACTTTCTTCACAGAATTGGAAAAAACTACTTTAAAGTTCATAGGGAATCAAGAAAGAGCCCACGTTGCCAAGACAATCCTAAGCCAAAAGAACAAAGCTGGAGGCATCACGCTACCTGACTTCAAACTATACTGCAAGTCTACAGTGACCAAAACAGCATGGTACTGGTACCAAAACAGAGATATAGACCAATGGAACAGAACAGAGCCCTCAGAAATAATGCCACATATCTACAGCTATCTGATCTTTGACAAACCTAACAAAAACAAGCAATGGGGAAAGGATTCCCTATTTAATAAATGGTGCTTGGAAAACTGGCTAGCCATATGTAGAAAGCTGAAACTGGATCCCTTCCTTACGCCTTATACAAAAATTAATTGAAGATGGATTAAAGACTTAAATGTTAGACCTAAAACCTTAAAAATCCTCAGAGAAAACCTAGGCAATACCACTCAGGACATAGGCATGGGCAAGAAGTTCATGTCTAAAACACCAAAAGCATTGGCAACAAAAGCCAAAATTGACAAATGGGATCTAATTAAACTAAAGAGCTTCTGCACAGCAAAAGAAACTACCATCAGAGTGAACAGGCAACCCACAGAATGGGAGAAAATTTTTGCAACCTACTCATCTGACAAAGGGCTAATATCCAGAATCTACAATGAACCCCAACAAATTTACAAGAAAAAAACAAACAACCTCATCAAAAAGTGGGCGAAGGATATGAACAGACACTTCTCAAAAGAAGACATTTATGCAGCCAAAACACACATAAAAAAATGCTCGTCATCAGTGGCCATTAGAGAAATGCAAATCAAAACCACAATGAGATACCATCTCACACCAGTTAGAATGGCGATTATTAAAAAGTCCGGAAACAACCGGTGCTGGAGAGGATGTGGAGAAATAGGAACACTTTTACACTGTTGGTGGGACTGTAAACTAGTTCAACCATTGTGGAAGTCAGTGTGGCAATTCCTCAGGGATCTAGAACTAGAAATACCATTTGACCCAGCCATCCCATTACTGGGTATATACCCAAAGGATTATAAAGCATGCTGCTATAAAGACACATGCACATGTATGTTTATTGTGGCACCATTCACAATAGGAAAGACTTGGAACCAACCCAAATGTCCAACAATGATAGACTGGATTAAGAAAATGTGGCACATATACACCATGGAATACTATGCAGCCGTAAAAAATGTTGAGTTCATGTCCTTTGTAGGGACATGGATGAAGCTGGAAACCATCATTCTCAGCAAACTATCGCAGAGACAAAAAACCAAACACCGCATATTCTCACTCATAGGTGGGAATCGAAGAATGAGAACACATGGATACAGGAAGGGGAACATCACACACCGGGGCCTGTTGTGGGGTGGGGGGAGGGGGAGGGATAGCATTAGGAGATATACCTAATGCTAAATGACAAGTTAGTGGGTGCAGCACACCAACATGGCACATGTATACATATGTAACAAACCTGCACGTTGTGCACATGTACCCTAAAACTTAAAGTATAATAATAATAAAATTAAAAAAAAAAGTGGTGTTCCCAAATTTAGGGGGAAAGTTTTAAATATTTTGCCATTGAGCACAATATTTGCTATAGACTTTTACAAATAGATACTCTCCATAAGATTAGGGAAATTCCTCCTGTTTCTGGGTTGCTAGAGGAGGTTCTCTTTTTTTCTTGTGTAAAAAAAACTGTGACTGTATATTGAATTTTATCAAATTGTTCTCCTGTATCTGTTAAAATTATTCTATTTTTGTTTGGCAAATATGATGAATTACATTAATTTGACTTTAGATGTTAATTTTTGCATTCTTGGAACAAACTTAACATTGGCTCGTGTTTTTGCTTTCCTGTAACATCTTTGTCAAGTTTTGTTATTAAGGTGATACTGACCTAACAGGAAAAGTAGGAAGTATTCACCCTTTTTCAATTTGCTGGGAGAGTTTGGTAGGGTTGGTGTTATTTCTTCCTTAAATATTTGGAGAAACTGCCTGGTGAAGCCATTTCAGCCCAGATATTTCTTTGTGAAATGTCTTTGAATTACACAGTTTCATTATTTGACATAGTATTGTTCAGGCTTTCTATTTATTCCTGTGTCTTTCATGGTAAATTATTTCATGGTAAATTTTCAAAAATTGAATAGTATTGTTCAGGCTTTCTATTTATTCCTGTGTCTTTCATGGTAAATTATTTCATGGTAAATTTTCAAAAATTACTTGGATTACTTTCTAAGCACCTTTCCCTCATACTACAAGGTAGTTGTGTTATTCCTTTGAAATACAGTAGGATCATTTTTTTCTGTCTCTATTCTGTTTAGAGTTGCCATGTCATTCGATTTTTGATGCGTGTGTGTGTGCGTTTTCTTTTTTTGAGGAAATGAAATATTAATATGGTTCTGAATGTTAGGTTCATGTAAAAAGGTCTTTCAAGAAAGGACTTCCCCAAGTCCTTCTATCCTATTCCCACTACTCTATCCTACTATATCTTTCTTATTCCCTCTTTTTATTACACAAAAGGTAGCATATTTTGTTTATTCAATTTGATTCTTCTACTTAATATATTCTAAAAATCATTTCATATCAGTTGATAGAGATCTCCCTCTTCCTTTTCTATAGCTGCTCAGCACTCCATTTTGTGGATGTAACAAGTCTACATAACCATTCTCCCATGTATGAGCTTTTTGTTTCGTTCAAATATTTTTCAATTACAAACAATGTTGCAATGTGTTTTTGTATTGTAGAAAGTATATCCTAAGGATAATTTCCTGAAAATGGGATTGCTGGGTCAAAAGGTATTAATAAATTTATGTGTAGTTTTGTTATAAATTTCCACATTTCCTTCTAAAAGGATTGTACTTATTTGTACTCCCACTAAAAATGTGTGAGTGTACCTGTCTTGTCACAGTTGTGCCAACAGAATGTGTTATAACACATTTTAGTTTTTGTCAGTCTGATTGGTCATAAATGGTATCTGTGTGATCTTTAAATTTGTCTTTTTTCCTAATTATGAGTAAGATTGAATATCTTTTCCTAAGTTTAAGGGCCACATTTTAGGCCATTTTTGCATTGCTATATAGGAATACCTAAGCTGGGTAATTTATTTTAAAATGAGGATTAATTGGTTTGTGGTTCTGCAGACTGTACAAGCATGGCACCAATATCTGCTCAGTTTTCTGAGGTAAGGGCCTAGGAAGCTTATAATCATGATAGAAGGTGATGGTGAGCCATCATGTCACATGGCAATGGCGAGAGCAAGAGAGAGAGAAGGAAGGGATCCCAGCCTCTTTTAAACAATTGGATTTCACATGAACTGACTGAGCAAGAACTCACTCATCACCAAGGGGATGGTTCTAAGCCATTCATGAGGGATCCACCTCCACGATCCAGTCACCTTCCAACACTGGGGATCATGTTTTGATGTGAGATTTGGAAGTGACAAACATCCAAACCATATCAGGCCATGTGTACATATTTTGTTTATCTAAATTGACTGTGTATTTTGCCTATTAATTTAAGAAAGTCTTTGGTCTTTTTTGACTCAGTTTTGAACAGTTCTTTATATATTAGGGATATCAGCTCTTTGTGTTCTGTTGCAAATATTTTCTCCCAGTTTGTCAGAGAACTTTTGACTTTGTTTATAGGTGGGTTTTTTTCTTGCCATGCAGTTTTTTTTAAAAGCCTTTTTTGAAATCCAAGTTATTGATTTTTTAAAATTACAACTGGGTTTTAGGTCATAGAAAGTTTTCCTTTCTACATGCTATAGAGACATTTACTCATTTTTTTGTAGTGTTTGCATGGTTTTATATTTTTTACATGTAGGTCTCCAATCCATTTGGAGCTTGTTCCTGTATTTGATGTGATATAAAGATATACTTTTATCAGTTGTTCCAGCAATATTATTAAGGTGATGGGCTAAAAAGTTCATCTTTGCCCCAGTGATTTGAGATGCTACCTTTACCACATATTAAATTTCCATGTGTACTTGGATCTATGTCTTAACTTTCTATTCTAATACTGGTATGTTTGTCTAGTCATGTGCCAGTTCCTCAATGCTTAATTGTAGAGGTTAATGGTATGTTTCTTTTCTTTTTATTTATTTATTTTTTTTGAGATGGAGTTTCGCTCTTGTTGCCCAGGCTGGAATTCAATGGCACGATCTTGGCTGACTGCAACCTCCACCTCCCGGGTTCCAGCGATTCTCCTGCCTTAGCCTCCTGAGTAGCTGGGATTACAGGTGCCCACCATTAGGCCCAGCTAATTTTTTTTTGTATTTTCATTAGAGATGGGGTTTTACCATGTTGGCCAGGCTGGTCTTGAACTCCTGACCTCAGGTGGTCCACCCACCTCAGCCTCCCAAGGGATTAGAGGCATTAGCCACCACACCCTGCCAGTATGTTTCAATGAGCTTCTTTTTAATATTAAAATTGGTCATTTGATTCATTTGTTATTACTTTTCCTAGATTATCTAAGAGCTCTGTTGTAGGGGAGTAGGGCCAAGTTTGCTGTTAATCAGACCTAAATATTCTGGTCATGCTTCCAAACACTAGGTGAAGATAAATTCAGGAAGTCCAATTATGTGCCAGATATTTGCTGCTGTGTTTTGGGCAAAGGTCAGATGACGTTTCTGAAAAGGTACCTCTGCAATTCCAGTGTCTTTGTGACCTGCTGCAGTGATGTTGCTGGTGGTCTACAGACTGTGTTAGCCCTAGGGTTTCCTTAAAATAATGCAGTTTTGTTTTGCTGGAAGTGTCTCTTCAGGTGAAATTAACAGAAGTGAGATTCTTGGCTCAAAAGGTACATGAGTATGTAATTTCGTTGCTATTGCCAAATTCTCTTCTAAATTATTATACTAGTTTGCATTCCTACCAGCAATGGATAAGAGCTCTTGTTTTCCCACAGCTTTGCCAACAAAATACACTGTCCTACACTTTTTAATTTTTGCTAGTCTGATGGGGGAGAAATGGCAACACTTGGCTGCAGCATTTTTCCCTCTGCAGATGCAGGATTGGGCAGCCGGGCTTCCACCCCAGAACACAGTGCAAGTGCATTATGCCACACTCCCTTCACTACCTGAAGCATCCCTGCAAGAGGCCCTTTGTGTCATCTTCTGGTAGCAAATCTCAGGTAGGAATAGTCCAGCCCAACAGAAAGGATCTTGTAATGACCTCAGAAGGCAAGTGGTCATAGTCTTCATTCCAGTTCTCCCAAGGAATTGATATCTTTGCAAAATTGCTTAACCTCTACTCACCTTCCAGTACACAAACCAAGAAGTACCAAAAGGGGAAGACGTAATAAAGCACACAAGCTCCTGATATACTCTTGTACCAGGGAAATGACTTGACTTTCATTGACAGAAATAAGAAGGGCTATTTCCTGACTTTTTCTTAAAGACATCTCTGTGTACTAGGAGAAACAGCAACTACAATAACATTAAAATGGTGTTCCAATTTACTGATTATTCCACTGGTCCAAAAGATGCCACTTGTCGAAATCCTTTTCCAGCAGCAAGTGCCAGAGAATGTCCCAGACTGGCGGGTGCCTCTAAGTTAAGTACTACCTTCCAAGTGAGATCTATAGATAACTCCCAAGCAGTCTGGGGAATGGAGTGTCTAATTATGAAATCACTGGCTGATGTTGGAGGAAATGGTGAAACTTCTGAGAAATTGGGTGCCATGGCCTCTGTTAATATCTGCCCTCAATGTATTTAACACAGAGATTTGCCAGCTAGCATAGAGTGAGCTTTTCACCCACACCCTGCCTCAAGGCTCTGGGGCCTCAGATGTTCCTCTCTGCAGTGAGAGAGCAGGGGAGACTCTTTGTTTCCTGCTAGTTGTGGCATCTTTCCTTGGTTCTCCCCCATTCTACTCAGCCAGCTCCAGATCCCTGGCAGCCCTGTGTGAGCTAACCTATTTTAACCCTGTCATGTCCTGCCTGATGTCACCTTCCCCAATCTTGGAAGATGCTGAGGGATCAAGGCAGTATACATCTTCTTGTATACACAGAGAATTCTGGAATGGACTCCCCCACCTAGCAAGTGAATAGCTTCCTGGGAGACTTTTTAATAATTAAAATAGTGGAGCAGAGAGGCAGGGAGGAAGACAGGGAAGTGGGAGGCTTATAGGATGTAGCATGCTATAAAGCCTTCTAAATTCACTGGTGACCAGGCATAGTGGCAACTTGCCTAGTCGATTTCCATTCCAATCAGTTCTTTATTACTTAGTTGAGTATCCAGTTGATAGGTGAGCTGAGACCTTTAAATCATCCAAATTCTTGCCACCTGTGAAAGTTTTGTAGTCTGGCAAAAGGAACAATAAAACCAGTAACAAAATTGAATAATTTAAATTGTTTAGACATTTTAATTATCCCCATGTCTACTCTCAAATAGCTGTGTCTGGTGTACATTAATGATTATGCAAATATAAAGTATAAAACTAACCAGCTACTTTTTTTTGTACACGGTTTGAATCCCACAGATTAATAGTCCAATTTCTCAAATAATAAAATACCAACACACATAAGCTAAGTACCTGGCACATAGTAACCACTCAAGTGGTTTTTGGAAGAGCTAGAGTTTTATGAAAAATTTTATGTGTAATTTCATACATGCCTTTTCTGGGGAGAGAGTTTATCACTATTTTCAATGAGCTATTACTCTGCTATCCCCACCCCAAAGGCTAGCAACAACCAGGTTAGAGTATGGCATTATGTTTAATTTGTGTTACACATGTATTAAAGTAATAGACCTTCCATTATATAATCTCATACTTTTCCTAAGTATATATAACATGGTCTTTGCCATAATTATTAGCGACTATTCAAAACAATGAAAACAAAGATATAAGCAAATGTTAATTTAGTACATTAATAATGTTCTTGAACATTATTATCTATTTAGCTTGAAAACATTCTTTTAATCCATTTTTTTCTTGCCAGTTGTCTTTTCTTAATGGTGTTACCTTCTAAGGATATTTACTTTAGAAAAAATATAAATTTTTACAAATATGAACCACAAAAGATTTTTAACTTTTTAAGAGTTTTTATGAATCATTAAACTGTTGGCAAGTACTAAGCCTATTACCAGAAAATTCAGATCTTTTAGTACATAAAGTACTTATTTATTTGAAAACCAGGCTATTAAAGTAAGATGAGTATGGAAACGAATTATGAGATACCTATAGGAGTTTTTAGGGAACTATAATGACAGGCAAGATAAAGAGAAGAAACATGACAAAAATCTAAAGAATGAGTGAATGTTTGACATAATACAGCTCAAGGCCATATAAATTACTTCCACCCAGAATTATTAATTTAAATTCCAGGACCTCAAGCAAAATGTCATAAAACAAGAAAAGACATGAAATGCCTCTCTGGACTTCATTTGATCCACAAAGAAGGATTTGGTGACAACATGGGAGTGACAGAAACAGGGAAAATTGGCCATGTCATCTTGGAGTTCACAAAAGTAAGAGAGTGCAGTGCTGGACATTTTTGGACATACACTGCAGACTAACTTCAGAAAGTTCTAGGGAGAATCAGTATATGCCAACAGCCAGAGGTACAAAGGAAAAAAAAATGACTCATGAAGATCAAAGATCCTGAGAAATGAAATTCTGACCATATATTAAAACAATTCACAGAGATGAGGTTGTGGGATGCCAGGGATGGACATCAGGAGAAGCCGGCATGGCTGTGTAGGCAGCTCCCTAACAAGTCCAGGATTTTAAAGGACCTAAGTCAAAGATGGAGGAAAGCAAGGAAAAGCAAAGGCAAGGGCAAACAACAGTGCAAACTGTTAGGAATAGTGTCAGGGAAGTGAAAAATCAAAGTAAACCGAGACTTGAATTAAGAAAGAGAACAAAAGGGTTATCAGCCTAAAAATAACAACACTTGATAAATGTCAAGTTATGCAAACCATGAAGTATATATTGTTATTTCCTCCATTTTATAGAGGAGAAAATTAAGGGGCAAACAGGCAATGTAGCTTCTACGGTATCATATAACGTGTAAATAGTGGAGCAGAGATTTCAAACAAGTTAAGAACTTCTATTTCCTATTCATATCTCCTTGCATGTGGAGGAACATCGTTTAACCTGGCCTTCTTCATCTCTCTCATCCTTCCACTGCGATGATGAAGGAGCAAACACCTGACTGATAAGTTTGGAGGGATAATTTATACTAACCAGCCCCTTCCTCCTTCTCTCTTGAGAGTTGACCCAGCAAGCACATGTCCTCAGATGCTCTCAGCCTTGAGATAACTTAGAGGTTAAGGCCTTGCTTCTTGGGAGAAGATCTGCAATAGCCCAGAGCTGCCTGTGACTGTCTGGGAAGGTCTGTCAAATCCTGGGTTGTAGCTCCAGCTCACTAGCTCCCAGACATGTCAAATACTCCAACATCAGCTCTATCAGTCATGCAGATATGTTTGTTTCCCATTGGCCTTACCTTTTTGGGTTCTATTTCTTATTTGGTTCCATCTCAAAGATCTCAACAAGCCCTTTTTTAACCTGACCTCAAGCCTGAGCTCCTAACCACTAAGCAATACCACTTTGCTATGCCTTGTGTAAGATGGATTACGGTTTACAGATAACAGAGATAACTGCCAGGTTATTTTGTTACTACCTTTTCCAGAAAATTGAGTATTTTTTTCTAAATTAGGAATGGCAAAATATGATTAAGGGAAAACTGAAAATCAAGACAAGAGATGGAAGAATAAAACACCCTGTAAATTCTTTAAATAAAGTCAAGTCCTCAGACCCAGAAAATGATATTGCAGCCTTAGGTAACCACTTAGGAGCCACTATCAGTCACAGTGGAGATATCATGGAGTATTGGAAAATATCTGCAGAAGACTGGAGATGGGAAAGTGCCCTCAGTCTTAGGCAAAAGCCGTAGTCAAAAGGCTAAGCAATGGTAATCTCAGAAATCACAACCCCTAGACATCAACCCCCCAGAAACCTGTAGAGCAGGTCTATGAGAAAATAATATACTGAAAAACTACAGTTAAGATGAGTCCACTGAAAAAAAGTAAATTGCCTAAACTCATTCTATTAACATTTTATATAAGTTTTTTCATGCATTTATCAAGAAGTACTAAAAATATAGCATATTTTTATGCCGGCAAAACAATGGACTGACTGTTTCATAACATACTTGATATGATGATGGAAAAGGAGATGCATGATTGTGCTGTAAAGTAGCTTGGCATCTGGAAGATCAATCATAGTGAATATAAATGCCATCTTTGAGCTGAGTAGGATATTAGCCACCTTCTAAAAAGCAAATACAATCTTTAAGTTGCATTAAAAAAAGAAAGAAAGCCTCAAATCATAGAAAGATTCCTAATGTACCCTTCAATGGTCAAACCATATTTAGAGTTTTGTGTGAGATTATGGATGCAACATATTAAGAGAGATATTGACAAACAGGAGCATGTTCAATAAGCAATGAACAAAGGACGAAGACCCTGGATGTCATGTCAATTAGAAAATGGTTGAGGGAGCTTCAAATTTTTTCTGGAAAAGGGTTGACAGTGATAAACACGTAGACTGGCTTTCAAGTCATTGAACTATTTTGAGCCTCAGATTTTTCTTGTATAAAATGAAAGGGCTTGAAATTAATGGGGTCTATATCATCTCTGAAATCATATCCTTCTTCTATGCAAACATTTGAAAAGTTATAGTAATGGGTTAAAGAATATGATTGGTCTCACTACAGAAAACAGAATTAGAATTAATGAATAAACATTACAGAGAGGTAAAGTTGTAACTAGACGTGAAGGAACTTTCTAACAATTAGATGCATCATGAAAGACTAGGGTGTTGATAGCTAGTAAGCAGGATGACAATCGAAATATTATTCAAGAATTGGCTGGATGATGATGATGACAACAATGGTAATGGTGATTTCTATTATATGTTGATGTTATGATTATCATTACAATATATTAAGTGTCCACTATATGCTAGTGATAGAGACAGGAGACAGCTAAATGCCTACACAGATAAGGAAGGGTCGCTGGAGAACCTCTAACCCATCTGAATCATTGTGCACAGGGGGCTTGCCTAAACATGCCTAAGGTGAAAAATTCCATCCTTTAACACATGCGCAGTAAGGGAAATAAATCAGTGTGGAGTGGTTCAGACTAAGGGCCCTCATGTGCACTGGAAGAATGGGTGGAGCCACCAGAAATTCACGCCTTATGCAGGGGAGACACCTGGCCTCTTCAATTCATGTGGTAGCCTAGTATTCAATTTGTGAGGTGGAAACCTGTGTGCAGGATCCCTCTTTTTGTGGAGAACTTTCCTTTTGCTTAATAAATTCTGTGCTCCTCACCTTTCAATGTGTCCATGTGCCTAATTTTTCCTGGTCGTTGAGACAAGAACTCGGATTTAGCTGAGCAAAGGAGCAAAAAATCCTGCATCATTTTGGTGGCCCATATGGGGACATGAGGAAGGGTGAGTAAAACATGGACCCAAAAATCTATTTCCCTTTCATTTCTGAGCTTTCTTATCCTAAGACTTTTTCTGAGGGCAGGAGAAACTTCCCCCACCACCCACTCTGTCGCTCTCAGGGGTTGGAATATCGGCCTCAGTCCAACCCAGTCTTTTCTGTGGCATTTTCCTTTTTACTCGGGGGGGAATGTAATGGCACCTATCTTTTCTTTTACAATATTGGGGATGTTCCACCCCCAACCCCAGTGGCCACAGGCATGTGCTTAGGATGGACCAGTGAGAGGCAGCTCCCCTAACCCTCCCCTCCCAGCTGGGGTGCATGGCCATGTCCACTGCATGTGCGTGTGGTGTCAATAGCCACATAGGGCGGGAATGAGCCACAGCTGCTGCCCAGGCCCCAGGGTGGCCTTGGAGGCCTGGGTCCTGCTCAGCCAGCTAGCCAACATTCCCTGCCACTGCCACCATCCATAGTCTTTCCCTCCCCCAGCTAAAGGGTACAGCTCAGTCTGACAGCAATTAAAAGTTTCCCTCCCTGTTGGAGAAATCCATTTGCATAAGAATAAGCGGTTCTTCCCCCAGGCATCTTCCCCACCCAGCATTTATGCTTTTTTTTCCTTTTCTGCACTCTGTCAGCAGTTAACACAGCCCCACACTTAAGCCTTTTTTTCTTTTCTCCACCCTGTCAGGAGTTAACTTTTAAGGGAGAGGTTTTCCTTTCTTGAAAGGCATCTTATTAGACCAGGACCTCAATTCACAGGACACCTGTTTCCTCTCCGTTGTTTCAGAAGGACGCAGTTCCTCAGCTTCACCTTAACATTTGGCTTATGATAAGGAGGCAACTGCCAATCTGGCGAGGGACACCTGGGGCTTGATGAGTCCGTGCACTCCCTGAGTCAGTTCTTTTGTCCCAACTGAATTCCAAGCTTTGGGACAAAGCCCTAGGAAAGAAAACTGGATCTGAGAGATCCAGAGGCAGATGACAACGGAAGTTAAAAGGCACAGCACAAATGAGCATGACTAATTCTTGCCAATTAAGCCAAGCCTCCCATTTCATGGATAAAGGTCATGCTAGTATCCATGGCATAAGTGAGGTCTAGAGAATTCAAAGGCTACTGACACCAGAAGGAAAGGCAGCACATGGGTAAGAGCAGATATTCCCACCCCCTAGCCTCCTGCAGTGTTAGCATGGGTGAAAGCCATATTGTCACCCATGGGCAGCACCCTGTTGAGGTTGCTGGGACTCGGGAATATAAGGATGAAAGAAGGAAAGAGGATGCTTTTTCCTTCTCGCCCTCATAAACCCCAGGTATTTGCTAGGAAGATAAAGGAACCAGAGATGCCTAGCTCCCCTCTTTCTAGATGAGTAGCCATTCATGTTCAGTCTGTCCCCCTTTTGAATGCATCCTGAACCCCTGGGGCTCCTTTGAAAACAAAAAGTCTTCTTTGTCCCTTTTTCCTCCTTGATCCTCTCTTTACAGATGGATAATTGTGTTCCCGTATTCCAGGACACTTCCCTCAGATGTATCCTCCAAACTGAGAAAAGTTAATTTCCCAAACCTTAAACTGGTTGGCTTAGAATTGAGGTCGGGGAAAGGGAATCCAGAAGCCTGACATGCTGGCAAAAGGGTAAAAGTTTTTTTTTTTTAACTAGTTGGACTTTTATCTTCTCTCTCCCTGTGCAAACTGGTGCAAGTAATGATAAGGATCACTTTTTATATTCTCTGTAAAGTTTTGATTAATGAAAAAGAATTTATGAGGTTGGTCTTAAGCTCTAGCCAATCTGGTATGCTTTGTGTGTCTTCATTGAGGCTTGGTGGTTTCACTTGTGAGGTCACTTTTGGTAAAGTTCAAAAGCCAGAAGTATTGGCTGCTTGGTGTTGCCAAAGGCAATAAGGAATTTAAAATGATTTCCTTAAAGAGCATGCAACTTAATTAAAAGTGAATATCCAAGTTATAGGTATATTTAAAAGGCCTTTGTTTTTCTCTTCTTGGATCTTATTTTGCTGGAAAAAGGTTTTTTCTCAGTTAACTGAATTGCTTTTCTCCTCTTTGTCTTGCCACTCAATGCATGCATAGTAGGCCCTAAGATAACTTCTAATGCCATGGGACTCCTTGGGAAAAACAGAAAAGGTGCCACAGATTCCATTTTAGGAGAAACCTGTTTTGCTTATGGAACCCCAGGAATTAGAGGCAGATAGATCCCTCTCAAAATCTGTTTTTGTCTTCCAGCTATGCCTATTTATTAGGCTATAGAAACTGCATGCTTTCCTAGTCCTGCCCTTAATGGGCCCCACCCAGAGACCAATAATTCAACTAGGAGATTGGCAAATGAAAAATTTTATAGCTACTGGATCTTCTTCTATCTGCGTAGTTATATAGGTGTTGTGTGTGATGTCTATAACAAAAAGAGCGCCAATTAATTGTCCTAAAGAAAAATAAGTGATTAGATCAAATATTTTTTGAGGGAAAAATAAAAGGTTTAATGCCTTTTACTTCATGTGACTTTAATCTTTGAGAAATAAAAACAGTCTTAATGATTATTGGTAAAATGCAAATGTTGTTAAAATGTAAATAGGTGTTCTAAATTATACAGCTCAGATCCTACGTTTGCTAAATGTTTTAAGGTTATAAATTGCTTCTTTAGCTGTTGAGAACTGTTCCACTTGCCAGCCTCACAATTGCTAAGGCCTGGGGACATGTGGAATTAACCACACCCTTAACTATGCTGGAAGGAGTCAAACTTTATTGATGCCTAGTGCATAACTAAAACAAATTGCCAAATTTTACATTAAAATTAAAAATTGGTAAGATATACCATTATAACATGTGATTGAGACCACTGAAAATAGATTTACATGCAAAGTGTGTAAGAACAGTAAAATGTGTTTTTAGTAAAAGATTGTAAGACAGCATGGAAATGTAAATTTTTGCCTAGGGTTAAAGGATTGTTTTAAGTTAGGTAAGATGAAGCTAAAGGTTTAAAAAAGTTATGGAAAGTTTCTAAAAATTAATCTTGCAAAAGAAATTCTGTGTGTCAACATTGACTAAATTCAAAAGGGTATTATATGGTTTTTCTGTAAATTGATCATTGAAATAAAAGCACAACAAGGTTTTCTTAAGGTACTAACCTGCCCTTTAGCAAAATTTGTAAAGGGTTATAAAAGATTTATATGAATCTCACCTCATGGTCAAACTGGTTAAGACTGGATAGAATTGTCCATAAGGTTTCATTTAAAAAATTGGGTTGACATTAATAGTAAACTAATGTAAGGGTAAAAGTTGACGTTCTCTAACTTGTACAAGATTTTAATGTAATAGTAAAGAATAATGAAAGATTTTCATTTGCCTTGCAGATGGACTCCTAAGGAAATGAAAGAGAAGACAGGAGACAAATTGTTAGGAAAAGCTAAGTCTTCCCTCTTAATGAGCAAAGATTTTTGCCTGGTTTAAAAATTTTTGTGATGTAATTTTGGCAAAATAACTAACTGATGGTAATCTGGAATTCTATTTCATAGCATCAAGTGTTTTAAACCACTAACATATTTAATAGGCTTCCCAAAACCAAATTTTGGCTTCAAGTTGTCCGTCCTGACCCCTAGTTTTTGGATGCTACAGACGGCCCCTGAAGCATCCAAAGAGGGTAGACAGGATTACCTGATGTCTTTAGGTACATGGGATTGCCAAAATGATGTTTAATATTCTTCAGGTTATATTTTAGTGAATAATATTAATATCTGTTCCAAAATAGTACAGGATTTTAAAAATTCTAATGTATGAGTATATTTATGAATCACAATTCAGGGTGTTATATTAAGTTATTGTAAACCACAGAGATAACCAAATTTCTTTGTCAATTATGTTTTTGACTGTAACTACCCTGGACATTTTGTTATTCATAGACAATTGTTGTCTTGGTTTGATCCTCTTTAAACGATGGTATATAATAAGCTATAGAACTTTGACAGGTTCTCTCAAATGCAGGTTACTGATAACTTTGTAAATTGTGACATTGGTATAAAGGAAAAACACACAGGGCTAATGAAGAACTGAAATGTTTAGAAATATCAATACAAGAGTTAACTAAAAGGACTAAACTAATAGAAAACTGAAGTAATCTTTTTTAAAACTTTTGCTTAAAACATTGCTGATCTTTGTTTTGTTTTTCAGAGTCAAGGAAACTTTTATTTTGAGCTATTTACAGTCTTTAATAATTGAGTAAAGTAGACTCCTGTGAACAAAATTTGGAGCATGTTTGTTTCTCTTTGCATGGTTCCTATAGAATTTGGAAACTATCTGTGAGTATTCTTATGGCAATATGGTTATTTTCATCAGTGCAATAAGAATCTATTTTCTTTTGCAATAGGATGCAATTGGAGAAGCTGGTTGTTCTACCAAGGCTTTGACTGGAAGGGTATACTTTCCTTTAAGGAATTGAGCTTGACTTGTGGAGCTGATAAAAGCCCCTTGGGGAAACTGGCCTCATATCTTGTCTACACAGTCCCTGTACAGGGTTATTAATCTGTAGTGAGTAAAGAGTGTCACTTTCTAATAGGCCCAAGAACCCCATATTCTTGGGATCCCAAGAGGAGAATAATTCACTCAACTCATAGGTATTTGAGGGGACAAATCCATGGCTGGGCTTGGTTTTTAAAAGTCCTATCTGAGATTCCTTGTGGAACAAAGTTCTATCAAAGCCAATTTAAAAAGACTGTAAAAATAATTATTTTTGCTGCACTTTATGCAAGTAATAAGGCCAAGTATAAGACTAAAGTTTATTTTTGCAAACAACTCAGTCCTATCATGATTTGTTTTTAACAAAAATGAGGACTGAGAAATTATGTTTCAAGACTTATTATACATTTGTCATTAAATTCTAGACTCATTAGTTGTTGTTAAGTTTTTCACCTACATTTTAAACTAACCCTGCTTATTCCTGTGAACCAACCAGCAGTCTCCAACTGCAGCTCAGAAGAAACAAAAAGAGATGGGTAGTATAAAAATCTGGATAATATTCTAGTTCTGGGAAATTATCCTGCAGTTTCTGCCAGGTGATGGGGGTAAATGGGGTGCCCATAACCTGGAGGTTTCTTTTTTTGGGAAAATAAGACCAAGGGAGCTCACCAAAGCCAAGCCCCATGCACCCAAATCTTAGCAGGTGTAACTATAGCCACCAGTTATCTGGGCATGCTGGTAGCCTTGGAATTTTTGAGCTCTCCTTACCTTTACCTTTTGTTTTGTTTTGATACATGTCTTCTAATAACCTGGTTTGTCTCTTCCTGCCTTTAGGCCATTGAACTCCAAACAATCATGCAACTAGAGCCTCAAATGATGGCCCCCTTTTACCAGAGACCCTTAGATAGGCCTCTGAGGGAGATCTGACTGCTGTTATTTGAAAACAGCACCCCCTGTCAGCAGAAAGCAGTTAAGGTCAATCATCATCCTTATCCTTATTCTAATGGCTGTTAGATGTACTTCTTTAGAGGGGGGAATGATACAGGCAGGAGACAGCCAAATGCCTAGGCAGATAAGGAAGGGTACCCAGAGAGTCTCCGACCCACCCAGGTCATTGTGCAGAGGGGGCTTGCCTAACCATGCCTACGGTGAAAACTTCTGTCCCTTAACACACGTGCAGTAAGGGAAATAAATCAATGTCAAGTGGCTCAGACTAAGGGCCCACAAGAACACTGGAAGAATGGGGTGGAGTCACCAGGAATCCACGCCTTATGCAGGGAAGGGACCTGGCCTCTTCAGCTCATGTGTAGTGGCCTGGTATTCAATTTGTGAGGTAGAAACCTGAATGACGGACCCCTCTTTTTTATGGAGAGCTTTCCTTTCACTTAATAAATTCAGCCCTCTTCACCTTTCAATGTGTTCACTTGCCTAATTTTTCCTGGTTGTGAGACAAGAACCCAGATTTGGCTGAACTAAGGAGCAAATAAATCGTACATCACCAGGCTCTGATTGTGGTACTTTACATATGTTATCATATGCATGGATAAATTTCTTTTAGAATTGCCATGGTAGGGAATTCACTAGCAGCTGGAAGGATGGTATTGATCAGTGGTTATCAAACTTCAGTATGAAGGACTTGTTAAAACATAGATTGCTAGATCCCATTTCCAGAGTTTCTGATTTAGTAGGTCTGCAGAGGATCCCAAGAATTTGCATTATTAACAAGTTCTCAGGTGATACTGATGCTGCTGGTCCAGAGGCCACACTTTGAGAACCACTGGTCTAGATTATCTCCAACTTTCATTCTAATGCTAAGATTCTGTGTTTCAATAATCATCTTAACTTTTTTTCATGAGAGACAGATCTCTACTGTCTTGGGTCAAGACCTTAACACAGGAATTTTTAAAAAATCATATCATTGAAGAATACAGTTTAATCACTTAAGCCACTATACCTACTTTTCCCTCACTTCTTTCTTAAAATGCTGTTTTTTCCCCTTTTTACAAAAATGCTGGGTTTTCCCTTTTTTTAAACAGAGTTAAAATGCTTTATTTTATAATTGGTTAGAGGAAAAAGCAAACTACTTTTCCTTTGCCTCGTTTCTTCATCATTATACAATTTTGGACACTGTTATTGTTATCTCCCAGGAAATTACATTGGAAAAACATACCTAATGCTGTAAAGTAAATGATCAGTATTAAGTCATGAGCATATTGTTACAGTGTTTTAAAACTCTGGAAAGATGAAATTTTGGCTTAAGGTGAACATGGGAGTGGGTGTTTGATGATGAAAAGATGGTGTGTGTGTGTGTGTGTGTGTGTGTGTGTGTGTACATTCCACAGAAGTGTAAAGTTTCATCCTTAGTTGCTTCAGATGACTTTTCCATACTATTTTTTAACATTTTCATTATTTGGATTTACAGCACCCCAGGGATCTTTAGCTATTTCAAAAGGTGTCATGCAATTCTGAAAAGTTCCTCAGAATAACATTTTAAGTTACTTAAATTGAAAAAAAATACATATTTGCTATACAGACATTTTCTAGTCTGGTAAAAGAGACAAAGATAAATGTTCACACTTGAAATAAACAAAATATCTGGAAATTGCTTATAGGGTATTTAAACTTCCATTCAATGCTGGTTCCCAAATGAATTACAAAGTGTCCTATACCAGAGTCTTGGCATCTAAATCAACATAAAACACCTGGCACATTTTGAATGAAAAAAGAACTTCACATTTTCAAGCAGTTCTCAATTATCTCATTAATAGATCATCTGAAACAGCTAAAAGCCCTAATGATTATTTTTCTTTAATTTGAGACTGTGTTTTTGTACTTACAGGTGAAGAGCTATTTTCCTGATGTCCTAAGAATTTTATTCAATTAATGTTATAGGTGCCACTAGAGGAGCTGGAAGGTGTTCCTGGTCTTTTGCAAAAGAAAGCTTTCTTCTCAAATCAATGCAAAATCTCCTTCTCTTCTAACTATCCTAGAGCTGTGGGGAGGAGGCAGAGAGTGTGTGGATTTGAAAGGGCTTCTCGACCTCTAGGTAAAAAGAAAGAGCTTAGATATTAACATTGTAATTACATCAATTAGATGCTAACTTTATTTGGTTTTCAAAAATAATCAGGCCCCTGCTAATTGTGTGTATAGAGAAAGAAATGAGTCCACATTCTTTGTAAACACTAAGTACACTTTTTTGTTCTCTATCAATGAGCAGCAGGCAGCATGTGGATCTCAGATATCTGAAGACAGGGCATATGAGCTGATTAAATGGGCTGGTAGGAAAGGTCTGAATTCAGAGGTTAGCACTGCCAACCCTCTGTTCCTCCAGTCCACCCCCTGTAACCAGCTCCCACTGGCTTCATCACGGCTGCCCAATTTCTTCCTACTCCAGTGTTTCTCAACCCTTTAAATCAATGCCAACTTTTCATAAATACAAACATCTTATTCACACTTTCCCCAGAAATTCTAACACGTTCCTCAGGATTAGGGGAGTGGAAACTTCAGTTAGGAAACTCTGTATTTTCTTTGTAACCCAGCAGCAAAAACAATGTGGTTGTGTTTTGTTTTCTGAAGTTGCCATTATAAAAATAATAGTTTTGTTATGTTTTTATAAGATAAAACTAAATTATAAAATTGAACATGTCTTCTCAAATTTTTCACTTGCCTCCAACCACCCTCCACTTCCCATAGATTCTAGTATTTCTCTAAGAGCCCATTCCTCAAGTTAAAAATTGTTGCTCTAATTTCTACATCATGACCAGGACATGCTGTATAATTTGTGGGGCCTAGTTCAAAATGAATATGCAAGGTCCCTCTTCAAACATTATTAAGGATTTCAAGATGGCTACAGTAGAGGATTAAACCAAGGCTGGGACCTTTCTAAGCTTGGAGTCCTGGGTGACTGCACAGAATACATGCCACAAAGCTGTCCCTGATCATGACTTTTTAGCTTCTGCTATTCCTGTCATTGACTTCATCTGTGTGTTTCCTAATTCTGATTCCCAAGAGCAAGAATCGGATTGGCTAAGATAAGCATTTCATTCCAGAAGTTTTACTGGTTGCTGGCAGGCATATTCATTGGAGAGGTCCCTTGGTCAGTCAACTATGTCAGAACCAAACAGTCGTGTGTGATCAAGGTGGGGGATTTGAATGGGAGTAGAGAATGGGTCTACTACTACAGTACATGGCCACCAATGTAGCCATGAGAGTGGACGGGGCAGTTTTCTTAGGAGTGGACATGGGTAGACAGGCAATCACTGACACTGAATACAAAATATAAATATACGCATTTCCAATTTGAGCCTGATGTCTGTGTAAAACGGAGTAATAATATTTCAGAGGCTAGTTTATGGGGGATAGATGAGATAGTGACCTAAACAAATGGATGTAAAACCCCAAGAAATCATTATTACCATTCAACTAAGGGAGTGCAAACATAGTGGAACCTGATTTAATATCTCAAATAGTCCAGCACTCAAAAATAGGCTGGTAACACATAGGCCATCAGGGTGTTGTCTTGTGGTGCATGCAGCAGGATGACTATTACTGTGAACTAAGCAACACAGATGCCATCTTCTGAAGACAAATAGACACAAAGGATTGTGTCTTTGTTCATATATACAAAGAAAATTGGCACTAGAACTGGATGAGAGCCAAGGGACAGTCTGTTTGATAGGCTGTGGCTTGTGATAGTCCTAATCTGTTGATGAAATAATGTGTTTCCTTCTGGAAAAAAGGAATTTTCTAACGTTCCCCTAAGAAAGGTTTCAGCTGCCCTCAGCTCTGTCAGGGACTAGAAGTGATTGTCCTGTTCTGGGTTATTATCACTTTGATCACACCAATTCCCCTTTTGGGCTTAAAAAACTCAGTCTCTTTCTGTCTCTCTCTCTCTCTTTTTCTCTCTCTCTCTTTTTGGAGGATTTTTTTCGAATCTGTATATCTTTCTAGTTTAACTAGATACAGATCTAGTCATGGGTTTTTACCCCCAGGCTCTCCCTTTTGTCATCTTTTATCCTCCTCTTTCCTTTGTCCCATTTAAATTAAATTTTAGAATTTATATAAGAATTTAAGTTGGTCATAGTAAAGATTTTGAAACATTAGGGATTTTGAATTCCAATAGTGTTATCAGTAGCTTTTAAAGGTTAGGATTTTCCTTTTGTATGTGTCATGAGTCTATATGTGTGAGACTGTGACACTGTGTGTATGTATTTAAAGAATATTTAAACTTATGACAGTAAAAGAAAAAGTACAAATTGCAAATATCAAGCGTTACGTCAAATAAAAACTTCCAAAACAGTCCTATGTGACAAATAACACAAACCAAATTAATTATTAAAAAGAATCTTTTGTATCACTCAATTCCTAGAAAGAATCAGGAAAGTAAAAGTCTAAAAAGCAGTGGTTTGAAGAAAAACAGGAAGCCTGCCACAAAGCATTTTGAGTAGGTGAATGAAGGTTATTAGTTAAGCTGGGGATGCCTGCTTTCCCTGCTCTAGCAGTCACAGACAGAGTGAGCATGCCTCTGCATAATCCTATTATGTACAGGGTGCTGCACTTGGCCTTCCTGGTGACTTACATTTGCCAGAAACACTACACTTCAAACACATACCATACAGGCAATTACAACAGGTTTCCAAAGATTGATGGCAGCCCCCAAATGAAAAGATTCCACTAGCTACCCTCTAAATCCTCATATGAAGAATATGTGTTTGTGTGTGTGCCACTATGTGTTCATGTATTTAGCCAGCATAATGTAGAAAATTGATTTCTTAACACCTGATTCTAGGCAGAAGCAATTTCTGCCCAGAATGTCAGCCACTTTTTAAAAAATAACATCAAGCCATTGCACAAATACAAAATCACATACTTGGAGAAAACGAAATTATACACATCCTTAGAATATTACTCTTTCCCTTTCATCCTTCAAAAATTAATTTGGATTTTTAACTTTCCATCCTGGTCCAATACTGTACAACAAAGAAAGTATGGATAAGAAAAGTAAGATTTCAGAAATGTGGTAAGGAGTGGAGGGAAATGCCTTCAATAATTCTCAGTGAGGGTGTAGGAGGACTTCTGGCTCACAGATGTTCCAGTGCTCTAAGGGGTTCATTGGGAGAGAATATCACCATAGGTTTGAAAAACTATTAATCCCACCAAGGAAAAAAAACTTCAGCTTTTGAGCCTGTTAGCAAATTATAGTTAATAAAAATAAAATTTGTGGCCTGGCACAGTGGCTCACGCCTGTAATCCTAGCATTTTGGGAGGCCGAGGAGGGTGGATTGCCTGAGCTCAGGGGTTCAAGACCAGCCTGGTCAACATGGTGAAACCCTGTCTCTACTAAATACAAATTAGCTGGGCTTGGCAGCATGTGCCTGCAGCCCAACTACTCAGGAGGCTGAAGTGGGAGAATTGCTCCAGCCCACAAGGCAGAGGTTGCAGTGAGGTGAGATGGTGCAACTACTACACTCCAGACTGGGTGACAGAGCGAGTCTCTGTCTCAAAAATAAAATAAAATAAAATAAAATAATATAAAATAAAATTTGTAAATAGAATACACCGAAATATATTCTGTGAACAAAAGAGGACAAATTAAACCAAGAGAGTTCAATGTACAAGGTATGATTTTGAAATTATACAATTGTACTTTTAAATCCCTTGACTTTTGCAAAGAATCTTGATGCAGCATATATTTTTATTATATAAATGTCTATTTTGCAATAGGATGAAATAAAATTAAGAAGACCTATGATAATGCAGTATATAAATTTGGCAAAACACTTGAATAATGAAAAAACTTATTGGTGAGTTTTGTCTCATAAATATATTTGTTGGAGAAAGATACTCTAAATGGAGACAAACATAAAATGCTTGTGGAAATATTTAGACATTTAACATAAACAATTAGAATTGACATTGCCCTCCATTTGACAGAATTTTATCTGAATTTACATTACAACAGCACTAGAAGAGAATATTTTCCCTATTAAAAAGATTATGGTCTATAGAAAAAGAACCAACTGAAAATGCAATTAACCATAATTTGAAACTTGAAGACAATTTCAGGCATTTTTATGGGAAAAAACACTAAATTTTTAAACAAAATACTATTAATAAAGAGAATTAGAGAAATTATATAAGCACACAAGTATTGTTACCTGCTTTTAAAATTTTTAATGTTCAGGTAATGATATAAAGGAGGTTTATTTATTAAAATGTTTATTTAATGTATACTAGTGTAATAGAAATATTTTATTTGATTTATGAACGTATGAATTTATAATAAATAACAATTATAAATACCATAACAAAAAAATTAATGAAATAATTTATTCTTGACTATATGTTATAAATGTATTATGTAAATGCAATATATTTAATAAATGCATTTTGGTTAAATATTAATATAGTATTGGTTATATTTATTCTTTATTTTTTATTTTTTTAATTATACTTCAAGTTTTAGGGTACATGCGCACAACGTGCAGGTTTGTTACATACGTATACATGTGCCATGTTGGTGTGCTGCACCCATTAACTGGTCATTTACATTAGGTATATCTCCTAATGCTATCCCTCCCCACTCCCCCCACCCCACAACAGGCCCCGGTGTGTGATGTTCCCCTTCCTGTGTCCATGTGTTCTCATTGTTCAATTCCCACCTATGAGTGAGAATATGTGGTGTTTGGTTTTTTGTCCTTGCGATAGTTTACTGAGAATGACGGTTTCCAGCTTCATCCATGTCCCTACAGAGGACATGAACTCATCATTTTTTTATGGCTGCATAGTATTCCATGGTGTATATGTGCCACATTTTCTTAATCCAGTCTATCATTGTTGGACATTTGGGTTGGTTCCAAGTCTTTGCTGTTGTGAATAGTGTCACAATAAACATATGTGTGCATGTGTCCTTATAGCAGCATGATTTATAATCCTTTGGGTATATACCCAGTAATGGGATGGCTGGGTCAAATGGTAATTCTAGTTCTAGATCCCTGAGGGATTGCCACACTGACTTCCACAATGGTTGAACTAGTTTACAGTCCCACCAACAGTGTAAAAGTGTTCCTATTTCTCCACATCTTCTCCAGCACCTGTTGTTTCCTGACTTTTTAATGATCGCCATCTCTTTGTGGTTTTGATTTGCATTTCTCTGATGGCCAGTGATGATCAGCATTTTTTCATGTGTATTTTGGCTGCATAAAAGTCTTCTTTTGAGAAATGTCTGTTTATATCCTTCACCCACTTTTTGATGGGGTTGTTTTTTTCTTGTAAATTTGTTGGAGTTCATTGTAGATTCTGGATATTAGCCCTTTGTCAGATGGGTAGATTGCAAAAATTTTCTCCCATTCTGTGGGTTGCCTGTTCACTCTGATGGTAGTTTCTTTTGCTGTGCAGAAGCTCCTTAGTTTAATTAGATCCCATTTGTCAATTTTGGCTTTTGTTTCCATTGCTTTTGGTGCTTTAGACATGAAATCCTTGCCCATGCCTATGTCTTGAATGATATTGCCTAGGTTTTCTTCTAGGGTTTTTATGGTTTTAGATCTAACATTTAAGTCTTTAATCCATCTTGAGTTAATTTTTGTATAAGGTGTAAGGAAGGGATCCAGTTTCAGCTTTCTCCATATGGCTAGCCAGTTTCCCTGGCACCATTTATTAAATAGGGAATCCTTTCCCCATTGCTTGTTTTTCTCAGGTTTGTCAAAGATCAGATAGTTGTAGATATGCGGCATTATTTCTGAGGGCTCTGTTCTGTTCCATTGGTCTATATCTCTGTTTTGGTACCAGTACCATGCTGCTTTGGTCACTTTAGCCTTGTAGTATAGTTTGAAGTTAGGTAGCGTGATGCCTCCAGCTTTGTTCTTTTGGCTTAGGATTGACTTGGCAATGTGGGCTCTTTTTTGGTTCCCTATGAACTTTAAAGTAGTTTTTTCCAATTCTGTGAAGAAAGTCATTGGTTGCTTGATGAGGATGGCATTGAATCTATAAATTACCTTGGGCAGTATGGCCATTTTCACGATATTGATTCTTCCTACCCATGAGCATGGAATGTTCTTCCATTTGTTTGTATCCTCTTTTATTTCATTGAGCAGTGGTTTGCAGTTCTCCTTGAAGAGGTCCTTCACGTCCCTTGTAAGTTAGATTCCTAGGTATTTTATTCTCTTTGAAGCAATTGTGAATGGGAGTTCACTCATGATTTTGCTCTGTGTTTGTCTGTTATTGGTGTATAAGAATGCTTGTGATTTTTGCACATTGATTTTGTATCCTGAGACTTTGCTGAAGTTGCCTATCAGCTTAAGGAGATTTTGGGCTGAGACGATGGGGTTTTCTAGATATACAATCATGTCATCTGCAAACAAGGACAATTCGACTTCCTCCTTTCCTAATTGAATACCCTTTATTTCCTTCTCCTGCCTGATTGCCCTGGCCAGAACTTCCAACACTATGTTGAATAGGAGTGGTGAGAGAGGGCATCCCTGTCTTGTGCCAGTTTTCAAAGGGAATGCTTCCAGTTTTTGTCCATTCAGTATGATATTGGCTGTGGGTTTGTCATAGATAGCTCTTATTATTTTGAGATATGTCCCATCAATACCTAATTTATTGAGAATTTTTAGCATGAAGGATTGTTGAATTTTGTCAAAGGCCTTTTCTGCATCTATTGAGATAATCATGTGGTTTTTGCCTTTGCTTCTGTTTATATGCTGGATTACGTTTATTGAGTTGCATATGTTGAACCAGCCTTGCATCCCAGGGATGAAACCCACTTTATCATGGTGGATAAGCTTTTTGATGTGCTGCTGGATTTGGTTTGCTAGTATTTTATTAAGGATTTTTGCATCGATGTTCATCAGGGATCTCGGTCTAAAATTCTCTTTTTTTGTTGTGTCTCTGCCAGGCTTTAGTATCAGGATGATGCTGGCCTCATAAAATGAGTTAGGGAGGATTCCCTCTTTTTCTATTGATTGGAATGGTTTCAGAAGGAATGGTACCAGCTCCTCCTTGTACCTCTGGTAGAATTGGGCTGTGAATCCATCTGGTCCTCGACATTTTCGGTTGGTAAGCTATTAATTATTGCCTCAATGTCAGAGCCTGTTATTGGTCTATTCAGAGATTCAACTTCTTCCTGGTTTAGTCTTGGGAGGGTGTATGTGTCGAGGAATTTATCCATTTCTTCTAGATTTTCTACTTTATTTGCATAGTGGTGTTTATAGTATTCTCTGATGGTAGTTTGTATTTCTGTGGGATCGGTGGTGATATCCTCTTTATCATTTTTTACTGCATCTGTTTGATTCTTCTCTCTTTTCTTCTTTATTAGTCTTGCTAGCGGTCTATCAATTTTGTTGATCTTTTCAAAAAACCAGCTCCTGGGTTCATTGATTTTTTGAAGGGTTTTTTGTGTCTCTATTTCCTTCAGTTCTGCTCTGAACTTAGTTATTTCTTGCCTTCTGCTAGCTTTTGAATGTGTTTGCTCTTGCTTCTCTAGTTCTTTTAATCGTGATGTTAGGGTGTCAATTTTACATCTTTCCTGCTTTCTCTTGTGGGCATTTAGTGCTATAAATTTCCCTCTACACACTGCTTTGAATGTTTCCCAGAGATTCTGGTATGTTGTGTCTTTGTTCTCGTTGGTTTCAAAGAACATCTTTATTTCTGCCTTCATTTCATTCTTTACCCAGTAGTCATTCAGGAGCAGGTTGTTCAGTTTCCATGTAGTTGAGCAGTTTTTGAGTGAGTTTCTTAATCCTGAGTTCTAGTTTGATTGCACTGTGGTCTGAGAGACAGTTTGTTGTAATTTCTGTTCTTTTACATTTGCTGAGGAGTGCTTTACTTCCAACTATGTGGTCAATTTTGGAATAGGTGTGGTGTGGTGCTGAAAAGAATGTATATTCTGTTGATTTGAGGTGGAGAGTTGTGTAAATGTCTATTAGGTCCGCTCGGTGCAGAGCTGAGTTCAATTCCTGGATATCCTTGTTAACTTTCTGTTTTGTTGATCTGTCTAATGTTGATAGTGGGGTGTTAAAGTCTCCTATTATTATTGTGTGGGAGTCTAAGTGTCTTTGTAGGTCTCTAAGGACTTGCTTTATGAATCTGGGTGCTCCTGTATTGGGTGCATATATATTTAGGATAGTTAGCTCTTCTTGTTGAATTGATCCCTTTACCATTATGTAATGGCCTTCTTTGTCTCTTTTGATCTTTGTTGGTATAAAGTCTGTTTTATCCGAGACTAGGATTGCAACCCCTGCCTTTTTTTTGTTTTCCATTTGCTTGGTAGATCTTCCTCCATCCCTTTATTTTGAGCCTATGTGTGCCTCTGCACGTGAGATGGGTTTCCTGAATACAGCATACTGATGGGTCTTGACTCTATCCAATTTGTCAGTCTGTGTCTTTTAATTGGAGCATTTAGCCCATTTATATTTAAGGTTAATATTGTTATGTGTGAATTTGATCCTGTCATTATGATGTTAGCTGGTTATTTTGCTCGTTAATTGATGCAGTTTCTTCCTAGCATTGATGTTCTTTAGTTTGTCATGTTTTTGCAGTGGCTGGTACCGGTTGTTCCTTTCCATGTTTAGTGCTTCCTTCAGGAGCTCTTGTAGGGCAGGCCTGGTGGTGACAACATCTCTCAGCATTTGTTTGTCTGTAAAGGATTTTATTTCTCCTTCATTTATGAAGCTTAGTTTGGCTGGATATGAAATTGTGGTTGAAAATTCTTTTCTTTAAGAATGTTGAATATTGGCCTCCACTCTCTTCTGGCTTGTAGAGTTTCTGCCGAGAGATCAGCTGTTAGTCTGATGGGCTTCCCCTTGTGGGTAACCCAACCTTTCTCTCTGGCTGCCCTTAACATTTTTTCCTTCATTTCAACTTTGGTGAATCTGACAATTATGTGTCTTGGAGTTGCTCTTCTCGAGGAGTATCATTGTGGCATTCTCTGTATTTCCTGAATTTGAATGTTGGCCTGCCTTGCTAAGTTGGGGAAGTTCCCCCGGATAATATCCTGCAGAGTGTTTTTCAACTTGGTTCCATTCTCCCCATCACTTTCAGTTACACCAATTAGACGTAGATTTGGTCTTTTCACATAGTCCCCTATTTCTTGGAGGCTTTGTTCATTTCTTATTATTCTTTTTTCTCTAAACTTCTCTCTCGCTTCATTTCACTCATTTGATCTTTCATCACTGATACCCTTTCTTCCAGATGATCGAATCGGCTACTGAGGCTTATGCATTCATCATGTAGTTCTCATGCCATTGTTTTCAGCTCCATCAGGTCCTTTAAGGACTTCTCTGCATTGGTTATTCTAGTTAGCCATTCATCTAATTTTTTTCAAGGTTTTTAACTTCTTTGCCATGGGTTCAAACTTCCTCCTTTAGCTTGGAGTAGTTTCATCATCTGAAGCCTTCTTCTCTCAACTCATTAAAGTCATTCTCTATCCTGGTTTGTTCCATTGCTGGTGAGGAGCTGCATTCCTTTGGAGGAGGAGAGGCACTCTGATTTTTAGAGTTTCCAGTTTCTCTGCTCTGTTTTTTCCCCATCTTTGTGGTTTTATCTACCTTTGGTCTTTGATGATGGTGACGTAAAAATGGCGTTTTGGTGTGGATGTCCTTTCTGTTTGTTAGTTTTCCTTCTAACAGTCAGGACCTTCAGCTGCAGATCTGTTGTAGTTTGCTGGAGGGCCACTCCAGACCCTGTTTGCCTGGGTATCAGCAGTGGAGGCTGCAGAACAGTCGATATTGGTGAGCAGCAAATGTTGCTGCCTGATCGTTCCTCTGGAAGTTTTGTCTCAGAGTTGTTCCTGGCCGTGTGAGGTGTCAGACTGCCCCTACTGGGGGGTTCCTCCCAGTTAGGCTACTTGGGGGTCAGGGACCCACTTGAGGAGGCAGTCTGTTTGTTCTCAGATCTCAAGCTGTGTGCTGGGAGAACCACTACTCCCTTCAAAGCTGTCAGACAGGGACATTTAAGTCTGCAGAGGCTTCTGTTGCCTTTTGTTTGGCTATGCTCTGCCCCCAGAGGTGGAGTCTACAGAGGTAGGCAGGCCTCCTTGAACTGCGGTGGGCTCCACCCAGTTTGAGTTTCCTGGCCACTTTGTTTACCTACTCAAGCCTGAGCAATGGCAGGTGCCCCTCCCCCAGCCTCGCTGCCACCTTGCAGTTTGATCTCAGACTGCTGTGCTAGCAATGAGCGAGGCTCTGCGGGCATAGGACCCTCTGAGCCAGGCGCAGGATATAATCTCATGGTGTGCCATTTGCTAAGACCATGGAAAAGTGCAGTATTAGGGTGAGAGTGACCCGATTTTCTAGGTGCCATCTGTCACCCCTTTCTTTGACTAGGAAAGGGAATTCCCTGATCCCTTGCTCTTCCCAGGTGAGGCGATGCCTCACCCTGCTTCAGCTCATGCTTGGTGCACTGCACCCACTGTCATGCATCCACTGTCCGACACTCCCCAGTGAGATGAACCCGGTACCTCAGTGGGAAATGCAGAAATCACCTACCTTCTGTGTCGCTCATGCTGGTAGCTGTAGACTGGAGCTGTTCCTATTCAGCCATCTTGGCTCCACCCAGTATTGGTTATATTTAATATTTATTAAATATATTTCATAGACATATTTATTTGAAAATATTTTAAATATATGTTTTACAGATCTATCTATATAATAAAACCAATTTCTTGTCCAATAAATAGATACTACAAAAATGATATACTTTTAATTATTTTTATGGATCCCTTTAAAAGTAAAACACATCTTATATTTAGATAATTAATTAGTCACTTTGTCTATGGTTCTTTTCTCATTTGGTCCTGGCCATCTCAAGTCTACTTCTTTCCCTCTATATCCTTCACAAAACAATTTTATATCCTATAAAAATCAGCCTTTATTTCGGGATACTACTAATAGATTGGTTTTTTTTTGGAACCTTGCCATTCTTCATATTTATAATCTGACAAACCCAAAATTCTCCAGCTTCAAGTGTTAGTGTAAGTAGCTTCAAGTGTTAGAAAGCATGAAATTATCTCCAGGGTCAAAATGATGTGAAGTCTTAAAGTTCCAAAGAAATAACAATTATGCAAAGCAATGACCATCATTTGCAGTTCTATGTATTGTTATTTTTTCTTCACTTTCTGAAATAAGACACGTCGGCTTTTTTTGTTTGTTTGTTTTGGACATGGACATCAATTTAACACTGATAAAAATCTGGCAACTGCAAATATGTATCATCAGTATTTACAATATATTTGATTCATATAGCAGCTTCCAAAGAACGCAAAGCGATTTCACATACACGTTATTTATCCTCATCATCATAGTAGAATAGATTTTAAAGCCCAATGTGCCTATTCTATTGAAATTAAGTCTCATGCTTCTTGTACTTTTCCAGAACAGTATGTCTAGTTGTCTAAAACACTTTTACACATTTTGATCAATTACCCTGGAAAAACATTAATTTCACTGTCACAATCACCCAGAGAGCTCAGTACACAAAATGGCAGATATAACCTTTTCTCAAACATCTCTAATTGTCTGCATACCCCACTAATATTGGCTACATAATACATTTATTTTTGTCATTTGGGACTAAGTGCCTTACTTAGTTTTGTTCAGTGTATTCATTAATTGAAGAAATACTTATTCAGGATTTCTATTACTTAGTTTTGCTCAATATATTCACTAATTGAAGAAATATTTATTCAGGACTTCCATTATATGAGCACTGGCCTTTGTGGTACAAAGATACAACATGAATCTGAAACTCAATTTAATCTAGAAAGATTTATTAATATAATCTCATCAGAAAAGCAAGACATCTACTGTGATAGCTACAGTATTGGTTAGAAATGGAAAAGAGAGAGCAGATGAGTATGGATGAAAGGCTGTGGAAGTTCAGATGAAATGCTTACTCCAGCTTGAGATATTAATCAGAAGTCAAACTCATGACTTTCCTCCCTCCCTACCATATCCCTGTACTTACCTCTGTATCACTTAGAAGGATTTGGGGCATACAAGTAGCAGAAGACACAATTCAAAATGTTCTAAACACTAAGGGGATTTTTCACTTCACAAAACAAATTGAGGTAGGGAGGCTCCAGAAGTGATTAATTCCATGCCCAGTATCCTTGGCATTCCTTTATCTCATCACTCTGCCTTTCTCTCACTACTCCGTATGCATACCATCATGGTCCCAAGATCATTACAGCAACTTCAGGCTTCCCATTTTTTCTCTTACCAGTGTCTGAAGGCGGGAACAAGGCTCTCTGTCTGCTTTATGTTTATGTATAGGAACTAATAAATCTTTCTCATACATCTTCCTTCCCAGTAGGTGTCCCCTCATATCTCACTGGCCAGAACGAGGTCACATGACCCTTTCCAAGCCAATCACTGGCAATGATTAAAGAGTTACCATTATGAGTTTAGACTAATATTGATTCCTTTTCCCTGAGAATGGAGTTATGCAACAAAAGGTGAATAACTGAACAAATGTGGGTCTCTTCCCATAAGAAAGACATGGAAGTAAGGGAAAACTTGACATAGGCCACCAATAATAATGTTTCTTACACTACTCTAAGTTTACTGCTTTTCCTAACTTTCTTATTTTGTTTCTTGGTACCACCAATCTCCCCTTCACTTAATGGGCTCAAAATCCTAAAATGGTTCTTTGACAAGACTCTTTCTGTTGCTCTCACATCTTATTACCAAGCATAATAAAGCTTACTCCTATGTCTTGAAAATGCCCAGTTCCAGTTCTCATCTTTACATGCCTATAATGTTGTAAAAGTCTCCTAGAGGGAGCATATTAATTAATCATCCAAACCAGGACACTTTTGAGATGGAAATAATGTGCTATTAATAATTATGTAAGGAAAATAGGTATACATTATAACCAACCTAGGAAAACTGAAGGTATGCTTATCCCATCCCAACTCATCTTTTTTGTGTCCAGTTTTTACATTCTCCAATTCAAGTTTATACTGAATTTGTTTTCTGGAACCCAGCCCTGATCCTGTCACACACACCTGTGCAAAAGCTTTTAATCGATTCCCTATGGAATCTGAATTATCCCAGGATTTAGGGTTTTCCCACAGTATGTTCTCAAATTAAATTTTCCTGGCTTCTCTCTCATTATTTCCCCAAATATAAAGAAAATCTCGGCTATATACTACCCTTCAATGAAAACAGGTTACCTGTAATTTTTTAAGTGTGCCCATTCTGTCCTAGCTTTACATGCTTGTTAATGTGGTCCCATCCATTTGTAATGCCTTTCCTTTCAATGTCAGCATTATACCCATCATTTAATACGGCCATTGCATATGTTCCCTCTCCTTAACAAATCAGGGGTAATTTTGTACAGCCTTTATGATTATGACTATAATAATCAGGCTTTCAGAACAAAAATCAGAATTTGTGACCTGTCATGGATTCTGACAATGGGTGGACCTAAAACTGACTGTATTGGGGCTTTTATTATGGGCGCATTTGCTGATTTTTCTTACTAGATGATGGGTTTGTCAGTGGTATTAAATGGGTATTACTTATCTTGGAATGGTATATTGTTTTATATGTCCCAGCTTCTCCTTAAATATGTTTACATAAATTTCCTAATAAAGAAATTATTATGGTAACATAGCTATTACACATCTCTTTAATTGATTTAAAAATCTATTTCAAGATGAAAATAATAACAGTGTTTGTTGGAAGAGTGAAAACTGAGTAGATAGGAGACACTGGTAGGACAAACTTTTTCTACATACCCTTTGATAATTCTTGATGTTTGGATTATTCATGTGTATTGTTTATTAATAACTTAAAAGTTTAGAAATATTATTAGAAAATGTGTCTTTTAATAAAGAGTTTACATTTAATTTTTCTTTTTAAATACAAAAAAATAGTATGTAGTTCAGTCCCACATCTTCTTGGGAATTCTGCATACAGAATTTATGAGCATTGGCAGCTTACTAACAGAGTGGGAAAAAGAAACCAATTACTCTAATAAACATCTTTAGTCCAAAATCTTTTCAAGATTCTTCTTAAAAAAATCAACTTCATCTTGTTTTGATTGAGATTACATGACCACAAGAAAAGGGGCACCATTGAGAGTGTCAAAAGGCATCAACAGGGCTGGGTGCAGTGGCTCACGCCTGTAATCCTAGCACTTTGGTAGGCAGAGGTGGGCAGATCACGAGGTCAGGAGATAGAGACCATCCTGGGCAACATGGGGAAACCCTGTCTTTACTAAAAATAGAAAAATTAGCTGGGTGTGGTGTCGTGTGCCTGTAATCCCAGCTACTCGGGAGGCTGAGGCAGGAGAATTGCTTGAACCAGGGAGTCGGAGGTTGCAGTGATCCGAGATCATGCCGCTGCACTCCAGCCTGGTGACAGAGCAAGATTCCATCAAAAAAAAAAAAAAAGCATCAACAACTTCCATTTCCTTATTTCTTTCTACATTTTGTTTTTGAGGTTTAGCAATTCTTACAGATGTAGTTCATTTATTTTAACTACCTTAAGATTTCCCATTTAACAAATAAACCATAATCTTTCCACATAATGACAAATTTCATGTCAACTTTACTGGGCCACAGGATGCCCAGATTAAACATTATTTCTGGGTGTGTCTGTAAGGGTATTTCCAGATGACATTAGCATTTGAATTGGTGGGCCCAGTGAAGGAGATTGCCCAATGTGAGTAAACATCATCCAATTCATTCAGGACCTGAATAGAACAGAGGCAGAGAAAGGAGAAATTTGCCCCTGTTTTCTGACTCATTGCTTGAGTTGGGACATCTCATCTCATCTTCTTCCCTGGGACTGGAAGTTACACCATTGGCTCCCCTGGTTCTCAGGCCTTCAGACTCAGAACGAATTACATTACCAGATTTCCTAGGTCTGCAGCTTCTCAGGCTCCATAATTTCCTGAGCTAATTCCTCATAATAATAGTTCCAGTTTTCCCCTCCTCTCTCTCTCTCTCTACACACACACACACACACACACACACACACACACACACACACACACGGTGTCTTTAAAAGTTTATGAAAAATGCACACTATGTAAAAAGTATGCAAGGATTTCAAATTTTTATAACATTTCTGAACAGGATCTAGTTTGAGACACTAAGAAAGATAAGACATCAGTTTGAAAAGGGTCCCTATCAGAGTAACATAAATTCTGCTAAAACTGAAGCAAGAAAAAAAAAACATCAAATATATGATGCAGCTTGGGTAGAAGAATGGTGAAAGCAATAATACTTCACTAAAGTTTATGGAGACAATGCCCCAGGGAAATCAGCAGTTTACAAATGAACTACTCATTTTAAGAAGGGACGACTCAGAAAGGAAGCCACACACCCACAACCACCTGATCTTCAACAAAGTTGACAATAACAAGCAATGGGGAAAAGACTCCTTATTCAGTAAATGGTGCTGGGATAACTGGCTAGCCATATGCAGAAGATTTGAACTGGACCCATTCCTTTTGCCATATACAAAAATCAACTCAAGACAGATTAAAGACTTAAATATAAAACCTAAAACTAGAAAAACCCTAGGAAAAAACCTAGGCAATACCATTCTGGACATAGGCCTTGGCAAAGATTTTATAATGAAGACTTCAAAAGCAATTGCAACAAAAACAAATTTGACAAGTGGGGTCTCATTAAACTAAAGAACTTCTGCACAGCAAAAGGAACCATCAACAAAATAAACAGACAACCTACAGAATGGGAGAAAATACTTGCAAACTACGCATCCAACAAAAGTCTGATCTCTATAATCCAGAGGAACTTAAAACAAATTAACAAGCAAAAAAAAAACCCATTAAAAAATGGGCAAAACACATAAACAGACACTTCTCAGAAAAAGACATACAGTGACCAACATGCATTTGAAAAAATGCCCAACATCACTAATCATTAGAGAAATGCAAATCAAAACCACAATGAGATACCATTTCACACCAGTCAGAATGGCTATTACTAAAAAGTCAAAAAACAACACATGCTGGCAAGTTTGCAGAGAAAAGAGAACATTTGTACACTTCTGGTGGGAATGTACATTTGTTCAGCCATTGTAGAAAGCAGTTTGGACATTTCTTAAATAACTTAAAACAGAACTACCATTTGACCCAGCAATCTCATTACTGAGTATATATCCAAAGGAATATAAATAGTTCTACCATAGAGGCATATGCACTTGTATGTTCATCACAGCATTATTCACAATAGCAAAGACATGAAATCAACCTAGATTCCTATCAACTGGATAAAGAAAATGTGGTACATATACATCACGGAATACCACGTAACCATAAAAAAATAAAGTCATGTCTTTCACAGCAATATGGATGCAGCTGGAGGCCATTATTCTAAGTGAATTAATACAGGAACAGAAAACCAAATACTACATGTTCTCTTTTATAAGTGGGTGGGTACAAAGAAGGTAACAATAGACACGACAGACTACTTGAGGGTGAAGAGTGAAAGGAGAGTGAAGATCAAAAAATTACCTATTGTGTACTATGCTTATTGCCTGGGTGACAAAATAATCTGTACACCAAATCCCTGTAATACATAGTTTATCCATGCAACAAATCTGCATATATATCCCCTGAACCTAAAATGAAAGTTGAAAAGAAGAAGAAGGAACAAGTCGATGTTGAAGATAAAGCCTGCAATGGAAGAATATCCACGTCAATTTTCAAGGGAAAAAATTATCTTGCTCATGCCCTAATTGAAGAAGACCAACGATTAACAGTAGAAATAGCCAACACCGTAGATATCTCAATTGGTTCAGCTTACACAATTCTGACTGAAAAATTAGTTAAGCAAACTTTCAACTCAATGGGTGCAAAATTTGTTGTGCCCAGATTAACTGCAGAAAAGAGCAGAGTTTTCAATGACAATTTTAAATATGTGGGATCAAGATCCTGAAGATTTTCTTTGAGGAATTATAACAAGAGATGAAATACAGCTTTATAAGTGCAATACTGAAGACAAATCACAGTAAAAGTGATGGCTACCAAGAGGCTGAAGTGGTCGAGTCAAAGCAAAATCACACCAGTCAAGCACAAAAGTCATGGCAACAGTTTTTGGTGTGCTCAAGGCATTTTGCTTGTTGGCTTTCTGGAGGGCCAAAGAACAATAATGTCTGATTATGTGAGGGCTTTGAAACAGCCAAAGTTTTAGCAGAAAAGTGCCAGAGAGTCCTTCTTCACCATGACAATGCTCCTGCTTATTCCTCTCATCAAATAAGAGTAATTTTGTGACAGTTTCAATGAGAAATCATTAGACATCCACCTTACAGTCCTGATTTGCCTCCCTCTGACTTCTTTTTGTTTCCTTATCTTAAAAAAATCTCTAAAGGGCACCAATTTTTCTTAAGGTAATAATGTGTAAAAAAGACTGCGAATTCCCACAACTTTCAGTTCTTAAAGGATGGACTAAATGGCTGGTATCATTGCTTACAAGAGTGTCTTGAACTTGAAAGAGCTTATGTTGAGAAATAGTTTATATATTTTATCTTTTAATTCTGTTTTTCAATGAACTTTTTGAGGTGTGTGTGTGTGTGTGTGTTTCTATGCCTTTCATTTTGTTTCTCTGGAGAACCCTGACTAAATACAGTCCATTAGCTTACTGATGGATAGCAATCTTATTTCCTCTGCCCCCTGTTAATAAACAATGTTACAATGAATAACCTGGTATATATGTCCCCCTATGCACATGTGGATCTGTAGGATTAAAAGGCAAGTGCACGGCTAAACTGACAGCAAGAAGCAGAGAATGCATATGTCAGTATTAACTCTTTTCTTTTCGGGTCCCTCACTTACCTACAGAAATACATATTTTCATTTATATTGAATTGTCATGGGAAGGCAGGAAGGCTTTTCCTCCTACTGTGCCTCAAGAGAGTGCAAACTTGCATATAATTTCAAATGAACACCCCACAGCCTTCTGTTGACCTTGCAAGCATCAGGGCTGTTCACACATAGTCTGCCATCTGCCCACATCTGGCTTTGCTGCCCAACCTTAACACTTCAGTAGTGTTTTTACACCTTTTTTGAAAAAGAAAAAAGTTATGGGAGCAAATACTATAGTTTGCTGTGCTTTAGCTGGTTAAATGGAGCATAGTCTAGCAAGAAGGGTCAGATCAAATATGTTGGAAATGTGCCACTGACTTTCCTTGTGGCCACAGGAAAGTCACTTTGCCTTTTTGTTTTTCCATTTCCTCATTCATAAAATGAAAGGACTATTGTTCATCTTCCTATTAATTTAACAAATACCTAAAAGTATGAACTAAAGATATTTAATACTTTTAATTCTTATTTAGAATTGAGAGACTAGTCATGTGCATGTATATGAACTTTGACTATCAAAGGTCATTTTGCCAGTCCCAGATTCTGGAAGCAACAGTATGATTTGTGTGAGAGCAATTCCATTGCTATTCCTAACTTGAGCAGTCTTGCAAAGTATTTGAAAAAAATTCTATTTCTTTCAGTGACACTTATGCTAACCTTCAAATCTTGCTTAGGCTAGTAGTTTTTAGTCATATCTATACATATATCTTATTCTTGATAAAGACTAAAGTTGTGGCAATTTTACATATCAAACTAAGACTTTTATGGACTAAGATTATTTTCAGTTGCAGAAATAGGACCTCCTAAATACTCATTTTAAACAAGAAAAGTAAATCATTACACATTTCTAATACTTAAAACCAGAGATGGTTTCTTTAAATTTTATTAGATTTTGAGAAGACACTCTTGATTATGGAAAATAGAAAATTTCTCACCTTAGTTCTCAGAAAATTCAGTATCCATGAGTGTTTAAAAATATAAAATTTGTTATTTAATACTATTATTCCCAAATAAAGCTTAGATAGGTTCAGGCCAAATAAGTACCTAGCCTCAAGGAAGTAGCACCTAAATCATTTTGGTTATTAACACTTTAAACAAACTAGCTCATTAGATTTGCTAGCTAGGATTGGGGCACCTCTGTAACTGGAACTAGTAGAGGAGGTCCAGAACCCCCCAAACTATTTGAGAACAGCAGTAGAGATTAGGGTGTTATAAAAAGAAGGTATGCAGCAAAGAGAAGGCAGCAGGTAAAGGGGGGCCTCTGGGAAGGAGAGATGAAGACTTTAAGGAAGGGAAATGGTGCTAATGACAAATTTTGCTAACTTTTAAATTTCATTACTTTAGAGAACAGAATTCTAGGAACCACAGAGGAAGGTCTTACAGTCCAAGCACCAGAGCACCTAAGCAAGTTACATGTCTTCTGTGAAGAGCAGCTGATAAAATCTGGGAGAATGGCCCAGTCATACTGGCTATTCCACTTTGCAATCTATGAAGTCCCTAGAATAAGAATAACCCCAAAAAGAGGATAGCAGACAACAGAGATCCCAGACAATAGAAAACCATCATCTAGGCTTTATCTTTTTTGTTGCAAATATCTCTTCGATTGAACCATAAACCTTCATAAATTTAATAGATAAATCAGAACTTTGGAGGGATATGATGGCGGGGACATGTAGCTTTTCTTTGTTTGAAGTTTCACAGAATTGTTAAACTAAAATATTAGCTATTTTGAGGCATGGGTGTGTAGGAAGACTTTTTTTCTCACTCAACTCATGCATATTTTATGGTATAGATTTTTTTTATCATTTCACTAAGATTCACATTTGAAAGCATACACCTTGAGGCGGATATGGGAGTGCCATGCCACTATCTGAACTTTGTGGTTTCCTGCTCATTGTCATGTATTCAACTTTTGGAACAAGTCTGTAGTGAATGGAAAGTCTGGCGTACATGTGAATTTAAAACAATGTAAAAGCATTGAGACCAGCCTTTCACCTCTTTCCCATCCTCTTCTTTCTCTTTCTTCATCCCTTTTGATGCTTTTAAGCATAACATAAATGTATCTCATAAGGAAAATTGTATAAATCAGTTAGTGATTTTATATTTTACCCTACTAAGGGACATTTGCACTTGAGCAAGGAAAAGTGAAAAGAGTATTCCTAACTGGAAAGAAAAATCCCTAACGGGGTAGAATTTAAAGTCCACTTTTACATAGGTTGTGGGAGTCATTTTGTGGTAAATGGTAATACAAATGGTGAAAAAGTATCTCATGGCTATATTGCCCTTATAAAGTATGTGAAATTTGTTATAGGAAATAATTATTTCTTGCTAAAAGTGTAGCTATCTTTTAAGTCAGTGGTTTCCAAACATGACTGTACATCACAATCTCCTATGAAATTTTTTAAAAACCACAGATTCCATGTCCCAACTCAGTAGCCTATTTTCTGAGCCTTGCACCCTGAGTTTCAAGCACAAAGCTGGGCGGCCATTTGGGCAGACACTGAGCTAGCTGCGAGAGTTTTTTTTTCATACCGCAGTGGCTCCTGGAACACCAACGAGACAGAACCATTCACTCCCCTGGAAAAGGGGCTGAAGCCAGGGAGCCAAGTGGTCTAGCTAAGCAAATCCCACTCCCACAAAGCCCAGCAAGCTAAGGTCCACTGGCTTGAAATTCTCACTGCCAGCACAGCAGTCTGAAGTTGACCTGGGATGTTGGAGCTTGGTCGGGGGAGGGGCGTCCACCATTACTGAGGCCTGAGTAGGCAGTTTTCCCCTCACAGTGTAAACAAAGCCACTGGGAAGTTTGAAATGGGCAAAGCCCACCACAGCTCAGCAAAGCCACTCTAGCCAGACTGCCTCTCTAGATTCCTCCTCTCTGGGCAGGGCATCTCTAAAAGAAAGGCAGCAGCCCCAGTCAGGGGCTAATAGATCAAACTCCCATTTCCCTGGGACAGAGCACCTGGGGGAAAGGCCAGCTGTGGGGCAGCTTCAGCAGACTTAAACGTTCCTGCCTGTCGGTTCTGAAGATAGCAGTGGATCCCCCAGCACAGTGCTCAAGCTCTGCTAAGGGACAGACTGCCTTCTCAAGTGGGTCCCTGATCCCCATGCCTCCTGACTGGGGGACACCTCCCAGCAGACACCTCATACAGAAGAGCTCCCGCTGGCATCTGGCAAGTGCCCCTCTGGGACGAAGCTTCCAGAGGAAGGAACAGGCAGCAATCTTTGCTGTTCTGCAGCCTCCACTGGTGAGGCAAACAGCCAGGCAAACAGGGTCTGGAGTGGACCTTCAGCAAACTCCAGCAGACCTGCAGTCGAGGGGCCTGACTGTTAGAAGGAAAATTAACAAACAGAAAGGAATAGTATCAACATCAACAAAAAAAAATGTCCACACAAAAACCCCATCCGAAGGTCACCAGCATCAAAGACCAAGGGTAGATAAATCCATGAAGATGAGGAAAAACCAGCACAAAAAGGCTGAAAATTGCAAAAATAAGGATGCCTCTTCTCCTTCAAAGGATCACAACTCCTCACCAGCAAGGGAACAAACAGTATGGAGAATAAGTTTCACGAATTGACAGAAGTAGGCTTCAGAAAGTGGGTAATAACATACGCCTCTGAGCTTCTAACCCAATGCAAGGAAGCTGAGAACCTTGAAAAAAGTCAGTTGAATTTCTAACTAGAATAACCAGTTTAGAGAAGAACATAAATGACCTGATGGAGCTGAAAAACACAGCACGAGAACTTCGTGAAGCATACACAAGTATCAAGAGCAGAATTGATCAGGCGAAAGAAAGCATATCAGAGATTGAAGATCAGCTTAATGAAATAAAATGTGAAGACAAGGTTAGAGAAAAAAGAATGAAAAGCAACAAACAAAACTTCCAAGAAATATGGGACTATGTGAAAAGACCAAACCTACGTTTGACTGGTGTACCTGAAAGTGACAGGGAGAATGGAACCAAGTTGGAAAACACTCTTCAGGAGATTATCCAGGAGAACTTCCCCAACCTAGCAAGACAGGCCAACATTCAAATTCAGGAAATACAGAGAACAGCACAAAGACAATCCTCGAGTAGAGCAACCCCAATACACATAATCGTCAGATTCGCCAAGTTTGAAATAAAGGAAAAAATGTTAAGGGCAGCCAGAGAGAAAGGTCAGGTCACCTACAAAGGGAAGCCATCAGACTAACAGCAGATCTCTCTGCAGAAACCCTACAAGCCAGAAGAGCATAGGTGTCAATATTCAACATTCTTAAAGAAAAGAATTTTCAACCCAGAATTTCATATCCAGCCAAACTAAGCTTCATAAATGAAGGAGAAATAAAATCCTTTACAGATAAGCAAATGCTGACAGATTTTGTCACCACCAGGCCTACCTTACAAGAGCAAGGAGGCACTAAATATGGAAAGGAAAAACCGGTACCAGCCACTGCAAAAACATACCAAATTGCAAAGACCATTAACACTATGAAGAAACTGAATCAACTAATGGGCAAAATAACCAGCTAGCATCATAATGACAGGATGAAATTCACACAAAATAATATTAACCTTAAATGTAAATGGGCCAAATGCCCCAATTAAAAGACACAGACTGGTAGTTTAGATAAAGAGTCAAGACCCATCAGTGTGCTGTATTCAGGAGACCCATCTCACATGCAAACACACATAGGCTCAAAATAAAGGGATGCAGGAAGATTTACCAAGCAAATGGAAAGCAAAAAAAGAGCAGGGATTGCAATCCTAGTCTCTGATAAAACAGGCTTTAAACCGACAAAGATCGAAAATGACAAAGAAGGGCATGACATAATGGTAAAGGGATCAATGCAACAAGAAGAGCTAACTATCCTAAATACATATGCGCCCAATACAGGAGCACCCAGATTCATAAAGCAACTTCTTAAAGAGACCTACAAAGAGACTTAGACTACCCCACAATAATCATGGAAGACTTTAAAATCCTATTGTCATTATTAGACATATCAATGAGACAGAAAATTAACAAGGATATTCAGGACTTTAACACAGTTCTGGACCAAGTGGACCTAATACACGTCTATAGAACTGTCCACCCCAAATCATCAGAATATACATTCTTCTCAGCACCACATCATACTTATTGTAAAACTGGCCACATAATTGGAAGTAAAACACTCCTCAGCAAATGCAAAAGAATGGAAATCATAACAAACACTCTCTCAGATTACAGTGCAATCAAATTAGAACTCAGGATTAAGAAACTCACTCAAAACCACACAACTACATGGAAACTGAACAACCTGCTCCTGAATGACTACTGAGTAAATAACAAAATTTAGGCAGAAATAAGTTTTTTGAAACCAATGAGAAAAAAGACACAACATACCAGAATCTCTGGGACACAGCTAAAGCAGTGTTTAGAGGGAAATTTATAGCACTAAATGCTCACAGGAGAAAGCAGGAAAGATCTAAAATCAACAAGCTAACATCACAATTAAAAGAACTAGAGAAGCAAGAGCAAACAAATTCAAAAGATAGCAGAATATAAGAAATAACTAAGATCAGAGCAGAACTGAAGGAGACACAGACATGAAAACCCCTTCAAAAAATCAGTGAATCCAGGAGCTGATTTTTTGAAAAGATTAACAAAATAGATAGACTGCTAGCAAGACTATGAAAAAAGAAAAGAGAGAAGAATCAAATAGACACAATAAAAAATGATAAAGAGGAGATCACCACTTATCCCACAGAAATACAAACTACCATCAGAGAATACTATAAACACTTCTACGCAAATAAACAAGAGAATCTAGAAAAAAAAGATAAGTTCCTGGACACATACACCCTCCCAAGACTAAACCAGGAGAATGTTGAATCCCTGAATAGATCAATAACAAGTACTGAAATTGAGGCAGTTATTAATAGCTTGCCAACCAAAATAAGCCCAGAACCAGATGGATTCACAGCCGAATTCTACCAGAGGTACAAAGAGGAGCTGGTACCATTCCTTCTGAAACTATTTCAAACAATAGAAAAAGAGGGACTCCTCCTCCTCCCTAACTCATTTTATGAGGCCAGCATTATCCTGATACCAAAACCTGGCAGAGACAGAACAAAAAAAGAAAATTTCAGGCCATCCCTGAAGAACATCGATGTGAAAATCCTCAGTAAAATACTGGCAAACTGAATCCAGCAGCACATCAAAAAGCTTATCCACCACAATCAAGTTGGCTTCATCACTGGGAGGCAAGGCTGGTTCAACGTATGCAAATCAATAAACATAATCCATCACATAAACAGAACCAATGACAAAAACCACATGATTATCTCAATAGATGCAGAAAAGGCTTTCGATAAAATTCAGCATCCCTTCATGTTAAAAACTCTCAATGAACTAGGTACCGATGGAACGTATTTCAAAATAATGTGAGCTATTTGTGAACAAACCCACAGCCAATATCATATTGCATGTTCAAAAGTTGGAAGCATTCCCTTTGAAAACTGGCAGAAGACAACAATGCCCTCTCTCACCACTCCTATTCAAAATAGTATTGGAAGTTCTGGCCAGGGCAATCAGGCAAGAGAAGGAAATAAAAGGTATTCAAATAGGAAGAGAGGACATCAAATTGTCTCTGTTTGAAGATGACACGGTTGCATATTTAGAAAATCCCATCGTCTCAGTCCCAAATCTCCTTAACCTGATAAGCAACTTCAGCAAAGTCTCAGGATACAAAATCAATGTGCAAAAATTACAGGCATTCCTATACACCAATAAAAGAGAAATAGAGAGCCAAATCATGAGTAAACTCCTATTCCCAATTGCTACAAAGAGAATAAAACACCTACGAATACAACTCACAAGGGATGTGAAGGACATCTTCAAGAGAACTACAAACCACTACTCAAGGAAATAATAGAGGGCTGAAACAAATAGAAAAACATTCCATGCTCATGGATAGGAAGAATCAATATCATGAAAATGGCCATACTGCCCAAAGTAATTTACAGATTCAATGCTATCCCTAATCAAGCTACCATTGACTTTCTTCACAGAATTAGAAAAAAACTACTTTAAATTTAATATGGAAACAAAAAAGAGCCCATATAGCCTAGACAATCCCAAGCAAAAAGAACAAAGCTGGAGGCATCATGCTACCTGACTTCAAACTATACTATAAGACTACAGTAACCAAAACAGCATGGTACTGGTACCAAAATAGATATATAGACCAATGGAACAGAGCAGAGGCCTCAGAAATAACACTACACATCTACAGCCACCTGATCTTTGACAAACCTGACCCAAAAAAAAGCAATGGGGAAAGGATTCCCCATTTAATAAATGGTGTTGGGAAAACTGGCTAGCCATATGCAGAAAACTGAAACTGGATCCCTTTCTTACACCTTATACATAAATTAACTCAAGATGGATTAACGACTTAAACATAAGACCTAAAACCACGAAAACCCTAGAAGAAAACCTAGGAAATACCATTTAGGACATAGGCATGGGCAAAGACCTCATGACTATAACACGAAAAGCAATGGCAATAAAAGCCAAAATTGACAAATAGGATCTAATTAAACTAAAGGCCTTCTGCACAGCAAAAGAAACTATCATCAAAGTGAACAGGCAACCCACAGAATGGGAGAAAATTTTTGCAATCTATCCATCTGACAAAGGGCTAATATCCAGAATCTACAAGGAACTTAAATAAATTTACAAGAAAAAAACAACCCCATCAAAAGTGGGCAAAGGATATGAACAGACATTTCTCAAAAGAAGACATTTATGCAGCCAACAAAAATATGAAAAAAAGGTAATCATCACTGGTCATTAGAGAAACACAAATCAAAACCACAATGAGATACCATCTCACACCAGTTAGAATGGTGATCATTAAAAAGTCAGGAAACAACAGATGCTGGAGAGGATGTGGGGAAATAGGGACGCTTTTACACTGTTGGAGGGAGCATAAATTAGTTCAACCATTGTGGAAAACAGTGTGGTGATTCCTCAAGGATCTAGAACTAGAAATATCATTTGACCCACCAATCCCATTACTGGGTATATATACCCAAAGGATTCTAAATCATTCTACTATAAAGACACATGCACACATATGTTTATTGCAGCACTATTCACAATAGCAAAGACTTGGAACCAACCCAAATGCCCATCAGTGATAGACTGGATAAAGAAAATACGGTACATACACACCATGGAATACTATGCAGCCATAAAAAAGGATGAGTTCATGTCCTTTGCAGGGACATGGATAAATCTGGAAACCATCATTCACAGCAAACTAACACAGGAACAGAAAACCAGACGCTACATGTTCTCACTTATAAGAGGGAGTTGAACAATGAGAACACGTGGACACAGGAAGGGGAGCATCACACACCGGGGCCTGTCAGGGGTTGGTGGCTAGGGGAGGGATAGTATTAGGAGAAATACCTGATGAAGATGACCAGTTGATGGGTGCAGCAAACCACCATGGCACGTGTATACCTATGTAACAAACCTGCACATTCTGCACATGTATCCCAGAACTTAAAGTATAATTTAAAAAAGCAAAACAAAAGTAGTATTTTTAGTATCACCCAGTTAAAAATGTTTTCTAATTTTCATAGTTTTTTCTATTCAATTTGTAATCATGTGTTTCTTAATATTCAAATACATAGGAACATTATTGCTGTCTTTTTAATTTTTATTGCAAAGTTATTTGCACTGTGGTCCAAGATCACGCATGGTATGGAGTTAGTCTTTTAAAATTTGCTTTATAATGTTTACAAACTTGTTTTTAACTATGGTACACATTTTAAAAATAATTCTCTTCTGGTAATTCTAATACCTAAGATCTTTCTAGTTTGTTTCTTCTATCTAGTATTTTGTAGTTTTACTCATATTGCTCTGTTTCCTTGTGTGCTTTTTAAAATTTTACTTTTTACTGTGAGTTTTACATTTTTTCCTGAAAAAATTATTTGTGGAACGTTCATAAGGCCTATGATAAAATATGTTTTTAGTGAAGAGTTTCTTTTGTTTTCCCACGTCTTTACCAGCCCAGGACCACTTTAAACTAAATTTGAGACTGAGATATTTTAGGACTATTCAGGTGATAAAAATTCAGCTGCAAATCTGCAGGAAAGCAGGAAAACAAGCTTGCAGTTGTGAATTCTCAGGAACTTCTTTTTTCCTGTTCTGGACTATGCCAAAGGTAATTTCCTTTGTGGTCTCTGGTGGTGGTGATGGTGAGATGGTGGGCCACTTTTACTTCAAGGTTACTCCTTTACTGAGGTGGGAGTCCTTTGGGGCCTTGGGTTTATAGAGATACATCTCCTATTCAGCTCCCTAATCTGATGTACCATAGGATTGGGTTTCTGTTCCCTGAAATTTTGATTTATTTAAAACAAAAGTTCACATCCTCAGTTTTCTGAATCTTTTATTAATATAAGCAGCTTTGGATTTCAGTTTACCACCATTAATTCTCATTTTCAGTTAAATTTTAACCTTACTATTTGGTCAGCTCTTCACTGATTTTAAGATAACTTAAAAACAATTTACAGTGTTTTTTATTTGTTTTTCAGTGGGAGAATTTACTTAAATAACCTAATATGCCATCTGACTCCAAACAGAAGTCCTCAGCTTTATTCTTGGAGCCTGGCCTCTTCACAGAACAGACGACATGGCCGTCAGCCCATTTTCATCACGACAAGAGCACAAAGAGCAGTCCTCACCTTAGCTCCAGTCTAGCAAATATCCCTGGGATAGACTCCAATGGCCCAGAGTAAATAAAATCACTGTAGCCAGAAGATAAGGTATTGTACCAGCGGCAGACTGTCACTAGGAGAAGGAAAGAAAGTGTGCTAAGGAGACCAAAGCAGTAGAGTCTGCTATGCAAACACTGTTTTATTGAAAATCCTTACACCATAACCAAAAGATAGGCATCCACTCCCTTTCACCTGAAGAAAACAGTGGATTGGGGAGTGTCTTAGTCCATTTTGTGTTGCTACAACAGAATACCTGAGGCTGAGTAATTTATAAAGAAAAAAGATGTATTCAGCTTATGATTCTGCAGACTGGAAAGTTCAAAAGCATGGTGCCGCAACTGGCCAGCTTCTGGTGAGGGCCACCTGCTGTGTCAAAACATGGCAGGGAAGCAGAAAAGTGATCAGGCACATGCAAAGAGATCAGTGGGTGAGAGAAGTAGCAAGAGAGATTCTAGGAAGTTGAACTTGCTTTTATAACAACCTGCTCTCTAACAACTAATCCATTCCTACAAGAGCAAAAACTCACTGATCCCAAGGGAGCAAGTTAATCAATTATGGGGGAATCCTTCCTTATGACCCCAACACCTCCCACTAGTGCCACCTCCCAACACTGCTACATCAAATTTCAACATGAGTTTTGGTGGAGGCAAACCATATCCAAACCACAGCATTGGCTAAGAAGCTTGTCCAATTTCACATAACTAGGAAAGACCAGAGTCAATTCAAACCTGAGTCTGTTGGATTCCATACTCCATGTTCCTAAGCACTGCACTCTCCCACCAGTTACTCACGCTTTAACTGGCCACTCAATTACTATGTCTCTCATGGAACAGGATTTGGGGCATGGTACTTCTGTTGAATGGAAGAGAAGATGTGAGAATGTGGGCCAGTCCAAGTGGGCAGCTCAAGGGTTAGTGGTACCTTGGTGGAGATGTTGAGATAGAATGAGGGAGATGTCACTAGACAAATTTAAGCACACTTTGCATTTCTACCAAGGGGGGCCTGCTGCCCTGTTAGAGCTTGAAAATAAAAGTAAATCTAACACAAATAAAGCTGGAATTTTTGGGCTGCCTTACATTTACCTTTAGGCCAATCTCAATATGCCATTACATCAAAAAGAAAAAGGCACACACCTAACTCCAAAAAAACATTGAAAGACTTATAGGCTTTTACTGAAGTTTCAAGAGGCAGAAGTAGCATATAGGTGCATGCATAGCATGTATAGCATAGCAAGGTTTCTAAACGGGGTCTTTAGAGCTTTTCCTCTCTCAAAAGTTCTACTTCTCATGGAAATTGCTCAAAGCTGCTCTCAACCACCAGCTGTCAAGTTTCAACTCATGTCCCCTCTTCTCTCTCTGTGTACCTTTAGATTCCTCACTGACCCTGGGACTTCCTTCCCAAGTAGCTTAAGCCCATCTTAAATATAACTTTATATTCTACTTGTTTTGGCTTTAAAAATCGTTTTCTTCCCACAGTTCATTATAGTGATCAGTCCAATAAAGGCCTAGTAGTCAAAGGGCCCCAACAAAGGATTCAGGAGCCAGGAGAGAGGAGAGGTTTGTACATACTTTTCAAGTTCCCTTTTTTGCTTTCTCCTACATTATACATATATTATGGACTTTCAAGAATGGAAAATGAATCTAAGTAGCAGTGAGTATGAGGCAAGGACTAAGGTTAAACAGATCCTATGGGAAATGATCTTACGAGAAAAGATATTTTATTTTCTCTGAAGACACTAAAACCACTTATTGTTGGGTAGGAATCCAATGTGTACCTTAGGATAGAATTGTTCTTTGTCCTTCAATGTCTTTGTCTGTTCCCAGTGATAATGTCCCTGTAAAACACTATAGCTAATCTAATATTGCGTGGTTTCTTAAGCCTTGGATCCTTTATGACCAGCTGCCATGTAAGATGATTCAGTATCTACCTACCAAGTAATTTCAGGAGAACTGCAGATGATGCAATGACTTGCAGACATGCACAGTTTAAGTCAACTGCCTCTCAGGAATAAATCAAACTCTGATAACTGACCTGGCAGTTTTTCATCTTGAATTTCCATTTTATTCACCAGCAGTATCCTTTTGGGAAAGCTTCAAATGCTTTTGAAATGAAAGCAAACTAAATTGCTTCTTTTGCAAAAGATAATACCTGACTTTATTGGTTCGAAAAGAAATTGGTTGGATTAATTTCCAAATTATTTGTCTTGGTCTTTGTTTTTTATTGCCTAAGTTTATCCCTTAAGAAGTAAACATCCTTCAACAGTCACAAAATGAGCTTTAAAAAAGACAAAAAAAAACTGAAAAACAAAACAACAACCAAAAAAAAACAGCAAACAAAACACAAAATGAGATAGACTCATTTAGATAAAATCATCTTTCACCCTACCCTCCAGTGTATGAAGCACTCAAATAATCTCTATGGTTACTCGCTTTTCATGACTCCTGTTATTATGAGTTATGCTATCACACATAAACCTGTCTTTCCCCTCACCAGCCTCTGTACTCCTTACTCAGGGAAGAGAGGGGCAATATCTGCCCTACAGAAGATTCTCAATACCATATTTCGTTAATTCTATGATACATATATGACTTCATACTTTAATAACTCTTAAATAAAAATGCTTCTTTCAATAAATAGCATGTCATACCTTAAATGGCAGCATTTTTTCTTAGTGGCATAAAAAATAATCATGTATTTTATAGTTGATAGTTTCTTATATCCAACAAAATATGGTGCTGAATTGTACCTAATGAGTGATTCATCCAGATTTGGGGTAAACTGTTAATGCATTTTAGTTAAAAATAAAAAGTAAGCAATCAAATGATAAAAATTTAGAACATGCAGTAAGAAAGAAATTTGCTAAAAGCTAAGAAATCAGAGTTATAAACAATACATGTTTATTGAGCATTTACTGTTTACCCATCAGTATTCTTGATGCTAAGGATATAGCAGTGAACAAAACAATCCTTGTGGACTTACATCATAGTAGGGAAAATAGACAATAAATAAATGTATGATAAGTCAGTTGATAATAAGTGCTACGAAGTAAAACAAAGCAGGAATAAAGTTGGGGAGAAAAGTGGAGGGTGATTGCTATTTCAGTTGAGATCATTGGGATGGTCTTTTCTGAGGAGGGGACATTTGCATAGAGAAGCAAGGATGTGAGTTATGTGTCTGCTGTGTGTAGAACATTCTGGGAAAGGGCAGAGAAGGGAACAAGACTATTCCAGAAAAAGAGGACACATGCTGGGAGTGTTTGAGAACAGAATGAAGGCTAGTATGCTGCAGCCAGTGGGTATGTGTGGGAGTTCTAGGAGATGAGGCCAAAGAGCCCCTATCATACAGGACCCTAGAGGTCACTGTAAGGATTTGACTTTTATCTTGAATGACGTGGGAGGCTACTAAGAGTTTTGAACAGAGGGTCGGGCGCGGTGGCTCACACCTGTAATCCCAGCACTTCGGGAGACCGAGGCGGGCATATCAGCTGAGGTCGGGAGTTTGAGACCAGCCTGACGAACATAGAGAAACCCCGACTCTACTAAAAATACAAAATTAGCCAGGGGTGGTGGCACGTGCCTGTAATCCCAGCTACTTGGGAGGCTGAGGCAGGAGAATCCCTTGAACCCGGTAGGTGGAGCTTGCGGTGAGCCAAGATCGTGCCATCGCACTCCAGCCTGGGTAACAAGAGCAAAAGTCTGTCTCAAAAAAAAAAAAAATGTTTAGAACAGAGGAGTGATAGAGCCTGACTTGTGTTGTGGGGAGAGGGTGGGGGGGAGTGTAGGAGAGGGGTTGATAAGAATGGGAACATAAAGATCAGTAAGTAGGCCACTACAGTAATCCAGGTGAGAGGTGGTAGTAGTGGGAATAGGGTGGTAGTGTTACAGAAGTGCTGGAAAGGGAAGAGTTTGGTCCCTTTAAATGATAGGGAAGCAGGGAAGGGAAGTGCTGGGTAGAGACAAGGGTGGTCCCTGGCTAGGGCTCCACCCCAACAGACCTAGGTGAGGACAGGCATTTCCTGGAGATTTCCCAAGATCACCCTGGCCTGCCATGCCCTCATCTTGTGCCTATAAAAACCCCCAAGACCCTGGCAGCCACACATATAGGCGGCTGGACATTGAGAGGAGCACATCAGCAGAGGAACACAGGTGGTTAGACATAGAGAGGAATGCACCAATAGGCACCGGCATGCTGGCAGGCCAGTGACCAGCAGAAGCAGAACAACCTGGAGTTTGGCTGGGGCAGTCGGAGGAGAGCCCAGGCCACCGAATGGCCCAACTCCAGGGGAAAACCTTCCCACTCCCTCCCCTTCTGACTTCCCCTGAGCTACATCCACTCAATAAAACCTTGCACTCATTCTCCAAACCCAGGTATGATCCGATTCTCCCAGTACACCAAAGCAAGAACCGGGGATACAGAAAGCCCTCTGTCCTTTCAACAAGGTAGAGCAAGGTAGAGGCTTAATTGAGCTGGTTAACACAAGCCACCTATAGACGGCAAAACTGAAAGAGCAGCCTGTAACACAGGCCCACTGGGGCTTCAGGTGCTGTAAATATTCACCCCTAGACACTGCCGTGGGGTCGGAGCCCATAGCCTGCCCGTCTGTAAGCTCCCCTGGAGGTTTGAGCAGCGGGGCACTGAAGAAGCGAGCCACACCCCCATCGCATGCCCTGTGAGGGGGACAAGGGAACCTTTCCTGTTTCAGTAGCGTGGAAGTGCTGGTATTCTGGATAAACTTCAAAGGTAGACCTGTCAAGATTAACTGGTAAACTGAATGTGCAGTATAGAAGAAATAGATCAAGGAAGATGGCAAGGTTTTTACCTGAGCAACTTGTAAGTGGAGTTGTCATTTACTATAATGGGAAAGATTGTGAGAAGAATAGTTTGGAGAAGAGAAAACCAAGTTAATTTTGAATATATTAAACTAAGGATGTCTATTAGTAGTGAAGAGAAGATTCTGAGAAATGAACCTATACTTCAGGAAAGAGGTAAAAAATGGAAATATAAATTGGGAGTTATTAACATATATGTCGAATTTTAGGAGATATGAAATATTCTAAGCTCTAGAGCAAGGGTACAGAGAGAGAAGGGGAAGGAAGACAGAACTCTGGGGCAATCCAACCTAAATAATCAGGGGGATGAGGAGGAACCAGCAAAGGAAATGGAGAGGAGCCGTCAGGGAGGTGGGATGGGAACCAAAACAAAGTATCATCCAAGATGTCAACCAGAAGAAGTGTTTCGGATCAAGGGAGTAACAACTTGGCCAAATTTTGCTGATGTAGGCTGAGATGTGACCATTTTATTTGGAAGCAAGGAGGTCATTGATGACCCTTACAAGAGATGATTCAGTGGAGTATAAGCACAAAAATCTAGTTCTAAAGGGTTAAAGCAAGAATAGAAGGAGAAATGAAAATGAAAACAAAAAACAGTGTTAGTATTATAAACAACTCTTTTCTTTTTTTTTAGACAGAGTCTCACTCTGCCACCCAGGCTGGAGTGCAGTGGTGCATCTTGGCTTACTGCAACCTCCGCCTCCTGAGTTCAAGCGATTCTCCAGCCTCAGCCTCCCCAGTAGCTGGGACTACAGGTGCACACCATCAAGTCCGGGTAATTTTTGTATTATTAGTAGAGATGGGGGTTTCACAATATTGGCCAGGCTGGTCTCGAACTCCTGACCTCAGGTGATCCGCCTGCCTCGGCCTCCCAAAGTGCTGGGGTTACAGGCGTGAGCCACTGCACCCGGCCATAAACAACTCTTTCTAAAGAGATACAGATATGCTATATGTATACAGGTATAGGATCCAGGAGAGGTTTTGCTGTTTTTTTTTTTTAAGATAAGATATATAGCATGTTTGTACTCATTTAAGATGAGTCCCCTTTCTTGGATCCCTTCTCTCTAGCCTCTCTAAATTAATTACTTAATACAATTGGGAGAGAAGTATGCAATTGAGATCCAAATTTAGCATTCTTTCTAAGTTAAAATTTGAAAGTAATATTATTTACACTTTTACTAATGATTGTCTCAAAGGGACCTATAGAATCAGTTTTTAAAAATATTCTGACCTGCTTTGTTTGGGAGAAAATGGTATTTTCACATACTTTTAATTGCAAATAGAATACAAAAGAGTGTCTTGTAGCACCAAAATTTATTCATTTCAATATTAAATCACATTAACAATAGAAAAATAAGGTCTTATTCTGAAAAGAAATAATCCCATCACTATGCTTCTCTTTTTCAATATCAGAGCTGACAGATAAGCAAGTCTCATTAGAAACAGATAAGAGTTTCCTGACATCTGTTATAGTAGATGGCTGACAGTAACTCTAAACACATTGACTCTATTTATTGGAGAAGAGCTGGACTGAATTAAAGAAGATTCTAGCTCAGTGGCTCACTGCCCTGGCTGCACATTTGATTTACGCATGCCCGTGACCCACCCCCAGAGATGCTGATTTATTTGACCTGCATTGGGAAGCAGGCATGGGCATGTTTCAAAACATTCCCAGGTAATTTTAATGTGCAGCTGAAGTTTTTTGTGAAGTTCACTTCACTTTAATGTGATGTGAAGAACTACTGCCTAGCATTTAAGCTTTTCTTAAGGTAAAGAACTCAGCTATAATGAAAAGGCTTGAAATTTGATCTAATCTCAAAAACAGAACACAGGAAATAGCCACTTCCACTTGAAGTGGTCTCATACCATGGAATTCTCATCTACCATGAAGAGTACACTCCCATAATTTTGCTTGTGTGACAGGCAGCTCCATGCGCTGCCACTGAAGATGGGAGGGTAGCGACAGGCCATCTGGGCAAGCCCAGGTCCTTTCTCTTCTCCCTTGTGTGACAGTTACTGAAGGTCCCAGAGCCATCAGAACCAAATTGGTTTTTAAGTTGTGATTCCTTTATATACTTGTATAGATACAAGTCCTAATCAGACATAGACTTGTAAATAGCTTCTTTCATTGTGTGGGTTGTCTTTTTCACTTTCTTGATTGTTATCCTCTGAAGCATAAAAATTTTTAATTTTAATGACATCCAATTTATCTATTTTTTTATTTTGTTGTTTGTGCTTTTGGTCATAGCTAAGACTCCATTACCAAATCTGAGGTCACAAAGATTTATCCAAATGTTTTCTTTTAAGAGATTTATAGTTTGGCTCTTATATTTAGGTTTTTTATTCATTTTGAGTTACTTTTTTTAGTGGCTTATTATTTTATTTTTATTTTCTTATTTTATTTCATTTTCCCTTCTCTATTAAGATTTAAGATATAATTGACCAAAAAACCCCACTAAATGTGATGTTTTGATATATATATATAAATTGTGAAATGATTAAATCAATGTAATTAAAATATTGCTTCACATATTCATTTTTTGTGGTGAGAACATTTAAGATCTATTCTCTTAGCAATTTCCAAGTATATAATACATTATTATTACTATAGTCATCATGCTGTACAATAGATAACTAGAACTTATTCATCTTGTCTAACTTAATCTTTGTACTCTTTCACCAACATCTCCACCTCTCCATTTCTCTCCCACCAGCCCCTTTGCCAACTCCATTTTACTCTCTGCTTTTAAAAGTTTGTCATTTGTAGATCCTGCAGATAAATGAGGTGATACATTATTTGTCATTTTGAGTTAACTTGTGTATATCATGTGATGTAGGCCGAACTTCATTCTTTTTTATATGGCTACACACATGTCCCAGCACTACTTGCTGAAGACTATTTTTTTGCCACTGAATGGCCTTGGCACTCTTGTTGAAAATCAATTGGCTATAGATACATGGGTTTATTTCTGGACTCTCAATTCCATTCCACTGGTCTATACGTCTATCCTTATTCCAGTACCACACCATCTTCATTACTCTAGCAATGTAATAAGTTTTGAAATAAGGAAGTGTGAATCTTTCAGCTTTATTCCTTTTCAAGATTGTTTTGCTTATTTTGGGTGTCTTGAGTTTCCATATAAATTTTAAGATCAGCTTGTCTATTTATACAAATAAGTCAGGTGGGTTTCTGACAGGAATTCTGTTGAACCTGTAGATAAACTTGGAAGTATTGCCTTTTAACAATATTAAGTCTTCCAATCCATGAACATGAAATGTCTTCCTATTTATTTAGATCTGATTGGTTTCTCTCTCTCTCTGTGTGTGTGTGTGTGTGTATGTGTGTATGACAGGGTCTCACTCTGTCACCCAGGCTGGAGCAGTGCAGTGGTGCAATCTTAGCTCACTGCAACCCTGCCTCCAGGGCTAAAGTGATCTTCCCACCTTAGCCTCCCAAGTAGCGTGGACCACAGGTGTGTGCCACCATACCCAGATAATTTATATATATATATATATAAATAAATTTTTTTTTAATAGAAATGGGGTTTCACCATGCTGCCCAGGCTGGTCTCAGACTGCTAGACTCAAGCCATCCGCCCACCTCAGCCTCCCAAAGTGCTAGGATTATAGGCATAAGCCACCACCGGTTGATTAGTTTCTTTCAACAATGTTTTTCATTCAATTATAACAAAAAACTAACGGGGTTTTGGAACTTGAACACTAGATTCTAAACAGCTCTTCTTCATGGAAAAGCAAAAACCCACAAATACCCAACACTGCTCCCCCAAAAAGAGTAAAATGAGAAGATTTGGCTTACCAAATACTTATTATTCATCAGTGTCAATTAAGACTAGATAAGTAGACCAATTAAACAGAATAGAAAGCCCAATAGGTGGATTGGGCATGATGTATGATATACTGGAGTCAGCTTCTACCAGCTCCTGAGATGATTGTTATAATCATTAAAAGATTGAGATTGACATTTGGTTCCCTGAGGCCTGTATGCAGATTCAATTCAAAGCTAATGATTTTCCTCTTAACTGAATTTTTAGTTTTTATCACTCAAAACTTTGAGAAGGTAGAAGATTTGCCTCATATTTACACTATATTATATAATACATAATTAATGAATCAAATGAATGAGTATATTAACTGCCTCTCAACTTACAGGACTTGGAAATAATTTTTGCCTTCTCGAATTTTATTTGCTTAAATTTGGGATTCAAAATGTTTCACACACAAAACATTTGCTTTAAAATAGATGGATTAAAAAGTGTAAGATTGGCTGGGTGCAGTGGCTCATACCTGTAATCTCAAACTCGGGAGGCGGAGGCAAAAGGATGGCTTGGGCTCAGGAGTTTAAGGTTGCAGTGAGCTAGGATTGCACCACTGCACTCCAGCCTAGGTAACAAGGGTGAGACTTTGTCTCTTTTTTTTTTTAAAAAAAGATATAAGACTGGATAACTATGAAATAAAGTAATTTGATTTTCTGCTTAAATATTCTCTTCAATCTGCCATAGCCTACTGAGCATGATGACGTTAGGGGAAGATACACCTTTAACTGCCTCAGCCTCCGGGTAGGGGGAGAGGAACAGGAGGTGTCACGGTTTCCATATTTCTACCCCAACTGGGGCAAGGGATCTGCTTTTAGTGCAAGTTTCAACTACAAAAATGCTCTTTTAGCCAAAGGATGTTTCAAAACCTTCTATCCTTCCAACCCCCAAAGATAGCAAAGAGTACAGATCACAGACGGATGGAAAACACTCAATTCAGAGAGAGGTTACGCCACAGATTCCTGCAAACAGAGAGAAAAGTCCTTTGGGAGCTTAGGGATAGCAGACATTTTTTAAGAGAGAAAGAACTTAGCAATACAATAGAGAGTTTATACTTTAAAAGAAATTTGCACAAGTGCATAAAGTAAAAGTTAGCTTCTGAATATGAAACTGTGTCTCCCAGTATGGCTCCGTAAGAATATGCTGAATATCAACAGGTCTTGTTACAGCTTGAGGGACCATGGAGTTTGGGCCACACCAGGGCAGAGACTATTCCCTAAATTCACCAAGTCTCAGAGAGAAAGAAATATAAATTTTGTGGCAAACACCACTGACATTCATTTGAGTTTCATTGTTAGGTTAAGAATTTAGTGACATATACAGAACTTATGTAATATGAGTGGATTCATCCTTTATAAAGGATTCAATTAATCCTTTATAAATTTCAGAGTAAGCAGAATTTTTTATCATAGATCAGGGATTATTTTTTAGAAAATTTTTTAGAGACAGGGTCCTATGCTGTTGCCTAAGCTGGAATGAAGTGGTGCATAGATCAGGGATTCTTTTTAAAAAAATTATTATTTTTCTTAAGTTCAGGGTACATGTACAGAGAAATAAGAATGCTTTTACACTGTTGGTAAGAATGTAAATTAGTTCAACCATTGTGAAAGACAGTGTGATGATTCCTCAAAGATTTAGAACTGGAAATACCATTTGATCCAGCAATCCCATTACTGGGTATATACCCAAAGGCATATAAATCATTCTATTATAAAGATACATACACACATATGTTCATTGCAGCACTATTCACAATAGCAAAGATGTGGAATCAACCCAAATGCCTATTAATGATAGACTGGATAATGAAAATGTGGTACATATACACCATGGAATACCATGCAGCCATAAAAAAGGAATGAGATCATGTTCTTTGCAGGGACATGGTTAGAGTTGGAAGCCATTATCCTCAGCAAACTAATGCAGGAACAGAAAACCAAAGACATGGAATCAACCCAAATGCTGTCAATGATAAATTGGATAAAGAAAATATGGTACATATACACCATGGAATACTATGCAGCCATAAAAAGGAATGAGATCATGTCCTTTGCAGGGACATGGATAGAGTTAGAAGCCATTATCGTCAGCAAACTAATGCAGGAACAGAAAACTAAACATAGCGTGTTCTCACTTGTAAGTGGGAGGTGAACAATGAGAACACATGGACACAGGGAGGGGAACAACACTTAGAGATTCTTATCTGTAGTCCCATGGATAGACTTGAAGGGTATCTTTGGGTCAAAGCTAAAATTCTATGCAAAATTTCATGTGTATATAGGGGATTCATCGCTTTCTTTAGACCCTTAGAGATGTCTGTGATTCTAAAAAGTAAAGAACCGGTACTTTGGATAAATATCAGAATTGGTCTACCTCATTCATCTAGTCAAGATTCTGGTGTACAGAGCAAGAAAACCCACATATAAAACAGCCTACATATAAAAATATGCATGAACAGGGATGTTTCTGTCTGAGTGGCCTACATATTACACAATTTTTGTGGGGAAGAAGACACAAAACAAAGTATAGTATAGAGAATTTTTTTCAAAATTATTATACTCAAAAAGTGTCCACTGATTTTGAATCTTTTATTTGCAAGCATTTCCATCCACTTCCTATTCAATAACAAAATCACTTGATCTCTAAATTCAGACTTCATCTGTAAATACAGCTCTGAGAAAGGACAGATGAAAAGGAAGAAAGTAGCAGAAACAAGGAACACTTAAGTGGCTTCTAGGTCTACTGCCTTGTTTCATCAGAACTATCTGGGCACCAATCCCAGTATTTATTTTCACACTTATACAAGCAACACAACTACCACAAGCCTGAATGTGATACCGAAGCCTGTGACATTGAACAGTGCAGTGAGTTACACCCTAGGGAAGGTAGGAGACAAAAGAACAGCTGACAATTCTCCCTGAAGACAAGAGAGCTTCACAAACAGCTCTGCAAATCCTAGCATTAATATTATTTCCATTCCACTCTTGGGAAAATATATGAAGGTAAGGAAAAGTTTGGAAAAAAAGGACAATAGAGAGGAAGAAAGGTAGGGGTGTGTGTGTGTGTGTGTGTGTAAAGGCCAAGTAACAAGGGAAGGAGCAAGAAAAAACAAGGTATCAAAAAGAAGCGTAAGTGTGCTTAGGGAAGTAGATGGCACTTTACCAAGTAACAAAGACAATCCCTGCTTTCTGTAACAATGTAGGATAAAGTTACTTGGCCAATGTCTGATTAGATATCAGTTTGCTTATGGACGGCATATTTAGGATGATCCACTTTTAATATATGCCTCTGTGGCCTATGAGCAAGTGAGGCAACATGTACGTGTGGTGTGGGGTATACATGAAGGCACTGGGGACTACTGTCAAGTCAGATGCTGCCTGAAATGCAACTGGGAGTGGGAGAAAAGAAGGAGGATGGCTGAGAATGGCTGCTAGTAGTATGCAGTGATTTATTCATCTGTCGGGCTAGGTGCTGTGGATACACTGATGAATAAGTTGCAGAGGGTCCCCACCCTCAGGTAGATTAAGTTCACACTGAGCCAAGAGAGTGTGGGAGTACCTGGGGTTAAAATAAAATAAAAACTAAATGTGATGGTAAATTGTATGTGTCGACTTGGCTGATACAGCGTGCTCAGATATTTGGTTGAATATTATTCTGGATGTTTCTGTAAGGGTGTTTTTAGATGAGATCTACATTTAACTTAGTGGACTTTGAGTAAAGCAGATTGTCCTCCAAAATGTGGGTGGGCCTTCAGTTGAAAGCCGGAATAGCACAAAAGATTGACCTCTCCCGAGCAAGAGAGAATTCTGGAGCAGAGGGCCTTCAGATTTGAACTGCAACATCAGCTCTTTCCTGGGTCTCCAACCTGCTGGCACACCCTGAAGACTTGGACTTGCCAGCCTCTATAATCATTATATATGTGTGTGTGTGTGTGTGTGTGTGTGTGTACATACACACACACACACACACACACATCCTATTCATTCTATTTCTCTGGAGAACCCCAACTACTACAATAAACTAAACTAAAGCAGATATGAGATTATATTTCTGATGCTATGTAGGAGACTTTACACATTTTTCATTTAATCTTCTAGAAGGAGCCAGACTGTCCTGTAGTTGCCACTCTTAGGGTTCAACGGAGAGACTACCAATGCACTACTTTCTGCTACTTTCTGAGGGTACCAAGGTGGTAACAGTAAGCCATTTGTCTTTCAAGGAACTGCTGACTTATTTCAGGACATGAGGGCATTTCTTAGAGGAACTATTGCTCTAGCAATAGCTCCTCTAGTTTTCAAGGCTCTATGCTAGTGCTAGAGCAATTGTTCCTCTAAGAAATGTTCTCATGGATTGTTTTATTTATTTATTTATTTACCTACCGTGGATTGTTACCTACCATAAATTGTTTACCATGGATTTTTTTAATTTTTTTTGAAGATCATTATATGTTTTATTAGAGAGAGAATCATAGTCTTCCAGATTTGGGATCTCAGAAATTCTTATGAAAAAGAGTGTTCTAGCTAGAAATTCAGAGAATTTACATGGTCTGGTATTTTTTTCTGCTAAAGAGGGCCAACTTTATGGCAGACACTGTACAAGGGGCTGAGGAAACTATAAAGAATACAGTGTTAAATGAGCATAAAACTTTCTTAGAGAAGAAAATATGTGGATACTCAAATGTTAAAATATATTACAGGAGTTTAAAATTATGTAACACAGAAGTATAAGTCAATATACTTAGCATCCCATGATTCTCAGGTGAGCATTTTGGAAAATAAGATCAATAGAAGGTCAGGAAAAGCTGTAGAGCTCATGGAGAAAATGGAATTTAACCAGAGCCTTAAATGGAACCTGTAGTATCATGGGATGACCTTTACATGGAGGTAGACAGATATGATAGGTAGACATAGAGCCTTTCAATTTAATATGACTTGGAAGAGTGAAGACACACACACATAATACACATATACATACAATTTTTAAAAATATGGCTGTCAAAAATGTGACAGAAGTAGATGAAAAACTAGGCCAGTAGAGAAAAGTTGTCTTAGTTCCTGGCTTGAATATAAACAATACTGTAAATTAAAAGAATATTTTGATATATTCTTCTATTTTTTTCTGGTTTCTCTGACACCCTTATGATTAAGGATGAATGGATGATCACTCACAAATAAAATGTTAGGAACATGTTATTTTTTGTAAATTGCCATGGGATATTAAGCAAGTTTTTGTCTGGAGTCATAAATTATTACTTTCCCTAACAATATTCTCAAGTCATTGTTGCAGATGATGTGCAATTTGTAGGCAGTTTGAATATTTTAAAACAATAATATTGTTAATCTTCAATTCCCTTTCATTAAATCCTGCTGGCCCCAGCTACAAGGAATAAAATCTTCTAATTTTTTCACTGCTATCTTATAGCCAATGCCCTCTGGAGCATTCACTAGGAGAAAAGGTAAGACAAAAACTTTTTAAAGTTAAAATAATAAAAATAATAATAAATGAATGATACAAGATAAAATAAAACAAAAGAAGCCAAAACAAGTCAAGATAAAAGAATAGTCTGCAAACAAAGTTTTTACATTTAATGCGTTGTGTTAGGAAACCACAAAGTGTCCCTAAGAAACTTGGAGATGGTTGGATGTAGCAATCATGATATTTTTCTGTTACCTTACCAAAACATCTCAATTGGGAGCTGCTCTAAAGCCAGAAGAGTTTAATTTCCATTTTTAAAATCTCTTTCAATAATTAAATCACCTTTTCCTGTGAGAGAAAGGATGTTCATATAAGTTTAGTGTATGATATTTCTATAGATTCTAAAGAAGGCATTGGCCACATTCAATAAACAAATTATCTTCTGAAAAAATAGCACAGGTCTTCTTATCACAGCTGATATAACCACAGATTATACTTTTGTATTAACTCAACCTTCAGACGTTCTTTTCCTAAAAATGTGCACACCTCCTACATTTTCTGTTTTCTCTTGTATCCTAAGCTTACTCCCTAGGGCATGTATTATTAGTGCACTGTTTTTCTCTCTCCTTGGCTTTTTCTGGTTGAAATATTTAAGCTGTTTGGAACTATGAAATTCCCTTAGGATATAAACTATTGATCTCCTGTTAGATCATGAGGTGACTCTTAAGCACCTTCTCCTAGAACTTTTCGAGAAACACTGCATATGAATGCAAGGTTACATGCCCTGGCACAAATTAGAAACCTAACAGTGGACCATATCCTAATAAGAATCATTGGCGACTTTAATTCTTAGACTGTGGAAATATTGTTCAATTACCATGAGTTCTGATTTTAGTTTTTACGTGCCCAAAGCATGAATTTCTAGTCACTGAGCCTGTGAGTCAGCATTGAAGAGTTTGAGGTCTATTCTTAATTAACGCATTTTTTCCTATGCTATCCTACAGACCTGGCAGGATTCACATGCATCCCAAAATGCCTTTGATCCTTCAGACCTGCCCTGCCTCATGTAAACTAAGTTGAGGTGTTATCTTTTATCAAAAGTTGATAACACCACTTAACAAAACTTGTTTTCCATTGTGCAGAGAGGGTGTGATTTTTTTCTCCTAGGTTACAAGGTCTAAGTTTTATTTTTTTGAAAAAAGATTTCCAATTTAGAACTCAGAAAAAGATAAATGCTTCCTGGGGTTTTTGGTTATGAGAAATAAAAAAGGAAGGAGAGGCCTTCATTATAGGTCTGATGAAGAAACGCTGATGTTTAGTCACAGGCTTCCTAGGACATTGGAGAAAGCAAAAGAAACATTCAGTCTATCAAGTCAACCTCAAATAACTATCGCCATCTATCAGATGAGTTTGGACTTGAGACTACCTAAGGTTTTCTACTAGCTGGAAACTATTGTGATTATAATAGCATGGTAACTTCATACTCTCTAATCTTGTGATGCTGACTCTTTAATGATCCTGTGCTTATTCATGTTCTCTCCCTATATTTCCCTTTGTTATCTCATTTGAAAAATATAATCATAAATGACATCTTCCCAGGAAATTTCATTATCCATCTCCCTGCCCCCAACCAACCCCCAACTTTTTACCAGAAACCACTGATGCCACAGATTCTCTGGGGACTTTATGAATATTCCTCAGTGTCCTGTGTCTTTTGCCAGGACATCTACATGTTGATTTAAAGAAGTAGATTAGGCTTCTGCTTTGAGTTAGGATGTAGAATAATGCAAAAGACCTTTGTTCTCATAGTATCTGCAAGAAAAGACCTAGATAAAATAAAAACCATTGTTTTCTAAGGAATTAGTGAAGAGCAAGGGCAGCAAAGAAGCCTTGATAAATTATGTTCCAGAGAGAAATGAGCAGAAAATGGCAGCAGCTTCCACACCTGGATGGGGAGACTTTCTGAGAATGAGAAGAAATAGCCAGGCCTTCCCTGAATGGGCTGAAGGACAGGGTAGGAGGAGTCTGGAGTCTGGAAGAACTCAATCCAGTAAGTCTATTCATCCAGCTTTCCTCACAGTGAGAGAGTAGTAATAGAGGAGGGACATATATAAAATGTGAGGAAGCAGGAAAACATGATAATCAGGAAAAAATTGAGAGGAAGTAAAGACAGACCCAATAACCTAGTTATTGAAATCAGTAGACAAAATCTTTACAACAATAATTATGTTTGCCAAAGAATTTACAGAAAAATGCATATTATGGATGAAGAAATAGACTTTTCTCTTGGTTTTCTATAAAAAATGGAAACTCTATGAAACAACAAAATGGAAATTCTAAAACTTTAAAATGCAATATTAGAAGTCGAAATTTATTGGATGGGCTTAACAGCAGATTAGATATTGCAGGAAAAAAAAAATGAATGAGTGAACTTGAAGACAAGTCAATAAAAATTACCTAAATTGAAATAAGAAGAATATTGTTTAAAAACCAACAGACTGTCCATAACAATGAGATAATATCAAACAGTCAAATATAACTGGAGTCCCAGAAGGAGAGGGAAGAGAGTGGGTTAGGAAAAATTTTGAAGTAATTTCTTTCATAGCCAAGAAGTGTTCATTTCACAATGGTGTTTCTCTCTTCTACTTTCCCCTGGGCTAGAACTCAGATAGGTATATGGGCAGTGCTGTCAGTTTGAGCATGGCTGGTCCTGAATTACAGTAATTAAATGAATGTAAGCTTGTTCTAAGATTAAAGGTGTAGTAACCTCTAATTCCATGGAAGACAATGAACCAGTAAGTTCCATGCAGTTATAACTACTGTATAGTTCTATGTTTAGTTCAAACATGATAAAATCCAAATCCTGAATCTCTGGGAGAAAGAAGTCTAAAACAATCCTTCTCTTTATAACAATTTTAAACCAAATTTATAAACAACCCCTCTTCTTCTTCTACATGCATTTAAAAAATACAAACTACAGAAGGAAAGAGAGCAGTGATGTAGCAAGTGAATATGGACATGCTTCCTTTTTAATAAGTTATTGTCAAATCTTAATATATAATGAAATAGAAGCAGCTAGGTATGGAGAGGCTGTTAAGGAGCAGGAATTCATCTATGAAATGCAATGATGAATGTGATTGCATTGGATGAGGTTAAAATACTAACACTAGCTCAGCCAAGATTTCAAAAAATGGTGGTGAGAAGCTTTTTTTTCCCTTGCTAGGTTTGGGGGTTTGGGGGTGAGGGTTGAGGGGAATGTTGTATTCACACTCTCAGAAGTCAAGTGGGGAGCAGTTACTATTGACTGCTACTGAAATTCATATTTCATTCCATAGTTCACATTTTCCAGCTTGTCAGTCAGTATGTAATAATTCTTTGACACAGTCACCTCGCTTTTCTATGTTTTTGTAATTTTCTGACTAAAAATGTTGTCATTATTTAAGTGTTAGCATTATTTTGGAATAAATACGCTCGTTTGATGGAGGAAAATTGATGATATTAATTGATGTGATCAGTAACTTTAGGTGATCTAGATATAATAACCAAGAAAAAAAACAAAAACCAGTTTTGCAGATTGTTAAGGATAGTGACAAGCCACAAAGCCACAAAGACTTAGAGCCTACATAGCTCTCTTGTAGCATCCACTTTAGAATGAAAATAAAAGAGGAAAAGTACAAGTAGGGTAGAGAAAAGGGTCAGAGACCAGAGTGGGGGTGGGGAAGTGTGCAGGATTGGGAATGAATTGATTTAACTGAATGACTACAGTGCTGTGCAGAAAAGAGGAAGTTTAAAATTAACCAAAAAAAAAAAAACTCGTAAAATTCTGGGAGTTACTTGTGAGTAAGTTCCATGTAAGGTTACTTTCAGCTCATATTTTAATAATAGCCACCTGCTTCTCATTCTGAAAAGCTTCTAAGACCACATTCCATCATTTTTCTCTCTTGGACTCTTGGACTCCCTGAAGAAACAGTCTTTGCTTTTTGAAAAGCTGTAGTGAACAAGTCTCCTTTTACTTTCAAGCTGAGATAAGAAAGGATCAAAAAGAATAAGATTTCTTCCCTTCTCTGACCCCATCTCCTTTTCCTAGCTAGTATTTGCAATCACACTTCTAATTCTAAAGTCATAAGCATGCATCCATATTAGCATCTTATCATTGTCTTAGTTCCATTTTGAAAACTAGAATTCTATTCTAGCAAGAGAATGAAAGATTGGAAATTCTATATTAGATATTTGGCCAAAGAACAGTCCGAAAATAAGTTATCTCTTTTTCTAGGAACATTGACAATCCTGAAAGGGTTAATTAATTTTACCTTGGATCACCCTTTTTTCAAGATCCTGCTTGACTCTCCATGAGCTCAAAATAAGATGTGAATTAAGTTTGAAGGAGCCATAGTAAAAACAACTTTTAAAGTGATGATTCACTCAACTTGGGCAACAATTATATTTTGTTGAAAGCATACAAACACAATATTCGACATTGTTATCACACACAGAAAAAGTGCTAGTCATTGCAAGAACTGATAGAAAAAAATTAGGAAGCATAATAAAGGTCTTAAGGATTTGCTTCCTTTTTAGTCAAATTATTAATGACCATGGGAAAGTAAAGTGATTTAAGAAGAAAATCTTGCTGAGTACCAGCTGCTGCTGAAGTCAACTAATTACAACATTCCACTTGATATCACACTGGATACACATGCAAGAACAAGAAGGGCTTCAACACTTTACAATTAGACTTTCAAATTATCTTCTGTAAGACTCAGCTGTAAGCAAAAGTTATTTCATGCATAAATGACATTGAGAAACAAATTTCCAGCTAGGTTTCACACAACCAGTTTTGACAACCTCCTTAACGTCTCACAGACACTGAATCTAGTTCTCCCCATGAAAAGACTGGGCTGTCCTTTAAAAGAGTAATCACTACTGTCAATTTAATAAACGTCCTCCTACTAAATTGTGAGCACCTCCTAGGCAGGAACCAGTTGTTTTACTTTTGTATCCACAGGTCTTAGCATAGATCCTACCATCTGGTAGACAAATGCTTAGTAAATATTAGTTGAATTGATATCAAGGAGGGTGCAATCACCAGCATGTTGTGTTTAAAGGTGGTGCCCCATGACTCCTGAACCTTTCATTATAAGTCTCTTCTTTGGACTAAAACACGAATGGCACTCTCCTGAAACACATAAAAGTAGATTTGATCAAATGGAAAGACCTCCCCTGTTCTTGGGTAAAACAACTCAACCTTATAAAGATATCAACTCTTTCTAAGTTAACTCATAAATTTACAGCAGTTGCAGTACAATACTAACAAGATTCATGGAGTTGGACATGTTGATACTAAAGTTCGTATGGAAAACAAATTACAAGAATACTCAGAAAAGCACTGAAAAAGAAAAACTATCAGAGGAAACTAGCCTCTATGATTTAAACATTGTGATACTGGTACATGAATAGACAGACTGAAGGAAAAGAAGATAAATAGATCCAAGTACATATGGAAATGTAGTATATGATACATGTGCATCTTTAATAATTAGAGCAATGATAAACTTTTATTTTTACATTTATTTATTTATTTTTGAGACAGAGTCTCACTCTGTTACACAGGCTGGAGAGCAATGGCACAATCTTGGCTTACCACAACCTCTGCCTCCCAGGTTCAAGTGATTCTCCTCCCTCAGCCTCCTGTGTAGCTGGGACTACAGGTGTGCACCACCATGTTGGGCTAATTGTTTGTATTTTTAGTAGAAACAGGGTTTTGCCTTGTTGGCCAGGCTGGTCTTGAACTCCTGGCCTCAAGTGATCTGCCCACCTTGGCCTCCCAAAGTGCTAGGATTACAGACCTGAACCACTGCCCAGCCAGAGCAATGATAAACTTTTAAATAAATATGCCATTTGGAAAAAGATGAAATTAGATCCTATCTCACTCTGTATATAGTAATAAACAAACTCCAAATAGATCAGGCAAAAAGATGGATGAGTCGTGTTTTGTTTTTGTTTTTGTTTTGTTGTTGTTGTTTGTTTTTGAGATGGAGTTTCCCTCTTGTTGCCCAGGCTGGGGTGCAATGGCACGATCTCAGCTCACTGCAACCCCTACCTCCTGGGTTCAAGCGATTCTCCTGCTTCAGGCTCCCAAGTAGCTAGGATTACAGGCGCCCGTCACCATGCCTGGCTAATTTTGAAGTTTTAGTAGAGACGGGGTTTCTCCATGTTGGTCAGGCTGGTCTTGAACTCCCAACTTCAGGTGTCCTGCTTCAGCCTCCAAAGTAGCTAGGATTACAGGCGCCCATCACCATGCCTGGCTAATTTTCAATTTTTAGTAGAGACGGGGTTTCTCCATGTTGGTCAGGCTGGTCTTGAACTCCCAAATTCAGGTGATCTGCCCACCTTGGCCTCCCAAAGTGCTGGGATTACAGGCTTGAGCCACCGCACCCAGGCGGGATAAGTCTTTTTTTTAACCATAGTGTAGGAAAAGGCTTTCTAAATATGACTCAAAAGTCAGAGGCAATACAAGAAAATATTCATAAATTTGATTATATAAAACTATTTTATCTTTATTTTATTTTGAGATGGAGTCTCACTCTGTTGCCTGGGCTGGAGTCAGTGGCATGATCTCGGCTCACTGCAACCTCCACCTCCCAGGTTCAAGCAATTCTCCTGCCTCAGACTCCCAAGTAGTTGAGATTACAGGCGCCTCCCACCACGCCCAGCTGGTTTTGTATTTTCAGTAGAGATGGGGTTTCGCCATGTTGGTCAGGCAGGTCTCGAACTCCCGACCTCAGGTGATCTGCCCTCCTCAGCCTCCCAAAGCGCTGGGATTACAGGAGTGAGGCACCTCGCCTGGCCGATTCTCTTATTTTTTAACTTTTATTTTCAGTTCAGGGGCACATGTGCAGGTTTGTTACATAGGTAAACTTGTGTCACAGGGATTTGTTGTACAGATTATTTTATCACCCAGGTATTAAGCCCAGTACACAACAGTTATTTTTTCTGCTCTTCTCTCTCCTGGACCTTCCGCCCTCAATTAGGCCTCAGTGTCTGTTGTTCCTTTCTTTGTGTTCGTACTTTCTCATCAGTTAGCTCTCACTTTTAAGTAAGCACACATGGTATTTGGTTTTCTGTTCCTGCATCAGTTTGCTAAGAATAAGGCCTCCAGCTCCATCCATGTTTCCACAAAAAATTCTTTAAAATTACATGGCAAATATCATAAACAAAGTTAAAAGGCAACTGACAAGCTGGTAGAAAATATTTGCAAGACCTATCCCAATAAAGGGCTAAAATACCTCATATGTAAGGAGAGCTCTTAAAAACTGGAGGGCAGGCTGGGAGCCCTGGCTCACGCCTGTAATCTCAGCACTTTGGGAGGCCAAGGCGGGTGGCTCACGAGGTCAGGAGTTTGAGACCAGCTGGCCAACATGGTGAAACCCCATCTCTACTAAAAATACAAAAATTAGCTGGGCGTGGTGGTGCGTGCCTGTAATCTCAGCTACTCCGGAGGCTGAGGCAGGAGAAGTGCTTAAACCTGGGAGGCGGAGATTGCAGTGAGCCGAGATCATGCCACTGCACTCCAGCCTGGGCAACAGAGCAAGTCTCCGTCTCAGGAAAACAAACAAACAAAAAAACTGGAGGACAAAGACTCAACCCCAAGAGAAAAAATGGTAAAAATATATGAATAGACAAATGGCTCCTAAACGCACGTAAAGATATTTAAACTCCCTCATAATAAAAGAAATACAAATTAAAGCAACACTGAATTATCAGTTTTTACCTATCAGTTTGGAAAATAATCTAAAAATATGACATCATATGCTACTGGCCAGACTATGAAAAAATATGCATTCTCTTAAATTTCTAAGAATGTCAACTGAAACAAATTTTCAGTTGGAGATGGGGAATTTGGCAATATGTAACGAAGCCATATATGCACTTACCCACACATAGAAAGTGTTTGAATAAACCATGGTACATCTACACGATGGAGTACTATGGAACTGCAGAATAAGGGCAATCATTATGGACTTATGCAGAGTAATTTCCAGGATATATTGCTAAGCACAGAAAGCAAAGTGCAAAACATTGTCTATAGTCTGTTATCTTCATTAAACAATAAAACAAGGCAGTATACAAAAAGAAATATGAGAAGCAAAAATCAGAAATATTAGTGGGAATAGTTTTTTACAGTGGGCAGGTGGAATAAAGTGTTGAAAATAATGGAAAGTATACATTGTTTGTATATTTCTGATTTTTAGGACCATGTTAATGTTTCACATAGCCAAAAATAATTAAAATCAACCAGGACATGGGAGAGAGTCCAAAATGGAATTCCAACAGAGTTAACCTGACTGTGTTACTGATGAATAACATAGCCACACTAAAGGAATTGGTGAAGAAAAGAACTATGCTAGGGTAGCGTTGGAAAACAACGTCTATTATATAAAGCTAAAGAAAAAAGTCAAATATTTTACTCTTTTTAGTACATTTTATTTTCACAGTGGTATGAGTAATTCTGAAACTAAGTTTATGCATCCTAACATTGAGATAATCATAAATATATTTCAAATAATGAAATCCAGATATCTCACAGCAACAGGAATTACAAATAAGGATGGGGAAGTTTCCTTTGATGTTGGATACAAATCAGAGGTAGCATAAAAATAGTTTTTAATAATATGCAGACACAGAAATACAAATATGTATGTGTACATATACATAAAAGGGTATGTAAATGTGTGGTGTGTATTTGCTCACTAGAAGGGTCCTGAAGTAATAGCACTCATATCTTGGTTTTCAAACAGCATCCTCTAATAAAAAGAACCAGGGCTCTTTGGACAAATTTCTGATTCCAAAGCTAGGGCAGGGATATTACAAGATGAGCTTGGGACACCTTGTGGTACCAAAAAGAAAAAGTGATCAAAAAAAAAAAAAAAAAAAAAGTAGAGGCATGTTAATAGGACAAAAGAGCCTTCTTGAGGGAGCTCAATTATTTATTGAAATATAAATAACAGTTATGGATTATAGCCCACAGAAAAAGTTAATTGCCACTTGTTCACACCATTTACATAATATATAAATAAATGAGGAAGAAGGGACAACTCTTATTTATAATAAAATTCTAATTTGTAAATGTAAAAAGAATTAATGAAATAGACAAACCCAGGAATAATTGACAAACACCACAGTAACACTTGTAGGCAAGAAGCATTTGATGGTTGCTAAAATTAGTGGACAAAGATAGATGAGAAGCATGATATTTGCATAGTCTCCAAATATCTCTACAAGATACTTATTTTTTTATATGGTGTATGCCCCATAATGCCCCCTTTTTTATTATTATACTTTAAGTTCTAGGGTACATGTGCACAACGTGCAGGTTTGTTACATATGTATACATGTGCCATGTTGGTTTGCTGCACCCATGAACTCGTAATTTACGTTAGCTATTTCTCCTAATGCTATCCCTCCCCTAGACCCCATGCCCCAACAGGCCCCTGTGTGTGATGTTCCCTGCCCTGTGTCCAAGTGATCTCATTGTTCAGTTCCCACCTGTGAGTGAGAACATGTGGTGTTTGGTTTTCTGTCCTTGTGATAGTTTGCTGAGAATTATGGTTTCCAGCTTCATCCATGTCCCTGCAAAGAACATGAACTCATCCTTTTTTATGGCTGCATAGTATTCCATGGTGTATATGTGTCACATTTCCTTAATCTAGTCTATCACTGATGGACATTTGGGTTGGTTCCTAGTTTTTGCTATTGTGAATAGTGGTGCAATAAACATACGTATGCATGTGTCTTTACACTAGCACGATTTATAATCCTTTGGGTATATACCCAGTAATGGGATGGCTGGGTCAAATGGTATTTCTAGTTCTAGATCCTTGAGGAATCGCCACACTGTCTTTCACCATGGTTGAACTAATTTACAGTCCCACCAACAGTGTAAAAGCGTTCCTATGTCTCCACATCCTCTCCAGCATCTGTTGTTTCCTGACTTTTTAACGATCACCATTCTAACTGGTGTGAGATGGTATCTCATTGTGGTTTTGATTTGCATTTCTCTGATGACCAGTGATGATGAGCATGTTTGCATGTGTCTGTTGGCTGCATAAATGTCTTCTTTTGAGAAGTGTCTGTTCACATCCTTTGCCCACTTTTTGATGGTTTTTTTTTTTTCTTATAAATTTGTTGAAGTTCTTTGTAGATTCTGGATATTAGCCCTTTGTCAGATGGGTAGATTGCAAAAAAATTCTCCCATTCTGTAGGTCACCTGTTCACTCTGACGGTAGTTTCTTTTGCTGTGGAGAAGCTCTTTAGTTTAATTAGATTCCATTTGTCTATTTCGGCTTTTGTTGCCATTGTTTTTTGTATTTTAGTCATGAAGTCCTTGCCCATGCCTATGTCCTGAATGGTATTGCATAGGTTTTCTTCTAGGGTTTTTATGGTTTTAGGTCTAACATGTAAGTCTTTAATCCATCTTGAATTAATTTTTTATAAGGTGTAAGGAAGGGATCCAGTTTCAGCTTTCTCCATATGGCTAGCCAGTTTTCCAAGCACCATTTATTAAATAGGGAATCCTTTCCCCATTGCTTGTTTTTGTCAGGTTTGTCAAAGATCAGATGGTTGTAGATGTGTAATGTTATTTCTGAGGGCTCTGTTCTGTTCCATTGGTCTATATATCTGTTTTGGTACCAGTACCATGCTGTTTCGGTTACTGTAGCCTTGTAGTATAGTTTGAAGTCAGGTAGTGTGATGCCTCCAGCTTTGTTCTTTTGGCTTAGGATTGTCTTGGCAATGTGGGCTGCTTTTTGGTTCCCTATGAACTTTAAAGTAGGTCTTTCCAATTCTTTGAAGAAAGTCATTGGTAGCTTGATGGGGATGGCATTGAATCTATAAATTACCTTGGGTTGTATGGCCATTTTCATGATATTGGTTCTTCATATCCATGAGCATGGAATGTTTTTCCATTTGTTTGTGTCCTCTTTTATTTCATTGGGCAGTGGTTTGTAGTTCTCCTTGAAGAGGTCCTTCACATCCCTTGTAAGTTGGATTCCTAGGTATTTTATTCTCTTTGTAGCAATTATGAATGGCAGTTCATTCATGATTTGGCTGTTATTGGTGTATAGGAATGCTTGTGATTTTTGCACATTGATTTTATATCCTGAGACTTTGCTGAAGTTTCTTAAGTTTGCTTAAGGAGATTTTGGCCTGAGACAATGGGATTTTCTTAATATACAATCATTTCTTCTGCAAACAGGGACAATTTGACTTCCTCTTTTCCTAATTGAATACCCTTTATTTCTTTCTCTTTCCTGATTGCCCTGGCCATAACTTCCAACACTATGTCGAATAGGAATGGTGAGAGAAGGCATCCTTGTCTTGTGCCAGTTTTCAAAGGGAATGCTTCCAGGTTTTGCCCATTCAGTATGATATTGGCTGTGGGTTTGTCATAAATACCTATTATTACTTTGAGATTCATTCCATCAATACCCAGTTTATTGAGAGTTTTTAGCATGAAGGGCTGTTGAATTTTGTTGAAGGCCTTTTCTGCATCTATTGATATAATCATGTGGTTTTTTTTGTCATTGGTTCTGTTTATGTGATGGATTATGTGTATTGATTTGCGTATGTTGAACCAGCCTTGCATCCCAGGGATGAAGCCAACTTGATCGTCATCGATAAGCTTTTTGATGTGCTGCTGGGTTTGATTTGCCAGTATTTTATTGAGGATTTTTGCATCAAAGTTCATCAGGGATATTGGTCTAAAATTTTCTTTTTTTATTGTGTCTCTGCCAGGTTTTGGTATCAGGATGATGCTGGCCTCATAAAATGAGTTAGGGAGGATTGCCTCTTTTTCTATTGATTGGAATAGTTTCAGAAGGAATGGTACCAGCTCTTCTTTGTACCTCTGGTAGAATTCAGCTGTGAATCCATCTAGTCCTGGGCTTATTTTGGTTGGTAGGCTATTAATTACTGCCTCAATTTCAGACCCTGTTATTCGTCTATTCAGAGATTCAACTTCTTCCTGGTTTAGTCTTGAGAGGGTGTATGTGTCCAGGAATTTATCCATTTCTTCTAGATTTTCTAGTTTATTTTCATAGAGGTGTTTATAGTATTCTCTGATGGTAGTTTGTATTTCTGTGGGATCAGTGGTGATCTCTTCTTTATCATTTTTATTGCATCTATTTGATTCTTCTCTCTTTTCTTCTTTATTAGTCTTGCTAGTGGTCTATCAATTTTGTAGACCTTTTCAAAAAAACAGCTCCTGGATTCATTGATTTTTTGAAGGGTTTTTTTGTGCCTCTATCTCCTTCAGTTCTGCTCTGATCTTAGTTATTTCTTGCCGTCTGCTGGCTTTTGAAATTGTTTGCTGTTGCTTCTCTAGTTCATTTAATTGTGATGTTAGGGTGTCAATTTTAGATCTTTCCTGCTTTCTATTGTGGGCATTTAGTGCTATAAATTTCCCTCCACACACTGCTTTATATGTGTCCCAGAGATTCTGGTACATGGTAACTTTGTTCTCATTGGTTTCAAAAACATCTTTATTTCTCTCTTCATTTCGATATTTATCCAGTAGTCATTCAGAAGCAGGTTGTTCAGTTTACACGTAGTTGTGTGGTTTTGAGTGAGTTTCTTAATCCTGAGTCCTAATTTGACTGTACTGTGGTCTGTGAGACAGTTTGTTGTGATTTCTGTTCTTTCACATTTGCTGTGGAGTGCTTTACTTCCAATTATGTGGTCAATTTTAGAATAACTGTGATGTGGTGCTGAGAAGAATGTATATTCTATTGATTTAAGGTGGAAAGTTCTGTAGACGTCTATTAGGTCTGATTGGTGCAGAGCTGAGGCCAAGTCCTGGATGCACTTGTTAACCTTCTGTCTCATTGATCTGTGTAATATTGACAGTGGGGTGTTAAAGTCTCCCATTATTCTTGTGCGGGAGTCTAAGCCTCTTTGTAGGTCTCTAAGGACTTGCCTTATGAATCTGGGTTCTCCTGCATTGGATGCATATATATTTTGGATAGTTAGCTCTTCTTGTTGAATTGATCTGTTTACCATTATGTAATGGCCTTCTTTGTCTCTTTTGACCTATGTTGGTTTAAAGTCTGTTTTATCAGAGACTAGGATCGCAACCCCTGGATTTTTTTTTGTTTTCCATTTCCTTGGCAGATCTTCCTCCATACTTTATTTTGAGCCTATGTGTCTCTGCATCTGAGATGGGTCTCCTGAATTTAGCACACTGATGGGTCTTGAATCTTTATACGATTTGCCAGTCTGTGTCTTTTAATTGGCGCAATTAGCCCATTTACATTTAAGGTTAATATTGTTATGTGTGAATTTGATCCTGTCATTATGATGCTAGCTGGTTATTTTGCCCATTAATTGATGCAGTTTCTTCATAGCATCAATGGTCTTTACAATTTGGCCTGTTTTTGCAGTGGCTGGTACTGGTTGTTCCTTTCTATTTTTAGTGCCTCCTTCAGGGGCTCTTGTAAGGAAGGCCTGGTGGTGACAAATCTCTCAGCATTTGCTTGTCTGTAAAGGATTTTATTTCTCCTTCACTTATGAAGTTTAGTTTGGCTGGATATGAAATTCTGGGTTGAAAATTATTTTCTTTAACAATGCTGCGGATGAAGCCCACTTGATCATGGTGGATAAGCTTTTTGATGTGCTGCTCTATTCGCTTTGCCAGCATTTTATTGAGGATTTTTGCATCGATGTTCATCAGGGATATTTGTCTAAAATTCTCTTTTTTTGTTGTATGTCTGCCAGGCTTTGGTATCAGGATGACGCTGGCCTCATAAAATGAGTTAGGGAGGATTCCCTCTTTTTCTATTGATTGGAATAGTTTCAGAAGGAATGGTGACAGCTCCTCCTTGTACCTATGGTAGAATTCGGCTGTGAATCCATCTGGTCCTGGACTTTTTTTGGTGGGTAAGCTATTAATTATTGCAAGGCTGGTTCAACATATGCAAATCAATAAACCCAATCCAGCATATAAACAGAACCAATGACAAAAACCTCATGATTATCTCAATAGATGCAGAAAAGGCCTTTGACAAAATTCAGCAACCTTCATGCTAAAAACTGTCAATAAATTTGGTATTGATGGGACGTATCTCAAAATAAGAGCTATCGATGACAAACCCACAGCCAATATCATACTGAATGGGCAAAAACTGGAAGCATTCCCTTTGAAAACTGGCACAAGACAGGGATGCCCTCTCTCACCACTCCTATTCAACATAGTGTTGGAAGTTCTGGTCAGGGCAATCAAGCAGGAGAAGGAAATAAAGGGTATTCAGTTAGGAAAAGAGGAAGTCAAATTGTCCCTGTTTGCAGATGAAATGATTGTATATCTAGAAAACCCCATTGTCTCAGCCCAAAATCTCCTTAAACTGATAGGCAACTTCAGCAAAGTCTCAGGATACAAAATCAATGTGCAAAAATCACAAGCATTCTTATACACCAACAACAGACAAACAGAGAGCCAAATCATGAGTGAATTCCCATTCACAATTGCTTCAAAGAGAATAAAGTACCTAGGAATCCAACTTAAAAGGGATGTGAAGAACCTCTTCAAGGAGAACTACAAACCACTGCTCAATGAAATAAAAGAGGATACAAACAAATGGAAGAACATTCCATGCTCATGGGTAGGAAGAATCAATATCGTGAAAATGACCACACTGCCCAAGGCAATTTAGAGATTCAATGCCATCGCCATCAAGCTACCAATGACTTTCTTCACAGAATTGGAAAAAATTACTTTAAAGTTCATATGGAACCAAAAAAGAGCCTGCATTGCCAAGTCAATCCTAAGCCAAAAGAACAAAGCTGGAGGCATCACGCTACCTGACTTCAAACTATACTACAAGACTACAGTAACCAAAACAGCATGGTACTGGTACCAAAACAGAGATATAGATCAATGGAACAGAACAGAGCCCTCAGAAATAATGCCGCTTATCTACAACTATCTGATCTTTGACAAACCTGACAGAAACAAGAAATGGGGAAAGGATTCCCTATTTAATAAATGGTGCTTGGAAAACTGGCTAGCCATATGTAGAAAGCTGAAACTGGATTCCTTCCTTATAACTTATACAAAAATTATTTCAAGATGGATTAAAGACTTACATTTATTTAGACCTAAAACCATAAAAACCCTTGAAGAAAACCTAGGCAATATGATTCAGGACATAGGCATGGGCAAGGACTTCATGTCTAAAACACCAAAAGCAATGGCAACAAAAGCCAAAATTGACAAATGGGATCTAATGAAACTGAAGAGCTTCTGCACAGCAAAAGAAACTACCATCAAAGTGAACAGGTGACCTACAGAATGGGAGAAAATTTTTGCAATCTACTCATCTGATAAAGGGCTAATATCCAGAATCTACAATGAACTCCAACAAATTTACAAGAAAAAAACAAACGACTCTATCAAAAAGTGGGCAAAGGATATGAACAGACACTTCTCAAAAGAAGACATTTATGCAGCCAAAAAACACATGAAAAAATGCTCATCATCACTGGCCATCAGAGAAATCCAAATCAAAACCACAATGAGATACCATCTCACACCAGTTAGAATGGCAATCATTAAAAAGTCAGGAAACAACAGGTGCTGGAGAGGATGTGAAGAAATAGGAACACTTTTACACTGTTGGTGGGACTGTAAACTAGTTCAACCATTGTGGAAGTCAGTGTGGTGATTCCTTAGGGATCTGGAACTAGAAATACCATTTGACTCAGCCATCCCATTACTGGGTATATACCCAAAGGAATAAAAATCATGGTGCTATAAAGACACATGCACATGTATGTTTACTGCAGCAATATTCACAATAGCAAAGACTTGGAACCAACCCAAATGTCCAACAATGATAGACTGGATCAAGAAAATGTGGCACATATACACCATGGAATACTATGCAGCCATAAAAAATGATGAGTTCATGTCCTTTGTAGGGACATGGATGAAGCTGGAAACCATCATTCTCAGCAAACTATCGCAAGGACAAAAAACCAAACACCACATGTTCTCACTCATAGGTGGGAATTGAACAGTGCGAACACATGGACACAGGAAGGGGAACATCACACACCAGGGCCTGTTGTGGGGTGGGAGAAGTGGGGAGGGATAGCATTAGGAGATATACCTAATGCTAAATGACCAGTTAATGGGTGCAGCACACCAACATGGCACATGTATACATATGTAACAATCCTGCATGTTGTGCACATGTACCCTAAGACTTAAAGTATTATAATTAAAAAAAAAAAAAGAGTGCTGAATATTGGCCCCTACTCTCTTCTGGCTTGTAGGGTTTCTGCAGAGAGACCTGCTGTTAGTCTGATGGTTTCCCTTTGTGGGTAACCCAGCCTTTCTCTCAGGCTGCCCTTAACATTTTTTCCTTGATTTCAACCTTGGTGAATCTGATGCTTATGTGTCTTGTGTTTGCTCTACTCGAGGAGTATCTTTGCGGTGTTCTCTGTATTTCCTGAATTTGAATGTTGGTCTGCCTTGCTAGGTTGAGGAAGTTCTCCTGGATAATCTCCTGAAGAGTGTTTTCCAACTTGGTTCCATTCTCCCCATCACTTTCAGGTACAGCAATCAAACATAGATTTGGTCTTTTCACATAGTCCCATATTTCTTGGAGGCTTTGTTCATTTCTTTTTACTCTTTTTTTTTTTTTTTTTTGAGACAGAGTCTCGCTTTGTTGCCCAGGCTAGAGTGCAGTTACGTGATCTTGGCTCACTGCCAGCTCCCCCTCCTGGGTTCATGCCATTCTTCTGCCTCAGCCTCCTGAGTAGCTGAGACTATAGGTGCCCACCACCACACCCGGCTAATTTTTTGTATTTTTAGTAGCGATGGGGTTTCACTGTGTTAGGCAGGATGGTCTTGATCTCCTGACCTCATGATCCTCCCGCCTCGGCCTCCCAAAGTGTTGGAATTACAGGTGTGAGCCACCGCACCCGGCCTTTACTCTTTTTTCTCTAAACTTGTCTTCTCGCTTTATTTCATTAATTTGGTCTTCAATCACTGATATCCTTTCTTCCACTTGATCGAATAGGCTACTGAAGCTTGTGCATGTGTCACGAAGTTCTCATGCCATGGTTTTCAGCTCCTTCAGGTCAGGTAAGGTCTTCTCTACACTGTTTATTCTAGTTAGCTATCCATCTAACCTTTTTTCAAGGTTTTTAGCTTCCTTGCAATGGGTTAGAACATGCTCCTTTAGCTCAGAGAAGTTTGTTATTACTGACCTTCTGAAGCCTACTTCTGTCAACTCGTCAAAGTCATTCTCCATCCCGCTTTGTTCTGTTGCTGGCGAGGAGCTGCAATCCTTTGGAGGAGGAGAGGCGCTCTGGTTTTTAGAATTTTCAGCTTTTCTGCTCTGGTTTCTCCCCATCTTTGTGGTTTTACCTACCTTTGGTCTTTGATGTTGGTAACCTACAGATGGGGTTTTGGAGTGGATGTCCTTTTTATTGATGTTGATGCTCTTCCTTTCTGTTTGTTACTTTTCCTTCTAACAGTCAGGTCCCTCAGCTGCAGGTCTGTTGGAGTTTGCTGGAGGTCTACTCCAGACCTTGTTGGCCTGGGTATCACCAATGCAGGCTGCAGAACAGCAAATATTGCATAACAGCAAATCTTGCTGCCTCAATCTTCCTCTGGAAGATTCATCCCAGAGGGGCACCTGCCTATATGAGGTGTTTGTTGGCCCCTGCTGGGAGGTGTCTCCCAGTTAGGCTACAGGGGGGTGAGAGACCCACTTGAGGAGGCAGTCTGTCCATTCTCAGAGCTGAAATGTCATGCTGGGAGAACCATTGTTCTCTTCAGAGCTGTCAGACAGGGATGTTTAAGTCTGCAGAAGTTTCTGCTGCCTTTTTTTCAGCTATGCCCTGCCCACAGAGGTGGAGTCTATAGAGGCAGTAGGCCTTGCTGAGCGGTGGTGGGGTCTGCCCAGTTCAAGCTTCCCAGCCGCTTTGTTTACCTACTCAAGCCTCAGCAATGGTGGATGCCCCTCTCCCCACCAGGCTGCAGCGTCGCAGGTTGATCTCAGACTGCTGTGCTAGCAGTGAGTAAGGCTCCGTGGGCATGGGTCCCACCGAGCCAGGCACAGGAGAGAATCTCTTGGTCTGCCAGTTGCTAAGACCATGGGAAAAGCACAGTATTTAGGCGGGAGTGTCCTGTTTTTCCAGGTAGTCTGTCACGGCTTCCCTTGGCTAGGAAAGGGAAATCCCCTGACCCCTTCTACTTCCCGGGTGAGGCCACACCCTGCCATGCTTCGGCTTGCCCTCTGTGGGCTGCACCCACTGTCCAACCAGTCCCAATCAGATGAATCAGGTACCTCAGTCAGAAGTGCAGAAATCGTCTGTCTTCTGTGTGGATCACGCTGGGAGCTGTAGACCGGAGCTGTTCCTATTCATCCATCTTGGATGACAGTTACAAGATATGTATTAATTACAACAGGAAAAATAGTAACTTTACAGTGGAGAAACTTGGTAGACACCAACTGAACTAAGTGATCATGGTTAGGGTCACTACTCATTATGTTATATTTGACAGAAAGTACCTCCTGAGATGATACACTGAGAAGAATACAGCACTACTTCTGTGGTATTCTTGAGAAAATTATATAACCTGAATTTAATCATGAGGAAATATCGAGCTGTTAACATTTTGAATTTAAACATGAGGAAATACGTAAGCTGTTAACATTTCGATAAGCTTGCTAAAGAATATATGGATACTTTCGGTACTATTTTTGCCACTTTTTTGGTAAATCTATTATTATTTCAAAATAAAAAAAATTTAAAAGGAATAAATGAGGACCAAAAATGATATTTTATAAATACATTAATGGCAACAAATACAGATGGTATCCGGGAGGTATAATATGAAAAGTTATTATGAGTTACTCCACATTTTAGTTTCAAATAGTCTATCAGTTATCAAAAGAGCAGATCTCTGAGAAAATTGGACACTGGATAAGTACATTTTGGCTTTGGTGAGGATAGGAAGGGACAAAAGTTTCAGTGTGCTTATCTCATCAGGGCTATACAATGGTAGACTTTGTAGCTTCAGGGGTGAGCAGGAGGACCCTGAAGGCAGGACAAAAAAGAGGAAAAATGCAAAAGAGAGAAGGGAAGAGAGAGCCCAGAATACAATTAGCCAGTGACCTGCTTATGGGAGTTAGCCAGCAAACACTAGGTCTTGCCCTATGTACAGATGAAGTTTTTCCACATCATTTAAAAATTATTTTAATTAGAAAATAACTCAACAACCATAAAATAATGAACACCTTCACATTCAAATGGTACTAGTTGCAAGTGGCCACCACCTGTTAATTACGGGATTTAGAGAGAGCAGTTTCTCCAATTATTTGCATACTTTTCAATTCAACAAATATGTGTAAGTGTCTAACTATGGGTCAAGCTAGTGCTCCATCTGCATTGCTTTTGATATATCTATAGTACTAGTTATTAATCATTAATACATAATACATAATATACATAATACATAATACATAATAATACAGAGTGAACTGTAACCTAATTTGATGCGTAAGCAAACTGCAACCTACTCTTACAGCCAAATCTAATAGCCAAATCTCAGCTAACCACAGGCAGCCAACTGCTCAAAGCAGGTTTGCTAAGGCAAACTCCAAGCCGTAACCAATCCAGCTGTTTCTGTTCCTCCCTTTTGTTTCCTGCACATCACTTTCCTTTTTCCGTTCATAAATGTTATCTGACCATGCAGCAGCCCTGGAGTCACTCTGAACCTATTCTGGTTCTGGGAACTGTCTGATTTGTGAATTATTCTTTGCTCATTTAAACTCTGTTAAATTTATCTAAAGTTTTTCTTTTAACTGAATAAATGACACTTTCTTCTAATGAGGTAAAAATACTGCTGGCATAATTATTTCTAACACAGATTTGAAATCTAGATATAAAAAGGGGCATCTTGCATTCTCAAAAAAGTTAATAACTATAAATAATAATAGCCACTATTTATTGAGCACTTACTATGTGCCAGGTACTCACCATGTGCTTTTCATGCAGTATCTCATGTAATGTTTGTTAAACAGTATTGTTGTGCTGTTTAGAGATTAGGAAATGGAGATAGAGTTCAAGTAACTGCCCATCAAATAACCCCAAATCTGTTTTAACATCAGAGTCCTCAAATATAGTCATCATGCCAAATCTTTCAAGCCCACAGCAGGGTTCTCTCCAATGCTATTGCTTTATTTCACCACCCACTGTTGTCTTATGACCATCACATAACAAGAGTAACTCCAGACTCAAAGTATCCTGCCAGCAGAAGAGCAGGATATAGTTATTTTCCTTATCTGGATGGCTTACTTCTCTTTGTGATCTTATTTTGCACTTTATACATTCCAGAACTCAGTTCATTCGCTGCATTCTTTATGGGAAAAGACAGAACATAATGGGAAAAAGCATTTCTAAGATTCTACTAAAAGATTTCTGAAACTGAAACAGATTATGTCTTTTAGCAGAAGGCTTATCTTTAAAGTTTTGTTATTATCAACCTTTAACCAGTCTCCAGATTTATAATTGCTCTATCTATAATCTAAGGAATCCCTACAGTGCTGGATTCTCAAAAGGTGAAAGTTCTAATCACCCAGGGGTCAGGGAAGACTTCAAGGAATTTAGTTTCTTTTCTCATTTCTGCCCCTTTGGCAATTCCCTTCACCTCTCCAATCTTTCTCTCCTTTGTCACTTTCTGGGATACATGAGATCTGCCAAAGAGAAGTCGAGTTACTCTATCCAGAGCCATTTTCTTTATTCACAGATTGCAGAGGAGAAATTCAAAGTTGAAAATTGTTCAGGCCCAAGAAAAATACATAAACAAGCAGCCAGTGTAGACACCAGAGGGAAAAAAAATGCTACACTTGGAAGAACTCCTTAATACCTTATTCGATAAAAATCTCCTGCCCTCCCAAACTATTCCTTTAAAACAAATGAGCCCACTCATTCCTAAATGGTGATGCTGTGGTGACCCTATACCATAGCTTTCAACCCCCAGCTGTGTAGCCAGTCTCTATTAAACCATGCCTAGTATGTGCTCCCCAAGGGAATGTCCAGATTTTCTAGAAAAACAACAGTGGCTCTAGAACCTGAGGAGCTCTTCTAAAGATGGCAATGAGGCAACTTAAGTGCTACCAAAAGAATTCCTCATTGGCCAGGCTCCATGGGGAAACATCTGAGATCTAAACACTTAAGCCATGTGGCTGTCATATGTCTTCTATGTTTTTCAGGCCACTCAGATCCCAAATCGCAAGAAGTTGAAAAACATGGGATTTTCATGTAAATTCTGTACAATTACTCATAGGTGATGTTCTGCCACACATACTTGTAGGTGTGACATAAATCTGGACTTAGGAAATATGGTTTTTAAGAGCCTGTCATTGCTGTGGATTTAGTTTTAGGGAGCTATGAAGAAACTTTAGGCTGACCCTGACAGAGTGGAAGGAACAAAAGAAGACAGCAGAGGGTATGAGAGAATCGGAGGAAGAAAAAAATTAGGAGGCAGAACAAAAGAGAAAAAAGTGAGAAGGAAGAGATGTTCAAGCCATATGTTTCTTATGGTGCGAAGGCATACATGAGGTGGAAAAGATTCCAGAAGAATTTTGCTATAAATGTAAAAATAGAATTGCCCATTTCTGGGTTAAGAATACATTTCTTCCAGGAAGAGTGTTGTGTGTTTTGTTTTATTCTTAACCTGAGTCCCTTGACCCTTAAGTGGCTCATTGTATAAGCTGTGCGGAGTTCATGAATCCCTTGAAATTACCTACAATATGTGGCATGTTCAACTCTATGCATGTGTGGCAGTCTGGTTATATCAGTTTTTCAAATAGTTTTTTTTTCTTTTGCCCAAAGGAAGTTAAAACCAGGGCACAAAAAGGAATTTATTTGTAGTTTACCTTGGATCACCAACTGAAGTTCTGAGTTCACTTAACTGTGAAAGGATTCATTACTCTATTCCTGAGAAAATTAATCCACGAATCTCAGACCTAGAAAAAATTGAAATGCTATGTGTCCCATTTATTTGCTTTCAGAAAGAACTATGGCCTAAAATAAGTGAAAATATATTCATTTTTCAACCTCTGCAGAGCAGATTGCCAAACCTTTTTTGGTAGCCTATTCATCTGTCACATTTCTCACCATAAGGAAGTTCTTCTTTATGTCAAGCCTAACTCCCTCATGCTGCAAAATAATTTGGTCTCATATGTTTAACAATGCAGCATTTTTGGACACTGTTATTATATCCATCCTCAGCTTTCTCCCAGTACTTCTGACTCTTCCATGAGTCATTCTCAAAACTATAAATCATCTTCACTGGCTTTCCTTTGAATTATTTCCCTTTTACGCTTTTCTCTAAATTCAGAAGTGAGGATACTGGAAAGAGATTGATAAAGCCCTCAGTTGATTGGTAGACTTCCCTATGGTCATTGGCTTACCACAGCCTATATGACATATAATAGTAAGTTGCCAGAAATAAGAACTATAGGATTGCCCTATGAGAGTGAAATTATAAAATTAATATAAAACATCCCAGATTAAGACAGATTTAATGGGAAAAAAATCCAGAACCAACAGGATGGTCATTTGATTAAAGATCACATACTATGAGAAAGATGGTGTTGCTCAGAAGAGGTGTTGATCAACCAGGAAAGCTTGAAAAGGGAGAATCACAGAGTTAGATCTTGGCAATGCCCACCCAAACAATATCCAGGGAAGAGGGTGTTGGTCAGGTTATTCTGACACTTGGCCACGATGGTCTCCTTGTGGAGATTGCTATAGTAGCTCTGAAATCTTGCTGTCATTACACCAACCATGGAACCCACTGGGGATTTGGCTGTCCTTGTCACTTGCCTATAGGAAGCAGAGGTGCTATTCAGACCAACATGACTTTCTGGTCTCTGGCAGTTATATTTTTCATAGAAAGTTAACAAATTGGTATTCTGTTAGCACCCAATTTGTGTCAGCCTGCTCTATATTTAATCAACTATATCATCAAAGAAAACAAATTTCTGCATCTGTAAGACAGAGTTAGACCCAGGGCAGAGGTGAATGCCACCTCCTAGAGCCTTATCATTGCTTCCTCCCTGGATGCTTTATTCAAACTTGAGTTCTTCGTACTTTTCTTTAGGCAAAAGGAAGGCTGAACAATTCCTAAAGTTTCCAGAAGTTCTAAGACTCTGTTTTCATAATATCACCAAATAGTTTCTTTTTTTTTAACACATTTAGTCAGTCCATTTTTATTTATATGTGTGCAATTTTGCATTTCTCCCACATGACTGTGCTTTATAAAAATCTAGCATTTTGTATATGCTTAATTTTTGATTCTAATCCTAATTCCAGTTCAACATGTTGGCCACTCAATCTCTCATTTTACTGTCTAGCTTGTTGTCATGGGAAAATAAATGAATAAATGAGAATGGTCTCCTTTATATCATTTGTCAACAGAAGATTGATAATATTCTTCGGTGTGGTCTGCATGGGGAAGCCAAAGTCTGATTTGTTTGAGGTGACAAGTAGTAGTCACTCTTTGGAGACTGCTGGATGGTCTGTTGTTAACCTGACATCATGCATTCCCTCCTATGTGATGTAGATGTGTAGGGAAATCCATTGCATAGAATGTTCTTTTTTGTGTGATTGCATATTAGAATTTGCCAGTGAAAACAATTGATGCAAGATTGGGAAGGCAGAGGGAAGAGAAGCCATTATGCCCAAGAACAATTGTTGCGGAGGCCAAACGTGTTGGTAAACAGGTTCCTTAGGCTTCTTCAGAGTGCCTGCTTTGCTGCTTCAGACTGCTCTGTTGGTGGAAGCTTTTCTAGAGAGTATTGGGAATTTCATCCATTTCCCCCCAAAATTTAGAGGACATACATTTTAGGTTAAGGTAACTGTTTCCCTAGCCTCTAACCTATACAGCCTCCCTAACCCTCACTCCTCAGCTCTGTCCATATCCCAGAGGCCCTAATTCCTCTGTGAAACCCCTTTAATCCTATCACACATGTCAAAGCCCAACTAATTCAGATACCAGGTAATGATGTACCTATATTTTTCCAGGTTTCTGAAGAAGTTATATGTGACAAATTCAAAAGTCTTGCAAAGTCAGGAAAGATTATATCTATTATTTTGCATTGTACCCTAGCCAGATATTTTGTTATAAAAGTTTAAACCAACAGGACTTTTTCTTTACAAATCAATGATGATAATTCCTTATATTTCAGTCCTCTTCAGGGTGCTTATTAACTGATTTTGGTATCCCTCTGAATCATACACTTTGTGATATGATTTTTATTAGCCTTGCTCTACTCCACAATCAAATACGAGAAAACTTACCTGGAGGTTAAATCCTGAAGGGAAGGTAAACATAAAGTCTATTGGTTATGATATCAAATGTTTACTTGAGTAAAAGAAAATGTTTTTTATTGAACTTTAGCATTTTCTTCCTAACATTGGCAGGTTTATACATTAATATTAGCTTCTAAACAGGTATCCAACTCAGAACTCTTCATTGATGGTCCATCCCTAGCGAAGTGTCCTTAACTCATTGGCTCTGAAGAAGAAAAAGGAATATGACACTAGCAGGCATCATGTGCATTTAAACAAAGTCACCCTTAAAGAAATGCTGTAACTCATACATGCAACTTAAAAGCAGTCACCGGAGATCGAGGAGCCAAGATGGCCGAATAGGAACAGCTCCGGTCTACAGCTCCCAGCGTGAGCGACGCAGAAGACGGGTGATTTCTGCATTTCCATCTGAGGTACCGGGTTCATCTCACTAGGGAGTGCCAGACAGTGGGGGCAGGTCACTGGGTGCATGCACCGTGCGCGAGCCGAAGCAGGGCGAGGCATTGCCTCACTTGGGAAGCGCAAGGGGTCAGGGAGTTCCCTTTCTGAGTCAAAGAAAGGGGTGACGGATGGCACATGGAAAATCGGGTCACTCCTACCCGAATACTGCGCTTTTCCGACCGGCTTAAAAAACGGTGCACCACGAGATTATATCCCACACCTGGCTCGGAGGGTCCTGCGCCCACAGAGTCTCGCTGATTGCTAGCACAGCAGTCTGAGATCAAACTGCAAGGCGGCAGCGAGGCTGGGGGAGGGGCGCCTGCCATTGCCCAGGCTTGCTTAGGTAAACAAAGCAACCTGGAAGCTCCAACTGGGTGGAGCCCACCACAGCTCAAGGAGGCCTGCCTGCCCCTGTAGGCTCCACCTCTGGGGGCAGGGCACAGACAAACAAAAAGACAGCAGTAACCTCTGCAGACTTAAATGTCCCTGTCTGACAGCTTTGAAGAGAGCAGTGGTTCTCCCAGCACGCAGCTCGAGATCTGAGAACGGGCAGACTGCCTCCTCAAGTGGGTCCCTGACCCCTGATCCCCGAGCAGCCTAACTGGGAGGCACCCCCCAGCAGGGGCACACTGACACCTCACACGGCAGGGTACTCCAACAGACCTGCAGCTGAGGTTCCTCTCTGTTAGAAGGAAAACTAACAAACAGGACATCCACACCAAAAACCCATCTGTACATCACCATCATCAAAGACCAAAAGTAGATAAAACCACAAAGATGGGGAAAAAACAGAACAGAAAAACTGGAAACTCTAAAAAGCAGAGCACCTCTCCTCCTCCAAAGGAACGCAGTTCCTCACCAGCAACGGAAAAAAGCTGGATGGAGAATGACTTTGACGAGCTGAGAGAAGAAGGCTTCAGACGATCAAATTACTCTGAGCTACGGGAGGACATTCAAACCAAAGGCAAAGAAGTTGAAAACTTTGAAAGAAATTTAGAAGAATGTATAACTAGAATAACCAATACAGAGAAGTGCTTAAAGGAGCTGATGGAGCTGAAAACCAAGGCTCGAGAACTATGTGAAGAATGCAGAAGCCTCAGGAGCCGATGCGATCAACTGGAAGAAAGGGTATCGGCAATGGAAGATGAAATGAATGAAATGAAGCGAGAAGGGAAGTTTAGAGAAAAAAGAATAAAAAGAAATGAGCAAAGCCTCCAAGAAATATGGGACTATGTGAAAAGACCAAATCTACGTCTGATTGGTGTACCTGAAAGTGATGGGGAGAATGGAACCGAGTTGGAAAACACTCTACAGGATATTATCCAGGAGAACTTCCCCAATCTAGCAAGGCAGGACAACATTCAGATGCAGGAAATACAGAGAATGCCACAAAGATACTCCTCGAGAAGAGCAACTCCAAGACACATAATTGTCAGATTCACCAAAGTTGAAATGAAGGAAAAAATGTTAAGGGCAGCCAGAGAGAAATGTCGGGTTACCCTCAAAGGGAAGCCCATCAGACTAACAGCGGATCTCTCGGCAGAAACCCTACAAGCCAGAAGAGAGTGGGGGCCAATATTCAACATTCTTAAAGAAAAGAATTTTCAACCCAGAATTTCATATCCAGCCAAAGTAAGCTTCATAAGCGAAGGAGAAATAAAATCCTTTACAGACAAGCAAATGCTGAGAGATTTTGTCACCACCAGGCCTGCCTTACAAGAGCTCCTGAAGGAAGCACTAAACATGGAAAGGAACAACCGGTACCAGCCGCTGCAAAATCATGCCAAAATGTAAAGACCATCGAGACTAGGAAGAAACTGCATCAACTAATGAGCAAAATAACCAGCTAACATCATAATGACAGGAGCAAATTCACACATAACAATATTAACTTTAAATGTAAATGGACTAAATGCTCCAATTAAAAGACACAGACTGGCAAATTGGATAAAGAGTCAAGACCCATCAGTGTGCTGTATTCAGGAAACCCATCTCACGTGCAGAGACACACATAGGCTCAAAATAAAAGGATGGAGGAAGATCTACCAAGCAAATGGAAAACAAAAAAAGGCAGGGGTTGCAATCCTAGTCTCTGATAAAACAGACTTTAAACCAACAAAGATCAAAAGAGACAAAGAAGGCCATTACATAATGGTAAAGGGATCAATTCAACAAGAAGAGCTAACTATCCTAAATATATATGCACCCAATAAAGGAGCACCAAGATTCATAAAGCAAGTCCTGAGTGACCTACAAAGAGACTTAGACTCCCACACATTAATAATGGGAGACTTTAACACCCCACTGTCAACATTAGACAGATCAACGAGACAGAAAGTCAACAAGGATACCCAGGAATTGAACTCAGCTCTGCACCAAGCGGACCTAATAGACATCTACAGAACTCTCCACCCCAAATCAACAGAATATACATTTTTTTCAGCACCACACCACACCTATTCCAAAATTGACCACATACTGGGAAGTAAAGCTCTCCTCAGCAAATGTAAAAGAACAGAAATTATAACAAACTATCTCTCAGACCACAGTGCAATCAAACTAGAACTCAGGATTAAGAATCTCACTCAAAACCGCTCAACTACATGGAAACTGAACAACCTGCTCCTGAATGACTACTGGGTACATAACGAAATGAAGGCAGACATAAAGATGTTCTTTGAAACCAATGAGAACAAAGACAAAATATACCAGAGTCTCTGGGACGCATTCAAAGCAGTGTGTAGAGGGAAATTTATAGCACTAAATGCCCACAAGGGAAAGCAGGAAAGATCCAAAATTGACACCCTAACATCACAATTAAAAGAAATAGAAAAGCAAGAGCAAACACATTCAAAAGCTAGCAGAAGGCAAGAAATAACTAAAATCAGAGCAGAACTGAAGGAAATAGGGACACAAAAAACCCTTCAAAAAATTAATGAATCCAGGAGCTGGTTTTTTGAAAGGATCAACAAAATTGATAGACTGCTAGCAAGACTAATAAAGAAAAAAAGAGAGAAGAATCAAATAGACACAATAAAAAATGATAAAGGGGATGTCACCACCGATCCCACAGAAATACAAACTACCATCAGAGAATACTACAGACACCTCTACGCAAATAAACTAGAAAATCTAGAAGAAATGGATAAATTCCTCGACACATACACTCTCCCAAGACTAAACCAGGGAGAAGTTGAATCTCTGAATAGACCAATAACAGGAGCTGAAATTGTGGCAATAATCAATAGCTTACCAACGAAAAAGAGTCCAGGACCAGATGGATTCACAGCCGAATTCTACCAGAGGTACAAGGAGGAACTGGTACCATTCCTTCTGAAACTATTCCAATAAATAGAAAAAGAGGGAATCCTCCCTAACTCATTTTATGAGGCCAGCATCATTCTGATACCAAAGACAGGCAGAGACACAACAAAAAAAGAGAATTTTAGACCAATATCCTTGATGAACATTGATGCAAAAATCCTCAATAAAATACTGGCAAAACAAATCCTGCAGCACATCAAAAAGCTTATCCACCATGATCAAGTGGGCTTCATCCCTGGGATACAAGGCTGGTTCAATATACACAAATCAATAAATGTAATCCAGCATATAAACAGAGCCAAAGACAAAAACCACATGATTATCTCAATAGATGCAGAAAAAGCCTTTGACAAAATTCAACAATCCTTCATGCTAAAAACTCTCAATAAATTAGGTATTGATGGGACGTATCTCAAAATAATAAGAGCTATCTATGACAAACCCACAGCCAATATCATACTGGATGGGCAAAAACTGGAAGCATTCTCTTTGAAAACTGGCACAAGACAGGGATGCCCTCTCTCACCACTCCTATTCAACATAGTGTTGGAAGTTCTGGCCAGGGCAATTAGGCAGGAGAAGGAAATAAAGGGTATTCAATTAGGAAAAGAGGAAGTCAAATTGTCCCTGTTTGCAGACAACATGATTGTATATCTAGAAAACCCCATTGTCTCAGCCCAAAATCTCCTTAAGCTGATAAGCAACTTCAGCAAAGTCTCAGGATACAAAATCAATGTACAAAAATCACAAGCATTCTTATACACCAACAACAGACCAACAGAGAGCCAAATCATGAGTGAACTCCCATTCACAATTGTTTCAAAGAGAATAAAATACCTAGGAATCCTACTTACAAGGGATGTGAAGGACTTCTTCAAGGAGAACTACAAACCACTGCTCAAGGAAATAAAAGAGGATACAAACAAATGGAAGAACATTCCATGCTCATGGGTTGGAAGAATCAATATCGTGAAAATGGCCATACTGCCCAAGGTAATTTAGAGATTCAATGCCATCCCCATCAAGCTACCAATGACTTTCTTCACAGAATTGGAAAAAATTACTTTAAAGTTCATATGGAACCAAAAAAGAGCCCGCACCGCCAAGTCAGTCCTAAGCCAAAAGAACAAAGCTGGAGGCATCACACTACCTGACTTCAAACTATACTACAAGGCTACAGTAACCAAAACAGCATGGTACTGGTACCAAAACAGAGATATAGATCAATGGAACAGAACAGAGCCCTCAGAAATAATGCTGCATATCTACAACTATGTGATCTTTGATAAACCTGAGAAAAACAAGCAATGGGGAAAGTATTCCCTATTTAATAAATGGTGCTGGGAAAACTGGCTAGCCATATGTAGAAAGCTGAAACTGGATCCCTTCCTTACACCTTATACAAAAATCAATTCAAGATGGATTAAAGACTTAAACATTAGACCTAAAACCATAAAGACCCTAGAAGAAAACCTAGGCCATTCAGGACATAGGCATGGGCAAGGACTTCATGTCTAAAACACCAAAAGCAATGGCAACAAAAGTCAAAATTGACAAATGGGATCTCATTAAACTAAAGAGCTTCTGCACAGCAAAAGAAACTACCATCAGAGTGAACAGGCAACCTACAAAATGGGAGAAAATTTTCGCACCCTACTCATCTGACAAAGGGCTAATATCCAGAATCTACAATGAACTCAAACAAATTTACAAGAAAAAAACAAACAACCCCATCAAAAAGTGGGTGAAGGACATGAACAGACACTTCTCAAAAGAAGACATTTATGCAGCCAAAAAACACATGAAAAAATGCTCATCATCACTGGCCATCAGAGAAATGCAAATCAAAACCACAATGAGATACCATCTCACACCAGTTAGAATGGCAATCATTAAAAAGTCAGGAAACAACAGGTGCTGGAGAGGATGTGGAGAAATAGGAACACTTTTACACTGTTGGTGGGACTGTAAACTAGTTCAACCATTGTGGAAGTCAGTGTGGCGATTCCTCAGGGATCTAGAACTGGAAATACCATTTGACCCAGCTATCCCATTATTGGGTATATATCCAAAGGACTATAAATCATGCTGCTATAAAGACACATGCACACGTATGTTTATTGTGGCATTATTCACAATAGCAAAGACTTGGAACCAACCCAAATGTCCAACAATGATAGACTGGATTAAGAAAATGTGGCATATATACACCATGGAATACTATGCAGCCATAAAAAATGATGAGTTCATGTCCTTTGTAGGGACATGGATGAAATTGGAAATCATCATTCTCAGTAAACTATCGCAAGAACAAAAAACCAAACACTGCATATTCTCACTCGTAGGTGGGAATTGAACAATGAGATCACATGAACACAGGAAGGGGAATATCACACTCTGGGGACTGTTGTGGGGTGGGGGGAGGGGGGAGGGATAGCATCGGGAGATATACCTAATGCTAGATGACGAGTTAGTGGGTGCAGCGCACCAGCATGGCACATGTATACATATGTAACTAACCTGCACAATGTGCACATGTACCCTAAAACTTAAAGTATAATAAAAAATAAAAAATAAAAAAATAAAATAGCATCAAATAAAGAAATAATAATTAATTTGGAAAATGTGATACAAGAGTTTACTCTGAAAATTAAAAATTATTGTTTAAAGAATATGTAAATAATTAGCAAACATCTTACAGCCATGAATTGGAAGATTTAATATTGTAGTACTTTACAATTTGAACTACAGATTTGATGAAATCCCTGCAAGTATCCCAACCGACTTCTGTCTAGAAACTGACAAGCTGATTCTAAAATACACATGGAATTGTAAGGGACTCAAAATAGCCAAAATAATCTTGAAAAAAGAAACCATATTAGGATAATTCACACCCCCATGCTCCAAACCTTACTGCAAAGTATCAGTAATCAAGACAACACAATACTGATGAAGGAAAAATATATAGATTGATGGAAGAGAATTGAGAGTCCATATATAAAACTATGTGTCTATAGTCAATGGATTCTTACAGTGGTGCCATGTGCAATTCAATGAGGAAGAGACAGTCTTTGAACAAACTGGGTCAACAACGTACACGTGGATCACCACTTGCAAAATAATAAATTCGAACCCTTACCCCAAAGCATACAAAAATATTAACTCCAATGAATTAAAGACACACATGCAAGAGCTAGAATAAAGCATATGGGAAAATCTTCAGGATTTTGGATCTAGCAAAGAAATAGCTGTAACACCAAAAACATGAGCAACAAAATAAAAATTAGATATTTAAAATTTCTTAAAAATTAAAGACATTGGTGTTTCAAAGGACAACCAAGCAAGTCAAAAGGCAGCTCAAAAATTGTGAGAAGATATTTGAAAAACACGTATCTATATGTCTGTATATATATGTATCTTGAATATAGAAAAACTGTTTTAACTCAGTAACAAATATCCCAACTCAAAACTGATAAATGATAGGAATAGATGTGTTTCCCAAGAAGATACACGAACGGTCAATAATCCCATAAAAAGATACTCAATAGCATCACTCATCAGGCAACTACAAATCAAAACCACAGTTAGATACTCTATGGCAAGATTTGGCCACTTTGGAAAATAATTTGATGGCTTCTAAATATATTAAACATAGAATTATAAAAATAAATAAATAAATAAATAAATAAAAATAAAAGCAGTCACCAAAATGTCTTAAGTGAATAAAACATTAAGATTTTCATGAGACATGGAGCTGGTTCCAAAGAATAGACCATCATTACTCTTCCTCTCTATCAAGAAATTAGTTAACTAGCACAGAGGGAGAACATAATTAAGAGCACTTCCATTACCCAGGGTCTGATGGGCTTCATCTGCAATAACAATTTGGAGACGTTTGCCAAGCAATCCACATACTTCTAACCAGTGACATGCCCAGTATATTTGATACTCAGAGAAGATCATTTTTCAGTAACCTCTTCCTCTGTATGACAAAATTATTTTCAGCAAGAACTATCATATGAAACTAAAATAATGTCCTGGAAAAAATACAAGGAAAATTTTTCTTTATTAAACTTAATATACATAATAATATAATAAATACATAAATAAATGTTACAGTACTAAAAAAGAAAAAGTATTGGATTACTTTCTCAATGTTCTTGACTTAAAATAAAAGGAAAATGTACTTATGTATTGGTTTGTTATAGCAATGAATAGTTAACATTATAATTTCTCTTTTTGAGTCTTAGCTTCCACTAATTTTAAAATTCTAAGTATAAATAACTCCAAGTGGTCACATAAAATGATGGAATTAAAATAACTCAACCTCCATTTAATTATACCTACAATTCCTATTTAAAATCCACATTTTTGACACAGGAATATGTAACGTTACAAACTGTGGCCAAGAAAGCTCCAATGATTCCAAACTATTACAAACTTTCTCTTGAAACAAATATATTGTGGCTGAGTCCCACATGTCAGGGGCCAACTTCACATATGGAAATTCTCTAATTAACTTGCATATGAAATACAATATTCATTAAAAAATAAGTTTTTTAAAATGAGCTAATTTCAAGTACATATATATATATGTAATTAAAACACAACAGTAATTTCTCTACTTATTAAATCTTAAGCCAACAAAATATTTTTTTCAGGGAAGAGTATTTTTCCCACTGAGAATATTTAGACTTGTGGGCCACATTGATAACAAAAATGGACCAACTCTTAATTGGTTTTATTATTGTTTTTACCTTCTTTATAGACAATGTACCCCCTTATTGCCTGTATCTCAGGTAGATTGATCCCAATGACTCAACTTTCAGTATGCTACTTCCTCCAACTTGATGAAGTTGGATTGCAGTCTTGATGGATCATATTCTTCTTACAGTAATTTAAAATAATCCCTTTACTTTCAACCATAGATCAAATACAGTTATCTACTTTTTCCACAGAAGTCTACTGCACAAACTTTCTTTACCCAGGACCTATATTCGCAAAATTCTCAGAACAAACCCTGAATGCTTGACCTGGGATGGCCAACTCAGTAAGATCTCTATTTAGAGAGTCTTGCTTCTATCTCATTCATTTCTCTCCCTGCCAAGGTTATGTCAGTGAATGACTTCCCCAAAGGTATCCTTCCTCTTGTTTCATGATATCACTGAACCTAACATGCAAAGGCTCAAGCCTTCATTGTGTCTGCTTGCTCTCAACATAGTACATTTTCCTTCCAAAGGAGATACATGGGGGTCAAGTTTGTTCTTTGTTGCCTCTTTCTAAAGACATGCCATGCTTTCTTATATCTTAGTATTATTTCATCTTCTTTATTTCTTTATATACTTCCTATGGACTTATGAGACATCATTAAATAGTTTTTAATGATGAAGTAATGATACTTTAATGATAAAGTAATTTCCCACTTTTCATTCCTGATGTTCTTGGGCCATATTTTTGCCTTTAGGAAAATTTTAGACTGTAATGTGTTCTGGCTGAGAAAAAGAACCTTAAGCCTTTTTTTTTTTTTTTTTTTTTTTTTTTGCCTTTCTGTTACCTAGATGTCTTTTCAAGTAAAAGTATTTAGCAATTAAAACAGTTTTGTGGCCATGAAATGTTAAGCTCATCCAAGTCCATGCAGGCTTCAATTCACTGATTTATTGTTTGTTGTAAGTACAATTTATTTAGATGTATGACTTATTATTTGTGTAAACATCTATTATATAAACATGTATTGTGCAAATATATTATTAGAGCTTCAAATGTGTCAGAAATTTGCTAGGTGTTGAAGATAGAGTAATGAACAAGGCAGGAAATTATTTCTGGCTTCATGTAGCTAACAATCTATAAGTGACTTAATGTTACACTCTTTATTTACTTAAAGAATTACTCAACTCCTGAAGTGATCTCAGGAAGCACATCTGCAAAGCCTCTCATAAAAGACTGTGGTTCAGCCAAAGATTTCATGATCTATAAGTGCATTCAGTTAGAACACAGGGTGACTGGAGGCAATATTCCATAACAATTAAGATTTCAGGTTACAGAGCCAGGCAGTCCTGGGTCAAATTTTGGCTTTCTTCACTGGGTGGCAGTAAACCTTGGCAATCCAATGGACTTCTCTGTCCTTTACTTTTCCCAGGGTCAAACGAGATTAAAAAATAGTACATATCTAATAGGGTTGTGAGGACTAAAATAAAATATACGGGCTTAGAACAACACTTAGCACATAGTAAATGATTGATAAAGTCAGCCATTATTATTATTAATTTTCATTAGTATTTTCTACTTAAATATTTAAGTAAAACACTCAGTAGCTGAAAATGAGAAACAAAATGTAAGACCCTTGAGCCTTTAAAGTTCAAAATCAATGTGCTAATACTTTGGAGTTGTATTGGATGTTGGAGTAGTTTATAAATGTATCAGTCAGAATCCAGGCAGGAAAACAGAACCCATGCTACGTATTTCAAATAGAGAGGATTCCCCACAAAGGTATTGACAGGGTTAGAAGGGGAAAAGGAAGGAGTGGGGGTATCTGGAGATCAGGAAGCTGCTGATGTGCCCTCAGCTGGTGCCCACTGGGTTGCACCTGCTGCCTTGCCGCTGAAGACGCTGACACTGTCAGTACTGAAACCACTGTGACTGGGGCCGAAAATACCCTGGTCTGTTGCCAGGACTGGACTACTTGCAAGGATGTGCTGCTGGGGAAACTACCATCACCCTTCTGCCACTCTCAGAAAGTACCAGCAACTGTTAGTCCCTGCCATGGAGTGGGAGCCAGAAACGGAAATCTTTCTTCTTTCTGCCTTCTGGTCTCCCACCAGGGTCTCCCACCAGGGTCTCCCACCAGTGTCTCCCACTAAAAAAAACCTAATGGGAAGGCAGCTGGCAAGGGAGCCTGGGAAATGTAGATTTCAGACTACCAGTCCCAGTTGCACAAAACAAATAGAGAATGGCAGATATGGAGCCGAGGGACAATAGGTAAATAACACAGAAAATAAAACATACTCAGATCCATCATCAAATCAAAGGTAAAGAGTCATCAAGATAATTTAAGCAACTTGAAGTTGGAAGATAAAACTACTTACATTTTCTTTTCTGCCCACTTTTGATTGCTTTAGCATTTGATTTTGTTTTAGCTATGTTTCATATTTATCCTGGCACAAACTCCACCATAGAATTTATTAGAGGTTTTACACCCTGATTTTTTTTAAAGAGGTTAAAAAATATTTTAAAATGAAAGAATTCTAACATTCAGAACAGAATTTTAAAATGCCACTTTATCCTTCCTACTAATCAATGCTGCCAGATTGCTGTTTTGGTAATGCGCACTGCAGAGATGTTGGTATTATCTTACTCTCTGGGTCACAAGCAGGGTGTGGGAGCTTCTGAATAGCTTCCCTAGCAAATAAAAACCATGCCAAGAAACTAGTAATGGGTAATGATTATTGTCCAAAAGACATGGAAAGTAGCTTTTCAGAAAACATGACCAGTGGCAAGCCAGTACAGTGTCATTAAACAGTCAGGAAAAAAAACAATAGTCATGATTTCTCCTATTTAGTTCTTAAATAATTTTTGTGCTCAAAAAATCTAAGAAATCATATAAGAAGATATTCATTCAGATGTTTAACAGCTACTAAATATACATTATCAAAAGTGTTTCCTGATATTAGGTCTGAAATAGCTAGTTCTACTAGTTAGAATCTGTGTTAATGAAACTAAGATCAGAGTTAATTCTTACTTGGGCTGGTTACTTTGCATGAGAAACACTGTTCCAGGATCAGGTACAAGTGGATATATTAGAATTTGGACATGGACATGGGTATATCATCTGAAAAGGAGTTAGCACATAAATAGAACACAGTGGCTATTTATGTGGTACCATTTGAGGGACTTCATGGTGAGACCCTCATAAAATCTGTCTCATTCTCTTTTCCCTTCTCAGTATGATTGTTATTGCCCTAATAAAATAATAACCTGACTTCTCTTCAACCTCTTTAGAGTGGTCCATATCAAATAATACCTTCACGAAGTTTAGATATTGGCCAGATAAGAAACAGGTAGAAGCCTTGGGCTGGTTATGTCAGGGATCCTAAGACTGAAGAAAGGGGTGGAATGGAGAGACTGAAAGCATTAATTGAAAATTATACCTTCAGGGCAACTCACCAGATCATATATTATTTGAAAGACAACACGATGTTCTAGGAAGAACACAGGCCCTGGCATCACTCAGATGGGAACTTAAATATGTTTTTCTACTTCTCTGAACTTAGGAATAATATAGGTAAAATCACCCAACACAGAGCATACTTTCAATAAAAGGCCGCATTTGTTTTTGGTTATGTACACATGAACATCAAGTGCACAATCGGTCATTATGACATGAGTTGATTTTGTGAAGATAAAAAATGCAGATATACCAGCGGGGCATGAAGTTTCTCCTCCACACAGCACTGGAGCAGTATTTACCCATGTTTGTACAGCTGGCCTCAAAGCTGCCTGTCTGTCTGTGAGTGGGGAGCCAGCTGAGAGCAGGCCTAATCTTAGGACTCCAGGGAGCAACTAGCAGCAGAGGATACAACCCTGAGAATTCACCAAAGAAAATTCTGCCATTTGTTCTGCTGGGATTTTATAATCTTGATCAAAGTGATAATCTGAAAGATCTGGACTAAGTTTCTTATGTTTTAAATTAATAAATACTTAAAAATAACATAGGAGCAGGAATGAAAAAGCCTTGCTCTGCCCTCTCTGTGCTTCCGTGGGGAGCTGTTTGAACTCTTTACGATGTAACAGGCCCCTCACACTGAATATCCAGGAAGCCTTCTTAAAGCAGGTGAGATCTGAGCAGAGACTTGAATAGTAAAAAGCAGCCAGTTATGGGATGGTCCGGAGAAAGAGCTGATAAGGTAGAGGAAAGAGCAAGTGCAAAGGCTGTGAGGTAGGAGCAAGGTCACAGTGTCCAAGAAACGGAAAGAAGGCCAGTGGGACGAGGACATGGTGAGCCACAGGGAGAATGATTTGAGCTTAGGTCCAAAAGCAGGCAGGGGCTTAATGATGGCGGGCCTTGGGTTTTGTTCCATGATAAGTGGCAAACCACCGGAGGGTCTGAGGCACACAGAGGCCATAATCTGAATACTTGTTTAAGAGACTGTTCTGGCAGCTCTAAGAGTGTAGGGAGGAGGAGTGGAAGCAGGGAGGTTGCTTAAAGACCACCACAGTTTAGGCAAGAGATGACAGTGGTAGCAGTGGAGAGAAAGAGAAGGGGACAAATTCTATTTATTGGAGGAAGATCAGTAGAACTAGTTGGTGAAGCAGCTGTGTGAGATGATAGACGGCTGCTCCAATACAGGTGTGGGGCAGGCAGAACGCTGGGTTTAACCAACCTTGGAGTTTCCCCAGGTGAACACAGTGAAGGGATGAGATGCAAGGGGAGAGGCTTTTGTAAGACAGTGATTTTAGAAAAAGAAGGAAAAAAGAAAGCAAGCTTAGAATCTTAGGAATGAAGTGAGGATACAGGTGGTTAGGTGATGGAGAGTAAAAAACTCAATGAGGTCAATGGATTGAAGGTCTCTATTATCAGTCATTAAAATGAAGATGCTAGAATAATTACTATAGTCATGTTTTTCGAACATTTATATTTGTGATTCATAACAGGGAGTAACTTTACATTGTAAGGCAGTTAGACAGTTTTAAAGCACAATACCTACATTGTCTTTGGTAATATATTCAACACTTTTTCAAAGCCCCAGTTTCCTCCTTTTGACAATAGGACAAACAATTCCTACATTACAGAGCCATGGTTGGTATTCGGTTAGCACACAAATACAAAGCCTTCAGTGCAGTGCCTGCCTGGTACAGTTACAATAGTGTAGTGCTCAGGGAAGGGCAGCTATGATTATCACTAGCCCCCTTCCCCTTTCAAACTCTCTGGGCCTCAGTTCTCTTATTTTTAAAATGAGGCTGAGGAGAAGATTGGACTGTAATGTTGTTTCCAACTCTAACATTCTGTGAATGTCCCTTGATTTGTACTTAACTGCAACACCTATGGAAATTAGAATGTGATTGTGCTTTTGAGATCATTCTCCCGTCTGGTGATTTGGTGAGGGTAAAAAGTTCAAACACAATACTAACATCACCTTTTAGTGCCAGGATAACCCTGTTCTCAATAAATTATATTTAAAAATATTTCAGTGTGTTAAATAGGACATTGGGAATCATTTAGGTCACCTTTTACTCTTAAGAAATAAGGCAACCCCTACATACAGCCTGATCCCAAGAGGGGCCATATACCAGCAGAGCCCATGTGTCTATTTCAAAGACTTTTTGCTGCTCTCTGCTGATTGGCAGTCCAGGGCAATATCCCATCTTTTAGAGGCCAAGGACAGGCCTCTGGGAATAGGTCAGTCATTTCCAGAGGTGGCATTAACCTTTCAGGCACCATTTAGTGGATTAATGTTTTCACACACTAAATGGTACCCCAGTGGTCCATTCAGACAAGATGCAGCATATAAGGAGAAACTGGACTAAAGACTCTTTCTTAGGAAAAAAAAGATGTGTAATATTTGCATTTGTCTTTATAGCATTTCTCTAAGGACCTACTGATACTGTAGAACACCATTATGATTCTGGTATCAAGAGACAGGAATAAAAGCTGCAAAATGATATTAAGAGCTATTTAGGCGATACAATGTATCATGTGGTCTAACAGGGTAATTTATAACAACGGTGAGGATTAGCCTTATTTCACAAATGTAAATATGAAAAGATAGACATGTTCAGTGACCAAGAGATGTAATTTCTTCAAGTAATCAATGAGGTATTTTCAACAGCTGTCATGTGAGCACTTTCTATGTGCCAGACATATTCCAAATGCTTCACATAGTTCAATTATTTACTCTTCATGAAAACCTTATGGTTTTACTATTATCATACCTGTATTAGAGAGAAGCAAATGAATGCACAGAGAGGTGAAGTGACTTGCTTATATAGCTAGCAGATGATAAAGTCAGGAGTGAAATTCACATTCTAGCCTCATAGCCTGGCCTCTTAACCATGCACTGTAGTCATTTTTTCCAAACGTTTGTGGTCACAATTCATAATGGAAGTAACTATAGATTGTGAGCCAGTAGAAGGAGTTTTAAAAAATAATACTTATCCAAACAATATGGAACACCTTTCGGTATTTTTCATTTTATTTGATTCCATTTCATTTTTAATAAATGCTGCTTGAGACACACTGAATTCCATTTATTACCTATTCTACTAATGGGCTGTGGCCTTCAGTTTTCCAAATGCTGCTGCACTACATTATGCTGGGTGCTAGTTAGCACACCCTAGCTCCCCAAATAAAGGGGAGACCTGGGATTCAGAAGGAGCCTGTACTGGAAAGGAATGGAATCTGAAATTCTCTGCTCTCTCATTTCCTGCCCATCCTCCAACCTCCACCTGTTCCCAGTTAAACAATCAATCAGCAGAGGAACGTCAAGAAGAAGAAAAACATTGATTTGCCAGAATGTCCTAATTCCTCCTCTGTTGTTTTCTTTCTTCTGTTATGCCATCCAAATTATGCCTGGACCATTTTAATAGAGAATAAAACACATCACTCAAAAATCTAATTCCCCGGAGCCCTAGAATAATGGCATTTTTTACTAATGAAACATGCAAACTACTGTCAGGTCCATTAATAGTCTCAATTTTTAATCTCTTAGATAATGGAACATTGTTTCCATGGCAGCAACTTCCAGCTGTTGGGAGATCCCAGGCTTTCAGTTGTGTGACAATTAGGGTGAAGAATTGCTGAGGATTTCTGGTGTTTCTGTATCTTCATTAGGCAGCATTCAGTATTTTTAAAAGCACTGATTATCATGATGTATTAGTTTAAAAAGCTTGATATGTTGATACCTATCCTGGGAAAAGATAGTAATTTCCCACAGCCTGTCACCAGGAGCTGCCTGACATATCTGGAGTGATGATCTGGTTATGATCATTATCTCCAGTGTTTGGCTTATAAATGAATAAAAGTCTGGGTGAATTCAATTACAGATAGTTTGTGTTCCAGGACTCATGATTTTTGATGAGGACAAAATCCAAGGATCTAACAACAAGACCAGGAAGGCCTTCTTCGTTTTTAGCATCCTTATATAAGAAGGCTACAAAGAACACATGGAACCCAGTTAGTTTGATGGAAATTAACAAGCTTTTTGGAATAAGTATTGCTACAGAAAAAGAAAAAATAAGTATAGCTGAAGAATGAGAGAAAGACATAGAGAGAGACAAAACCAAATTCAAATACTGAGTTATAATCAGCTACCATTCCACTGATCATATGACGTACAATAAAAGATCATTAAGTTCTAACTTCACTAATTTGAAGAACACGGCTGAAGTTACTTCTTATAAAGAAAGGCAGGGGTGAGGAAGAAGAAGGGAGAGAGATAATGCAGAATGTAAGTATGATTATCCCCATTTCTGAAATATGAAAACACATCTAGAACTTAAATAATGCTCACATAAATTAAAGCATTCATACACAACACCCAATGAGGAAAGTTATTAATGGCCCTGTTTTATTGATAAGATGACAGAAATTCAAGGACATTATGGCAAAATCAATGCTCCCTGTTAACCAAACCTATTTCCTTTTCCTCTTGGAGCTAGACCACACTTCTTTCTCTGCCTTGCAATTAAATAGAACCACATAGTTTATTGGCCAGTAGAACATAGGCAGAAGTAATGAGGTCTCTCCTCCCATCTGTTTGCTGGATATTTATATGCAAGATGGCCTTGTGAGACACAGACTAAAGATGGAGAGGTGTCTGTCAATTTGGTTTTCTAAATAGCTATGTGAAGCAATTCCCCCTGCAGACCATATTGTAATGTGGCAGGAGCAATTAATATACTGTTAATGGGTTAACTCACTGACATTTTTATTTGGAGATTTTTGTTGAAAACCAAAAGCAGTGATAATTATCCTGCCAAATACAGGAATCGATACCTTTGATGCAGGGAGCTGCTGTAACACAAATCTAAAATATGTGACATTAGCAAAGAAACTAATATCAGGTGCCAGGAGGATGGTAATCAATGATATACTGTGGCAAAACATTTGGAAAATGGCAGTAACTTGGAAAACAGACCATGTCTCTACTGAAGTGGCCATTCTGAATGAATTGTTTGGAAATCAAATGAATGAATAAGGGTGTGTTGGTTGCCTTGGCTGAAAGTGGCATGGGAGTGCAAGAAAAAGATGTTCTTGATAGAGAATTGGCCAGTTTCTAAAAATTTGGCCAGAGTTGGAAAACCAACTGCTTCTACATCTTAATTTTAAGATTTAAGGATTTGAGTTGAGACAGCTATTGAGTCAGAGAAACCTTTAAAACCCAGTTTTGCAACAAAATGAAATTAAGAATGTGGCCTTCTCTTTCAAGAATAATAGCCTCAAAATATCTACCATTAGTTGGGAGAAATAGGACTGGCAAGGATAGAGAGGAAGCCAATAAATAAAATAAATTTGAGAATCATATCCAATAAAGAATTTATGGTAGGTTACTGGCATGTGGAATAACTAGAAAATTGGATCAGTAGCCAACTAAGGTTTTAAGAGCATTATATGACCAAATAAGCTAGGAGCATGGACTTAGCACATTTCTAACTGTGACTTACAAATAATTCTTGAACCTTCAATCTTCCACATGCAGAGAGCTCTATAGCTTCCAACAAGGGCATACCAAATGCTATTGCAGATGTGGCCAAGGAAGAGGGGGAAAAAAGAAAGAACCTCCTAGAGAATGGATCCAGGGGCCACGGAGTTCCTACCAGAGAGCAGAATCAAGTCTAAACAGGAGCTAATCAGAAACTTCTCTCATTTCCAAGGCAGAGAAACTTCACAATGCCTGACCTACAGGATTCCCTCACTGCTCTGCACCAGTGACTGCTATGTCTTCCATTCTTCTCATAGTGTTTATTGTGACTTTCCTCCCCTTGCTCCATCATTGTGTGGTATCTTTAGAGTTCAAAAGTCACCACACCATGAAGTGCCACATCTTGACCTCCACATCAGTCTGAGATCCTAGACTTTGAGCTGAATGCGGTAGCTATAGGACTTTGAATTGTGTAGCTTGAGGAGGATGTCAGTGTGTTTTATGCATGGAAGGAAGAGTAAAACAGATATTTGGTGACCAAATGGGGGTGACATGGCAGAGAAAATGTTATGTGTTTACCAAACTTATTTTCTTTTCTTCCTGTGCATAGAGTCCAGCTGCCATCACAGTTAACACGGTCATTCAACTGAGTCCTAACCAAAGGAATGTAGGCATAATTGAAGCATATACCATATCCAGAACTTGCCCACAAAATCTATGGCACTATTTCATGTCCTCTCCCTAGCTGCTAGTTGTATGTCAACACCAGAGAAAACTTGAGAGATACACATATTTTCAATGTGTAAATTATTGACCTGAGTCCTTGGAAGATCTTATGGAGAAGAGCTCCCATCCCATACCCGCAACTGACACCTAAACCACACTGGACTAAATAAGACTGTTTACAGCAGCTTTATTTATAATACCCCAAATGGGAAGCAGCCAAGATGTTCTTCAACAAGTGAATAGATAAACAAACTGTGGTATATCCATATAAAGGAATACTATTCAGCAATAAAAAGGCATAAGCCATCAAACCATGTGAAGACATGGATGAATCTTAAATGTATATTACTGAGAGAAAGAAGCCAGCCTGAAAAGGCCAGTCTGTATCTTTCCATTTATATGACATTCTGAAAAGGGGAAAACTATACAGATGGTAAACAGATTACTGGTTTCCAGGGATTCAGGAAGGGGTGGATTAGGACAAAGTGAAATAATTAAAGCACATGGGATATTTTAGGACAGTAAAACTATTCTTTATGATATTTAATGGTGGATACATGACACAATGCATTTGAGAAAACCCATAGAATTTTAGAGTATAAAGTGTGAACCTTATTATATGCAAATTTAACAGAAATCATTTAAAGGTTGAAGGATCCCAGTATGGAATATAGACTGTGACCCCCTGCCAAAAAAAAATCTAATTTTGTTACAAAGCTATGAAATAACCTCATCAACAAGGAAAAAGGTACTAACTTAGGTGATTTTGGAAATGAGTGTGTCTATAAGACAAAAGGCAGAAGGAACTATACCTAAGCACTGTTCTATAGTTGATAAAGTTATTTCCCACAGGGATATAAGTTAGTAATTCTAAAATCAGTATATGTGGAATATAACAATTACCTAAGTAGATGTCAGGTGGTAAAAGCCAGATTTCTCACTGGTGAAATGGAAGGTCATAGATAAGCAAGGGGAGAAGTCTGGAACAATCCATGGGGTAACAGATTAGAGTTGGAGACATCAATATGAAATCATGTTTAGCTTAATATTTATATGGTTGGTAAAATATAGAAATATTTATAGATATGTGTATATAATCAGATTAGTATATACCCATATGCAGGTATTTCCTTGCTGTGCCAGCTCACAGTGCATACAAGCAATGACATTCCAATAGCATTGAGTAAAACCGGTATCCAGATACTAGTTTCTAATATCATTCTCCAATAAAATGAACCAGGGATAGCTGAAGAGAAGGCTGATTCTAGGATTGGAGCAGGAAATGTTTAAGATGAGCCTGGAATATCTATATTACCAGAACGTAGGAAATGCCCCAAAAAAACAAAAACACAAACCAATGAGATTATATTAAAAGTGCACAGAAGCCAATTAAAGGCACTCTCAATTGTCAAAGCTGGAACAATTCAACCAATAAAATAAATATAGTATTATATCACATCTCAAAGTATAAAGTAATTATCTATGAGTCCATATGTATATAAAATATTGGAATTAATAAATAAATGAGGGAGAAGAGATAAATCTCCCATGCAGAAGAATTCCAAATAATCTATGTAGAGGGATGCACAAAGTGACTTTCTTCCAAAGAGTACAATATGTAAAATGGTTTAAAAAAAAAAAGTGTGACTGTAGTGGAGAAACTTGGCAGACACTACCCTGGCCAGATAGTTAAGGTTAACATTAACAATGTTAATCATGTTGATAGTACGTATCCTTAATGGATGTGAGCGGTTTACCTCGGTATCTTCCCGCAAACCCATAACCCCAGCTTAACCATGAGAAGAACATTAGACAAATCCCAACTGAGGAGTGTTCTACAAAATTCTTGACCAGTACTCCTTAATGCTGTCAAGGTCATTAAAAACAAAGAAAGTCTGAAAAATTGGCACAACCAAGAGGAGCCTAAGGAGTCATGACAAATAAATACAATGTGGTATTCTGGATGAGAACCTGGAACAGAAAAAAGATATTAGGAAAGAACTAAAAAAACCTGAATATAGTATTGACTTTCATAAATACTAATATATCAATATCAGTTTAGTAATTGTGACAAATGTGCCATATTAACTTAAGACATTAATAATAAGGTAAATTGTCTTTGGGTATGCAGGAATTCTCTGTACTATCTTTGCAATGTCTTGTAAATAAAATCTTTTCTAAAATTTAAGATTTAATTTTTAAGCTTAAAAAAAGAAGTATAATATACTATTATGAGTATTTATTCTTTTGTTAACTTTTTCCCAAGTTAAATTAATGGGGCTGGATTAGAGGGTTTATAAGGTTACTTCTAAGATTCTATGATTCTATGATATAAAACTACCAAGAAACTTAAACAAACAAAAAAAGAACCTCTAATGATATTGGCATTAAGAGATAGTCCAGTTTCTTAACAAATAGCCCAGTAATCTTACTATTATTATTTTTCAATTCAATATCTATCCAACAATTAGAAAAAAACTAACAGTTAATTTTCATATTTTTCTCAGCAATAATCAATATGCAGTGTTTCCCAATCTTTTCTCACAAAATCACTGCTAGAGCAAAAAATCATTTTCTGATATAGAGTGTTTACTGAAAATGAACTAGCACAGCATGGGAAAGGGTGGTTGTTTTTAAGCAGGCCCATTATATTCCTCTGGAGAGCAATGGTGTACATACTCAAGTCAATTCATTAGGACATGGGGCTGATGATGAAAGCATGTAACAAAGGAACTGCTGTGGCTTCACATTAGCAAATGTGATGATCGGTGGTGGGATAACCCTTTGGGAACATCTAGTATAAGGAAGGGAAGAGAAAGAAAGAGTTTTCCATTTCTTCTCTAAGATGAGAGCTACCATTTCCTCTTGCTGTACTGTGCATAATGGGTGGAGAAGAGGCAGGGGGTGAGAACGATGAAGGTTCTCAGTCGGTGGTTGTAGGGGGATGCTGATCTGCAGCAAGAAGACACAGTGGGTGAAAAATTGCTGAGTAGTTGTATCTGACATGAAACATGTCACATATTTTATCAGTTGAATAACAACAGAGCTCAGCTTATAACTAACTTATAAAACAGGCTCTATGGCACGATGTGGGTGAAGAGGATTCAGTGCATTCACGTTTGTATCACTCTTGCTTCTGGCAGAAAGGAAGGTCTTTTATTATTATTATTCTGATTTTTTAAACTTGTGACTTTAATACCTACATCTTTTTCTTAAAATTTTCAAGAAGAGATTTAAGAAAAGCAGAGAAAAGACTGAGTTGAAATCAGAAGAACCTTGTTTGATTTATGCTTTCCGATTTTTAAAATTTCAAACAAGCAATACATGTTATTGAACACTTTTATGTTCCTGTTATATACTCTGCTCTTTGGAGATTATAAGAATGTAAAACAAGGACCTACTACTGTGAAGTAACTTGACCCCAATCTACAGCAGAGCCAGAGGAGGTAGACAAACAAGGAAAATGAGAGAACATTGAAGGACTTGCCTGTTTGGAAACATCAGAGCATTCGGAGATCAGAGATGAGCAAAGCTAACAGAAAGGAAGGCCAGTAAAAATTAAAATGTGATTTCTAACATATGTTTAAAGAATACATTTTTATTGTTTATGAGTGCTTGAGGAGAATTATGCAAAAGGACACCTTTAACAATGGGGTAAGTGTAACCTTGCCAAAAGGACCTACTTACCTGGAAGGGCATGCCAATAAGACCATGGTCAGAAAGAACACAAATTTATAAGCAGCCAATTCAAAACATTCTGACTCCAAAGGAAAGTCACAACATCCCTTGTCCTGTCTCCTCTGGGTCCCTGTCAGGTCATTCAGAGTTATCTAGGAATGGGCACCCCAAAATCTATTTTCCCTTCAGTCCTCCCATAGCATCTCAGCTACTTCCAGCTATTGCTTGTTGTTGTCAAACTATGGAAAGCTATTCCTGGATCCATTCTGGGAGCATTTGTGGAGTATTTATAAGACTAAACAGATTCTTCTTTGGCCAATATTCATCATCTCTCAGGGCTGATGTATTATTTTGCAATAAAACGAAAACAAAACCTTCTCACCAATGATAATGAAGAAGAGAAGTTAAAGGAATAAAGAAAATGTTATACTATAATACGCCTAGTACATGTAGGTTTGTGGGGCCAAAGTACTTGAAAATGGCTATCAAATAGGTATTTATTAAATGGGCTTTTATTTACTCTTCCCAAATAAACATCATATTTATGCTATTTCTTTACTTAAGAAAGAAAAGTCTTGTTCTTCTACAGAAGTAGAAGTTATTTTCAGTTTCAATTTTATCAGAATTGTCAAAAATTATTTATTAAGGGAGTCCTGATAAGTGAGATGTTACACTATTTAGATAATTTTTTTTATAACTCAGTTCTTTTGAGCCATTGCCATTGCCTTGCCTGCTTGCTGTCTGGAATATTTTCATTTCTTCAGTAAATGCTTCATAATTTAGTCCTATACTAGAAATATTTTAACAAAAGGCATTGTTTTGAGAGGATATGAAATGGTTTTCAAAACAGAAGTTTCTAAAGATTCTACTTTATGCAGATAAAATGTCCCAAATGTCATTTCCATGATGTTATAATGAATAAAATGAACTCTTACTGTTAAATATAGACTCCTAGTCCCCAGTGAAGACCTGCCTATTTGTGGCAGCACAGTGAAAGAATATGTGCATGCCCTGGGAGGTCTCAGTAACCAGGTCGGAGCTGTAACACTTGTTTCAGGTGCTCTTTTCAAAGAAAGGAGATCCTTTTCCAGAAGGGGCCCTCTCTGTATTGACAAATCATTCTGCTGGAAGGAGGCAGGGGGCCGTTTTGCAACCTCTCCCTCAAAGACTCAATTCATTTCATTCCAGGACCATTTTATTTCTGTTTGTGCCACAATAAAAAGGCAAATGGTTGATACGGGCATAATGTGTTTTCCATAATGAGATAATTCCCTTGTTCAAATCATATTGGTTTGCTACTGGGCTTTTCTATTAAAGAAATAGATTGGAATTTTATTCATGTTTGTTTACATTTAGTTGTTTTTGAGATTGTGCAAAGACAGATTTTCTTTTTTCACCTTCATAGGCAGAGATTTAAAATAACACACATGTATAATTCAGTGAGACTAGCAAAGAAGATGGGTGAAGACAAATCTCAAACTAAAGATATTTCTCAAATACATTGATCATTCATTTATCCAATAAATATTTATGCCAGGCAATATTTTAGAGAAACGAAACTGAATAAGGTCTAGTTCCCACCCCTGCTCTCAAGAAACTTACCAGTGGGCAAAAAAGACAAATATATGAACAATTAACTATGATATACTATGATCAATTCTATCACACAGGCACAGGCAAATTACCCATAATTGCAAAATTTAACTAGTACAATCTTAGCCTGCTCCTGCTGCTAGAACAAAATACCAAACTCTGGGTAAGTTATAAACAATAGAAATTTGTTTCTCACGGTTCTGGAGTCTGGGAAGTCTAAGATCAAGGTTCTGGCTGATTTGGTGTCCAGTGAAAGCTCCCTCTCTGCTTCCAAGATGGTGCCTTATTGCTGCGTCCTCACATGGTGGAAGGCTGAGCACAAAAGGATAATGCTGTGTGATGCCTTTCTAATAAGGCACTGATCCCATCCACGAGTGTGGAGCCCTGATAACCTGATCACTTCCTAAAGTCCCCACCTTTTAATACTATCACATTGGCAATTGTTTCAACATATGAAGTTTTGAGGGGGACACATTCAGACTATGGCACACACTGAACCCCGTGGGCATGGCCACTCAGCACACTGGCATCTAGGCTGCACTGGTCACAGGTTATTTGCATTCTTTGTACATGGAAGTGTAACACTTATTGGTTTATTAAATGGAAGGAGGTCAATGTCTCTATTAGAGATTGTTAATTCATAAAAAAAAGTCTGTTGAGCCTGGCAAAATAAAAATTATGAGTGTAAATACTATTTAGCCCCCAAGTCAAGTTGTTTTCACATTCTGAGAGTTGCTAATGAGATAGTTAAGTGCAGGAGGAAAGAGTCATCACATTAGGTTAAAAAGTACATGGCATTCCCTGACCTTGATGGTTATGACACACAGATGTGCCTAATGAGTTTAGAGCAGCAAGAGCCGGGAGCTTCCTGGTTCTGCCAAGGACTAGCAAAAGCCCTATAATTTTCCACAAGGCAGGGGTGAAGAATAACCACTGCTTTTCAGATTCGTGCTTTTATAATCATCTGAGGTGTTTTTAAGTTAACATTCCTGTTGTGAACTGCATCGCGTCCCCCAAAATTTATATGTTTGAAGCCCTAACCTCCAGTACCTCAGAATGTGTCTGTATTTAGAGACAGGCCCTTTAAAGAGTTCACTAAAACTGAAAATAAGGTCATTTTGGTGGGTCCTCATTCAATCTGACTGGTGTCCTTCTAAGAGGAGGGAATTAGAACACATAGGGAAACATCAGAGGTGCACAGGCACAGAAAGGGACCATGTAAAGAAGCAGCAGGAAGGTGGCTGTCCACAAACTCAGGAGAGAGGTCTCCAGAGGAACTCGATCTGCTGTCAACTGTTCTTGGACTTCTAGCCTCTAGAACTCTGGGCAAATGAATTTCTGTTGTTTAAGCCACTCAATTCTTGGTAGTTTGTTATGGCAGCCCTAGCAAACTAATACAACTCCACACTCACCTCCCATGCCCCCAACCAACAGAATATTCTGATTCGGTTGCGGCTGAGGAGGCACAAATTGAATTTTTGAAAGCACATAGGTAAATCAGATGCCAGTACTCCCAAGATTACACCTTTAAAAAAGCAACTACCAGCTGAGTGCCACGGCTCATGTCTGTAGTTTCAGTGCTTTGGGAAGCTGAGGCAGGAGGATTGTTTGAGGCCAGGAGTTCAAGACCATCATGGGCAACATAGCGGGTCTCTCCAAAAAAAGTTTTAAAATTAACCAGGTGTGGTGTCACGTCCCTGTAGTCCTGCTACTTGGGAGGCCGAGGAATAAGGATCACTTAAAGCTTGGAGTTTCAGGCTGCAGTGAACTATGTTTGTACCACTGCACCCAAGTCCCCAGCCTTGGCAACAGAGCAGGACCATGTCTCATTAAAATAAAACAAGACAAAACCCCAAATCAAACAAACAAAAATCACAACTACCAAAAAGAATTACATGTGTTTTGCTATTAAGATCTCCTTCCTGTTGCATACTTTACCTGTCCTCTGCATGCGAACTCAACTAATGCTGCCGCTTTCATATGCAGAGGTTTGAGATCAAAGATGTCTGCTTAGACCTGACTCCAGTCATCACAATGCCAGAGGAGAGTGAAGGAACAGGGAGTGGGAAAGGATGCTACCTGGATTCTCATGTATCAGCACAGGCACCCTGAACACTCCTGCAAAGTGACCCTGGAATCCAAATCTCACAGGCACTGCTGCTCTGAAGTTATTTCCATTTGGCTGTGCCTTTCTCCTGGGGGCTCCTTTCAGTTCTCTAACTGGGTTGTAGTTAAGTTTATCAAGCTCTGCTGGAGAAAAATCACTTCCATTACTGGAGCAGTTCCTGTGGAAAAAGCTTGTTTTTTTTTTAATAGAACGGGGTTTTCACAATATATTACTGATATAAATCTGACACTAATGCTATAAACATGTCCCAAGGCACCTGGGTACTCAGTAACAGGGTGAGCCCTCAAGTAAAATTGTGAGACTAGAGAAGTTTGTCTTCTAGGTTTTAGCCTCTTCTGTTTTCCCATTATCTGAGGTCATTCAGAGACACAACACTTTGTCTGCATTTTATTGGCACTTGATTTGGGGGAAGTTCCCCTAACATTCATTTATTCAGTCATTCACTCAACAAATACTTAGGATGTTTCCCCTTTGTAGCTGCTAGGCAAGGGACTAAGTACTGTGGATACAATAATATTTTCTGCTCTTAAAGAGTTTATGGTCTGGGGAGAGGGATGGAAGAAATTAATCAAATACTCCTACCAAAGAGGATATAATTCCACATAAATGAAAGGGAATCAGGTCAGAAATAGGGACTATGAGGGAGCAACCCAGAAACCAACCAAAGGAAATTTCCCAGGAAAAGGAGAAAAAGTCCCAACCCAGGCTCACACAAAGATGGATGTGGCTAGTCAAGAAGCTTCAGCTGGGGGCCTGCAGCAGAGAGGGCGGCAGACACAGCTTGGAAAGGTGAGCCTGAGTAGGAGGTAGAGCCACACCAGGCAGGGGTTACGCCACGGAGCTGGGGTGGGGGTGGCTCCCTTTTCATTTAATCATCTGGTTAGTGGGGAAAAAAATCAGTGCACTGTTTGGACTCCAGTGTGATCGTTAATAGCCATAATAGATTTACTATCCAAGTCAAGTTCAAATTCCTATTGTGAGTGGTGATAGAATCCGGCTTGTTGAGCACAGAAACAGACTATTTGAAATTAGCACCAAAGCACGATAGATTTTTCTTTCTTAAATTAGTTATCCACATGGGCTATTTTTATTGTATCAGATGTAACCACGATGACATACTTGTATCCACCATCCAAATGTAATATTTTTTAACCAAATTTAGTTACTGGAAAGTTTTCATACAAAGTATTTGGAGATGCAATTTATCTGAAATAGCAATACTGAAAGTGAATATGTTCTACAGAGGGCTTTTGTAGAAGAGTTGTCTGTACATGCCTGGTTTACCTCCCCCTAGAAGATGAAAATAATGTCTAATCCTGGCATAGGAACTGTTTCGGGGCTTACTCTACCCCACTGCCAACTCTTCACTTGGAAAGCAAAATTATACATTTCCATACAAACAACAGCCAGTTAGCAGGCATAAATGCTTAGTGGGAAATTAACTTAGAGTGGGTGAGACAGACTACTAAAATTTTGACTATCCTGCTAAATTTAGCCAAGGAAGATCCATCTATGCCAATTTAAAATGGTTTTCAGGAGCGGCTCGATCACACATCTCAGCAAAAGACTGAAGACAAAAATAGAGAAAGGAAATATAGTTATTTCCTGCATCTAGATGTACTTCTAATTAAACTGTCTATCCACACCCTGCTTTACCAAAGAAATAAATAGCGCTTTTCTGCTGGACAAGAATTACTACATTTTGTGATGAATTCTCTGGCTGGCATCCTCCTTCATTTAGCCATAGAGATCCGGATGAGCTAGAGCTGCAAACGAGGAAGGAAATTCAGTACTGCCATTTATGTCAGTGGGAAACCCCACCGGTAATTTTTATTCATGAATTTCAGTTCAATATTAAAATGCATCAGGTACAGATGTGTTAAAGGTATTAAATCAATTCCTTCTTCTATCCTTTCTCTACTTCTTCCTCCAGCTCTAGTCTTTTTCCAAAAGCTGCTTTATCAATACAATTAGTAGTTTCTTTTTGCAGATACGTTTTCTTTCATGCTTCAACTAACACCAGCGTAATGTTAGAAATAAGTGATTACACAGGTGTGACATTAATTTGGAGATTTTGAAAATGATATTTGCATTATTATATTTTTAAAACATCCACTATATAAAGGTGTGTTTTCAGTTATTTTGCACATTAGCAGGATTATGCAGCCTATGCCTTTGGCTTTAGAATCAATACTCTAAAATAAATATGTAGTTCTGCCCTGACTTTCCGCATAACCTTGACAAAGACATTTACCATGTCTTGGCTCAGTTCCTCTATATGTAAAACAGGGATAAAAATATTGACTTTACTAATAAGGCCATGGTCCAGATTAGTTATCCTAGCTTTGCAAACAGCTTTTGAAAAATCATCAAGCTGCAAAAATCACACTCAGGCAAAGGATGTACTCCTGTCCATCTGTCCAAGTACCATCCTTTCCCACTCAGACCATTCATTCCCTTCTCCCACACACTAGGTTTTCTCAGGTGAGAAAATAGTCAAGTGGAAGATGTCATTAGGCATCTCTACTGAAATAATTCCATGAAGTGGAAGGCAATATATATAAATTAATAAATAAAATAAAGTTAGAATTAGATTTTGATACTAATGGCTTTTTAAAAATTAAGACTGTGTTGAGTTTTTTAGATCTTTGGTTTTGTGTTATGTTCATATTGTCATCATACTCATCATCATTGATCATGTTTATTCAGTGTTAACCATGTGGCAGGCACTATGCTAAGCTGTTAAGTATGTCACAGCATTCAACCCTAACAACCATTCAGTGAGGAAAGTATTGTCATTATTATCCCCATTTCACTGATGAGGCAGTTGAGACTTTGAGAGATTAAATAACTTCAAGCCCCATGGCTTATAAGAGGTGGAATTAAAATTCAAACCTTGTTCCAACTGACCCCAAAGTCTCAATTTTTAATAACTTTGCTATATTCCCATCATACTAATCTTCATGATTAAATTACTTAGCAACCAAAAGTGGTGTTAAAATCCAATTGCAATTATGTATGGAAAGGAAGAAGACATCAAGAAGCTAACTTTATTGCAGGTATAGAAAATGCCCCAAATTAAGGCAGCTTTTTAATTAAGAGAGTCAAAACTACGCTCAGCTGAAAGGTGGAAAGTCAACATTAGGAGAAAATATGAGTGATTTTTTGAATAGAACAGAAACAGTATGAATACAATAGACTTTTATGTTGAATGTATTCAAGATATTACTTTTTCACATGCCCCCTAAATTATTTTAAAATATATATAATGCTTTTAAAATAAAATTTAAATCTGTAAAGGGTGTCTTAAAATATATTGCATTGGGTTGAACATTATAGTAGGTAAATTCTAAGTTTCCAACTCAAAAGTTCAATGATTCTCTAAATGATTGGTGAAAACATAAATGAATTGAACAGCATTGTTTTGTGCATATCTTGTATGAGATCAGTTTCACATTTCTCACGAAAGCTTTTTAAAACTTCCCTACTCTTTATTGGTCTCCTGTAATCACTCAATTCCTTCCTCTTACCAGGTAACTTTCATTCATACTCAGATGAACAGATAATTTTTCATCCAAGCTAGGAGGACATTCTTGATCCTGAAAAGGAACCCTTAAATAACTGAAATTATATGTTGTTTTGGAAAACATGTTATTATCAATTTTTTTATTATATGGGTAGATTTATAAATGGTTCTATTCAAAAGTTATTTTCAAAATTAAAATTCTTCATGAAAATAAAAATGACATCTGTGTATATCTGAAGAAAATATTTCAAAACTTTGTTATATTGATTATCTCAACATTTAAAATAATATTAGGAGAATAACCAGTTTCTGAGCTATAGCTGTTTGAAATATCAGATTGTTAGAATTTTTTCTAAAAAAAAGAATCAATGTCTTTATAATTTCCTTTTCATGAAATTTCCAGAAATCTTCTTCAAAATGTATACAAATTTATGAATTACATATTTAAAATTGTTGACACTTTCAATGGACCCTTCTCTGTAAATCATAACAGTTTTCATCAAATAAGTTTATGATTTTTTAAATGTTTCCTTTGATTTAAATGCTGTAAAATTTTAGTTCTCAATTTTATTCCATTCTGGCAAAGAATATATACTCATCACTAGGAGATGATTCTCCATGGGTTTCTCACATTCTTTTTTTTTTTTTCTCTTTGAGATGGAGTCTCGCTCTGTCACCCAGGCTGGAGTGCAGTGGCGTGATCTCGGCTCACTGCAAGCTCCGCCTCCCAGGTTCACACCATTCTCCTGCCTCAGCCTCCCTAGCAGCTGGGACTACAGGTGCCCGCCACCACGCCCGGCTAATTTTTTGTATTTTTTTTAGTAGAGATGAGGTTTCACCGTGTTAGCCAGGATGGTCTCGATCTCCTGACCTCGTGATCCACCCGCCTCGGCCTCCCAAAGGCTGGGATTACAGGCGTGAGCCACTGCTCCCGGCCTCTCACATTCTTGAGTATCTTCAGAGTTACACCTGAATGTCCTTTGTGTTCCATACTACCTTTCCAAGGATGTTTGTATAGGAAACAGCCTTGAAAGATAGAACTAATATCTCCCTCTAGAGCAAAAGACAAGTTGGTTTACATTCTTAGAAGATAAAGTGTCTCCCTCTGCAGCAAAGTCCAGGCATACTTCCTGCTCATTTAAAAAAGATTCAGGTTCCCTAAGGTCAAAGTTTCTCTCCTATAATCCAACTCACTGTGTATGCAGGTGTCATCTGGGGCTCTCCACACCAGATATGAGAATTGGGGTTCAGATAATCAGTGCAAAAAATGCTAGTGCTATACTCTGGCTATTGCTATTGCTCTGAGTAATGAACTGTCTTTCATCTCTAACCCAGGAGACTCATATCTTCTACCACCACCACCAAACTCTGGCAGGCTAACATAGTAGATTGAAAATTGGGTAAAACCAAGCTGGGTATGGTGGGTTACACCTATAAACTTTGGGAGGCTGAGTTGGGAAGACTGCTTGAGCCCAGGAGTTCAAGACCAGACTGGGCAATAAAGTGAAACCTCACCTCTGCAAAAAATTAAAAATTAGCTGAGTGTGGTGGTGCACATCTGTAGCCCCAGCTACTGCAGAGGCTAAGGTGGGAGGATGGCTTGAGCCTGGGACGCAGAGGCTGTAGTGAGGCAAGAGCATGCTACTGCACTGTAGCCTGGGTGGCAGAGCAGAACCCTATCAAAAGAAAAAGAAAGAAGGGAAGGGAGGGAAAGGGGAGGGGAGGGGAGGGGAGGGGAGGGGAGAAAAAAGAAAGACGAAGGAAGGAAGGAAAAAGAAAGAAGGAAGAAAGAAAAGAAGGAAGGAAAAGAAAGAAAGAAAAGAGAGAAAGAAAAAAGAAAAGAAAAGGAAGGAACAAAGGAAGAAAGGAGGGAAGGAGAGGGAGAGAGAGAAAGAAAGAGAAAAAAGAAAGAATGAAAGAAAGAAAAAAGAAAAGGAAGGAAGGAGAGAGAAAGAAGAAGGAAGGAAAAGAAAGAAAAAAGAAAAGGAAGGAAGGAGAGAGAAAGAAGGAAGGAAAAGAAAGAAAAAAGAAAAGAAAAGGAAGAAACAGAAAGAAAAGAGGGAAGGAGAGAGAAAGAAAGAAGAAGGAAGGAAAAGAAAGAAAGAAAAAAGAAAAGGAAGAAACAGAAAGAAAGGAGGGAAGGAGAGGGACAGAGAGAGAAAGAAAGAAAAAAGAATGAATGAAAGAGAAAAGAAAAGGAAGGAAGGAGAAAGAAGAAAGAAAGAAAGAGAGAAAAGGAAGGAAGGAAGTAAGGAAGGAAAAAATCAGGTAAAACCTTAGATTTGTCACAGTTCTTACCAATTTTTATGATAAGGATAGCATGCTGATAGAGCCATGATTTTGTGGAAGAGAGGGGAGGACCTTTTGGACCAACTGAAGGACTTTCATGATATGCTGACCAAATGTATTTGGTCAATAAGTGGTCCTCCACCTTAATGCCTGTTAATGAGGAAAAATTAAGGATATGTTTGCAGAATGAGTACTGGGAAATTAATTCAGAGACAAGTGACTGCCCAAAAGGTGCAGAGGTTGTTCTACCAGTAGGTGAACTTTCTTACCAGTTGGGCTGTCAGCCTTAAGTCCTCTACATTGTGACAACTAGTCCTAAGATTCATCCTGATATGAAGGTTCTGTCCCTTTCAGATGACAGACATAAGCATCGACGTGGAGTGTGAAAGGAGGCAAATATGCAATCACTGTGGCAGAAAACCAGGCTGTTAGTGCTTCCGCTGGGTCACCGGGGAGTTGAGGGTGTCAGATGCATAATGCTTGCTAAGGATGAATGACTAAAGGTGGAATATCTTTTATGTCTCAGCCCCCTCTGCAGGCCATCAAGTCAATCTTAGATCCATTCAAATGGCAGGAAAAAGACTGAGTTTTTTCAGTGGGTCTTGGCTGCTATGAGAGACCTTTGACCTTCTTGGGGAGATTTCCTTGAGAAAGACAAACTTCAAGAGAAAACCACGGATGAGTCATTGACTAGTATTCAGGCTCTTTCTGCCCTAAATTGGTTTTACAGTGCTGATGAATCAATGGAGAATGAGAAATTAACCCAAAGGACTCTAGATATATTCTCATGATCAGCCTCATTCCTCTGGAAAACTCTGCCACTCCTTATGTTAAAACTGGACATATGTTTTATGTCTTTATGTTAAGAGATGTTATAAAAATAGGGCAGAAATTGACCCAGATTAAAGTGTACCTCTTTTTAAAAATTTGTTTGTGTGTGAGTTAAGCGCAAATCTACAAAGGGTGCAAATCTGACCGTCCCATTCAAAAAACAATGTGGCTGTAGTGTCAAGGGATCCCCAGAGCCAAAATAGTGTCACTAATAATGATCTTGCTACTCAACATGGGGCTTGGATTGGGATAAGGGCAAAAAAATTTGGAAGTTTTTCTGGTTGAGCTACTAGCAGCTGCTGTGCTGTTTGAAACCAAATGTAAATGTAAAACCTTGTTCAATGTCATATTGCTGCTCTCTCCCACTATATTCTGTCATCCCCTCCCTCCCCCAGACCCCTATCTCAGCTGTTTTAAGGAGAAAAATGGTTAGGGACTAGGCCAAGTCTCCCTGTTGCAAAGGGCAAGCCAAAAGCCGTACAGACCAGTTTGAATATCCTGGGGAATTTCAGGGTGGGAGGGATTATAACTTGTATGATTATCTTGGCAATAGACAATCAAATCACTATCTTACTTGAAAGTGGGGAAGGAAAAGGCACTTAGATTCAGTTAATGGGGTTTGGGCTGGGTACACGGTGAGAAAGAAAATACTTCATGGCACCTTAAGGAACTTTGGGCCAATTGAATGTACTGTTACTATTGCTTCTACATCTGCATGTATAGTAAGAATTGAGGTGTTATATGCTTGTAATTTCCTATCCCATAAATACTAGAGGGAGTCTCCCAAGTGGGAAAAGCAACATGTAGAGAAGTGCTAAAGGGAACTGTGAAGTTCTCCTCAAATCATCTCCCTGTCCCCTTCCAGGTCCAACAGAAATAGTATAGTATCCCAGGAGGCAAAAGGGAAATCACAGCTTTGAAGCCTTATTCTAAAGGCAGCAGGGGTAGTAAGAGGTGCAATAGCTCAAAATAATAACTCTGTATGGCCAGTGTAAAAGGCCAATGGAGGCTTGAGGCTTATTGAATTCAGCTGTTGTTCTCAAATCCCTGGCTGTATATAGACCTTATAACTGTAATGGCATTTACTGTACATCTACTGTACATGACACTTGATATAATGTCTTAGACATTGCCAGCACCTTGTTTTCTGGCCCACTGGCTTGCAATATTCCCCCTGGGGTACCTAAACTCCCCTACCATTTACCACCAGTGGGTGTGTCAGGATTAGTACAAATGCCTCTACCCTCTGATAGCCAAAGCTTTCGCTATATAGACCATATTATTTAGTTGACAAGTGAGAAGATCCAGTTTTAAACACTCTACCTGCAGTGTTATCATACTTGTGCTGGCAGAGGTGGCTGATGAACCTTAAAAAAATTCAGGGATCTGCTAGGTGAATAAGGCTTCTTGGGATTATGTAGGCAGAATCAGAATGTTCAATGCCTCTGACAGCCAAGGAAAAACTGCTGCCTCTGGCCTCCAACCACCAAAAAGGAGAACAACACCTTAATTCAATACTTTGGTATTGGAGACAGTATATGCTCACTTGGGCATTCTACTTGGATGTTTATATCAGCGTCCTTGAGTCTGGGCCCACACCAATAGGTGGCATTGGAAGCGGTCTAGCAAGCTATGGCTGGCTCTCAACCTTTGGGCCCTATACTCCTGATAACCCTTTTGAACTTCGTATCTCTGAGACTGATGATTTTTTTCAAGTGAAGCCTCTGGCAAAGAGAGACAGTCACCACCCAAAGGTATCCCTCGTGACTTTAAACTTGTTTCCTCCTTGAAATGGCTACCAAGAACACCCCAGCTTGTTCCTGAGCCCTCGTTAAAACTGAATGCCTGGCCATGGAGACCTTGTGACTTTCTAGGGCCTCATATTTTCATTTTGAAGTGGATCAACTTATATTCAGCAAAAAGATGGGAGGGGCCTAACAAGCATTGATTGTCACATGGAAATGGTATATTGAAGACCATATCTGGCACAGTTTAAGTGACATCTCAACATTACATGAAAAAATGGCAGCTCTTTGCTTGGGAGAAACTTTATTCTCCACTCTGTCACCTGAAGGAAACTGCAGGCTCAATGGGTCTCTCCATGCACTGAGGTTCACCAAAGTGCCTGGGCCTAGTTCGCTAATGGTTTGGCTGAGCTGAAACCTAACAGTGTCCACTGGAATCAACAGCTTTTCAACCCCCGCACCAGCTATGGAAAGCTAAAAATGGGCATGGTTATGCCACTCAGTAGGTAGAACCCAGGCCATTCTCATAGCTTGAACCAGTACCTCTTTTGATGAATTTTGTTATATTTTTGCTAATTCTTGGGTTGTTGGCAACAGCCTGGCTATTTGGTCTGCCATTTGAAAAAACTACAGACTGGCCAATTAAAGACAACTCTAAATTTTTTATTCCAGTTAGATTGGCAATTGTGATATTACCATTTATTATTCATCATTTTCCCATTAAATTCATCCCTCACTCATAAAACATAAAATTCTCATATACTCTGAGATTTATTTTTGAGTTTCAAACTATTTGTCTCTCCCTATACCCATACTGATTATGTTGAATACCTGGTAAGGAAATTTCCCCTACACTCTTCATTCATTTCACACGTTTCCTGGCTATTTTGGGGCATTTTTCTTTTATGTATGCTAAGACTATTATATCCAATGCCCAAAATATCTTGTTACTACAATTTTATTAAAATTATGTATTAATTTTGGATGATAGAGATATTAAATAATAATCTTTCAATTTGAGATTTTTTCTATTTGTTTAAATCTTCTTCGTATATTTTCTAAGACTATAGTTTTCATATCAATCCCATGCTTTTCTTATCAAAGTTTTGTCAATTTTAAAAATTATTTTATTTGTGTATATGTGTTTATGTTTCTGCATCTGACTGTAGTGAGCAAAATACTTTCCCCCCTTTCCATTTCTAGGTTTTGTATTGCAAGAGTAGAGGAAATCAATTTTGCTCACCTTTTGTCCAGCTACCTTACCAAATTTCTGTATTAACTTTAGTAGCATTTTCCTAGATGTTCTTTGGTTTTCAAGAAATGCAATCTGAAATATGTTGATTTATCCCTGTTTTTCAACATTAACATTTCTTTCATTTTCTGCTTTTATTACAGTTTTGAGCGCTTCAAAAATGTTGAAAAGTAACAATGATATGAATCTCTGGTTAGGTGCAAAAACCATATAGCATAGTGGCTAAGAGTACAATTTGTGGAGCACAACTGCATAGCTTTGAATCACAAATTTACCACTTGCTATTGGGCAAGTTATTCAACTTCGCTGTCCTTCAGTGTTCCAATCTGCAATGTGGGGATTATCGTACTGTATGATATTATGTATTATTTTTGTGAAGATTTACATATGTAAAGTACCTAGAACCATGCTCACACATAGTAAACACTAAAAAAGTGCTAGTTATTTATTTTTATTCTTGATTTCATTGGAAAGTTTTCATGATTTAGAATTAGTTTTCTGTTTAGAATGGTATTTACTATGGGTATACAGTAAAACATGTTAGGACATTTAAGTAGGTTTTTTTCCAATTTTACTAACTTTTTATTAGGAAAAATTGCTTTATTTTATCAAATGCCTCTTCAGCACTGTTTATATCATGATCTTTTCCTCTTAAACTTGTTTATACTGATATTGAATTGCCTTTGAATTCCTGAGTTACTTTTGTGATAATATATTATTCTTTTGATATATTCTACTTGCCAATATTTTATTTATAATTTTGCCTATATTAATAAATGAGTTTCATTTTATTTGGTAACTATATTGGTACCTGATAAAGTTTTGTTATTTCGTGAGATTTATAAAATAAATGAGAATGATTTCTAGCTTCTTCTATGGCTTGACATAGTTTAAATAATCTGGAATAACTTTCCTTTAAAGGTTATATAAAACTTGGCTGAGAACTCATCTGGCCCTGGTGTGTATTTGAATGGTACATCTTTATTCACCTTTTCAATCTTGTCTTCGGTAATTGTTCTATTCAAGGATCCTACATCTTCTTAGGTCAAATTTGGTATTTTATCTTTTGCTAGAAAATCATCCATCTCCTCTAGGTCTCCAAGTTCATTGTCAAAATAGATGCAGTCTTGTATAATTCTTTTCAATCTCTTCTATATTCATACTTACATCTACTTTCTCATTCCTAATTTTATATATTTTTGTTTTCTCTCTTTTTAAAGTAATCCAGCTTATCTGTTTTATTGTTTTCAAAAAAATCTTTTAGATTTATTTTTTTCTTTTCCTATGAAGTGTTGTTTTTAAATTTTATTAAATCCAGTTTATATTTTAAAATTTCCTTTATTTTCTTTTCTTTTGTGTGTGTGAGAGGTTCGTGTTTCTTTTCAAATTTCTAATCCCTTTATTTTTCCTCATTAACATTGAGGAAATTTAATACTATTAGTTTTGTCTTGAGTCCCTTTTGCTGTGTATCACAGCTTCTGGGATGAAGTATTCTCATTTTCATTGTTTCCCAGATAGCATGTAATTTCGTTTTTCATTTTCTTATTGACCCAACATAATATTTCTAGAAGTGTGTTTCCAAGAAATCAGAATTTTATATTTGCTTATTTACTATTTATTTCAAAGATTATAGGTGCATGACCAGAGAATGTGACCCATGAAAAGCTGACAGTACCATTAAAAATTTTAACATTTTTTGTCATCATATTCACGATCGGTTCTTGTGAAACTTCAGAGTGTATAACATTTATTCTTTTTGAGGAATAGAAGTGCCTATTTATGCCTATTACTTGAACGTATTAATTGTATGATTCAATTCCTGTTTATCTTTACTACTTAATCTTTGTCTACAGGAACTGTCAAATTCTGAGAAAGGTATACTGAAGTTGTATGCACTCATATTAATGAATGATAATCACTGTATTCAGGTACATACATGTGAATTAGTACTATACACTCTTTTGATTAGGATTGCATTCAGTAATGAGTATGAGAAAGCTCAATCAATGGTAACTTAATAGAAACAGGTTTATTTCACTTAACGTAACAAAAAGTTGTAGGTAGGTCTAGGGAGTGTGTAGGGGCTCAAGGATGCCATCGAGAAAGGAGGCTTCTTGCTCTTCTGCTCCATCATCCTTAGTAAGGGCTGCTTCAACCGTGGGATGGCTAATAACATTCTGGGCAGTGGAAAGGAAGAAAGAGAAGAGGCAGCCCTAACCGAAAGTACTGAAGTCTTTCAAAGCTGATGTCTCATTGGCCAGAACTGAAAAGATGAGCTTTTAGCTTTTAAGCTTCCAAAATGGAGGAAGGCAAGTAAAAAGAAGTTGGAATGGGTGTTGAGAGAGTCAACATACAATATCTGCCTCAAGTAAGAACTCAATACATACTCAGAATCCAGTTTTTCATATTTGCTGCCTCCTGCTTTCCTCAGCACTGCTCCAACATCGCTTGTCTCCCGTGGATACACCCTTCTTTTCTTATAAAAACATTGCAAAGGTTAATGACATGAATACTTAATTTAGGATTTTCTTTCCTGGTAATCAGAAGGATTGGAAATGAGAGAGCAATGGAAAAAAGGTGGGCATTATTTGTTACAAAGAAACAAAAACGTGAGAATTTTTTATTCAAGAGATTTCCTCTAGAGTCTGTGTCCAATAATAAATATGGGCTCAATACTTAAAAGTAAACCAGATATGAAGATGGTACTGCAAATTTGGGTGTGCAGAAACGAAATGTCACATGATTTTACTTTATCTGAAACAAATTAACTCTACTAAAAAGTTGTTATTTTTGCCTTTGCCATTTAAATTCCTAATTTGTGGAAGGTTGTTTTGTGTATGAGGTAAAGATCAATTTTCATGCTTTTTCTATGTAGACAACCAACTTTTTCAGCTGTAACTATTGAATAATTACTCCTTTCCTAAGTGTTCTTTCATGCCACCCCATCAAAGTTATATATATGAGTCCTTTATTGAGTTCTGTATCCTATTTCATGCATGAATTTCTCTTTTCTGTGTGAATAACACATGCCAGTTAGTATAGCTCTATATGTCTTTGTATTTATAAGAGCAACTCCATCTACATGTTTTCATTTAATAAAGAAGTATTTTGGCTATTTTGGACCTTTTTTAGTTAAAGAATCCTTTTTGGATTTTGACTAGAGTTACATTAAATCTGTAGATCTGTATAAGAAAGATTAAGGTCTTAATGATATCTTCCTGTTGATCAAGGGATACATCTCCATTTATTAGTATTTTAAAAATATTCTTCAGAAATGTTTTATAGTTTTCTACATCCAAGTTTATACATCTTTTATTAGCTTTATTCCTAAGTATTGTACTTTATACTTTTAGTTGTAAATTGTGTGTTCATAGTTATTATTCTGTTTGTTTCTGATTTATACAAGTGTAATCAACTTTTCTGTATTAATCTTATGTTCATCCACTTTGCTCAACTTCCTATTATATTTATTTGTTTGCTCAATTGGGGAGGATTTCAAGCAGACAATCATGTCGTCTGAAAATTACAGGTTTTTTTTCCTTTCCTAGCCTTATAACTTTTAATTCATTTCTTCATTTATGGAACTAGTTAGAAACTCCTACATGATGTGTAGAGATGGTGATGTGCTGTTGAATTTAAAAGTTTAATATTATAAGATAAAATATAGATGAATATCTTTCTGAATTTAAGGTGAAGAATAATTTCTTAAACTACCGCAAAAACACTTAATAGAAAAGATTAAAATTGTGATACTGTTTATACGTAAAGAAGTCCTACAAGCCAATAATAAATGAACACTGGGCAGAAGACCTGAATAGGCATTTCACAGAAGATAAAATATGTATTAATAAAAAGCATATGAAGTGTTGCTCAATCTAACTCGTACTCAGGGAAATGTGAAACAAGAGTAGGAAATATTATTTTACATGCATTCAATAGGCAAGAACTGAAAAGCTGACAATACCAAGTATTCCAGAGACTGTAGATTGATGAACTCTCACACATTGTTGACAGGATGTAAATTAGAATAATCACTTGGGAAAACAATTTGGTATTATCTTATACAGTTGAATATTTGCACACCCAGTGAGCCAGCAATTCCACTTCTAGGTATTTACCCAAGAGAAGTTTAGCAAATGTGTACCAGAAAGCAGCAGTGTGCATGATAGCACAAGTCTGGAAGCTGTCCAAATACCCATTAACAAGAGTTTCAATAAACTGTGGCATAATCACAGACACATTAAATATCAATGGAAATTAATGAACCAAGCAACATGTAACACATGAATGAATCCTATTATGAAAATGAAGAGTGGAAGAGCAAATCCAAGAAGATCCATACATTTTGAACTAAGCAAAATATTTTTAGGACTACACACACATACACACAAACACAATAATGTTTCTTTAAGGCATAATAAGGATAAAAATAAAATTCAAATAATAGCTACTCCAAAGGCAGGTTTTTAAAAATGGAGTAGGGAGGAACATATATGTGTATATTTGTTATTAATAACTTTCTAGTTCTTGATTCAGGCAGTGAATTCATATAACTTCATCATATTGTCAATGAATATATAAAATTAAAGAAATAAAATAAATGAAGGCCAGGAGTAAGCAATGATGGCAAGTATGTTATGAGCCAAAAATTATGATTGGTCTTGTTTGGTGCCTAATGTCAAAAATAAATTATAATAATAATTATAACAACAATAATAATATAAATAAATTTAATTTCATTTACAAGTTCCATCCTACCAAGCCAGTAGGAAATTTAATCTTAGGTATTTGGAGGATTCCCCTCCCCACTATCCTTCAAAGGTCCTTGGGGATTTAACAAGAACAAAAGCACTGGAGGACACCCCTGCAGACTCACAGCCATTATGTTATTACTGAGATTCCCATTTTCCAAGCTCCATGTGGTTCTTCTATCTCCATGTTAGCCTTTGTAGTCTATAAGCAATTTCTTCTTTTACTCTGTGACACAATCCTTCCCAGAGTCAAGTGAGTATGAAGGCTTTGCTATCTTCTAGGAATTGAACAATAGAAAAACAATAGAACAAATTAAAAATTAATATCTCAAAAAATTGCCCTAGACACCACTAAAAAGAAAATGCATTCTCTATTATATTTACTCACCTGTGAGACAGGTTTAGCAAGGCTACAACTTCTTCTCCCATTTCAGATTTTCCAGGCCAGGTTTATTTTATTCTTCTGAATAAATTAAGAAGATTCCCATTTGCTATACCATGAAACATTTGCTTTGCCTCTAAGCCCAATTCTTTGGTGATTGAACTTGAAGAAAAATTTAATTACAATTTTGTATGTAACCTTGTTTACTTCCCAAACCAGAAACTGTTGCAATAAATGAGAAAATGAGTAAAGGCTTAGAAAGCAAATTAAGAAAGCTGTCATAGCAAGTGGGAAATGGGCCCTTTGGCAAATTGTTTTTATTGCTTTTTTTCTATTTATCTGAACATGGGGTTTATTTGTATTATATCGCCAAATGAAGCAGCTGAGTCTAGTTCAAGTTTATTACTAATATTATCATTCATTAATAATAAATGTATAAGTCAAATAAGTATTTCATAATATTTGCATGATCCAAACTGTGAACTACATTACAGCTATTTGATGAAGGATGATCCTGGGTCAACTTGCTAAAAATCAACACTGTGGTTGCCCTTATAACATAACTTCTTTTTCTCTCTCTGACATATTTTCCTTACAACGATTAATGAGCTTTTCTATTTTTGTCTTTTCCATGTTTAACTTGCAAAGAGAAAAAAACATCTAAGTTGATACATCTGAGTGTCAGGTAGGGAGGATCTGCTGAGCAGAGAGAAAGGGGTTTTAAGTAGAGAAATAAATTTGCAGGGCAGCTGCTGAAAAAGAATCATCTAAACCATAAGACAGAAGAGCTCTCCCCAGAAGGGAACAAGCAGAAAAGGAGAAAATAGGGAGACAACCACTTTCCAAGATACAGTCATATAGGAAAACTTTCTTTCATTTACCCAAGTATTAATATAAGACATCAGTTTTCCAGCCTAGAACACAAGATTAATAATAAATACAGATTTTTTTCTGTCTTCATTATTACAGACATTTTTTTTCCTGTCTCAAGCTGATAAAGAAAAATCAAAGAGTAAATCCGGATAAGAAAGGTGTTTCTTGGATTAAAGCTAAACACTTGAAGAACATAGATTTAAACAGTTGAAGAAATAGATTTTAAACGTTTGAATAAACATAAGCACAAAGGATATGTTTTTTAAAATCTTTGTGGGCAACTACAATTTTTTCATAAGTGTGAAAAATTATATTGCAAACAATAGGCTTGGCTTGTTTAATGACATAATGTGCTCTAATGAGATATATATGCAAATAATAATAGTTATTAATAATCTCAAATATTATTATTATTAATATAGATAATAGTGTTTATTGTCAGTCTTTATTTTGGTAGGATTACTGCCCTGATCTTTTATACCATTTTTAAATGGTGTTTAATACTTGGATTAATTAAAAAGGAAGGCAAACACATCCTAACAGTTGACCAATAATGTGTCTCAACTTGTTTCAAGTCCTCTTGCATGCCCAAGCCTCTCTTTTAGAAGTAACAAACCATTTTAAAATCTATAAATACAAACTGATGATTCTCTTTATGTCCACTGACAAGTGTGTGAGGTCCATGAGATTTTGTTTCATTCATCATGCATTTTATGAATGTAAGAGAGGCCTACAGAGTTCTAAGTTCTCCTGGTGCAACTTTGCCTCTCCTGACTTCAATATCACCTCACTTACCACCACAAATGGCATAAGTGTCTTATGATTAGAACTGATCATACACTTTCCCAGAAGAAATCATTCGAAGGAAACTCATCATGCCTCACAACTTTATTTATCTCAGGCAGTGCTAGAAGTCCAAACTTCTCAGATCATCCTTCATTATCCACACTTTGTCCCTTCATAGAGCTATGTCTATCCCTATTCCAAAATCTCTTTTGACCTCCCAAACTTTTGCACTGTATTCTTGGAAATGCACTCTTATAATTCTTCTTTAGCTCTTCCCTAGATTTTTTTTTTTTTTTTTTTTTTTTAGACAGGGTCTCACTTTGTCACCCAGGCTGGAGTGCAGTGATGCAATTACAGCTCGTTGCAGCCTTGAACTCCGAAGCTCAAGCGATCTTCCCATCTCAGCCTCCTGAATAGCTGGGACTACTGGCACGTTTCACCACACCCAGCTAATTTTTATATTTTTTTTGTAGAGATGGGGTTTTGCCATGTTGCCCAGGCTTATCTCAACTCCTGCACTCAAGTGATTCTCCCACCTCAGCGTCCCAAAGTGCTGGGATTACAGGTGTGAGCCACGACATTCAGCCCCAAAACTCCTGACCTTTAAAGCACTTTCCATCATACTGTACCCCTGGGTACCATTCTTTATTATCATCACCATCAACCTTTGGATGGCTCTTTCTCATTTATCATTCCCTCCACTATTATTTCTTTCATCATTCTTAGTGAGTTCCCTATTCATGTCAATATCCACTTAACACTCTTCTTGTTCCTTAACTCAATTTCAACAATTTATTTTCTCCTCCTCACTGTAGCAATCCAATCCCAAGGCTACGTCTTAGAAATTTCAGTATCAGTACTCATTGCTCCACTTCCAAAATCTTCAAACAGCCTATACTTTACCAATTCCTGTCTTTCCAGATCATCTATTTCAACATCCCAACTCCAAAGGTAGTTGGTTCTCCAGTCCATTGGCAAATTTTTAAAACTTTCTCATTCCCTTTATATTCTCACTGCTCCCAGCTTGGTTTCCATTAATCATCACTGTAATCATCCCATTGAATGTACTCTAAACTCTTCTCCTCATCTTCTTCTATGACATTCTTACTAGGAAAAGGAAACAAACTCAGTGCTAGTTAAACCCAACTCCACACCAAATCTCCATCTGCTCTCTAACAGACTAATTTTCCTGCCATACAATACACAATCATTACTAACTACTATTCAATTCATGATCCAGATCTCAAAGAACACTCCCAAGTGCCCAAGCAATACTGCCACACTTCTCTTGTATTACTGTTCTCTCATTTCACAAAAGAACATTTTGTATTTCTCCTCTCTCCAATATCTGTCCCACTCATTATCAAATAATCATATCAATTCTTATTCCTTGAGAAAATAGAAGGAATCAGATGAGAATATCTTAAAATTACATTCTGAAACTACCGGCAATTCTTCTGGCTTTTGTCAAAATATACCAAGCTTATTTCTGCCCCTTATTTCTTCTGTCCAGAAAGTTATTCCCTCAGATATTTACTATGACTTGCTCCTTAACATGATGTAAGCCTCTGTTCAATTGTCAATTTCTCAGAGAGATGCTCCCTGATGACCCCATCAAAAATGTACATATCCATGATTCTATTTCTTATGGAGCATTATTTCCTTTATAGCCTTTATTACTATGTAAAGCTATGTTGCATATATGTTTATTGTTTGTTTTTGTCTTTCCTTCCAGAATGAAAACAGAAGACTTGCTGATCTTGTGTATAAAGCACCTGAAACAGTGTATGACACATAGGTGCTTCAATATCTACTTTTGAACAATTAATTAAAATCAATCATTAAAAATATAATGAAAGATTCTCAAAACCTCTACACTAAAAACACCTTTGTGAGACAGAATAAACATTTGTGTAAAAAGAGAGATACACTATGTTCACTGATGAGAAGACTCTACATTTTTAAGATGTTGACTGTCCCCAAATTGATTCATAGGTTCAGCATAGTCCAGTCAAAATCCAAGCAAGCTTTTTATATAGAAATTGACAACCTAATTTTACAATTTACATGAAAATGCAAAAGATATGTAATAGTAAAACAATTTGGAAAAAAATAAAGTTGGTGGACTTATGTTACCTGATTTCAAGGTTTGCTATAAGCTATGTTAATCAAGATAGTGTGGCATTGATATAGAATTAGAAAAGTAGATCAATGAAACAGATGAGAGAATCTAGAAAGAGGCACATACATATACAATCAATTTTCAACAGAGGCAAAAATACCCTATGAGTAAGTGAAATTCTTTCTAATTAATGGTGGTGGAGCAACCATATACCCACTTGGGGAAAAAAATAAACATGGCCTCTAACTCACGGTATGTACAGAATTTAATTTGAGTTGGGTTATAGATTTGAAATATGAACTGTGAAGCTTCTAAAAGAAAATATAGGAGAGTATCTTCACAACCTTAGGGTAGGAAAAATTTCTTAGCACACAGAAAGCACTAATTATAAAAAACTGATAAATTAGACCTAATTGAAATAAAAGTTTTCTAATTATCAAAAGATAATATTAAGAAAATGAATAAGACACACACTAGGGGAATATAGTCACAAAACCTATGCATAAAAAGCAACTGATATCAGGATATATAAAAATATCATATAACTCAGTAATAAAAAGACAACCCAATTCAAAATGAAAAAAATACTTGCACAGATACTTCTCAAAGGAAGAACCAAATGGCTATAAGAACATGGAAAAGTACTTGACATTATTACTCATTGAAAAAATGCAAATTATAAGAATAAGATGTTATTGAACACCCACAAGAATGGTAAAAATTTAAAAGACTGACAATATAAAAGTATGCAAAGAATGTAGAGAAACAAGAACTCGTATAACATTGCTGATAGAACTGTAAAATTTGGCCGTGGCTTTGGAAAAAGATTCGGCAGTATTTTTATTAAGTAAAATACTTTAACTTATATGTACTATATGACACTGCAATTCCACTTCTAGATATTTACCCAAGAGATATAAAAACAAATATCCACGTGAAACTTGCACATGAATGTTCACAGCAACATCATTCACAGTAGGCAAAAACTGGAAACAATCCAAATCTCCTTCAACATAAAAATTGATATACAAATTACAGTGTATTTATTTAATGGGATAATACTTAGCAATAGAAAGGAATAAACTACCAGTACATGCAGTGACGTGGATATACTTTTTAAAATGCTGAGCTAAGGAAGTTAGTGTATTAGCTAGGGTTCTACAGGGAAACAGAACCAATAGGAGATATAGAACCAATGGGATATATATGGGAGATTATGGTCTATTGGCTCATATGATTATGGAGGCCAAGAAGTCCTAGCATCTGCCATCTGTGAGCTGGAGACCTGGGAAAGCCAGTGGTGTAATTCCAGCCAAGTCCAAAGGCCTGAAAACCAGAGGAGACAATGGTGTAAATCTCAGTCAAAGGGCAGAAGATGAAATGAGATGTTCCAGCTCAAGTAGTTGGGCAGAAAAAAAAGGGGCTAAATTCTTCCTGGCTCCATCTTTTGTTCTATTCTGGCTCTCAATGGATTGGATGATGGCTACTCACACTAGGAAGAACAATCTCCTTTACTGAGCCCACCTATTCAAATGTTAATCTCATCCAGAAACATCCTCACAGACACACCCAGAAATAATATTTAATCTGGGCACCCCATGGCCCATTCAAGTTGACACATGAAACTAACCATTATAGTCAGATTTTTTTTAAGTACATGTGGTAGGATTCTATTTATATAAATGTTCTAGTTACCTATTGTGAAACAGGCCATCCAAAACTTAATGGTTTAAACAAACATCCATTTTGGCCTCAAATCTGCAATTCGAACAAAGATTCATGAGAGTGGTTCATCTCAGCTCCATACAGTATCTGCCAGGCAGCTCTACTGAGACTGTCAGAACTATTAATACTTCCAACATAGCTCACTCATATGGCTGGAAAATTAGTGTTGGGTGTTGACTGGAAACTCAGCCAGGGCTGTTGGCTAGGGCTTCAGTTTCTTTCCTCATGGGTTTCTCTATGGGGTACTTGGACTTCCTCACAGTATGCCATTTGGGCTTTAAGAGAGAGTATCCCAAGATTCAGGAAGCAGAAGCTGCCAGTTTCTTAAAGCACAGGCCTGAAAACTGGCACAGCATAACTTTGACTGTATTCCATTAGTTAAGCTCTTACTGTATATTCAAAGCTAGGGGACGTAGATCCCACTTTGTGATGGAAGGAATGTCAACGAGTGTATGGGGGTGCTGAGCACCTGTAATCCCAGCACTTCGGGAGGCTGAGGCGGGCGGATCACCTGAGGTCAGGAGTTTGAGACCAGCCTGGCCAACACGGTGAAACCCCATCTCTACTAAAAATACAGAAATTAGCCAGGTGTGGTGGCACACACCTGTAGTCCCAGCTACTCAGGGAGACTGAGACAGGAGAATCACTTGAACCCGGGAGGAGAAGGTTGCAGTGAGCCGAGATCGTGGCACTGCACTTCAGCCCAGGCAACAGAGCAAGACTCTGTTTTTAAAAAAAAAGTGTATGGGCATCTTCAATCTCCCACACTGCAGTACTATACTACAGAAAGCGAATCTATATTGATAGGAATCAGAACAGCATTTGCTTTGAGGGAGGGAAAGTGGCAGGGCTTGACTGGCAAAGAAGATAAGGGAAATTTCTTGGGTGGTAAAGATGTTCTATATCTTAATTAGGTGGTGGTTACAGTAGTGTATAAATATGTAAAAATTCAAACTGTGAAACTAAAGATCTGTGCACTTCACTGTGTAAATTATATCTCAATTTTTAAAATAACTATTAAAATTACTAGGAAATAGATCCCTTCTAAGGAAATAGATTTATACTAAATTGAAGTTTAGGAGTCAGTAAGCTCTGAGTTCTGTTGAAAACTCTTCTGATTTTGGTTTTCAAACAATTACTCTAGCAAAAGAAATTAGGGAATAATGTCTCTTAAATTAGGATAAAAGCCATCTTTTGGTCAAACAAGGTCACAACCCAAAATTGTCAAAAAAATAAGATCAACTTTTTATTCAGCATAAGTGTTAAAATGATATACATCCAAATTTGATGGTTTTTAATGTACTTTTTACAGTCTAGTTTTGAGAACACTGAGAAAAGAAATCTTAGCTAAAACAATTTAAAAACCAGTTTCTGAAGTGTATTTCTTTGGTGCCATCAGATTAAGAACAGTATTTGACATCCTGAACTTGGTGCCTCTCATGAGTTTTAGGCAATATGAGTTCCTCAAGGGCTTCTTAAAAATCACAAAGGAATTACTGTACTTTTAAGCATATTTTATTATCTTTCAATTATTAGTAATTGTTGCTTCCTTATATAGTCCTAAAGACAATTCCTTTAAAAAAAATCTATTCACCAGAATATTCCCATTTTTTCAGGAATTCTGGATAAAGAAAGAAAATAGCATAACAGAACTTAAATTATAAACATTATTATTGATGACAGTTTACTTCAGTTGCAACACTAAACTAGTATCTATGTTTGCTAAGGACTTCAGCTGGAAGCTTTATGCCCTGAGCCATAATCCTAGCAATTGACTCTTATTGAACAAGATTTCTTCATGTGAGGCTGCCCTCCAAGTAGGCCATCTCAGTGGTGAAGCAGTTGGTGTTGGTGAGTTAGCTATTGACTGTCTTCCAGGGTATTCCCAGTTGAAACAATGCTTGGGACTCTCTATGACTCCGTCTTACCTCTGTTCCAGCCTCACTGCTCTTCAAGTGATCTCCCCCCAAATCTAAGTTCCTGGCCATTAAATGTCATAGGTAAATTTATGATTCTCTTCCTAATTAGGGAGAAATTACTCTTGGCTGCCTTCCAACTCTTTTCTTTCATCTGTGTTTTCAGGTACACCCTTATTAGATGATGCTACCCAGCACAGCTGCAGCTTCAGCAAGAACTGCCATGTGCATTTGATCGGTCTGTTTCTTATTCTGGAACCTGTATTTGCATCTGATGCCACACAAGTCCTAAGCATGGGATGTGTGGAAAGGGTCAGTCATCAGGATGGGGGGCTTGAAGTCTCCTCCTTTTTGGAAATCCTTTTCCCCTAACTACTAGGCAGCCAGTAACTTTAGGACTACTTCATGGATGTCCAAGTGTTCTAATGCTTCTCTTCCACCATGTCTGCTTTCTTCTAAAGTAAATTACCTTCCAAATGATCTCTTTTCTCTCCTCATACCACTATCCCAATCAAAGTTCCCAGATCCTCAACATAATTAACTAAATAAATCTCTCTGAAGTAGAACGATTGATAGGCCCAGACATCACAGCAATAATTATGGAAATTGATTCCTACTAAGTGGAAAAGTGTTAAAAGTAGGGTAGGTAATTTTTAGCACAAGCCACCTGTTCTATGCCTATTCTGAGATCCCGTCCTAGAATTTACCTGTTTTTCCCTCATTCTATTGTCCTATCAAAAGAATAAGGTTCTTCTGTGACTTGAAAGCCCATTCAGAAACTTGCTAGTCAATGATACAATGAGTTGAGAGTTGTTGTTTGAGGGGAAGTGGGATGGTATAGTGATTTTTTTTTGTTTGCATTAGGTTATTATGGAGTTCCAGATGAGCTAGGATACTCAGTCTTTCTGCACTGGCTTATCCTTTCCGTTTAAAAAATATCAAAATATTTTTATACCAGTTATTAAACAGTCACTACCCACAACCCCTTGAAGGAACTTCCTGTTTCCCCAGAGCCCTGAAGCTGCCCAGGCTCTGGCAATTCAAGGGTTAATGTCCGGCATGTCACAGTGAGGGGCCTCAGAGGCCCTGCTGCAGCACTGTGATGGGTGTCCATTCTTTCTTTTATTATTATTATACTTTAAGTTCTAGGGTACATGTGCACAACGTGCAGGTTTGTTACATATGTATACACGTGCCGTGTTGGTGTGCTGCACCCATTAACTCATCATTTACATTAGGTATATCTCCTAATGCTATCCCTCCCCCCTCCCCCCACCCCACAACAGGCCCCAGTGTGTGATGTTCCCCACCCTGTGTCCAAGTGTTCTCATTGTTCAATTTCCACCTATGAGTGAGAATATGTGGTGCAAACTATCACAAGGGTGTCCATTCTAATTGGGTGATGCCCACACAACACCAGTTGATTATAATGTAAGCAGATGAGACCACAAATTAGAAACTGTGTTATGTTAACCATTTGCTCATACAGAGTGCACTCTGAGTTAGCTATTATCAATGGTCAATTGATAATTTAAACACAACAAACCACATTAAATGCTTTTCTATTTTACTGTATAATGCATTATATGATTTTCAGTAAGTTCAAGTTTTTAACTATGCTTTTAGGCTAGTATTAAAGATGAGTAATACAAACCAACCTACTATTACTTCCCAATACTTAAGATAAGCTGTACCCAAGGGAAAATAAGAGAATAAACAAGAATCAGGCATTTCCTTACGCTAGGCTCTGTTATCTCATTAAATTCCCATGAAAACCCTCCATCATTATTCCCATTTTACAGATGGGCAAGTTAATACCCAAAACTGTATCTAATATCACACAACTCTCTAAGCACTAGCACATGAATGACTTATTATGTCCCCCTCCAAAAACACTGTGAGAAAGTGTGAATGTGCCCATTTTATTTTAGGAAACAGACTCAGGGAGGTTAAGTAGCTTGCTCAGACTTACTCCAGTCTCCCTCTTCCTGGGACTATGAACTTGATAGTGTGAAAATTGCACTATTTCAGACATATATTCAACTCAAACTATCTCTCCTTCTTCAAGGCTCCTGTGTGCTTCCTTCTACCCTCCTATCCTCTGTAACCTTGGCATCCATCTTTATCAGAGCCTTATAGTCTGTCTACACACACACACACACACACACACACACACACACACACACACCGCTTCTCCTTTCCTCACTACAGCAGGACTTTCATTACTTCAATTTTAAAAGATTTCAAGAGTCTTTTCTTTTGTTTTAGGACTAAGTGTCCCTTTTTCTTGCTCACAGGGCAGTGAGAGGAGTTCAGTGTTTTGAGGCTTAATGTGCACTGGGAAAGGAAGCCTGTTCTTACAAGTCTGCAAACTATTCTTCCCCTTGTCTGGGCAAACAAATTAATCTAATCATGAAAGAGTGTTAAGAGGGGGAGGGAAGGAGAAAAATGGGAGGGGAGTGGCAAAAAGGGGGAGGAAGGACAACAAAGTTGAGGAGGGAAGAAGCAAGAATAAAGACTTAAAACAGAGATTGCCATGGAAGAAGAAAGAATGTTTCCCATCATTAAGGGGTCTTCTTTCAGAGGAAAACTACTTTGGATGTAAAATAAGCCCTCCTACTGATAAACTATTTGACTTCATCCAATCTCCATGGGTCCCATCCAAATTAATTTCATTCCTTTGTCAGGCTCCTCCCCTCTTTAGTTCCTGACTCCATCTGTCCTCTCTGAAGAATTGCTGGGCACTCCAGCTTCACACCTTTGTTCCTGGCTGCTTTGGGCTTCCAAGACCAATCTCTCACACAAAGGCAGCTCATCCAAGGACACAGGGAGAGAGAACTAAACGGCAAGGGCCATCCTTAATGCTTCAGAGAAAACCCCAAACAAATGGAAAATGCCAAGCTTGTTTTAAATAGAAAGCTATCCCTGTAATTCTTAATTCTACAATTACCATGCTATGTCGCTCTGGCAATGAATCTCTCCACTTACACTTTTCTCCAGAAAACTCTGCTTTTAAGGAAGTACTTACATATGTCAAATAATCTAGTAAATAAAATTTGTATGTAATGCAAACCAGTTATATAGTTAGCCTTCCCTAAACAACAGAACCAGCTTCAGAGATTTAGCTCCACAGGGGATCATTGAGATCGTCTAGTTAATAACCTCCTTGTCCGGGGCCCAAAGGGCCAGAATGAATTTCCCCGCTTCACTACACAGTTTGTGGCCACGCTAAGAATAGAAGCCAGGTCTGAGTTCTGGTCCAGTGACCTGATCTCCTTTATTGTAAAATTGGAAGGTTGATAAAGCCAGAAAGGGCTTACATTTAGAACACTGTGAAACAGTCTTATATTTATAATAAGCCCTCAACTATAAACATGTGACCACTTTTCAAATTCCAGTTTTCTTTCCCTTCCAGCACTCAGGTTTTGTATTAAGAAATAAAAGCTGTTCTTCATCTAAATTCAGCAGTCATTGAAAGGGAAATATGCTGCCTCAGAAATCATACACAATGTGCTTTATAGTCACTTCTACATGTTCAGAATCATCCATTCTTCTGATTTATGCTTGATATTGTTCTTTTCCATTACTATGGACTACTATGGATAATTGTGTGTTGCCTAAATTTTTAAAAACCAGTAACAACTTCATCAAATGTGTTTTTACAGTTTTCCCAAAATATTGATTGTAATTTAAGAATGGCTTTATGTGTATTCCCACTGAATTTTCTTCATTTCAGATTTTAAAATTGTGTAGCCATAAGCCTACATTATCTTGCTTCTTCTACCTTGTTTACACTTCACTCCTTTTCTCCTTTACCGATTTTTCTTCTGCCAAATAAATGTGAATGTACTTCCAAGTCTTTGCTTTTAAGCCACTCTTCATACTTTGGCCAACAAAAGTTCCAACTTTTTGCCCCTTTGAAAAGAAATCATTTCCTATATGTGTTCCCCTCCCACAAACTCAGCAACTCATAATTACCCAGGATTCCTTCTCCTTTGTTGACATTAATTAGTTATACAATCTCAAGATTCTGCCTTCCATTTAATTTCAATTTAAGTTAACTTAACAAATATTTTCTACCCCTTACTTTATGTAGAGTGCTGTACTAGGCTCTGTGTGGGATAAAAATGAGCAAGTTGTATTCCCTCTTCTCAAGACAGTACTTGTCAACCAGGAATGTCTTCTCCAAAAAGATAAATGGAGCTGATAAAGTGTCAACTTTAAAGGGGTATTTTAAGGATTAGATGAACTAATGTGTGTAGTTCCTAGCATATGCTAAATCCTTAGTATAAATTACCTGATATTATGTTACTTTTCTATTATTGCCAAATCATTGCTTTGATCCTCTCCAGTCCTAACATGCTGACAAAAGTATATACAGTACAAGGCTAAATGTGCTAAGAGCAACAGAAGACCTAGCAGACACCATTTTAAACTAGTGGTTACATATCCCAAGTAATGAGACATACCAATGTAATTTAACTCCTGATACGATGCACCGAGAGGGCACCTCACGTTTGAGATATCCATGCCATAAATGTATAATCTGAATCAAATCAGGAGAAAACATGAATGAACCCAGATAAAGAGACATTCTACAAAATAACTGTCAAGACTCTTCAAAAGTAGTAAGACTATGAAAGACAAAGAAAGACTGGGAAGCTGTCTCTGATTGAAGAAAATCAAAGAAGCATGCCAGCTAAATGCAACATGTGATTCTGGACCAGATAAAGGACATTAGTGAGAAAATTGTTAGGATCTCAATCAAGTCTGTAGATTAGTTAATGGTATTGTAGCAATATTAATTTCCTGGTCTGGATCACTATGCTATGGCTATTCAAGTTATTAAGATTTGAAGACAGTGAGCAAACAGTATGAGCAATTTTTTTACTATGTTTGCATTGTTTGAAAGTCTGAAATTATTTCAAAATAAAGGTTTTTGTTAAAATAACAGGAGTCATATAAAGTATAGGCAGAAGACAAAGGAGAGAGAATCTTTCCTCAAGTCATAAGTCAAAGGGAGGGGATGAGGGAGGATAGCAGAAAGATTTTTGGGGATGGAAGCATTTGAGGCGGTCAATATTGAGAAAAGATATTCTAGGCAAAGAAAAGAACAGAATTAAAAGCAGCAAATAACAAGGTACGTTTTGGATATAAGTCATCACGTTCCTTTGGAGCTCGGTGTCTTTGAAAGGGAAGTAGTGTGAGACAACAGTGAGAGGTGGATGTTTCTGTGTCTCTGTGGTAGGCTGAATAAGGCACTTCTCCACAAAATGTCCATATCCCCATCCCCACAACTTGACAATATGATACCTAACATGACATAAAAGACTTTGCAGATGGGATTCAGTGAAGACCTTGAGATGGGGAGACAATCCTGGATGAGCCAGGTGGGCACAAAGTAATCACAAGGGTGCTTATACAAGAGAGGCAGGAAGATCACAAGGCAGAAGGAGGAGATGGGACAAAAGGAGCAAAGGTTGGAGTAATGCTCTTTGAAGATGGAGGAAGAGGCCATGAGCCTAGAAATGCAGACAGTCTCCAGAAGCTGAGAAACACTAGGAAGCAGTCCTGCCAATGCCATGATTTTTGACCCTGACCTCCATAACTGTAAGAGAAGAGATTAGTGTTACTTTAAGACTCTGAGTTTGTTGTCATTTTTTACAGCAGCAATCAGCAACAAATACAGTCTCTATACCTGACTTTGGTCTGAAACTCATTTCAATTTCACCTCTATCTGGGCTAGGGTTACAGTCTCCTACCTGTTTCCTCTGCTTCTATTCTCCATTCCTCCTTTCTGTGAAAGGTTGTCAGATTTATTTTTCTCATGCCCTGGACTGATCATGTCATTCCTCTAAACCAAAGCTCTTAGGCATCCACAGTAGCTGCTAAAATGAATCCACACTTACTATACTGGCATTTAAGAACCTCCACAATCTGGCCTCAGAGTGAATTTCCATCTTTATCTGTACTTCTCTGCAGCATTACCTTTTCATCTAGGCAAGCAGATTTAGTCGCAGTCTCCAGGGTTCTCCTTCTGTATTTCAGAATGCCAGCTGTGAAGGTCCAGGTCACTCTTCCCCCTTCTTCCACATGCCAGTTCATAGTGATTTCCCTCTCTGCTGAACTCTTAGAGACTTTAATGACTGTGTGGTCTGAAACCTCATGTCATCTGTTCTTAGAGTCCAGAGTGCCTGAGAATTGACACACAGGAAATCAACCTAGACTGGATGGGATTGCCATCTAAAGATATGATTCAGAATTTTATGTGTGAACCTGGGAAGCAGATTTAGAAAGTACTCAAGTCAATTAAGGTGTATAAATTGGAATTTTGGGAGCAAAACTAAAACTAATAGAGAAAAAAATGTTCCAGACAACATGATCTAATGGCTAAAGGCCCTATGCTTTCTGGCGTCAAAATCCTGGATCTATTACTGAGTAGTTTTATTCCTACAGCTGAGATTATTATTGATTAAAACAGCTGACTATGCCTGCTCAGGCTGTTATTATAAGTTCATCTTCTGATTATAGTAATTTTCACATATAGCTCTTCCTATGAAGAGAGAATCTACTGGCATGAACTGTGGTTCTCATTGTAAATTGGCATTTAGTTTCATACATCAGTCTCTTATGAATTTGGTTATTAAATTGATCACTAAGGCTAAGTCCAAAGTCACTAAATCAAGTGAAGGAACTAAAGCAATTTGTTGCATTGCTCTGGCCAGTGAAAGAACTTTACACTATCTGCATCTGAATTATTTAGACTGTCTGTAATGATCAAATTCACCAGATTATTGCTCAACCTTCTACTGTAATTTGCATAGATAGCCTCCATGTGAACCTGTCATTGTCCCTGGAAGTGCCAGGCAGCTGCTCCATTGAAAACAATAACAGCTGTGAAGCTTAAATCACTTCATGTTTCAGTAAGATGACAACAGCATGGCATACAAGCAGCAGACTGAAAATTCTTTTCAGATAATGCTGCTGAAAACACAGAACAGAAAAAATCACACAATACAGTTGTGTGCTTTAAATTCCACAGTTAGAGAAGCCAAGGCCTCCCTCAGAGACCCTAGGTGACTCATGGTTTTATAGTGTTGTCTAGAGCATGCTACCTTAGCACACACATTGAATCCCCTAACTCTCATTCCTAAATAAAATGCAAGAGAACTAAGAAGCACTCAGTACAAGTCATAATTTCCTTCATATTCTGGTGCGAAGTCACAGTAATTAATGTATCTATAAACACTCCTTGATGAAGCCCCTCTATATTATTTTTAGTCAAATTCTCTCTTTGGCAAGTGATTACAGAATTACATAAAGTCCCAAACCCCAACAAACATATCTAGCAAAAATAAATAAATAAATAAATAAAATAAAACAAACATCCTTTGTTTCTTTGCACAGTTCCTCATTGCACCATGGTAGTATATATCACTACAAATTAGTACAACCAATCATATAAAATCAAACTCATAAAAACTCAGACTTCAGAAAGGGGGATGCTAAACTCAGAAGACTTCAGATTACCAGAAATTCAGAGAAAGTGGAAGTTGACAATTTCAACAAGTTTTCTAGCTGACCTTTAAATGATTTTGATGAAGAAAAGGGCAGGCCACTTGAGTAGGAGAAATAAATGCTCACCTATGTCAAAATATTTGGCAGGCACTGGGCTGGGCCCTCTGGCCTGAATGAATCTCAAGTCACCTGTCAGAGGACCCGCACTTCTATTACTTTTGGATTTGAAAATAAGAGACCCATGTTTAAAACCAAATATTCCAGCCAGGGCAATACCTCCCTTTGTGCCATCAGGATCCTTTTCAAAAATCTGATCTAAAACTCTTCCTCTGATCAAGAACAATAAGTGGTTTTCCTGCTTAAAAGCCACCAATTGATTTCCATTGTCTCCAGCATGAAATCCTAATATTTCTTAACATAGTCCTTCCCACTGTGGTCTTGACACATCTTTTCTTCTCTCATTTTTTAAGCTGCAATTAACAGCTATTTTTTACTACAAAAGTAATATGTGGTTATTATAGTTACATTAGAAACACAAAAAAGCATAAATATTGAAATAAAAATAAACACCCAGAGATAACCATTATTAATCATATTTAATTTTATGTCCTGACAGTTGCTTTTCGCTATATAGGTATACATTCTCTCTATGCCCTTTTCTTTCACTTTTTATTTTTTTTTCTATATCAGTTCTTTGCTCTAAGCATATTTTCATGAGTATTTTCACTCCCATTACTTAGAAATTAATTAGAAAGGGATCATAATGAAACCATTTTAGTTTACAAGTTATTAAAGATAGCTATAGGAAGATAATACATGTTATGTTAACCAACATTTTCTACTATGTTTTCTAATTTTTTCTTTCTTCCATTTATTCAGGGGTGTTTATTGCCTTTCCTAAGCACATTGTTACAGCAATATTTGGGGAGTGGGGGCTACATCAAATTCTTGATGTCTGAGCTTCCAAAACCTTAATATTTGAGGACCTTATGACATAAAGCTTATACCACAAAGTGTGGATCTAGAAGAATATGTTAGTAGAGTTTGCCCAGGACTGTCCTGGCTTAACATATTAAAGTCCCATGTCTCAAGAACACCCTTAATTCTGGCAAATTGGGACAGTGGATCAACTTAGCAAAAGCCAGCTCTTTGTGTTCCCTGTTGAGATAAATATTCTACATTCCTGTAGGGAAAGAGTCTTAGAAGGCAAGTCCTTGAGGCAGGGCTCTCCTTCTGTATTTCAGAATGCCAGCTTTGAAGGTCCAGGTCACTCTTCCCCATTCTTCCACATGCCAGTTCATAGTAATTTCCCTCTCTGCTGAACTCTTAGAGACTTTAATGACTGTGTGGTCTGAAACCACATGTCATCTCTTCCTGCCAGGTGTCAGCCCTGGATTGATAAGATGGATGGTATCCAGAGCACAGTCCGTGGCTCAAGGGATAGAAAGGAAAAAATTCTGATGATCTGCATTGTTTTTTTCCCGAGAAAAAGGAAATGAGAGAGTTAGGAAGTATGAGGAAAAGTGTGGAGGAAATCATACGTAAGAGAAATATGAAAGAGAGCTGATGAGGGACAGTGTCTACAGCTGCTGGCCCTGCTGAGGGTAGGAGACCAGGCCAGTCAACACAGCTATATCATTGTCCCCAGCCATAGCCAACAACCCACAACCAGGGACTAATGCAAGTGCCCTTGAAGTGACTTGTCATCAACTCCCCAGGGCACAGTTGAACCCCTTCATTTTACAGATGAAAACACAGAAGCCTACAAGAAAAAAAAAACTTACTCAAGATCATTTACTCAGTGGTAGAGTCAGGATAAAAGACCAAGATTCTATACTGTTTATGTTCACTAATTGTTTGAAACAATATAAATAAACATTATAGGACCTATTTTGGGGTTTACATAAGAAATATTTGAAAACCCTCAGGAACTCTGCAAGAGTTAAGGTTTTATTCTACTTACAAACTAACAAATGAGCCTGTTACTATTTCACTGATGGCTGACAAAAGGCATGAGACTCCTGGGATGGAGACAAAAGACTTTATTACTCATAGCAAAAGCAGTGACCAGAGTTTCATGGTTGCTTGCTTCAGGTCCCCATGTGCCCCAAGTTGTATGGGGCAACACAAAGGGCTCATGATGGATGCCTGCAAAGAAAATGGGTTGTATTTACAGGAAAGGAACACTGAGCTTGGGGATTTATTGTTTTTATACTAAACAGAAGCAAGCCTACCTTTGGTCTCCAGGAAAATATTACCTCATCTTTCAAGGTTAGGTTACTCACTACAAACTCAACTCTAAGAAATGTCTCGTAAAGAGCAGACGAGACCCTGTGTTCTTGGCTGGCACACCCAGAAAGAGCATGCAGGAATACTCAGAGCCCACAGAAGAAGATTGCCTCTTCCAACATCTATCATTTAAACTAAATGGAGTAACAAACCTAAGTGGTTACAAGGTATAATACTGCCCATTAGATTTCCCATTCCTTTCCAAGATTGGGAGTTAACTCACCATATTTTAGGAAATAAAATCTTTTTCAAACACTGTGGTACTTTACAAGCACTATATGGACTCCTATAGCCATTTATTTCACTGATCAGTTTTAAAATATGGCAGTTAAACAAGGGTGATATTCCAAGTATTTAACATGGACACCAGTCAATCAGAACAGAAGCTGGCTATAAACAGTGAGTATATCACACAGTTGTATCAGCTGCTAAGTTCTACTAAGACTGAACTCAGGGTTAACTTAAGATACAGGAAGTCGAACACCAAGAATCTGCTGTAGTATATAACAAATGTGCCGCATTTGCGTAGGGATAAGGCAGATATATGAATGCTTGTTAGTGATAACAGTGCTAGTCTATTTGATCTAAATAAATTGGAAGTCAGTTCAGAAAATAACTTTATGGCTCAAAAAGAAAGAAATGTCGTTATTATTTTCCCCATTTTCAAACGAATACGAGGAAACCTGCGTACAAAGACATTAACTTGTTTGGAAGGCCAGGGTAAAGTATGGCTTCAGCTAGAAGAAATTTCTAGGGAGCAACTATTAGAGAAAGGTCAAAGAATTCTTCAATTTAAAAAAAGGTAAAATAATTTTGGGTTATGTTTTTACAGTCTTGAGGAAGTATTATGAGTGACTAAAGCTCTGGGGACAACTAAGTGGCACTTAAGATGCTTCCTTTACATATTGTCAGTGGAGTCTGTCTGGCTAGTCTCTCCAGGAGGTAAGATATAATTGACAGTAAAAAGTTTCCCAAAGAAATTATGCTATTTTCACTCTCAATTGGAAGAAACGCTAAGGCTCATGCACGGCTCATAGCCACTCAATCAGCCACCTACAAATCCAGAAACATCTCAAGGAGAAAGCTCTTGCTTCTTTTTTCCTCATCCACTCAAGGAAAATAATTTTAAGATTTGTTTCTTGGGAATCAGACCCAGATACATCTTGCCTCATGGTTCTAGAACAATTCAATGAGAAGAACACAGATGACCTCATCTGGTGACTGGAAAAACTGTAGTGCAGAAATGAAGAACTGTGAGATTCACCAAATGCCAGTTGCAAGGTAGAATGAATCTGTTGAGCTGAGTTAATTCAAATTATCTGGAGAATTGTCTCATGTCTCTACCTCATAGATCTCGAACCACTGAGTCAGTAGATAGGACCAAGGAACAAAGTATGTCTCGTCTTCATTATACCCTTGCCACCACCCCATCACCAGTCCCAAAATAAAGAGAAGGCATATTTAGTTACCAAGTGACTAGCACCATGTGCTTCCCATGCTGTATCACTTTATTCCCACATTATGAGCTGGCTTATTGTTTGTGTTCTGCAAAAAAAAAAAAGCATTACAGCCAAAGAAATGGAGCAATGAAAAAAATAGAAAAAAGAAGCAAAAGAACAAATCATACTCTATGAACTCTTTAGAATCTTATAATCAGAAAAGCTGAAAGGGAACTATTTTAATTTCAGCATGGGTATTTGTTTTTCTATTTAGAAATGATTTTCTTTCAAATTACAGGTCCTAACCTGTATGGGATAGGGTGAAGACTGTAATCCTTTTATTATTTGTGGGTTCTAAGGATTTTAGCCAGCTCTGGTCATCTGCAAAGTATGGTGGTATATTAGTTTTCTGTGGCTTCCGTAAAAAATTATCACAAATTTCAAACAAATTTGTGATAATTGTGGCTTAAAACAAGAGAAATATATTCTATTACAGTTCTAGAGGCCAGAAGTCCAAAAATCAAGGTTTCAGCCGGGCTGTACTCCTTCCAAAGGCTAGAGGAGATAATCTTTTCTTGCCTTTTCTAGGAAGCTCTGATGGCTCCAAGCATTCCTTGGCTCATGGCTGTATAATTCTTATGTGTGCTTTTATCTTCACATGGCCTTCACTTCTGTGTTTGTGTCTTCTCTTATAAGGACATTGGATTTAGGGCCCATCCAGATAATCTGGGATGATCTCATCTCAAGATCCTTAATTACATCTGCAAAAACTCTTTTTCCAAATAAGGTCACATTCTTAGGTTAGGGGTTAGGACATGGATGTATTTTTTGGCAGGCCACCATTCAACCCATTACAGGTGTGGTTAGACAGACTAATTTTTTTAAGTTTCCTGCCCTTGTATTACAGCATTTATGACTAACTAAGAAGAGGCACTATGAAAATACAATAAACCATGTTAAAAAAAAAAAAAAAACATAGGAGTAGGGTTTTGAATTTTCTTTTTTTTTTTTTTTCTGCTGCATCCAAGTGCCTGGCACATACTAGATGCTTAATAAATATTTTTGAATAAAGGAGAGTTCTGGAAGAAAATTAAGAGATTCTAGGAGAGGAAGCATTTGAGCTAGGTATGAATGATGGGTTGCTCATTGCTTCTGAACATGGCTACAAGGCAAGATGGGATCTCCATTCTCAATGCATAGACTAAGGAGAATAAACAGCTAGACCTGGGGAGGTGGAGAAATTTACTTGGCTATACAATTTGTCCCCGAAATATGAAGCCAGAGTCCAAATTATAATGCCCAAAAAAGCATGGCAGAAATCAAGATTGTAATCCACTCCTGTAGATAGTCTATAGCATCATTATCTCAAGGAAAGATGCCGAGATAAATAGGTGTGATATTTTATATGAATTCATTTAGGCAGATTAAGACCCAATCAGAGGTAGTAATAGCCTTCTAGAGTAGGAACTATCAAAAATTAGGAAGCATCATGATCCCAGGCAAGAAGATGGGAGCCCAGGGCTAGGATGCAATCCTAATATGGAATGATCAGAGTGCTGTTTTTAAAGTACAGGTAATCGACAATTTTGCATACTGGAGAAATGTAATAGAAGTTAAGAGAAGTCTGTGGGTTAGTGGGCATGCATGCCCATATGTTATCACACATACACCACTAGGATGGGGAAGGTATTATTTTATGGCTGCCCCACCCAGGATCTTAGCTTAGGAAATGTCAGAGCTGAGCCATCAGAAGGTCCTCCATGTCAGAAGGTAGGCTGGATCAGGAAAGGGCTGACATTTTTGGCAGATAAAAATATGGAAGGAAGCACAGTTCAGTCAGAGAGAATACATGATAAAATGCACAGGGAAATGCAAAACTTGTTTCAAAAATGGTAGATAATGCATGGCTTATCTACTATTTGTTTGGGAAATGAAACTGTAAAGTTCCATAGGGTGCCAGTCCTGGATAGGGAAATGAGGAATGTTTATTTATGTACTTTGTCTCATTTAATTTTATGGCAATATTTCAGGGTTCCCTTGAGAAATTAAAGGTTAGCTGGGCTAAGTAACTTGCTCAGGTTTAACCAGCAGAATGGATAGGATTCCAATTTAGGGTTGTCTGACTTCAACTGATATGCTCTTTCCATGGGATATAAGACCAGCTCTTTACTGCCACTTCAGAAAGTGAAAGAGGCTCCCCAGGAGTGATTAGCACAATACTGAACATGTACGTGTTTTGAAGAAGAGAAATGGATGCTATAAATAAGTACAGCTGGGAGATGACTGCAATAATCCGGGTGCAAGAAGACAAGTGTTGAACTAGAATGATAATAGTAGGAATAACATCATAAGTTTCGTTAGCCAAAGTTAACATTGAATCTGTCCCAGAAGTCCACATGATACATTTAACCAGGTAGAGTTTAACTTAAAAAAATTTACTTTAATTGTTTCAGGAGGTGAGATAGAAGAATAGAAGGTGCACTTTTTTTTTTTTTTTTTTAAGCCGGAGTCTCAACATGTGAGCCTCATTCTTGTTTTGGAAAAAAATTACTGTTTTTTTTTTCTATTGATTAACATAGGGATACTTTAAAATATAAAAGAATTCAGCATTTTAAATTTCAAATGTTATGAGGGCCATTTATTAAATAATTTTGCTTCCCAAAGTAGTTTGATGATTTATGAATGACAGAGATGGTAAAGATCTCAGATGAAAAGTGTTATATCAGCTAAAAATATTTACAGTATTTTAATTTATTACAAATAAAGAACAGTGGAATGTTTTGTAATTCAGAATATAGATTGTCATTTAAAAATTTAAACCTGTTTTTATAACTTCATTTTTCTAACATTGGCTATAGAGAGAGTTGGGTAGAGCTGGCAGCTAATGAGTTACTCATACTTCACTTGACTCCAATTTCTTAACTATAAAATCACAAAACCGTCACAGAATTGGAAATATGAATATTAACCACCATCTTCCAAACTCCAGGAGGAACTGTCACTAGTGAAGCCTAAATATAGACCTGCCCCAAAAGTACGAAACCCAGAGTAGGGAAAACAATGCTGGTTGGAAATATGGGTTTTGGAACTGCACTGTCCTGAGTTTGAATTCTCAGCTTTCTCTGAATAATCTATGCCCTCATCTGTAAATGGAAGACAATTATTTCTCTTTCAGGGGTTTCTGTAAGCATTAAATGTCATAATATGTAAAGTGCTTAGCAAATGTAAAATGTAAGTGCTTAGAAAAGTTCTGGGCTCATTCGAAGAGATTAATAAAGGGAGCTGTCATGATTAAAGAGATTGTTCTCCCTCTTCCATCATGTTGCTGACCTTGGAGATGCAGGGTATTTGTAGAAGCTGGTCATCACATTCTTACTGGGATTTTTTTTCTAAAGCAATCAATGCAGCATCCTTCATCCCATGCATCAGTAACTCTTTTTTCATTTGTTCATGGACTATAACACCAAGTAATGTAGTACAGCTGGAAGTAAATGTTAGGTGCATTGATTGCACCTTGAGATGTGCTGGCCATGGGAGGAAGGAGCAGGAGACAGGAAGAGCTGTAGAATGAATGGTAGATTCTGTAGGCTTTTCGCACATACAATTTGACAAGGGGAAATGACAAATAGATTCAAATTATCAAGAGTAATTTCCCTCTACATATCACACAATCAGGCAGCAGAAGCAGGAACAGATTCTTTTCCAGACCAGCAGATTCACAATAGGTAAATGCCTAATGGGCATGCAGATCATATGCACTGCATGAGTTAAGGAGGTGTCTCTGAGCCCCAGGTGAATAGTGAGGGGGGTGTCAAGGGAATTCTGCACTGGAGTTGGAATATAAATGGCAGGTCTGTTTGGCGTCTTCTCATTCCAAGATAAGAAAACAGAGAAAGAGCAAGCTGAGGTTAATAAAAGAATCTTAGAAATATGAAATGTTGCCAACTTAAACACAAGCAAAAGATCTGGATATATCTCTTCTCACCAAAGAAGATACACGGATAGAAAATAAGCATATAAAAAAATGGTCAACATCATATATCATTAGGGAAATGCACTGTGTAGCACTTATAGTAGCTAAAATCCAGAGAAACAAAACAAAACTGACAATATGTCAATTGCTGCTAAGGATTGGATAACAGGAACACTCATTCATTGTTGATGGGAATTCAAAATGTAATAGCTACTTGGAAGACAGTTTGGCAGTTTCTCACCTTGGGAGGCCAAGATGGGCGGATCACAAGGTCACGAGATCCAGACCACCCTGGCTAACATGGTGAAACCCCGTCTCTACTAAAAATACAAAAAATTAGCCGGGCGTGGTGGCGGGTGCCTGTAGTCCCAGCTAGTCAGGAGGCTGAGGTAGGAGAATCGCGTGAACCCGGGAGGCGGAGCTTGCAGTGAGCCGAGATTGCGCCACTGCACTCCAGCCTGGGCGACAGAGAGAGACTCCATCTCAAAAAAAACAAAACAAAACAAGACAGTTTGGCAGTTTCTTACAAAGCTAAACCCAGTCTTCCCATACAATCTAGCAATATACTCCTAGGTATCCTGGGTAATCACACATCCAACTGATTTGCAAACTTGTATGCACACAAGAACCTGCATGTGAAAGTTTATAGCAGCTTTATTTAAATTGCCAAAAATTGGAAGCAACAGAGCTGTCCTTTAACAAATGAATGGACAAGTAAATTGTAGTACAATTATTTCATGATAAAATATTCAATGATAAAAAAATAAGAGCTATCAAACCACATGTCTTAAGTGTGTATTGCTAAATAAAAGAAGTCATTCTGAAAAGGCCATTTGTATAACATTAAACTACAGAAAAGGTGAACAAATCCGTGGCATATGCAGAATAATTTCAAATCTATGTGAATACTCTACCTTCCAGGAGGGGCAGCGTTAACTCTCTACTCTTTAAATGTGGGCTGTGCATTGTAGCATTCTTCTGAAGAGTACAGTATGGAAATGAGGGAAAAAAATAACTTTACATTGAAAAAAAATCTGACAAACATCTTTGTCAAGTGATCAAAGTTAATATCAATGGTGATAAGCCATGTTGATAGTATGCAGGCTTGATATGATCAGGATGGCACTTTACCTGTGTGGCCTTCCTCCCCAAAACCCATAACCCCAGTCAAATCATGAGAAAAATATCAGACAAATCCTAAATGAGGGGTGTATTAGTGTGTTCTCACACTGCTATGAAGAAATACCCAAGACTGGGTAATTTATAAAGAAAAGAGTTTTAATTGACTTACAGTTCCACATGGCTGGGGAGGCCTCAGGAAACTTACAATCATGGTGGAAGGGGAAGCAAACATGTCCTTCTTCACATGGTGGCAGGAGAGAGAAGTGCTGAGCAAAAGGGAAAAAGCCCCCTATAAAACCATCAGATCTCATAAGAACTCACTCTCTATCACTGAGAACAGCATGAGGGTAACTGCCTCCATGACTCAGTTACCTCCCACTGGCTCCCTCCCATGACACCTGGGGATTATGGGAACTACAGTTCAAAGTAAGATTTGGGTGGGGACACAGCCAAATCATATCAAGGGACATGCCACAAAATATATGACCAGTACTCTTCAAATCTGTCAAGGTCATCAAAAACAAGGAAAGTCTGAGAAACTGCCAACAGGAATCTAAGGAGACACAATGACTGGTATGGTCTGAATGTGTGCCCCAAATTCATATTGAAATCCTTACCCCATGTGATAGTATTAGGAGGTGGAGCCTTTGGGAGGTGATTAGGTCATGAAGGTACTGCCCTCATGAATGGGATTAGTGCCCTTGTATTAGATAAAAGAGTCCCCAGAGATACCTCATCCCTTCTACCATGTGAGGATATTATGAGAAAGCACTATCTATGAGGAAGCAATTCACCAGACACCAAATCTCACTCCTTGATTTGGACTTTCCAGCCTCCAGACTGCAGGAAGTAAATGTCTGTTATTTATAAGCCACCCAGTTAATTGTATTTTGCTATAGCAGCCCAAGCAGACTAAAGACAATGACTGAATGTAATGTGGAATCCTGGATGAGTCCATGCTTTGAGTTAGGAATTTAGCCCCACCTACATTTCTAAACTTTGGGGTTCAACAGAGTTGAGGGAATCTTCTTTGGTTCACAAAACACTCTAATCCTTGGGCTATATAGGCTACCAGCTCTGTTGCTTGAGATCTGGAGACAAAGTTCATCTGTTGGCATTCCCCTCCCCACCACTGCACCTATCTGCTAACCCTGGTCAAGTATTTAATGCACCTAGTAGATTTTATTTTATTTTTCAACTCAGAGTTTAGTGTGTTTCCTAATTTCACAAAGACAGAGTTTACTATTTCTCATTCTTCTCTTTTTAAAAGTTGATTTTTGCATGGAAAGAGGGAAAGAAATATCCTCATCATGCTTACCCTGAAAACCCAAATCATTTTAATTTTAAAGACAAGTAAGAATTAAAAAGGCAAGTTAACTGCAACACTCAACATTTCCCCCCACTCCTTTCTACTATCTTATATTAGTTTTAAATTTTAAGAAAGTAGATTGCAATGGCGTTTTGTGGCACCTTTTAAAACTTTATAGCAGCCAGAACAGTAATGTCATATATATATATTTTAGTATAACAGCAATAGTATAATTGCTGAAACAAAAAATAAAATCTATTTATGTTCCCTGTAAGATTTTGCCAAGCTTCTAGTTAGTAGCAAGGCATTCTAACACAGACTGACACGTGATTTCAAGATTCTGCCTAAACCTTGCAAGAAAATTCCTCATATTTAAGAGTTTGCATTGCCCCAAATAGAACTTTTCCATTAAGTTATTTATTCCTACTATATGTGAGGTATTGAGCCTCAGTACCAGTTGAATTTAACTTTTCTAAGTTTGTGGAAAATAGTACATAAGATTTGATATTGCCATCAAATTTTTCCCCAAAATTATTTTTGTTATATTAATTTATTTTCTTTCCCGTATACCCACTTGGTATACGTTAAACAGGAGGGCTCAAGAAATAACAATGTGCTATGAATACACTGCAACAAGTTAGCAATTTACATTTACAGGATTTATCTGCTAAAGATGCTGTAGAAAATAAAAACAGCAATGAAGATCCCTTTTAAAAGAAAGGTATAGAGGCATGAGGCTCAAATAACCCTCTTTAAGATTTCACTGAAAAGAAAATATGTGAGATTTTTCTATAACTTTCTACCTATTCCCAAACCTTCTATCTCCTTAAATAAGTAAAGATAGTTCTCCGTTAGCCTTCTTTGCAATATTTGGGCTGCTTACACTGCTGTCGGAGCAGCATCAGGTGCACATACCTCCAGGGGTTAGGGAATATGTGTTCTTTGTAGATTGCGTAAAGTTGGGTGCTGTCCTTTGGAGAGTATGCAGACTGCCACCTAGGCTTCTGCCTTCTGCCCTCAGGCATCTGTGCTTGTTCCCAGGGACATTTCAGCCCAGCAGAGCAGCCTTTACTAATAGTCTTTGGGACATTTCATTAGGCTAATGGTCTAATGGGACATTTTAGCCTGGCAGGGCAGCCTTTACATCTTGGTCTTTGTTTTCTACTTCCTCCTTATTCATTGAAACTGTATTTATTTTAAATGTGTTCTAACTTCACAGGGGCTACTATTTTAGCAGAGTTTAATCTTTTAAGATTGTCATTTCATCTATACTAAGCTGTAGTATATATGATCAAGGGGTCAAAAGACCCTGGATCTGAAGGCAGGTGACTTGTGTTCAAGCCCAGAGCCACACACCTTCCCAGCCAGTAACTGGAAGGGAACCATTCACCTGTGTGCCTCACTTTCCTCCTGCTTCGAAGGAAGCTGAAGGTGGTAGCACTGACCTCAAAGGGTGACTGAAAGGATTCCATGAATTAATGTAAAGCTCTTGGTACCAGTAAGCTCCTACAAAAAGGTGTCTATTGTAATTCTACTCATTATATGTTTTTCTTTTGTTTTGGTTAGGTTTGGTTGGTTGGTTGGTTGGCTGGTTGGTTGGTTTTTTGAGACAGAGTCTCACTTTGTCGCCAGGCTGGAGTGCAATGGTGCCATCTCGGCTCACTGCAACCTCCGCCTCCCGGGTTCAAGCAATTCTCCTGCCTCAACCTCCCGAGTAGATGGGACTACAGGCATGCGCCACTACGCCCGGCTAATTTTTGTATTTTTAGTAGAGACGGGGTTTCACCATGCTGGCCAGACTGGTCTCGACCTCCTTGGCCAGACTGGTCTCAAACTCCTGACCTCGTGATCCGCCCGCCTCAGCCTCCCCAAAGTGCTGGGATTACAGGCGTGAGCCACCGCGCCCGGCCTTTATTTTGTTTTTAATCATTATATGTTTTTCTTCTCTATTGTTGCTATGATCTAAATATGGCTCCCAAAATTCATGTGCTGTAAATTCAATCCCCAGTGCAACAGTGTTGGGGGATGGGGCCTAATGGGAGGTGTTTAGCTCACAAATGGATTGATACCACTGTAAAAAGGGCTTGCAAGAGTAGGTTTGCTCTTTTCTGCTTTTCCTACAAGTGAGGACACAGACTTGGTCTCTCTCTTGCCGTTCCACCTTGTGAGCATGCAGTAAGAAGGCGCACACCAGGTGCATTCATCTTGGGCTTCCCAGCCTCCAGAACTGTGAAAAATAAACTTCTTTTTTTGTATGAATTACCCAATCTGTGATATTCTGTTATAGCAGCGTAAAACAGACTAAGACAATTGTCATATTTTATCTTCTTTTAGTTTTTAAGCTTCCTGATTTGAGTTTTTAAGCTTCCAGATTTTACCATTTCTCTCTTAAATGGTTGTATTTTTTTCTTAATATTTTTATACTACTGTAATCTTTTACTTTGTCCTTCAAAGATTAGGTATTTTTGTCTCTTTCATTTATTTCTCAAATTTTATCATTGTAATTATCTTCACTTCTTTCACAGTTGCATTTGTTTTATTCCTGAGCCTTTTTCCTTTTTCTCCTTTTACATATTACCTCTCTCTTTGTTGAGCCCTTTTAATTTTATGTGGTTCTGGGGTTTTGTTTGATAAAACTTGCTTTTGCTTTATCTATATTTTGTTTACTCATTTATGTCTCAACTTTAAAATATCTCTTACTTTTGCTTCTTTTTTTTTTATTTTTTATTTTATTTATTTATTTATTTTTAGACGGAGTCTCACTCTGTCGCCCAGGCTGGAGTGTAGTGGCTCGATCTCGGCTCACTTCAAGCTCCGCCTCCCCTGTTCACGCCATTCTCTTGCCTCAGCCTCCCGAGTAGCTGGGACTACAGGCGCCCACCACCAGGCCTGGCTAATTTTTTTATATTTTTTAGTAGAGACGGGGTTTCACCATGTTAGCCAGGATGGTCTCCATCTCCTGACCTCGTGATCCGCCCTCCTCAGCCTCCCAAAGTGCTGGGATTACAGGCGTGAGCCACCGTGCCTGGCCACTTTTGCTTCTTTTATTCTTTCTGTTGTTTGCACTCTAGTCTCTTAATTGCTGCTCTTCTTAAACTTTTACCTCTGTGAGTTTATCTATTTCTAATTTCTTCAGCATCTTGACATTGTTTCTTTGACTTCTTTCATTGTTTATTTCATACAGGCACAGGAGTATAGAAAAAAGGACTGTATGGAGCAGGTGCCTCAATAGCAGGAATGATTAGTACCTGTTTGCTTCTAGTTCCCCCGCCTCCCCGGCTGTCCCTCTGGCTCCCATTAATGAAGCTCATGTTTCCTTCAATGTTATTCAATATATTTCTGTATATATTTATATAATATTTATATATAACATATATAATATTTTTATATGTAATATTATACATAGATATATATTATAAATATCTATAATTGATGTATATAAATAATTTTATGTCCAGGCATGGTGGCTCATGCCTGTAATCCCAGCACTTTGGGAGGCCAAGGACGGCAGATCACTTGAGGCCAGGAGTTCGTGACCAACCTGGCCAACATGGCAAAACCCTGTCTTTACTAAAAATACAAAAATTAGCTGGGTGTGGTGCTATGTACCTGTAATCCCAGCTACTCAGGAGGCTGAGACACAAGAATTGCTTGAGCCTGGGAAGTAGAGGCTGCAGTGAGCCAAGATTGCACCACTGCACTCCAGCTGGGGCAACAGAGTGAGACTCTGTCTCAAAAATAAATGAATAAATTTTTATATTTACATATAAATAATTTACATATATAATTTATATATAATATATAAAAATGTATGGATAAATATCTTTTAAATAATTTATATGCAAAATATATTTATACAATATATAAATAAATATTTTATAGAATTTATAATAATTTATGATATATAAATATAAAGATATATTTATCTATACTTAGAGATAAATATATGTAGATATTTATATATTTATATATTTATACACACATCTATATTTACATATAATATATACATATATAACTCTATGTCTCTCTATATAAAAACATGTATGAATATATATATATCTATATACACTATTTATATATGTATAGTCTGTGTGCACTATATATTTTAGTGTATATACAGTATATATTCTATACACACTATATACACTTTATATGTATTATATACATAAATATATATTATATTTATATGATACATATTTATAATTTATATATCTATTTATGTATCTACACACACACACAAACTGAGTAACTTGGGATACCCACAGGCTAAAAATCTTCCCTAGGACCATAACAGACTTTATTAAAATGGTACATTTATATTGCTGGAATAATGCTGTATTCATTTATTTAAAAGATTACTTATTTTCTGATTAGAAAGGTAATAGATACTCAGGAGAAAATCTGGAAAATTCAAGAAAGTATTACAAAATAAAAACCAAAAATTACCTACAATCCCAGTAACCTGAGATCACCAACTTTATTTTCCAGTATGTTTCTTTCCTCTCAGACTTTTTCGATGAATATATCTGTATATTTTTTCTTTAGAATTAGGATTATACTATATGTAGTAATACAGTCAGCATTTTTCTACTTATCAACATATAGTGATTATTTTTCTTTGCCTTAAAAATCTTTAAAAAAATCAGTTGTAATGGTTCCCTATATGCCACTCACTAGATATGTCATGTTTAAGCATGCCTCTGTGTTTTTTGTTGTTGTTATTTCTGCTCATGCTTAATCTTCTCTCTCTATTGGAAGTTAGATGGTCTTAGCTCATAGTCTATGCCACATGTACATTAGGAGGGGACATACTAGATAAAGCTCACGCACAGCTTATCTTTAATAAGTTAGGACCTAGATGATGATGGATCTCTGGGCTAAGAATCACAAACTCAAATGGCCATCAGGGCCTAGCAGGCAATGTAAACACAGGGCCTGGTCCACGCATGGTGGCAACAATAGGGAGCGATGAGGACTGTGGTGAACCAGAAAGCATGGGCCATCATAAAGACAGCAGCCTCACCCAGCTCAAAACGACTGTTTCTATGCCTGAAGTCAGGTCCTGGTCTTCTCATTTTTTTCAAGAGAAGCCAAAATTCAAATTTTTGATGTATCAACTGATTTTTAAAAATTGACAACTAGTGGAATATTTTAGGAAACACTATTTGAGCCAATTCTATGCAAGACAAATGAAACTGACAGTTAGACTCAGTCCGTGGGCCACAAGTCTGAGGCCTCTACATTAGCTGGGTTCTTATGGAAAGAGCCAAGTTAAGAATTAGAAAACTGGATCCTCTTTGAATCATAAAATTTGATTGAAGTTTGTTGTACTATTATAATTTTAGTTTCATCTATCAACCAGACATAGACAAAGGGTAGGTTCTATCCTTTTGAAGCAGGCTCAGGAACACATCCATAATAAGATATCCAGGTGAGAGGCCCAGAAGCACTCAAGACTGTGACCCCCTCCTGCCTTGAGAAAAAAGTATATGCAAAGGGCAGTGTTGGGAGGGGAAGGGGGCGTCTCTGTTCCCTCAGCTCTACTGTTAGCGCAAACTGCTACACTGACACAGGTGAGGAACCTGAGAATGATGGCTTTCAGAGATGTCTAAATCTGCATAAAAATATGACTGTGCAGCACCTTGAAAGAAAGATTGGGGATATGGAGAGTTTCAGAGGTATAGGATACAAGAGAGATGCTGTGAGCTAAAGTTCACCTTCCGACATACTTCCTCCTGCCCTGGTCTACAGGGCTTCAAGATTATGTCAAAACTCAGCATTTCAGACTGGTAAAGGATCGTTCAGGGCCTGAATAAGACAAGATCATGGAGAAATAATAATGGTTATAGAGCTGGTTTCTTCAAGGACAGCTGAAATTCAGCCCCAAGAGCATGCTAATTTTGAGACTTAGTTGGGGTAGGAAGTCAGCATTTATTCTTTCAACAAGTTTTCATTAAGTGCTTATTACATGATAGGCTCTTTACTATTCATGGAAATTCAACTGTGAACATGATAGACATGATTTCTTATAATCTGGGGGAAGAGATGGGGGTAACAGATAACTAAACAGGCAATTATAATCTGGTATTAATATAATAATGCTACAACAGGGGAGGTATAAGGTGTGATAGAAAACTACCTAACCCAAACTGGGTGTCTTAGAAGGATAAGCTGAATGAACTATAGAATTTGTTAGGGTTGTCTGTGCTTGGAGGAGAAGGAGCTGAAGTAGAAAAACTGTTCCACACAAAGGGAAATGTGCATGAAAATATTCAGATATCAGAGAGAGCCTGATGCCTTAGAAGAACTGACAGAAGCTTATGGCTAGATAATTGAGTAGCAGGGGTGAAGCAATGAGAGATGAGAAATCCAAGGAGATCCAGTACCTAGCTAAGGCATTTGAAGAGGAATCCCAATAGTGGTTATGAATTTAAGTAATTGGTCAATAGCAACTATTCTTTGGCTAGTGGATTGAATTGGTGCAGGGAGCAGGACTCTATTCTCAGAGAAAAGGGAGGGTTAGAGCCTGGCAAGGTACAAGGGGCTACCCAAATGGACTAGAGTTGAAGATGGTGAAGAGTTGGGTGCTATTCAAAGATTGAGGCAAAAGCTTTGTTGTACAAATTGGTCTAAGTCTACAGTAATATGACTAATTCCCACTGGGTGTGGACATCTATTATTCCGTTTTCATACTGCCATAAATAACTGCCTGCGACTGGGTAATTTTTAAAGGAAAGAGGTTTAATTGACTCACAGTTCAGCATAGCTGGGGAGGCCTCAGGAGACTTACAATTATGGAAGAAGGTGAAGGGGAAGCAAGGCGCCTTCTTCACAAGGTAGCAGAAAGGAAAAGTGCCAAGTGAAGGGAGAAGAGCCCCTTATAAAACCATCAGATCTCATGAGAACTCACTATCATGAGAACAGCATGGGGGAAACTGCCCCCATGATTCAATTACCTCCACCTGGTCTCTCCCTTGACATGTAGGGATTATGGGGATTACAACTTAAGATGAGATTTGGGTTGGGACACAAAGCCTAATCATATCAGTACATAGCTGCATGATTAGGATTGGTTCATGGCTGGAGCTAGACTGTGGAAAGTGGAGCCTAGGTTAGATGGCATTAATTAGTTATTTCTCCTGTGAGAGAGAGACAGGAATGAATAGGCAAGTTACTAACATAGCAAGTACCCTACCCACTGAGTTCTTAGTTGAACTTGATTTTTAATTTTTTTTTAAGAAAAATTAAGCAGAATTTCAGGCTCTGGAAGGGGACCTCTTCGAAATTAGTTACTTTAAGAAACCCCATATACACTGCATATGTGATAATTCAGAAATTCTATTATGGAAAAAATTAGTCCTGCTAATATATTAAAGGCAATTAAATTGCAATTTGGCAATAAAGCTTAAATAAACAAGCAAAAAAGGCACATATAAAATGAACAAAATTTTCAGGCCTCACTTCATGTTGAAAAAGATTTTTCCATGCTTCCATTACACATTTATTAATTAGAAACACATTAGTAGCTGAGAATTGAAGTGAGCTTATACTAGACAGACACTCTAAGCCCAATAGCATAAACTCATGTTGCAGAAATAAAAATGTGTCTTTATAAACATCCATGAAGCATTAACCTCAAATTCTACAAACTAGCAACACAATGTGGAACGTTTTTAAATGTAAGCCAAGCAAAACAGCCAAATCAGGATTCACCTCTTCTCTAAACAAAGATGAAAAAGTGAACCACGTGCCATAGCTGTTCTCTTTTGTATATATATGCTCAAACAGTGCTTTTCAAACAGTTACCTGTGAATGAATATTTGATATCATCTTATTCTCACCCTTAATGAAGACTTAATGGAAATATTTAATAGCATGCATAAATCATCATATCTCAGTGCATTCTCACAATGACTCCATGAGGTAAGTATTATTTAAAGCTTTGAGAGGATAACCAAGTTGTCCAAGGATGAAACTAGGGCTCATATTTTGATCTCATAACTCTAAATACAACATTATTTTTAATAAACACATTAATAGGTTCTCTTTCTTTAGTGAATAGGGGTTTTAATTCCAAAGAACTGTTTTCTTTCCTTTTCTTCTCTTTAAAAATCTTCATCTTTGATCTTTATCTTTTCAAGCTCAAACATTAGGACACAAAATCTCTTCTTCCAGCTAGACACTAATATGCTCATTTAATTCTCAAACATTTATTAAGTTTCAACCATGCTCCTGTGTGGGGGTGAGTAGACAGGTCACCTGGCCCTATACTCATTCTATTAATATTAGAAGATCATGTTGAACATGTATACATTGCCACACAATAAGCCTATAAAAAGTTGACATGCAGTAATAAGATGGAATTAACCAATTTAAGTAAACCAGCTAGTTGCCCCTTCCCAACAGGCAGGATCTAGGGAAACTGGATTGAGTCCAGACCTCAGACTTGAACTTGCTTTGGGCTACAGTATATGAAAATAGGACTCAGCAGAATCTTAGGTGGAACTGTGAAACAAAGATGAGCAGAACATTTTATTGGGGCATGCTGTCAAGCTATGGGAGTTGTAAAGAGGCAAGCTGGACATGTTTGAGCAAAAATGATCAGGAGACATGAGGCAAGAACAAATAGAATGCAAGAAGAAACAGATGAATCTACTATTATGATTATAGACTTCAATACCCCTCTATCAATAATGGATAGATCCAGGCAGGAAATTAGTAAGGATATTGTTGAACTCAACACCACGACCAATTAACCGGATATAATGGACATTATTAAACTACTTCATCTAATAACAGCATACTACACATTCTTCTCAAGCTCATATGGAAAATTCACCAAGAATAAACTACACACTGAACCATAAAACACACATAAACAAAATTAAAATAATAGAAATAATATTGTATATGCTCTCAGACCACAATAGAATTAAACTAGAAATCAATAGCCAAAAGATAGTTGGAATATCCCTAAATACTTGGAGATTAAACAATACACTACTAAATAACACAGAGGTTCCTCAAAAAATTAAAAATAGAACTACCATATGATCTAGCAATTGATTTTCTGGGTATATACCCAAAATAATCGGAATCAGGATCTCAAAGAAATATGTGTACTTCCATGTTCATTGCATTATTACACAATAGCCAAGATACAGAAACAACTCAAATGTTCATTGATGGGAAAAATAATAAAGAAAATGTGGTATATACATGCAATGGAATAGTATTCAGTCTTTAGAAGAAAGAAATCTTGCCATATACATCAACATGGATAAACCTGGAAGATACTAACCTAAATAAAATAAGCCGCAAGATATCCAAATAGGAACAGCTCCGGTCTACAGCTCCCAGCGTGAGCGACGCAGAAGACGGGTGACTTCTGCATTTCCATCTGAGCTTTGAAGAGAGCAGTGGTTCTCCCAGCACGCAGCTGGAGATCTGAGAACGGGCAGACTGCTTTCTCAAGTGGGTCCCTGATCCCTGACACCCGAGCAGCCTAACTGGGAGGAACCCCCCAGCAGGGGCAGACTGACACCTCACATGGCCCAGTACTCCAACAGACCTGCAGCTGAGGGCCCTGTCTGTTAGAAGGAAAACTAACAAACAGAAAGGACATCCACACCAAAAACCCATTTGTACATCACCATCATCAAAGACCAAAAGTAGATTAAACCACAAAGATGGGGAAAAACAGAGCAGAAAAACTGGAAACTCTAAAAAGCAGAGCACCTCTCCTCCTCCAAAGGAACACAGTTCATCATCAGTAATGGAACAAAGCTGGACGGAGAATGACTTTGACGAGCTGAGAGAAGAAGGCTTCAGATGATCAAATTACTCTGAGCTACGGGAGGACATTCAAACCAAAGGAAAAGAAGTTGAAAACTTTTTAAAAAATTTAGAAGAATGTGTAACTAGAATAACCAATACAGAGAAGTGCTTAAAGGAGCTGGTGGAGCTGAAAACCAAGGCTCAAGAACTACGTGAAGAATGCAGAAGCCTCAGGAGCCGATGCGATCAACTGGACGAAAGGGTATCAGCAATGGAAGATGAAATGAATGAAATGAAGTGAGAAGGGAAGTTTAGAGAAAAAAGAATAAAAAGAAAAGAGCAAAGCCTCCAAGAAATATGGGACTAAGTGAAAAGACCAAATCTACGTCTGATTGGTGTACCTGAAAGTGACGGGGAGAATGGAACCAGGCCAACATTCAGATTCAGGAAATACAGAGAACACCACAAAGATACTCCTCGAGAAGAGCAACTCCAAGACACATAATTGTCAGATTCACAAAAGTTGAAATGAAGGAAAAAATGTTAAGGGCAGCCAGAGAGAAAGGTCGGGTTACCCTCCAAGGGAAGCCCATCAGACTAACAGCGGATCTTTCAGCAGAAACTCTACAAGCCACAAGAGAGTGGGGGCCAATATTCAACATTCTTCAACAGAAGAATTTTCAACCCAGAATTTCATATCCAGCCAAACGAAGCTTCATAAGTGAAGGAGAAATAAAATCCTTTACAGACAAGCAAATGCTGAGAGATTTTGTCACCACCAGGCCTGCCCTAAAAGAGCTCCTGAAGGAAGCGCTAAACATGGAAAGGAACAACCGGAACCAGCCACTGCAAAATCATGCCAAAATGTAAAGACCATTGAGACTAGGAAGAAACTGCATCAACTAATGAGCAAAATAACCAGCTAACATCATAATAATGGGATCAAATTCACACATAACAATATTAACCTTAAATGTAAATGGACTAAATGCTCCAATTAAAAGACACAGACTGGCAAATTGGATAAAGAGTCAAGACCCATCAGCCTGCTGTATTCAGGAAACCCATCTTATATGCAGAGACACACATAGGCTCAAAATAATAGGATGGAGGAAGATCTACCAAGCAAATGGAAAACAAAAAAAGGCAGGGGTTGCAATCCTAGTCTCTGATAAAAGAGACTTTAAACCAACAAAGATCAAAAGAGACAAAGAAGGCCATTACATAATGGTAAAGGGATCAATTCAACAAGAAGAGCTAACTATCCTAAATATATATGCACCCAATACAGGAGCACCCAGATTCATAAAGCAAGTCCTGAGTGACCTACAAAGAGACTTAGACTCCCACGCAATAATAATGGGAGACTTTAACACCCCACTGTCAACATTAGACAGATCGAGACAGAAAGTCAACAAGGATACCCAGGAATTGAACTCAGCTCTGCACCAAGCAGACCTAATAGACATCTACAGAACTCTCCACCCCAAATCAATAGAATATACATTTTTTTCAGCACCACACCACACCTATTCCAAAATTGACCACATAGTTGGAAGTAAAGCACTCCTCAGCAAATGTAAAAGAACAGAAATTATAACAAACTGTCTGTCAGACCACAGTGCAATCAAACTAGAACTCAAGATTAAGAATCTCACTCAAAACTGCTCAACTACATGGAAACTGAACAACCTGCTCCTGAATGACTACTGGGTAAAGAACGAAATGAAGGCAGAAATAAAGATGTTCTTTGAAACCAACGAGAACAAAGACACAACATACCAGAATCTCTGGGACGCATTCAAAGCAATGTGTAGAGGGAAATTTATAGCACTAAATGCCCACAAGAGAAAGCAGGAAAGATGTAAAATTGACACCCTAACATCACAATTAAAAGAACTAGAAAAGCAAGAGCAAACACATTCAAAAGCTAGCAGAAGGCAAGAAATAACTAAAATCAGAGCAGAACTGAAGGAAATAGAGACACAAAAAACCCTTCAAAAAATTAATGAATCCAGGAGCTGGTTTTTTGAAAGGATCAACAAAATTGATAGACCGCTAGCAAGACTAATAAAGAAAAAAAGAGAGAAGAATCAAATAGATGCAATAAAAAATGATAAAGGGGATATCACCACCGATCCCACAGAACTACAAACTACCATCAGAGAATACTACAAACACCTCTATGCAAATAAAATAGAAAATCTAGAAGAAATGGATAAATTCCTTGACACATACACTCTCCCAAGACTAAACCAGGAAGAAGTTGAATCTCTGAATAGACCAATAACAGGATCTGAAATTGTGGCAATAATCAATAGCTTACCAACCAAAAAGAGTCCAGGACTAGATGGATTCACAGCCGAATTCTACCAGAGGTACAAGGAGGAACTGGTACCATTCCTTCTGAAACTATTCCAATCAATAGAAAAAGAGGGAATACTCCCTAATTCATTTTATGAGGCCAGCATCATCCTGATACCAAAGCCTGGCAGAGACACAACCAAAAAGGAGAATTTTAGACCAATATCCTTGATGAACATTGATGCAAAAATCCTCAATAAAATACTGGCAAACCGAATCCAGCAGCACATCAAAAAGTTTATCCACAATGATCAAGTGGGCTTCATCCCTGGGATGCAAGGCTGGTTCAATATACGCAAATCAATAAATGTAATCCAGCATATAAACAGGGCCAAAGACAAAAACCACATGATTATCTCAGTAGATGCAGAAAAGGCCTTTGACAAAATTCAACAATCCTTCATGCTAAAAACTCTCAATAAATTAGGTATTGATGGGATGTATCTCAAAATAATAAGAGCTATCTATGACAAACCCACAGCCAATATCATACCGAATGGGCAAAAACTGGAAGCATTCCCTTTGAAAACTGGCACAAGACAGGGATGCCCTCTCTCACCACTCCTATTCAACATAGTGTTGGAAGTTCTGGCCAGGGCAATTAGGCAGGAGAAGGAAATAAAGAGTATTCAATTAGGAAAAGAGGAAGTCAAATTGTCCCTGTTTGCAGATGACATGACTGTATATCTAGAAAACTCCATTGTCTCAGCCCAAAATCTCCTTAAGCTGATAAGCAACTTCAGCAAAGTCTCAGGATACAAAATCAATGTACAAAAATCACAAGCATTCTCATACACCAATAACAGACAAACACAGAGCCAAATCATGAGTGAGCTCCCATTCACAATTGCTTCAAAGAGAATAAAATACCTAGGAATCCAACTTACAAGGGACGCGAAGGACCTCTTCAAGGACAACTACAAACCACTGCTCAATGAAATAAAACAGGACACAAACAAATGGAAGAACATTCCATGCTCATGGGTAGGAAGAATCAATATCGTGAAAATGGCCATACTGCCCAAGGTAATTTATAGATTCAATGCCATCCCCAACAAGCTACCAATGACTTTCTTCACAGAATTGGAAAAAACTACTTTAAAGTTCATATGGAACCAAAAAAGAGTCCACATCAACAAGTCAATCCTAAGCCAAAAGAACAAAGCTGGAGGCATCATGCCACCTGACTTCAATCTATACTACAAGGTTACAGTAACCAAAACAGCATGGTACTGGTACCAAAACAGAGATATAGATCAATGGAACAGAACAGAGCCCTCAGAAATAACGCCACATATCTACAACTATCTGATCTTTGACAAACCTGAGAAAAACAAGCAATGGGGAAAGGATTCCCTATTTAATAAATGGTGCTGGGAAAACTGGCTAGCCATATGTAGAAAGCTGAAACTGGATCCCTTCCTTACACCTTCTACAAAAATTAATTCAGGATGGACTAAAGACTTAAATCGTAGACCTAAAACTATAAAAACCCTAGAAGAAAACCTAGGCATTACCATTCAGGACATAGGCATGGGCTAGGACTTCATGTCTAAAACACCAAAAGCAATGGCAACAAAAACCAAAATTGACAAATGGCATCTCATTAAACTAAAGAGCTTCTGCACAGCAAAAGAAACTACCATCAGAGTGAACAGGCAACCTACAAAATGGGAGAAAATTTTTGCAACCTACTCATCTGACAAAGGGCTAATATCCAGAATCTACAATGAACTCAAACAAATTTACAAGAAAAAAACAAACAACCCCATCAAAAAGTGGGCGAAGGACATGAACAGACACTTCTCAAAAGAAGACATTTATGCAGCCAAAAAACACATGAAAAAATGCTCATGATCACTGGCCATCAGAGAAATGCAAATCAAAACAAAATGAGATACCATTTCACACCGGTTAGAATGCTGATCATTAAAAAGTCAGGAAACAACAGGTGCTGGAGAGGATGTGGAGAAATAGGAACACTTTTACAGTGTTGGTGGGACTGTAAGCTAGTTCAACCATTGTGGAAGTCAGTGTGGCGATTCCTCAGGGATCTAGAACTAGAAATACCAATTGACCCAGCCATCCCATTACTGGGTATATACCCAAAGGACTATAAATCATGCTGCTATTAGGACACATGCACACGTATATTTATTGCGGCACTATGCACAATAGCAAAGACTTGGAACCAACCCAAATGTCCAACAACGATAGACTGGATTAAGAAAATGTGGCACATATACAGCATGGAATACTATGCAGCCATAAAAAATGATGAGTTCATGTCCTTTGTAGGGACATGGATGAAATTGGAAATCATCATTCTCAGTAAACTTTCGCAAGGACAAAAAACCAAACACCGCATGTTCTCACTCATAGATGGGAATTGAACAATGAGAACACGTGGACACAGGAAGGGGAACATCTCACTCTGGGGACTGTTGTGGGGTGGGGGGAGGGGGGAGGGATAACATTAGGAGATATACCTAATGTTAAATGACGAGTTAATGGGTGCAGCACACCAGCATGGCACATGTATACATATGTAACTAACCTGCACATTGTGCACATGTACCCTAAAACTTAAAGTATAATAATAATAAAATAAAATAAAAACATTACACAAGTAAAAGAAGCCAGTGGCAGAAGGCCACAGGCCACATGAACCCAGTTATATGCAATGTCCATCAAATCAGAAAGCAGATCTGTGGACGCCGAGGATGGGGAGTGGGGGAAGAGAGGGGCTGACTGCTAATGGGTACAGCGTTTCTTTTTTGCATGTTAGAAATGTTCTAAATGTTCTAAAATTAGATTATGGTGACGGTTTTATAACTCTGTAAATACACTAAAAATCACTGAATTTTATACTTTAAATGCATGAACTTAATGATATGTAAATTATTTCAATAAAGCTTTAAAAAAAAACGAGGATTTTGAATTAATCCAATCAGACAAAGACAGAGAAAAAAGAATTTTCAAAAATGAACAAAACCTTCAAGGATTTGGGGATTACGTTAAATGGCCAAACCTAAGAATAATTGGTGTTCCTGGAAAAGAAGAGAAATCTAAAACTTTGGAAAACATATCTGAGGTAATAAGCCAGGAAAACTTCCCTACCTTGCTACAGAGCTAGACACCCAAATAAAAGAAGTTCAAAGAATACCTGGGAAATTCATTACAAAAAGATCATCACCTAGACAAATAGTCTTCAGGTTATCTAAAGTCAAGATGAAGGAAAGAATCTTAAGAGCTTTCAGGCAAAAGCATCAGGCGACCTATAGAGGAAAACCTATCAGATTAACAGCAGATTTCTCAGCAGAAACACTACAAGCGAGAAGGGATTGGGGTCTTATTGTAGCCTCCTTAAACAAAATAATTGTCAGCTAAGAATTTTGTATCCACCAAACTTATCTTCATAAATGAAGGAGAGGTAGTCTTTTTCAGACAAATGCTGAAAGAATTCACCACTACCAAGCCAGCACTACAAGAAATGCTAAAGGGAGTTCTAAACCTTGAAACAAAACCTTAAAATACACCAAAACAGAACGTCCTTACAGCATAAATCTTACATGCTTTATAGCCTATAAAAGAATAACACAATGAAAAAAGCCCAAGGCATTCAGGCAACAACTAGCATGATGAATAAAACAGTACTTCATATCTCAATACTAATGTTGAATACAAATGGCCTAAATGCTCCACTTAAAAGATATAGAAAGGTAAAATGGATACAAATCCACCAACCAAGTATCTGCTGTCTTCAAGAGACTCACCTAATGCATAAGGACTCATATAAACTTCAGGTGAAGGGGTGGAAAAAGATATTCCATGCAAATGGACATTAAAAGTGAGCAGGAGTATCTGTTCTTATACCAGACAAAACAGACTTTAAAGCAACAACGGTTTAAAAAGATAAAGACAGATAATAATAAAAGGATCAGTCTAACAGGAGAATATTACAACCCTAAATATATATGAACCTAACACAGGAGCCCCCAAATTTATAAAACAATTATTACTAGACATAGGAAATGAGACAGACAACAACACAATAATAGTAGGGGACTTCAATACTTCATTGACAGCACTAGACAGGTCATCAAGACAGAAAGTCAAAAAAGAAGCAGTGGACTTGAACTATACCCTAGAACAAATGAACTTAACAGATATTTACAGAACATTCTACCCAACAATTGCAGAATATACATTTTTTCATCAGCACATGGAATATTCTCCAAGACAGACCATATGATAGGCCACAAAACAAATCTCAACAAATGTAGGAAAATCAAAATTATATTAAGTACCTTCTCAGATCACAGTGGAATAAAAGGGGAAATCAATTCCAAAAGGAATCCTCAAAACTATATAAAAACATGGAAATTAAATAATCTACTCTTGAATGATCTTTGGGTCAACAATGAAATCAATATGGAAATTAAAAAATTATTTGAACTGAACAATAATAGTGACACAATTAGAACACAGCAAAAGTGGTGCTAAGAGAAAAGTTTATAGCATCAAATGCCTAATCACAAATCCGAAAGAGCACAAATAGACAATTTAGATTGCTAAGGTTACATCTCAAGGAACTAGAGAAACAAGAACAAACCAAACCCACATCCAGCAGAAGAAAGTAAATAACAAAGGTCAGAGCACAACTAAATGAAATTGAAACAACAGCAACAACAACAAAAATACAAAAGATAAATAAAACAAAAAGGTGGTTCTCTGAAAAGATAAACAAAATTGATAGACCATTAGCAAGATTAACCAATAAAAGATCCAAATTAGTTCAATTAGAAACAAAATAGGAGATATTACAACCAATATCACAGAGATACAAAATATCATTCAAGGCTACCATGAATGCCTTTACACACACCAGCTAGATCTAGAGGAGACAGATAAATTCCTGGAAATATATAATCCTCCTAGATTAAATCAGGAAGAAATAGAAACTCTGAGCAGACCAATAACAAGTAGCCAAATTGAAACAGTAATTTTAAAATTGCTAACAAAAAAAAGTCCAGGACCAGATGGTTTCACAGCTGAATTCTATCAGGAATTAAAAAAAGAATTGGTAGCAATCTTACTGAAACTATTCCAAAAGACAGAGAAACAGGAAATCCTTTAAATCATTATATGAAGCCAGTATTACCCTAATACCAAAACCAGGAAAGGACATAACAAAAAAAGAAAACTACGTACCAATATCCCTGGTGAACATAGATGCAAAAATCCTCAACAAAATACTAGCTAACCAAATCCAATAGCATATCAAAAAGATAATACACCATGATCAAGTGGGTTTTATACCAGGGATGCAGGGATGGTTTAACATAGGCAAGTGAGTACATGTGATATATCACATAAACAGAATTAAAAACAAAAATCATATGATCATCTCAATAGATGCAGAAAAAGCATTTGACAACATCCAGCATCTCTTTATGATTAAAACCCTCAGAAAAATCTGTATAGAAGGGACATATTTCAAGGTAATAAAAGCCATCTATAATAAACCCACAACCAACATTATACTGAACGGGGAAAAGTTGAAAGCATTCACCCGGAGAACTGGAAAAAGACAAGGATGCCCACTTTCACCACTTCTATTCAACATAGGACTGGAAGTCCTAGCCAGAGCAATCAGACAAGAGAGAGAAATAAAGGGCATCCAAATCAGTAAAGAGGAAGTCAAACTGTCACTGTTAACTGATGGTATGATCGTATACCTGGAAAACCCTAAAGACTCATCCAAAAAGCTCCTAGATCTGATAAATGAATTCCATAATGTTTCAGGATAAAGAATTAAGGTACACAAATCAGTAGCACTGCTATACACCAACAATGATCAAACAGAGAATCAAATCAAGAACTCAACCATTTTTACAACAGCTAAACAAATAAAATACTTAGCAATATACATAACTAAAGAGGTGAAAGCTCTCTACGAAGAAAACTAAAAACACTGCTGAAAGAAATCATAGATGACACAAAAAAATGGAAATACATCCCATACTCATGCATGGGTAGAAACAACACTGTGGAAATGACCATAATGCCAAAAGCAATCTACAAATTCAATGCAATTTGCCTCAAAATATCATCATCATTCTTCACAAAACTAGAAAAAAAATCCTAAAATTCATATGGAACCCAAAAAGAGCCCACACAGCCAAAGCAAGACTAAGCAAAAAGAACAAATCTGGAGGCATCACATTACCTAACTTCAAACTATGCTAAAAGAATATAGTTACCAAAAACAGCATGGTACTCATATAAAAACAGCATGGTACTGGTATAAAAACAGGCATGTAAACCAACAGAACAGAATAGAGAATCCAGAAACAAAGCCAAACACTTACAGCCAACTGATTGTCGACAAAACAAACCAAAATATAAAGTTGAAAAAGGCTGCCCTATTCAACAAATGGTGCTGGGATAATTGGCACAAATAGAGGAATGAAGCTGGATCCTCATCTCTCACCTTATATAAAAATCAACTCAAGATGGGTCAAAGACTTGAACCTAAGACCTGAAACCTTAAAAATTCTAGAAGATAACATCAGAAAAACTCTTCTAGACATTGGCTTAGGCAAAGACTTCATGACCAAGAACCCAAAAGTAAATGCAACAAAAACAAAGAAAATAGATGGGACCTAATTAAGTTTAAGTTTCTGTAGAGCAAAATAAATAATCAGCAGAGTAAACAGACAACCTACAGAGTGGGAGGAAATATTTGAAAACTATGCATCTAAAGAAGAACTAATATCCATAATCTACAAAGAACTCAAATAGATCAGCAAGAAAAAAGGAAATAATCCCCATCAAAAAGTGGGCAAAAGATATGAATAGACAATTCTCAGAAGAAGATATAGAAATGGCCAACAAACATGAAAAAATGCTCAATATCACTAATTAACAGGGGAAATGCAAATAAAAAACACAATGAGATAGCACCTTACTCCTGCAAGGATGGCCAAAATTTAAAAATAAAAAAAATTGATGTTGACATGAATGTGGTGAAAGGGAACACTTTTACACTACTGGTGGGAATGTAAACTCGTACAACCACTATGGAAAACAGCATGGAGATTCCTTAAAGAATTAAAAGTAGATCTACCATTTGATCCAGTAATCCCACTACTGGGTATTTACCCAGAGGAAAAGACATCATTACAAGAAAAAGACACTTGCACACACATGTTTATAGAGCACAATTCACAATTGCAAAAATATAGAAACAGCCTAAATGCCCATCAACCAATGAGTGGATAAAGAAAATGTGATACACACACACACACACACACACACACACACACACACACACACACATATATATATATATATATATATATATATATATATATATATATATATATATATATTATGGAATACTACTCAGCCATAAAAAGGAACAAAATAATGGCATTCACACAACCTGGATGGAGTCCAAGTCCATTATTCTGCTAAGTGAATTAACTCAGGAATGGAAAACCAAACATCCAACCTCAGCCTCCCGTGTTCAAGCAATTCTCCTGCCTCAGCCTCCTGAGTAGCTGGGACTACAGGTGCATGCCACCATGCCCAGCTAATTTTTGTACTTTTAGTAGAGACAGGGTTTCACCATGTTGGCCAGGATGGTCTCGATCTCTTGACCTCATGATCCGCCCACCTCAGCCTCCCAAAATGCTGGGATTACAGGCATGAACCACTGCACCCAGCCATTTTGTTTTGTTTTGTTTTCACTTATAAGCAGGAGCTAAGCTACGAGGACTCAGACATAAGAATGATATAATGGATTTTGGGGACTCGGGGAAGTGTGGGAGGGGAGTGAGGGATAAAAGACTACATACTGGGTACAGTGTACACTGCTCAGGTGATGGGTGCACCAAAATCTCAGAAATCACCACTAAATAACTTTTCCATGCAATGAAACACAGCCTGCTCCCGCAAAACTATTGAAATATAAATAAATAAATAAATAAATAACACTATGCATCTATTAGAATGGCTAAAATCCAAAACTCTGACAACGCGGAAGTGCTGACAAGGATATGGACTAACAGGAACTTTCATTCATTCCTGGTGGGAATGCAAAATGGGAAAGTCACTTAGAATACAGTTTAGCAGTTTCTTACAAAGCTCAACACATTCTTACCAATGACCCACAAGTCATGCTCCTTGATTTACCTAAATGAGTTGAAAACTTATGTCTAGATAACCCATACATGGATATTTGTAGGAGCTTTATTTGTACAGGTTGAGATTCTCATATCTGAAATGCTTGGGACCAAAAGTGTTTCAGATTTTGAATGTTTTCAGGTTTTGGAATATTTGTATATACATAATAAAATATCTTAGGGATGGGGCCCAAGTCTCAACATGACATTTCTTTATGTTTTATATTTACCTTATATATACATGTTATATATATAGCCTGAAGGTAAGTGATAGAATATTTTTAATAATTTTGTGCATGAAACAAAGTTTGTATACATTAAGCCATCAGAAAGCGAATATATCACTATCTCAGCACTTATGTAGACAATCTGTGGCTGTTTGGCATCACCATCATTCCTGACTCTGAATTTATAGCTACCAATAAACAATCATTTTCTCATATTTATTCACATGTAAGTACTTAACAGTAAAAAAAAGACATATCATTAATATAGTAAAAAAATGTGTTCAGGATAACTAAGCAGCATAGTAGCATCATTAGGATACTCGTATCAGCTGTTAAACAACAGCAGGAACTAACAATGGCACGTGAGTTCAGGTGTGGAATTTTCCACTTGTGGCATCATGTTGGTGCTCAAAAAGTTTTGGATTTTGAAACATTTTGGATTTCAGATTTTCTGACTACAGATGCTTAGCCCATAATTAACAAAACTTGGAAGTAACCAAGATGTCCTTCAATAGGTGAATAGTCGAACAAACTGTGGTATATCCCAACAGTGGAATTTATTCAGCACAAAGAAGAAATATGCGGTCTAGTTATGAAAAGAGACAGAAGAACTTTAAACGCATGTTGTTATGTGAAAGAAGCCAATCTGAAAAGGTCAACATTCTGTATGATTCCAAGTATATAACATTCTGAAAAAGGCTTAGTAATACAAACTACCAGACTTATGAAAGATTGAACCATAGAAAGGCACAATACCTAGACAAAAGAAATAATCCAAGGCTGCCGAGAAAAGGGCCTGACATGTCCAAGTTGCAGGAAAGGATATTGGGAGAAGAATAAACTAGTTCTGATGAGTGATTATTTATGGGATAGGTGGGAACAGGGAGAAGTCAACAGTGACCTCAAGGTTCCCTATTGGCGGTACAGAAAAACAGGGGACATGTATCCCTCAGAACCAGGACAAGTTAGGAGAGGACAAGCAGTTCTTGATGGAAGGTGGTGAGTTAGGTTCATCCAGGCTGCATTTTAGTTTCCAAGTAGAAACATCCAGTGAATAATTTTGAATGTGTGACAGACACTCAGAAGAGAGATTGAGATACACAGTTGAAAGCCATCTGCTTTAAGCTGTTAGAAGACATAAGCACCAATGAGATCCAGAGGTATAGAGCAGACAGAAAAGCAAAGGGCAGGGAACGGACCATCTCTGTGGCTGAATCTGCCTGAAGAGCTCAAGCTCCTAGATCACAGGTGGGCTGTAGAACAAAGTCACCAGGCATCCATCACTCCAAACTCTGCCTTTGAGATCCTCCTCCTCCAATGTAAATCTAAGGTAATTAATCAAATCAAACAAAAGCTTCCAGAGATTTGCTCTTCTTTTGTACTAACCATCTTTCCTCTCAAGTCTCCTCTCCAGAGTCTTAATTGCATATTTCATAAGCCTGTTTGGAACTTTTACTAGCTGTCACCTTCAGTAAATACCAGCCAAGTAAAGTCTTCAAGTGTGTGATATTTAACACACTGGATACTTAAAGCAGTTATTGAAATAGGGCCTGCAGATATGACAGCTTGTGCTAACAGCTCCAGAACTATTACAGGTGAACATTTCAAAGCTCTTCACAGGATTTTTTTTTAATTCCTGGATCGTTGACCTCATTAGCTCCTTGGCTCTTAGGCCCATGTGAGCTCAATTCCTTCCTGTCCATTGTCAGAGTCAACAATAGCCCTGTCCTCCCTGGTCCAATTGTGTCTCAAGTGCTGTCATGGATACATTCATCTACATAACCCTTAACATTTCAAGGACAATGGCTGTCCAAAATTGACCACTCAAAGAGAAGTATGGATTTTTTCTTGTTCTTTATAACTTTGATAATTTGTGGTCATTTTTTGAGCAAACGAGGCTTTTGGGTTTTTGTTTGGCAAGGGTTTTTGGCCTCTGCTTTCAGCAAAGGGATGAAGCAAGTCATTTTATCCACATATTTCATTGCCCCAGGGCCAGGCTCACATCTATTGCAGGCAGGTCTTGGAACCAGCTGCCCATGCTTCCTGAGAGAAGGGCATAGGGAAAGGGGTGTTCAGAGGGATTGGAATCAGTCGTCTTTTCCTTACACTCAACACAGCATCTACATGGGTGCCTTAGTTCAACCTAGGCCCACAAGTTTGAACTTGAGAAACTCATTCCTGTGCACAGAAATAAACATCAGCTCCCAATGTACCCCTAGTGACACCCCTATCTCCAAGATACTTTTTGACAACTAAAAAGAGTCCTAACAGGAGACTTAAAAGGATCCTGTGAACTGTGATCTTTATTTTAAGTGACTCAGAGCCCTTTTCCACTTTTCAAACATTGACTCATTATCCAAGCACATTTAATACTTTCTTGTGTATAGAGCTGTGCTAGGCATTTTACAGAGCTAATTAAACAGACATGATGCCTAACCTCTAGGCGTTTATGATTTAAGGAAGACAGTGTCAGTGAGAACAGAGGAACCAATTCAGGACATAAGGGAAATGGAACAAATACCTTATGGCTATGAAGATAAACTATAAGAGCAAATGTGTTATTGGGTGTCTACTGGCAGCAACAGGACCATCCAGCTCACCTGGGGAATTCCAAAGCTCCTAAAGTAAGTTCATTGTGACTATTATTTATCTTTTTAATCCTGTACATTCATTGGTAGGAGCTAGTGATGCCCAACAAATGTGGATCACTGACAATATATTTCTGTCTTTTCATTCTGCAGACAGAACTTCACAGAAGTAGACAGACACCCCTGAAGCCAGGCCTCTGGCCCTTCCTTATCTCACCCTCCTCAGTCCAAGTTCTGTATATCTTTGCTTGCTCAGCTTTAGTCTAGTCCGATCATTCCAACTTGGGATTCATTCTTTCTTCCCTAGACTTCCTTCTCAGAACCATCTGCTCACCCATAGAGGACAAATCCCAGGTTTACCCACCTTAATCTCAATAATGTACCTATTTCAGATAGTCAAGAGCTATGCACAGTAGCTAAAATCAATGGAAGGACCAGAGTTGCTAGGGTCACCATTTAATATCGAGGTCTCAAATTTCCCAAAGAAGTAAGAATCATATTAGAGTTTGAATAACACTGCAAAGTAGATTAGGAAAAAACACAATAGACTTAGGGCCTGGCAAAGGGTTTTAAAATAGAGAATAAAGTTCTTGTTATGCCTTGTAGGAAAGCAGAGCTACATTTTTTATTAACAATGGTCAGTTTTGTTGTGAGGGCATTGGTTACTTTAAATTACTGGACAGAAGGCATATCTGAAATGGTTCTGGGAGTAACCCAGAAGGGCCAGGCAAACACCAAAGCTCTCAGATAGTAACAAAGCACCAGGAAGCCCTGTGGCCATCAGCTCAAAGTCTTCTGTGGCTGGCGGAATATGCCCACTGTAGAGTCAGCATGGTCCCTTCAGATTCAGCCCTATTGCTCTGTCCCAGTGTGGGAAATGGGCATCTATACGGAGCCCCCAGCCTTACCCTCTGAGTCATGCCATCTTCTCAGGTGCCGCTTCAGAGCAGAATGCAAGCCCCTGCTCTTTCTGGGTACTATGCCCTTCATCCCCCAGATTCTACTAACTCTCTGCTATCCTATTTATTTTATTTTATTTTATTTTATTTTCTTCTCCTTTTTTTTTTTTTTTGATGCAGTTTCACTCTTGTTGCCCAGGCTAGAGTACAATGGCATGACCTTGGCTCACTGCAACCTCTGCCTCCTGGGTTCAAGCGATTATCCTGCCTCAGCCTCCCAAGTAGCTAGTAATACACACGCCCACCACAATGCCTGACTAATTTTTGTATTTTTAGTAGAGAGGGAGTTTCACTATGTTGGCCAGGCTAGTCTCGAACTCCTGACCTCAGGTGATCTGCCCACCTACAGCCTCTCAAAGGCCCAATCCTCTCTAAGCCATCGGCCTCCAACATACCTTGCATATCTCTTCAATGGGTTCAGGCTTTTCAAAAATCTGAAAGGTATGTGTCTGACAGGAAACTTTGGCTTTTAGTCCAGGAACATAAACCATCCTGAAATCAGTAGGCTAAAAAGCTCTGAATACTTGTTTGAAATGAGGAACGGGGAAAATGTAGGAAGCATTATGATGCTATAAGAAGTAGACTGTAGGGTACAGTCAAATTAGAACTCAGGATTAAGAAACTCACTCAAAACCTCACAACTACATGGAAACTGAACAACCTGCTTCTGAAGACTACTGGGTAGACAACAAAATTAA